>NC_000011.10:17560000-18185000 GCF_000001405.40 Homo sapiens | reverse complement strand
AAAACGCACCTTCCCAAAATTGATCAAGAAGATACAGTAATTGCAAATAATCCTGTATCTACTAAGGAAATTGAATTTATAATTAAAAACTCTTCTACAAAGAAAGCTCCAGGCACACATGGCCACACTGGTGAATTCTATCAAACACTTAATAATTAAAAAAATCAAGATCTAACCTTCAAGCTTCAGAAGTATAAAAAACATGAACAAATTAAGACCAAAATAAAAAGAAACAATAAAGAGCAGAAATCAGTGAAACAGAAAACAAGCAATAGAGATAAAATCAAAGCTGTGATAGTACCATGAAAAGATTAATGATATTCATAAATTTTTAGCAATACTGAACAATAAACAAAGAGAAAATAACATCATTATCAAGAATGAGAGTGGGAATATTGCTATAGTCTCTAAAGACATTAAAAGGATAATAGAGAACTATCACGAACAAACTTATGTCAATAAATTCAAAGCTTAGATGAAAGGGACACTTTTCTTGAAAGACATAACTCACCAAAACTGACATGAGAAGCAATAGAAAATGTGAATAGCTGTATGTCTGTGAAAGATATATATATATATAGTTGTTGTTTTTTTTAATGAAGTCTCACTCTGTCACCCAGGCTGGAGTGCTGCAACCTCTGCCTCCCGGGTTCAAATGATTCTCTTGCCTCAGCCTCCTGAGTAGCTGGGATTACAGGCGCACACCACCAAACCTGGCTAATTTTTGTATTTTTAGTGGAGATGGGGTTTCATCATGTTGGCCAGGCTGGTCTTGAACTCCTGACCTCAGGTGATCCGCCCGCCTTGGCCTCCCAAAGTTCTGGGATTACAGGCATGAGCCACTGCACCTGGCCAAGATACTACATTTTTAATTAAAACTTTCCACACATGCACATGCAAAAATTTAGATCCAGAAGGCTTGGATAAATTCTGTTGATATTTAAAGGGAAAAATCATATCAAATTTATACAAATATTTTATCATAAATTTCAGAAGGAAAGAATATTCTCCAACTTATTTTATGAGACCATGTATATCTTTAATAGTGAAATCTGGAAAAGATATTACCAATAAGGAAACTACAGACCAAAATTCTTTATGAATATAGATGCAAAAATTCTTAACACAGTAGTAGCAGGTAGAATCCTGAAATATATCAAAAGGATAATACAGAATGGCTAGTGGGGTTTATCTCAGTAGTGCAATGTTTGTTTAACATTTGTAAATCAATCAGTGAAATTTGCCACATTAACAGATTAAAGGAGAAAAATTATGTGAATATCTCAATAAACAGAGAAAAAGGATTTGACAAATTTCAACACCCATGGAGAAATGATTGACGGTCAAAGAGTATAAAACCTTAATTAAATAGGAGGAATAATTTTTTTCTTTGAGATATATTACATAGTGTGGTAAATATAGTAAATAATAATGTAGTACACATTTGAAAATAGCTGAGATTATACATTTTATTTTTTTACTTCGATAAGTTTTTGGAGAACAGGTGGTGTTTGGTTACATGGATAAGTAGTTTAGTGGTGATTTCTGAGATTTTGATGTACCCATCACCAGAACAGTGTATACTGTACCCAGTGTGTAGTCTTTTATCCCTCACCTACCTCCCACTCTTTTTCCTCCAGTCCCCAAAGTCCATTGTATCATTCTTATGCCCTTGTGTCCTGATAGCTTAGCTCCTACTTACAAGTAAGAACATCCAATGTTTGGTTTTCCATTCCTGAGTTACTTCACTTAGAGTAATGGTCTCCAACTCCATCCAGATTGCTGTGAATGCCATTATTTTGTTCCTTTTTATGGCTGAGTAGTAATCCATGGTGTGTGTGTGTGTGTGTGTGTGTGTGTGTGTGTGTATATGCATATGCATATGCATATATATATACATATGCATATATATATGACATTTTCTTTATCCACCTATTAATTCATGGGCATTTGGGCTGGTTCTATATTTTTACAATTGCAAATTGTGCTGCTATAAACATGCATGTGTGAGTGTCTTTTTCATAAATGATTTCCTTTCCTCTGGGTAGATATCCAGTAGTGGAATTGCTGGAACAAAAGGCAGATCTACTTTTAGTTCTTTAAGGAATCTCCACACTGTTTTCCATAGTGGTTTTACTAGTTTACATCCCCACCAGCAGTGTAAAAGTGTTCCCTTTTCACCACATCCATGCCAACATCTATTATTTTTTGATTTTTTAATTATGGCCATTCTTGCAGGAGTAAGGTGGTATTGTTTTGTGGTTCTGATCTGCATTTCCCTGATAATTAGTGATGTTGAGCATTTTTTCATATGTTTATTGGCCATTGGTATATCTTCTTTTAAGAATTGTCTATTCATGTCCTCAGCCCACTTTTCAAACGGATAATTTGTTTTATTCTTGATGATTTGTTAGATTTCCTTGTAGATTCTGGATATTAGTCCTTTGTCGGATGCACAGTTTGTGAAGATTTTCTTCCATTCCATGAGTTGTCTGTTTACTCTGGTGATTATTATTATTATTATTATTTTGCTGTGCAGAACTTTTTAGTTTAATTAAGTCCCATTGATTTATCTTTGTTTTTTTTTTACATTTACTTTTGGGTTCTTGGTCATGAAGTCTTTGCCTAAGCCAATGTCTAGAAGGGTTTCTCCGATGTTATCTTCTAGAATTTTTATGGTTTCAGGTCTTAGATTTAAGTCTTTGATCCATCTTGAGTTGATTTTTGTATGAGGTGAGAGATGAGGATCCAGTTTCATTCTTCTACATATGGTTTGCTAATTATCCCAGCATCATTTGTTGAAAAGTATGTCCTTTCCCCTCTTTATGTTTTTGTTTGCTTTGTTGAAGATCAGTTGGCTGTAAGTATTTGGGTTTATTTCTGGGTTCTCTGTTCTGTTCCATTGGTCTATACGCCTATCTTTATACCAGTACCATGGGTTTTGGTGACTATAGCCTCATAGTTTGAAGTTGGGTAATGTGATGCCTCCAGATTTGTTCTTTTTGCTTAGTCTTGCTTTGGTTATACAGGTTCTTTTTTGGTTCCATATGAATTTTAGGATTGTTTTTTCCAGTTCTGTGAAGAATGATGATGGTATCTTGATGGGAATTACATTGAATTTGTAGATTGCTCTTGGAAGTGTGGTCATTTTCACAATATTGATTCTACCCATCCATGATCATGGGATGTGTTTCCATTTGTTTGTGTCATCTAAAATTTCTTTCAGCAGTGTTTTGTAGTTCTCTTTATAGAGGTTTTTCACATCCTTGGTTAGATATGTTCCTAAGTATTTTATTTATTTATTTATTTTTTTGCAGCTATTGTAAAAGGGGTTGGGTTCTTGATTTGATTCTCAGCTTGGTCACTTTTGGTGTATAGCAGTGCTACTGATTTGTGTTCATTGACTTTGTATCCTGAAACTTTACTGAATTCATTTATCAGATCTAGAAGCTTTTTGGTTGAGTCTTCAGGGTTTTCTAGGTATACAATCATATCATTGGTGAACGACGGCAGTTTGTCTTCCTCTTTACTGATTTGAATGCCTTTTATTTCTTTCTCTTGTCTAATTGCTCTTGCTAGGACTTCCAGTACTATGTTGAATAGAAGTGGTGTAAATGGGCATCCTTATCTTGTTTCAGTTCTCAGGTGGAATGCTTTCAACTTTTCCCCATTGAGTATAATGTTGGCTGTGTGGTTTGTCATAGATAGTTTTTATTACGTTAAGGTATGTCCCTTCTATGCCGAGTTTGCTGAGGCTTTTTATCATAAAGAGATGCTAGATTTTGTCAAATGCTTTTCTGTGTCTATTGAGATGATCATATGATTTTTGTTTTTAATTCTTTTTATATGTTTTATCACATTTATTTACCTGTGTATGTTAACCTATCCCTGTATCCCTGGTATGAAACCCATTTGATCATGCTGAATTATCTTTTCAATATGCTGTTGGATTTGGTTAGCTAGTATTTTGTTGAGGATTTCTGCATCTGTATTCACCAAGAATATTGGTCTGTAGTTTTTTTTTTTTGCTATGTTCTTTCCTGGTTTTGGTATTTGGGTGATACTGGCTTCATAGAATGATTTAGGGAGGATTCCCTCTTTCTCTATCTTTTGGAATAGTGTCAATAGGATTGGCACCAATTCTTCTTTGAATGTCTGATAGAATTCAGCTGTAAATCTGTTTGGTCCTAGACTTTTTTTGTTGGCAATTTTCAAATCACCATTTCAATCTTGCTGCCTGTTACTAGTCTGTTCAGAGTTTCTATTTCTTCCTATTTTAATCTCCAGGAATTTGTCCATCTCCTCTAGGTTTTCTAATTTGTGTGTGTAAAGGTGTTCATAGTAGTCTTGAATGATCTTTTGAATTTCTGTGGTATTGGTTGTAATATCTCTTGTTTCATTTCTAATTGAGCTTATTTGGATCTTCTCTCTTCTTTTCTTGGTTAATCTCACTAATGGTCTACCAATTTTGTTTATGTTTTCAAAGAACCAGGTTTTTGTTACATTTATCTTTGTTTTTTTTTTTTTGTTGTTGTTGTTGGTGTTTGTTTCAATTTCATTTAGTTCTGCTGTAATGTTTCTTTTTTTTTTTTCTTCTGCATGGTTTGGCTTTGGTTTATTCTTGTTTCTCTAGTTCCTTGAGGTGTGACCTTAGGTTGTCTATTTGTGCTCTTTCAGACTTTTTGATGTAGGCATTTAATGCTGTGAACTTTCCTCTTAGCACCACTTTGCTTTATCCCAGAGGTTTTGATAGGTTATGTCACTATTATCACTCAGTTCAAAGAATTTTTAAATTTCCTTCTTGATTTCGTTGTTGACCAAAATATCATTCAGGAGTAGACTATTTAATTTCCATATATTTTCATCGTTTTGAGGATTCCTTTTGGAGTTGATTTCCAATTTTATTTCACTGTGTTCTGAAAGGATACTTGATATAATTTCAATTTTCTTAAATTTGTTGAGACTTGTTTCATGGCCTATAATATGGTCTATCTTGGAGAAAGTTCCACGTGCTGTTGAATAGAATGTATATTCTGTGGTTGTTGGATGGAATGTTCTATAAATATCTGTTAAGTCCTTTTGTTGTAGGGTATAGTTTAAGTGCATTGTTTCTTTGTTGACTTTCTGTCTTGATGACTTGTCCAGTGCTGTCAGTGGGGTATTGAAGTCTACTATTATTATTGTGTTGCCATCTATCTCATTTCTTAGGTCTATTAGTACTTGTTTTATAAATTTAGGAGTGACAGTGTTAGATATATATATATATATAGGATTATGATAGGATTATGATATTTTCCTGTTGGACTCATCCTTTTATCATTATATAATGTCTCCCTTTGTTTTTTTTAATTGTTGTTGCTTTAAAGTACTTTCTTTTGTCTGATATAAGAATAGTTACTCCTGTTCACTTTTGGTATATATTTGCATGGTATATCTTTTACCAACCCTTTACCTTAAGTTTATGTGAGTCCTTATGTGTTAGGTGAATCTCTCGAAGACAGCAGATACTTGTTTGCTGAATTCTTATCCATTCTGACATTCTGTATCCTTTATGTGGAACATTTAGGCCATTTACATTCAACATTAGTATTGAGATGTGTGATACTATTCTATTCATCATGCTAGTTGTTGTGTTAATACATTTTTTTTTCATTGTGTTATTGTTTTATAGGCCCTGTAAGATTTAGGCTTTAAGGAGGTTGTATTTTGATGTTTTATTTCCTGATTTAGAGCTCCTTTTAGCAGTTCTTGTAGTGCTGTCTTGGTAGTGGCAAATTCTCTCAGTATTTGTTTGTCTGAAAAATACCATATCTTTCCTTCTATTTAACAGGGATCTTGCCACCATGACCAAATACATGGGGTGACACAAGGAATAAAACTCATCAATGAATTATTCACCATTCCCTAAAAAACTCTATGCTTTTATTAACAGTGCCACTGTAAATTATCTCTTCTCTCATTTCCATCTGTCCAGATCCTATTTATCTCTGCTTCCCCAATACAAAAATTGAGGTGATTGGCAGAATTTAAGGATGGTATTATTATAATAATAATGCTGGGTAAATTGTAGTCATCAGTTAAAATTCTACCTATTACACGAAGCCTTCCATGATCCACTCACTTCTACATACACACTCAGGAATGAGATCTGCTCTGTCTCTGCTCTCCTTCCTTGTGTTTGCATCCTGCAAAGTTTCGAAACAATTGGACCAATATGATGGGCATGAGCATTGAGATTTCTTCTTCTATACTCTACTGTTGTTGTTAGATAACAGGAAACAAATGCCATCTATATCTATAGTCAGTATTGGTACATTGACGATAATGGTGCCCAACTGATACCACACAGTCATACAGAACAAGCATCACAGCAGTCTCTTCAGATTCTAGGTCACTGCCACATAGGTGAGAAGAACATATGCTTACTGTGATTATAGTCACTCTGTAGATACGTGAATTTCTCACGCTGCCAGGATCACAACAGTAGTTATCTTCAGTCCATGGTTATGGTAAAGTCCCACTTTACATACATATTCTGAAAAGAGATACCTGAGCACAAATGCACAAGTGGCACAGTTTCAGACTGGGACAATCCCGTAACCTCACTATCTGTTTGGATTGCCTGGAATGAGCATGTGACCCACGTTGGCCATGCAGTCAGCTTGAGAATCCCAAATCCCTGAAATAGGTCAGGTGTTCTTCGCATCTAGCACTTGCACGTTCTGCTTCCCTACCTATCCTGGGATTTCTAGATGCTGATTTGGTTTTGCCTGGAGGCAAGGGCTTGTACTGCTGGAACACAGGGTAATTGTGGTAGATAGTTCTGCAATGCCTGTGACCTAAGCACCTGCAGGGTCTCTTAACAATCTTTTCAGGAATTGTGCATTGGTGTGATGTTGGACTATTGACTGAGGGCTGTTGTAAGATTCAGCCTATTAATCTTTTGATGTCATCAATTATAAAACCGTTGCTGAGATTGTCCTGCATGAGCAGCCACCTGGTGAACATTCTCTAATTTATTAAAATCCTATTGTCCTGCTTCAGCTGAGTGCTTGGGGGTGGCATTCCTCTTCAGGATGGCAGCAAGATAACTTGGAATTTTTAGATACCCTCTCCTCTGAGCACCCTTGAGCCACAAGTACAACTCTTGGATAGTATACGTCACATTGGGAGGCAGTCTTTCCTGCACTAGTGTCCTTCCTTCACAGGCTGTGAGCTCTGTGAATGTAGGTGTGTTTACTTTGACTCCTAAGTGTCTGGCATGCAAGTTAGAGAATAGAAGATGCTCAGTATGTATTTATACAATAAACAGTAGAATAAGTGAGAGATACTGTTATGAAAAGCCCACTTAATGATATATTCAGGAATGCAAGTGGATAGGTTAACTGAAAATGTCTGTTAATCAGTATTCATAAAAAAGGATATGTTTGTAACATGAATATTTCATTTTTACCTAGAATTCATTCACTATAATAGAACTAGACTACAGAACACTCCTTTGTGTAGGGTTCAGCAAATAGAATTCTACTCTATCTTGCTGAAAGCATATCTATCAATCATTGTCTATGATTTGCAGTGTGGATTAGTTTAAGTGTAGATCTTAGCATCAGATACATAGCATTCTCTCTGAGGATATTGTTCAATATTGTTCATTTTTGTTTAATCTGATAGAGTTGGCAGGCTCACACCTATTAAACTAACAACAATTTTGGAACCTACATGTATTGTCCCTTTAAGCATTCACATTAGTTTGTATGGAAACCACAATTCTTCTTTCATACTCGTATTTCATTGATTTGTGGTGTATTTTGATAAATTAGGTAATTATATTGACAAGCCTAATTGGCAGAAGCAGGACAGGAAACAGATCCAATTGATTCTTGTGAGGCTGATGACTCAGTGCCCTTGAGCCCAGGTATACTAGAGCATCAGTGAATGGCCACAAAGGCTCAGCATTTGCTCAGCATCAATCAATTTATTTTCTTCATGAAGTGGAAAGGATTGGTTATAGAGATGGAATGTATTAGTGAGAGACTTATTTGAAAGGTGTTTGCTTTTATGTAGAATTAGCACAGTGCTTGATGAATTAGGTTCGAATGTTTGTTGAATTCATGCCTACAAAATAGTCATGAATGGCAGCTCCCAAAAAGTGCCATTAGAGACTTTTATATCATTTCTCACTTTCTGGAGAACACTCCTGGATGTCTTGCATGCTCTTCCTCGACATAGAACCGAGAGGAAATGATATCATTGGCCTGGGAAAGAAAGCAGCTCACGAGCAGACTCCCACATCTCCTCCATTCTTCTTCCCAGAGGCAGTGAGCAGACCTGCAATGAAGGGCAACAGTTCTTCTCAGAAAAACCAACTGCAGAGGACACTCTGTTGAGTGGGAGATGCCTGTAGGAGTTCCAGTGAGATCTGGTGACTGAGCCAGCCTTTTCAAGATGCTGGACAAACCTGTGATTTTCAGGTGGAAGCTGCTTGAGAAAAATAGTTACTGATACTCTCCTAAATTCCACACCTAGTCTGTTGCACTAGAAATTCCAAGACATGTTCTCTGCTCTTAAAGACCTCAGAGTGCAGTTGAAGAGAAAGATGTGAGGACAAACAATTGAAATACACTGTTATAACTGCTGTAGTGGAGCAATGTCTGAGGCCAAGTGAGTTCAGAATGGGCTTCAGGGACAGAATCTAAGCTTTCATAAAATTGAAATTTTCTTCTGTCAGAAAAAAAGAGTCACTAACGTCAAAATAAGCAGTGTCCCAGGTGAGAACCAACATTATTTGATTCAATTGCCAGGTGAAAATTCTCTACAGAATTCCTCATGATAAACAACATCTTTGACCAGAACTGTTCAATTGATATCACAGACTCCCAGAATGGGCTCTCTCAATAACCCTCAGTCTGAACTAAAGACATCACATCAAAGCTCCTTTTGTGGAGCATTGGCTGCAAACACTGCCTTCCTGCTTCCTCCAACCTGTAGGAAACCCTTACCTACAGCTATGTCCTACTATGGCATTTGGAAATCGAGGGTGGACAGATAGGATTCAGCATCAGCGAGTGCTGAGCCTGGAAGAGCAATGGATCTGCACTCAGGGGACCTGAGTTCAACATTGTGAACAATGTGATACGAGCCACGAATAAATTTGGTTGGACAAATTGAAAACTATACACCTGTTTATTGTTATAGACCTCTTTATTGCTTTCATAGCTACTTTGTACTGTCTCCTGTATACTCAAAATGCATGTGTCAGCTCCCCTCAGTGAGGGTTAATCTGAGGGGCAGCCTCACTGTCTATGATCAGCACAGACCCTGCTGTGATGTCACATCTTCTCTTGGTGGTCTCTTCTGTCTGCTTGAGCTATCTGTTGAAGGGATAACCACTGGTGGAGAATAGTCCTGAATTTTGTACTGATCCTGTTTTTATAATTAAATGTTTTTAATTGTGGTAAAATGCACATAACATACATTTTACAACTTTCACCATTTTATTTGTACAATTCAATGTCATTAAGTGCATTCACAATAAGTCGTAACCGTTACCACTGTCCCTTTTAAGAACTTTGCATTATTCCACACAGAAAGTCTGTGCTCATTAAATAATGGCTACACATTCTCTCCATCATCCAGCACCAGGATCCTTCTAATTTATTTTCTGTGTTCACGAATTTCCTAGTTTGGATACCTCGTAGAATTTGACCATACAATATTGTTCTTTGGTATCTGGCATATTTTCCTTAGCACAATGTTTCCGTGTTCATCTAAGTCACAGCATGTATCAGAATTTTGTACCAACTGTAAGTTATTATCCGGATACTATAATTGACATTAGCATGGAAAAGTCAGATGTTTTCAGTTTTGCTTCTTATGTTAACAGCCATAAAATTAACTGAAAGTTACAGCCAGAACAATTTGTACAAAACCTGAAAGTATGAAGAATTCTCCTACAACTTAAAGACTCTGTAAATGAATAATAAATGGTTTTCAAGATAATTTCCAGTTTGAAACCAATTTTAATTTCCAATGGCCAAAATGGAACTGGTGGGGTGTATTTATAGGCTCCTCACTGGTCCGTTAGTCCAGGAAGAGCTAAATAAGCACTTACCAGTTCTCAAGGGGAAGGGGCCACGATTGTCTTTACTAGAAACCAAAGCCAACGTGTGACCATGTGTGGACAAATGACAGGAGAGGGCTATTCATAAAACCAATTTCTAAGACTGTTTTTATGAAGGGAGAATCTCTCTCTAAGGACATTATTTTGCTTTATATCTGAGAATTCAATGGAATTTAGAGGTAGCAGAACTCACTTATTAAGAATTGAGCTTCCAACTGCAGTAATGCCTCCAGTCATAGAAGGGAACATGATTTTCAGGGGAACATAGTCTGACAGATTAATAAGGAATCTTCCTTTTTGATACTATCAGGTAGGAAACAAGTATAAAGAAGAGTTTTAGGGTTGTGGACAGGAACTCCTTTTATTACAATGAAAAGTGCAGAAAAAGTGTTCAGTAGGAAAGATTCAGTGCAAGATAACAGGGAAAATGTATTGGTAATATCAAGGAGAATCCAAACATTGTACTGTCAGACTAATGCTTTCCATGGGTGAAAACTGCAACTGTCAGGTTAGATAAACATTTATTTGAAGACCTTGAGTTACCACTGAGACATTTCTGAGGCGAAACGCTAAGAAAAACGCATGTAATTGTCAAGGGTGGCAGGACAGTGTTGCTCTCAAAGTCCCGTCTGACTGACAGGGCAGAGGCTCTCCCTCATGGCCCCAATCTGCTTCCCGACAGCTCCAGGCTTTCCTCAGGAAGCTGCCCTTCACCTTTATCCACCTCAGGCTTGTCCTGCAGAGCCCTCTGGAGAACCAGCTTCAGGTTCTGCCTATTTTGACGCTGCCTAAAGGAGCCCACGAAGAAGTAAATGATGGGGTTGGCACTACTGTTTAGAGAGGACAGGGACATGCAAACCAGATAAACATGACAATATAAGACTTCCAAATTCAGGTGCATCCTGTAAATTAGGGCCCCCAGAATGCCGAAGGGCAGGCCGCAGAGGAGGAAGACCAGCACTGTGAGCAGGATGGTCACGTACAGCCTGGTCAGCGGCATCTTCCGGGATCCACAGAGGATCCTGACCAGCAGGACCAGGCTGGAAACACAGAGAACCACACATAAAAAAATCAGCCACGCGACTGGGATGAAATCTGACGTTTCACACCAACTAGAATCAGCACCACTAAACAGGAAGTCACAGAACCTCCACTCCAGCATACTAAACAGCAGGGACAGGCCCCAGAGCAGGACACACACGACCGCTGACAGGTGTGTGGGGCGGCGGCAGCGGTACCAGATGGGCCACAGAACAGACAGGCAGCGCTCGGTGCTGATGGCGCTCAGCATACTCAGGCCTGTAAAGTAGGGAAAGGTCATCACAGAAACGAGGATTTTGCGGATGAGATGGCTGATATTGATGAGGCGTAATGGCAAACGTATAATCTGGAAGCTGAGGAAGAGGAAGTCTGCTGCGGCCAGGTTGAGGATGTAGATGGAGACAGCGTTCCTGCGCATGCGGTAGCCCAGGAGCCAGAGCACAACCGCGTTTCCTGTCAGTCCGACAAGGGAAATGATGCACGTCAGCACCGTGAAGCTCAGGGTCTGATTGTAGCAAGGAGTCTCCTCACGTCCGTTGATTGGTGTCAGTTTTGTACCGAAGACTGGGACGGTTGGATCCATGCTCAGAAACCCTAGTCTGGTGCCCCTGGGAACACAAACCAGATGTGATCACCAGCTGTATCATCTCTGATTCTCCCCACCACCCTGCCGTATGGGATTTACTGTCCTCATTTAAAGAAGAGAGAAACAGAGGCTCGCAGATAATAAGTCACTTACCAAAGGTGGGGGTCCTCAAATCCAGTTTGAAATCCAGTTCTTGTTGACTCTGAAGCCTGACATCTCTCTACTGCCACACAAGTTCTGTGCTGACATGGGAATAACATTAGGATCAAAACACCCCCACTCATCCGGCCAGGGCTTTGGACCCGATGATTAATCTATCCTGGGTCTGAAATTTTCTTTCAGGTGGAGGAATTCAGATACACAAAGAGGTGGTTGTGACACACTCGTGACTAGGACTGGTCATCCATGGACAGGAAGGAAGACCATGCATTATGAACTAGAGGAAAATGTGACCTTTGCTAGGATAAGTGTGAAAATGGCTGGGCCTGGTGGGTGAGAAATAACTCAGTGTGTCAGTCATTGCAGACAGGACTACATTTTACATTTTATACTCCCAGTGCCTATTTCCATGAGCAGCACACTGTGCTTTTCATATACATTCATTCAATGAATGAATGCATGCATGAGACTAATGGTACTGGTAGATTTGGATGAAATGGAAAATAAAGATGAAAGCACAATGTAAGGTATTAGAACACACACGTATAACTGGATGAAGAAAATTTAATTCATCAGAATTCTATTTGTGGAAAGCTGTATCTGTGTTGAGAAGAATTCTTGATGTGTGCCCAAAACTTGAAATTGACCACTGATGTGCCTTTGAAATGAAGACTCAGTGTGGCTTTGCTGAACACCTAGAAGCATTTTTGTACACAGTGTTTGGGTAGGGTGTGGGTCTGAGCTGAATTACTCAGCAATAGAACAGAGGAAAGAGTAAGTGAAGATGAGGTCTGAGTGTAACTGACGGAGGTAATTGAAGTGTGGAAATATCTATGGGGGACTACTAAGTGTTCTGCTGGGTATACACAATGTAAACTTTTTGGTTCTCTCTTTCAGGAGATCTTTGGTAGCATTTCTTTGTTGATGCAAACATTTGTATGAGAGGCGTCCATGAGGGGAAATAGGCGATGTGTAGGGCTTGGAGTGTAAAGAGAGAGATTCATGCAGATTTCAACTGGAGAATGAGGATTAGGTCTAATCTGGGAGAATAACAGCAGCTGATTGAGAGTTTGTAAGGTATTGTCTCTTTTAATCACCCGAAGAGCCTAGGAGGTAAGAATTGGTATTATTCCCATATGGCAGATAATGCAATTGGAGCACAACGAAAGGGAATTATTTGTCCCAGGGGTTATGTATTACATAGTATGAATTTGAGTCCGGCAGGTCTGACTCACAATCCAGTCTTGGAGCAGCCCTTTATACCCAGCACCACCCTGTGTCGATTATATATGTTACAGGGAGTAAAGCAGAGGAGTGATTCTCAAGTTAAATCCAAGTTGGCAGCCAAAATTGTGGATTGAAAAAAAAACTGACCTAAGCAAACTCCACATAGAGAAGGAGAGGCAAATCAAAGAGGGAACAAAATAGAGGTGAGTGAATGCCATTTAGGAATAAATTCAGGAGTTCCTTTTTGCCTATCAGAGGTCACATTTGCTCTGGAATCCTGAGGATGCACAGGGGCAGGAGGCCTCCTGGTGGACAGAAGATGCACCCTTTGCTGGGAGTACAGAGAAGCATCAGGAGTGAATGCATCCATCATGAGCTCTCTTAGAGGGGCAAGGTGCCACAGCCCTGATTGGCCCAGAAAGGAAATGGGAGGAAAAGGAGAGCCTCTGTTATCCACACTCAGGGCACTAAAGAGTTTCTCTATCTATATTTATGGTATGATATGTTTGTCTTCCTCATGAAAACCAAAGCTCCATAAGGACTAAGTCATACCTGTCATTTTCCCTGTAGTATCACCAACATTTAGCCTGTGTTCCTTAAAGACCATCTATGGTATTATCCTCATATAACATAAGATGAAGCCAAGGCATAGAGAATTAAAGGGTTTTCCTGAGTTCACAACACGAAGAGCAAGTCTAATACCAGCCCCTGGTCCCTGGAACCCTGCATGAGGCTCCAGTTCTGTTCTCTGCCCCATCATTCATTATTTCTGAGGAGTTCCTGAAAAATCTTGATGTGAGCACAGAGTCAGAGACAATCAGGGCTGAAGAGACTGCTAGATTGCCCCAATATTCATTTTCCTCTTCGGTCACATAACAATTCTGAGAGTATAAAAGCAGCACAAAGACCCACATCCCAGTTTTCCTTGATGCTGGATGACATTGTATGACCAGGTGCTGTTAAGTGGAAGAATCACAAAGTGATGTAAGCAATTCCTTGCTCACAGGATCAATAGAAGGAGTAAAGCCTCTCCTTCCCCTCGTCCTTTTCCATAAGGCTGGAATGCTGATGTAGCTGGAAACCATGCAAGATCACAAAGATGAGGGCAACTCTCTAGGGACTGGGAGCCCCAATTTTTGGAATTCTGATGTGTGACGCCTTGGAGCTTCTACTTCAGATTTCAAAGATAGTCATTTCTGGGTATTCACAGGGGATTTTTTCCAGAACTTTAGCACACACCAAAATCTGCAGATGCTCTATTTCCTTCTATGTGGTATTTGTATATACCTATGCACTTTCTCCCAGATATGTTAAATCATTTTTAGTTATTTAGAATAACTGACGAAATGCAAATGCTATGTAAATTCTTGTTATATTGTAGTTTTTCAGAAATAATGACGAGGAAAAACAAGTTTGTACCTGTTCAGTACATACACAACTCCACCATACCCTTATTTTTGGAATAGTTTCCACCTGTGGTTTGTTGAATTTGCAGATTCAGAATCTAGTGACCCAGAGACACAATTATACTTTTTTGTTTAAGATATTTCTACTTCATGTCTTTTTTAGAGCAGCCAAACTTAGATTCTAAACAAATAAATATGTTCTCTTTTTAAATTACATTTTATTTTCTATGCATTTTTGACAAATGCAAACATTTCTGCATAAAAGTGACAGTAGAGAAAGACATGCCAAACATTAAAGTAGTCTCATGGAGCTGAAATGAGACAGGAATCAATCACCTTCAGGCAGAGCAAGCCTCAGGAAGTAGGAGGATATAAGAAGGTAAGAGGAATAGTCTCATTTGGCATGAGGATTTGCTTTCCGTTCTTCTCTATCCTGTTTGACATCCCAAGTGAGTGGCTTCCATGTACCACATTAGTAGGATTCTTTTTATTTCTGGTTTCTAATGAAATTGAGACACTGGGACATACTGGCAGGAGACTGGAAGACAGCAGGAGAGTGACTTGGGATTTCCATCTCCTGGCTCTCTGCCTGCATATTAGTTCCTTCTTGCATTGATAAAAAGAAATACCTGAGACTGGGAAATTTATGAGGAAAACAGGTTTAATTGGCTCATGGCTCTACAGGCTATGCAGGAAGCATAGCAGCTTCTGCTTTAGGGGAGGCTTCAGAAAGCTTCCAATCCTGATGAAAGGCAAAGGGGGAGCAAGGCATCTCACATGGTGAGAGCAGGAGCAAGAGAGAGAGGGAGGAGGTGCTACACACTTTTAAACAATTAGATTTCATGAGAACTTATCAGTATCAAAACAATAATACCAAAAGGGGATGGTGTTGAAACATTCATGCAAAATCATCCCCATGATCTAATAATCATCCCACCAGGCCCTCCCTCCAACAATGGGAATTACAATCAACATGAGATTTGGGTAGGGACACAGATCCAAACCATATCGGCCTGTGTGGTTGTGTGTTGGCTGTGCAGGGCTTCTCCACCTGCCTGCTCGTGCTCTCCCACCCCTATGGCTACAACTATGGCTATGGCGACAATGGTAACTGCTCCTTCCCTGTGCCTTTCAGCCTAGGGGAGGAAGTAGTGCTCCCCTATGTATTGCTGCTTGAGGTGCTTTGCCATGCCTCATCTCTTTCCCTTAACCCTGCGCATCTTTGTAAATACTTTCCTCACGAAACACTCCTTAATTATTTCAGTTTGGACTATCTATAACTTCCTTGGTCCTTTCCAGATAGGCAAAGAAGAATAAATTTAAAAAGTAAGTGAAACAATAAAACCGGCCCTACAGCAGTTCAACTCTGGGAAGAAATGTCTTCATGTCTTCTGGCTCCTTAAATGAATGTAAGAGGCAGCATTCTCTCCAGGAGAGCAGATTGAATGATTGGAATGAAGGAGATGATACGGGGAGATAAATCAGAAGGGGGACCCCATTTGGAACTCACACAGTTTGGGCTGGCAGCACTCAGTTTCCAAAACGAAGCTTCGTGTCTCCTGTCTTTTCCTGAAACAAGCTCATGACCCCCTGCATGTAGCACCAAGGTGGAAGCACAGGACATGATCTGATAGCAAAAACCATAACTGACCATGGAAGAAGACAGTTCTTGGTACTTACCCTTATCTTTCCTTCTTTTGTCCTGTGGTGAAGACCTCCCTTGTGCTAAAGGTAGAGAGCCTTTCTGGGATTCAGTGTCTTCAGAGGACTTTTCTGTGTTGCTTAATTCAGGAGATGCCTACAGGAGCTGAAATGAAAGCTGGTTAGCAATCCAGGCTTATGAAGATGCTGGACAGTCTTGTTATTTCCTGTATGAGGACTATGGACAAATCAGAGGCCAGAGGTATTTGAGGCACAAATCCTAACTGAGATGATTCTTGGCCTCTGTCCCATATCCAATACATATCAGCCTCTCCCATCATGTCCCATCTTGTTCAGCTTCCTGTAAGTAATTGCTGTCCTGATTTTGAAAATCAATTATGGGCCTAGATATCAGATTAAGTAATGTGAACTTTCGTTATGAGGCTTTTTAACTAAAGAAATAAGTAGATCATAGGATCATCAAGGCTGAAAATGGCCTGACACCATGTTTCGGTGTTTTCTTTATCATAGTGGTGATATATTCATGTGTATGCTTTCTTTCCAAGTGGTAGAGAAGTGTATGCAAAGTGAAAATCTAGAATGTCATTGTCCAGAGGCTACCACTTGCTACACATTTTTTTCTAACTTCTTTTATTATTATCAACTCTGAACATTAAACTTTTTAAAAGTTCTGTGAAATTAAATCATTTGTTGTTATTATTTTTATTTCAATGGGTTTTGGGGGAACAGGTGGTGTTTGCTTACATGGATAAGTTCTTTAGTGGTAATTTCTGAGATTTTGGGGCACCCATCACCTGAGCAGTGTACACTATACCCAATGTGTAGTCTTTTATCCCTCACCCCTCTTCCATCCTTCCCCTGAAGTCCCCATAGTTCATTATATTATTCTATGCATTTACATCCTCACAGTTTAGCTCTCACTTGTAAGTGAGAATATATGATGTTTGGTTTTCCATTTCTGAGTTACCTCAGTTAGAGTAATATGTCCAGTTCCATCTAGGTTGCTGTGAATGCCATTATTTTATTCCTTTTTATGGCTGAGTACTATTCCATGGTATATAAATGTATACGTGTACTATATACATAGTTGTATATATATATATTTATATATATTTAATGGGATTGATGGATGAAATGGTAGATCCACTTTTACTTCTTTAAGAAATTTCCACACTGTTTTTCATAGTGGTTGTGCTAGTTTACATTCCCACCAGCAGTGTAAAAGTGTTCCTTTTTTACCACATCCCCGCCAACATCTATTATTTTTAGATTTTTAAATTATGGCCATTCTTGCAGGAGTAAGGTGGTATCGCATTATGGTTTTGATTTGCATTTCCCTGATCATTAGTGACGTTAAGCATTTTTTCCTATGTTTGTTGTCTGTTTCTATCTCTTTTTTTGAGAATTGTCTATTCATGTTTTTAGCCCACTTTTTGATGGGATTGTTTGCTTTCTTCTTGCTGATTTGTTTGAGTTCCTTGTATTCTGGATATTAGTCCTTTGTCAGGTGCTTAGTTTGTGAAGATTTTCTTACTCGGTGGGTTGTCTGTTTGCTCTGCTGACGATTGCTTTTGCTGTGTTAAAGCTTTTTAGTTTAATTAAGTCCCATCTATTTATTTTTGTTTTTGTTGCATTTACTTTTGGGTTCTTGGCCATGAAGTCTTTGCCTAAGTGAATGTCTGGAAGGATTTTTCTGATATTATCTTCTAGAATTTTTATGGTTTTAGGTCTTAGATTTAAGTCTTTGATCCATCTTGAGTTGATTTTTGTAGAAGGTGAGAGATGAGGATCCAGTTTCATTCTTCTACATGTGGATTGCCAATTATCTCAAAACCATTTGTTAAATAGGCTGTCTTTTCTCTACTTTATGTTTTCATTAGCTTTGTCAAAAATCAGTTGACTGTAAGTATTTGGCTTTATTTCTGGATTCTCTCTTCTTTTCCATTGGTCTATGTGCCTAGTTTTATGCCAGTGCTATGCTGTTTTGGTGACTATAGCTTTGTAGTATAGTTTGAAGATGGGTAATGTGATGCCTCCAGATTTGTTCTTTTTGCTAAGTCTTGCTTTGGCTATGTGGGGTTTTTTGTTTCCATATTAATTTTAGAATTTTTTTCTAGTTCTGTGAAGAATGACAATGGTATTTTGATGGGAATTGCATTGAATTTGTAGATTGCTTTTGGCAGTATGGTCATTTTCACAATATTGATTCTACCCATCCATGAGCATGGGATATGTTTCCATTTGTTTGTGTCATCTATGATTTCAGCAGTGTTTTGTAGTTTTCCTTGTAGAGGCCTTCCACCTCCTTGGGTAGGTATATTCCTAAGTATTTTTTTTTTTTACAGTTACTGTAAAAGTGTTTGAGTTCTTGATTTGATTCTCAGCTTGGTCACTGTTGGTGTATAGCAGTGCTACTGATTTGTGTACATTTAGTTTGTATCCTGAAACTTTACTGAATTTATGTATCAGTTCTAGGAGCTTTCTGGATGAGTCTTTAGGGTTTTCTAGGTATACAATCGTATCATCAGTGAACGGGACAGTTTGACTTCCTCTTTATCGATTTGGATGGTCTTGATTTCTTTCTCTTGTCTGACTGCTCTGGCTAAAGCTTCCAGTACTATGTTGAATAGAAGTGGTACTATGTTGAATAGAAGTGGTGAAAGTGGGCATCCTTGTCTTGTTTCAGTTATCAGGGAGAATGTTTTCAACTTTTCCCCATTCAGTATAATGTTGGCTGTGGGTTTGTCATAGATGGCTTTTATTACATTAAGGTATGTCTTTTCTATGTCGATTTTGCTGAAGGTTTTAATAATAAAGGGTGCTAGATTTTGTCAAATGCTTTTACAGCTTCTATTGAGATGATCATGTGATTTTTGTTTTTAATTCTGTTTATGTGATGTATCACATTTATTGACTTGTGTATGTTAACCTAACACTGCATCCCTGCTATGAAAACCACTTGACAATGGTGGATTATCTTCTTGATATGCTGTTGGATTGGGTTAGCTAGTATTTTGTTGGGGATTTTGGCATCTATATTCATCAGGGATACTGGTATGTAGTTCCTTTTTTGTTATGTCCTTTCCGGTTTTGGTATTAAGGTGACACTGGCTTCATACAATGCTTTGGCAGGATCCTCTCTTTCTCTATATTTTGGAATAGTTTCAGTAGGATTGGTACCAATTCTTCTTTGAATATTTGATAGAATTCAGCTGTGAATACGTCTGATCCTGTACTTTTTTGTTGGCAATGTCTCTTTAATTTTTATTTCAATCTCTCTGCTTTTTTTTTTTTTTTTTTTTGGTCTGTTCAGAGTTTCTGTTCCTCCTAGTTTAATCTAGGAGGTTTGTATATTTCCAGGAATTTATGCATATCCTCTCGGTTTTCCTGTTTGTACATGTAAAGGTGATCACAGTAGCTTTGAAGGATCTTTTGTATTTCTGTGGTATTGGTTGTAACATCTTCTGTTTCATTTCTAATTGAGCTTATTTGGATCTTCTCTGTTCTTTTCTTGGTTAAAGTTGCTAATGGTATATCAATTTTGTTTATGTTTTCAAAGAACCAGGTTTTTGTTTCACTTTTCTTTTGTTTCATTTGTTTTTTTTTTTTCATTTACTTCTGCTCTGATTGTTTTTATTTCTTTTCTTCTGCTGGGTTTGGGTTGAGTTTGTTCTTCCTTCTCTAATTCCTTGAGATGTAACCTTAGATTGTCTATTTGTGCTCTTTCAGACATTTTGATGTAGGCATTTAATGCTATGAACTTTACTCTTAGCACCACTTTTGCTGTATCCCAGAGGTTTTGATAGGTTGTGTCACTATTAGCATTTAATTCATAGAATTTTTAAATTTTCATCTTGATTTCATTGTTGACCCAATGATAATTCAGGAACAGGTTATTTAATTTCCATGTATTTATGTGGTTTTGAAAGTTCCTTTTGGAGTTGATTTCCAATTTAATTCCACTGTGTTCTGAGAGAGTACTTGATATAAATTCAATTTTCTTAAATTTATTGAGACCTGTTTTGTGGCCTACATATGGTCTATCTTGGAGAATGTTCCATGTGCTGATGAATAGAATGTATATTCTGCAGTTGTTGGGTAGAGCGTTCTGTGAATATCATTAAGTCCATTAGTTCTAGGGTATAGTATTTTATTTTGTTTATTCATTATTGTTATTTTTTTGAGATGGAGTCTCACTCTGTTGCCCAGGCTCGTGTGCAGTAGCGCTATCCTGGCTCACTGCAACCTCCGTCTACTGGGTTCAAGCAATTCTTCTGCCTCAGACTCCCAAGTAGCTGGGACTACAGGCACATGCCACCACGCCTGGCTAATTTTTTATATTTTAGTAGAGACGGGGTTTCACCGTGTTGCCCAGGCTGGTCACGAACTCCTGAGCTCAGGCAATCCACCAGCCCTGGCCTCCCAAAGTGCTGGGATTACAGGCGTGAGCCACCGTGCCGGACCTAGGGTATAGTTTAAATCCATTGTTTCTTTGTTGACTTTCTGTCTTGATGACCTGTCTAGTGCTGTCAGTGGAGCACTATTGAGGTTCCGCACTATTATTGTGTTGCCATCAAATTAATTTCTTAAGTCTAGTGGGAACTGTTTTATAAACGGGAGTTGCAGTGTTAGGTGCATATATATTTTGGATTGTGATACTTTCCTGTTGGAATAGACCTTTTATCATTATAAAATATCTCTCTTTGTCTTTTCTAACTGTTGTGCTTTAAAGTCTGTTCTGTCTAATGTAAGAATAGCTCCTCCCGCTCACTTTTAGTGTCCATTTGAGTGGACTATCTTTTTCCACTCCTTTACTGTAGGTTTCTGTGAGTCTTTTTTTTTTTTGAAGTTTCTTTTTATTATTATTATTATTATACTTTAAGTTTTAGGGTACATGTGCACAACGTGCAGGTTTGTTACATATGTATACATGTGCCATGTTGGTGTGCTGCACCCATTAACTCGTCATTTTACATTAGGTATATCTCCTAATGCTATCCCTCCCCCCCTCCCCCCACCCCACAACAGGCCCCGGTGTGTGATGTTCCCCTTCCTGTGTCCATGTGTTCTCGTTGTTCAGTTCCCACCTATGAGTGAGAACACGTGGTGTTTGGTTTTTTGTCCTAGCTATAGTTTGCTGAGAATGACGGTTTCCAGCTTCATCCATGTCCCTGCAAAGGACATGAACTCATCATTTTTTATGGCTGCATAGTATTCTATGGTGCATATGTGCCACATTTTCTTAATCCAGTCTATCATTGTTGGAAATTTGGCTTGGTTCCAAGTCTTTGTTATTGTGAATAGTGCCACAATAAACATACATGTGCATGTGTCTTTATAGCAGCATGTTTTATAATCCTTTGGGTATATACCCAGTAATGGGATGGCTGGGTCAAATGGTATTTCTAGTTCTACATCCCTGAGGAATTGTCACACTGACTTTCACAATGGTTGAACGAGTTTACAGTCCTACCAGCAGTGTAAAAGTGTTCCTATTTCTCCACATCCTCTCCAGCACCTGTTGTTTCCTGACTTTTTAATGATCACCATTCTAACTGGTGTGAGATGGTATCTCATTGTGGTTTTGATTTGCATTTCTCTGATGGCCAGTGATGATGAGCATTTTTTCGTGTGTCTTTTGGCTGCATAAATGTCTTCTTTTGAGAAGTGTCTGTTCATATCCTTTGCCCACTTTTTGATGGGGTTGTTTTTTTCTTGTAAATTTGTTGGGGTTCATTGTAGATTCTGGATATTAGCCCTTTGTCAGATGAGTAGATTGCAAAAATTTTCTCCCATTCTGTAAGTTGCCTGTTCACTCTGATGGTAGTTTCTTTTGCTGTGCAGAAGTTCTTTAGCTTAATTAGATCCCACTTGTCAATTTTGGCTTTTGTTGCCATTGCTTTTGGTGTTTTAGACACGAAGTCCTTGCCCATGCCTATGTCCTGAATGGTATAGCCTAGGTTTTCTTCTAGGGTTTTTATGGTTTTAGGTCTAACATTTAAGTCTTTAATCCATCTTGAATTAATTTTTGTATAAGGTGTGAGGAAGGGATCCAGTTTCAGCTTTCTACATATGGCTAGCCAGTTTTCCCAGCACCATTTATTAAATAGAGAATCCTTTCCCCATTGCTTGTTTTTGTCAGGTTTGTCAAAAATCAGATAGTTGTAGATATGTGGCATTATTTCTGAGGGCTCTGTTCTGTTCCATTGGTCTATATCTCTGTTTTGGTACCAGTACCATGCTGTTTTGGTTACTGTATCCTTGTAGTATAGTTTGAAGTCAGGTAGCGTGATGCCTCCAGCTTTGTTCTTTTGGCTTAGGGTTGACTTGGCAATGCGGGCTCTTTTTTGGTTCCACATGAACTTTAAAGTAGTTTTTTCCAATTCTGTGAAGAAAGTCATTGGTAGTTTGATGGGGATGGCATTGAATCTATAATTTACCTTGGGCGGTATGGCCATTTTCACGATATTGATTCTTCCTACCCATGAGCATGGAATGTTCTTCCATTTGTTTGTATCCTCTTTAATTTCATTGAGCAGTGGTTTGTAGTTCTCCTTGAAGAGGTCCTTCACATCCCTTGTAAGCTGGATTCCTAGATATTTTATTCTCTTTGAAGCAATTGTGAATAGGAGTTCACTCATTATTTGGCTCTCTGTTTGTCTGTTATTGGTGTATAGGAATGCTTGTGATTTTTGCACATTGATTTTGTATCCTGAGACTTTGCTGAAGTTGCTTATCAGCTTAAAGAGATTTTGGGCTGAGATGATGGGGTTTTCTAGATATACAATCATTTCATCTGCAAACAGGGACAATTTGACTTCCTCTTTTCCTAATTGAATACCCTTTATTTCCTTCTCCTGCCTGATTGCCCTAGCCAGAACTTCCAACACTATGTTGAATAGGAGTGGTGAGAGAGGGCATCCCTGTCTTGTGCCAGTTTTCAAAGGGAAAGCTTCCAGTTTTTGCCCATTCAGTATGATATTGGCTGTGAGTTTGTCATAGATAGCTCTTATTATTTTGAGATACATCCCATCAATACCTAATTTATTGAGAGTTTTTAGCATGAAGGTTGTTGAATTTTGTCAAAGGCCTTTTCTGCGTCTATTGAGATAATCATGTGGTTTTTGTCTTTGGTTCTGTTTATATGCTGGATTATGTTTATTGATTTGTGTATATTGAACCAGCCTTGCATCCCAGGGATGAAGCCCACTTGATTGTGGTGGATAAGCTTTTTGATATGCTGCTGGATTCGGTTTGCCAGTATTTTATTGAGGATTTTTGCATCGATGTTCATCAGGTATATTGGTCTAAAATTCTCTTTTTTTGTTGTATCTCTGCCAGGCTTTGGTATCAGGATGATGCTGGCCTCATAAAATGAGTTAGGGAGGATTCCTTCTTTTTCTATTGATTGGAATAGTTTCAGAAGGAATGGTACCAGCTCCTCCTTGTACCTCTGGTAGAATTCAGCTGTGAATTCATCTGGTCCTGGACTTGTTTTGGTTGGTAAGCTATTAATTCTTTTCTCAATTTCAGAGCCTGTTACTGGTCTATTCAGAGATTCAACTTCTTCCTGGTTCAGTCTTGGGAGGGTGTATATGTTGAGGAATTTATCCATTTCTTCTATATTTTCTAGTTTATTTGCGTAGAGGTGTTTATAGTATTCTCTGATGGTAGTTTGTATTTCTGTGGGATTGGTGGTGATATCCCCTTTGTCATTTTTTATTGCATCTATTTGATTCTTCTCTTTTTTCTTCTTTGTTAGTCTTGCTAGTGGTCTATCAATTTTGTTGATCTTTTCAAAAAAACAGCTCCTGGATTCACTGATTTTTTGAAGGGTTTTTTGTGTCTCTATCTCCTTCAGTTCTGCTCTGATCTTAGTTATTTCTTGCCTTCTGCTAGCTTTTGAATGTGTTTGCTCTTGCTTCTCTAGTTCTTTTAATTGTGATGTTAGAGTGTCAATTTTAGATCTTTCTTTCTTTCTCTTGTGGGCATTTAGTGCTATAAATTTCCCTCTACACAATGCTTTGAATGTGTCCCAGAAATTCTGGTATGTTGTGTCTTTGTTCTCGTTGGTTTCAAAGAACATCTTTATTTCTGCCTTCATTTCCTTATGTACCCAGTAGTCATTCAGGAGCAGGTTGTTCAGTTTCCATGTAGTTGAGCGGTTTTTAGTGAGTTTCTTAATCCTGAGTTCTAGTTTGATCGCACTGTGGTCTGAGAGATAGTTTGTCATAATTTCTGTTCTTTTACATTTGCTGAGGAGTCCTTTACTTCCAACTATGTGGTCAATTTTGGAGTAGGTGTGTTGTGGTGCTGAAAAGAATGTATATTCTGTTGATGTGGGGTGGAGAGTTCTGTAGATGTCTATTAGGTCCACTTGGTGCAGAGCTGAGTTCAATTCCTGGATATCCTTGTTAACTTTCTGTCTTGTTGATCTATCTAATGTTGACAGTGGCGTGTTAAAGTGTCCCATTATTATTGCATGGGAGTCTAAGTCTCTTCGTAGGTGTCTAAGGACTTGATTTATGAATCTGGGTGCTCCTGTATTGGGTGCATATATATTTAGAATAGTTAGCTCTTCTTGTTGAATTGATCCCTTTACCATTATGTAATGGCCTTCTTTGTCTCTTTTGATCTTTGTTGGTTTAAAGTCTGTTTTATCAGAGACTAGAATTGCAACCCCTGCTTTTCTTTTTGCTTTCCATTTGCTTGGTAGATCTTCCCCCATCCCTCTATTTTGAGCCTAACTGTGTCTCTGCACGTTGAGATGGGTTTCCTGAATACAGCACACTGATGGGTCTTGACTCTTTATCCAATTTGCCAGTCTATATCTTTTAATTGGAGCATTTAGCCCATTTACATTTAAGATTAATATTGTTATGTGTGAATTTGAACTTGTCATTATGATGTTAGCTGGTTATTTTGCTCATTAGTTGATGCGGCTTCTTCCTAGCCTCGATGGTCTTTACAATTTGGCATGTTTTTGCAGTGGCTGGTACCGGTTTTTCCTTTCCATGTTTAGTGCTTCCTTCAGGAGCTCTTTTAGGGCAGGCCTGGTGGTGACAGAATCTCTCATCATTTGCTTGTCTGTAAAGAATTTTATTTCTCCTTCACTTATGAAGCTTAGTTTGGCTGGATATGAAATTCTGGGTTGAAAATTCTTTTCTTTAAGAATGTTGAATATTGGCCCCCACTTTCTTCTGGATTGTAGAGTTTCTGCCGAGAGATCCGCTGTTAGTCTGATGGGCTTCCCTTTGCGGGTAACCTGACCTTTGTCTCTGGCTGCCCTTAACATTTTTTCCTTCATTTCAACTTTGGTCAATCTGACAATTATGTGTCTTGGAGTTGCTCTTCTCGCGGAGTATCTTTGTGGCGTTATCTGTATTTCCTGAATTTGAATGTTGGCCTGCCTTACTAGATTGGGGAAGTTCTCCTGGATAATATCCTGCAGAGTGTTTTCCAACTTGGTTCCATTCTCCCCGTCACTTTCGGGTACACCAATCAGATGTAGATTTGGTCTTTTCACATAGTCCCATATTTCTTGGAGGCTTTGTCCCTTTCTTTTTATTCTTTTTTCTCTAAACTTCTCTTCTCGCTTCATTTCATTCATTTCATCTTCCATCACTGATACCCTTTCTTCCAGTTGATCAAAACAGCTACAGAAGCTTGTGCATTCATCATGTAGTTCTCATGCCTTGGTTTTCAGTTCCATCAGATCCTTTAAGGACTTCTCTGCATTGGTTATTCTAGTTAGCCATTCATCTAATCTTATTTCAAGGTTTTTAACTTCTTTGCGATGGGTTTGAACTTCCTCCTTTAGCTCAGAGAAGTTTGATCATCTGAAGCCTTCTTCTCTCAGCTCGTCAAAATCATTCTCTGTCTAGCTTTGTTCCATTGCTGGTGAGGAGCTGCATTCCTTTGGAGGAGGAGAGGTGCTCTGATTTTTAGAATTTTCAGTGTTTCTGCTCTGTTTTTTCCCCATCTTTGTGGTTTTATCTACGTTTGGTCTTTGATGATGGTGACGTACAGATGGGGTTTTGTTTTGGATGTCCTTTCTGTTTGTTAGTTTTCCTTCTAACAGTCAGGACCCTCAGCTGCAGGTCTTTTGGAGTTTGCCAGAGGTCCACTCCAGACCCTGTTTGCCTGGGTATCAGCAGCAGAGACTGCAGAACAGTGAATATTGGTGAACAGCAAATGTTGCTGCCTGATTGTTCCTCTGCAAGTTTTGTCTCAGAGGAGTACCCAGCCATGTGAGGTGTCAGTCTGCCCCTACTGGGGCGTGCCTCTCAGTTAGGCTACTCGGGGCTCAGGGGCCCACTTGAGGAGGCAGTCTGTCCATTCTCAGATCTTAAGCTGTGTGCTGGGAGACCCACTGCTGTTTTCCAAGCTGTCAGACAGGGACATTTAAGTCTGCAGAGGTTTCTGCTGCCTTTTGTTTGGCTATGCCCTGCCCCCAGAGGTGGAGTCTACAGAGGCAGGCACGTCTCCTTGAGCTGCGATGGGCTCCACCCAGTTCAAGCTTCCAGGCTGCTTTGTTTACCTACTCAAACCTCAGCAACAGCAGGCGCCTCTCCCCCAGCCTTGCTGCCGCCTTGCAGTTTGATCTCAGAGCTCTGTGCTAGCTATGAGCGAGGCTCCATGGGCATAGGACCCTCTGAGCCAGGCATGGGATATAATCTCCTGGTGTGCTGTTGGCTAAGACTGTCAGAAAAGTGCAGTATTAGGGTGAGAGTGACCCGATTTTCCAGGTGCTGTCTGTCACCCCTTTCCTTGGCTAGGAAAGGGAATTCCCTGACCCCTTTCACTTCCCGGGTGAGGCGATGCCTCTCCCTGCTTCGGCTCATGCTCAGTTTGCTACACCCACTGTCCTGCACCCCCTGTCCGACAATCCCCAGTGAGATGAACCCGGTACCTCAGTTGGAAATGCAGAAATCATTTGTCTTCTGCATCGCTCACACTGGGAGCTGTAGACTGGAGCTGTTTCTATTCGTCTATCTTGGAACCGCCCACTCCCCCCTTGCTTTTTTTGGTGTTTTCTGACACTGAAGGGTTGAACATATACCAGGGGGAAGAGTCGGGAGAGCAAGACTTTGGTTTTTGGCTTGTCCTGCTGGGGTGACCTGGCTGGCTCTCTCCAGACTTGACTGTATTTTAGTTCACGGTCCACTAATTTCACAAAATAGATGTCAACCTCTACCACTTCAAGGCCACAACAGACATCACTCGTTGTTCAGAGCACTCCATCCTTGAGCCTATTATTTTTTTCTTTTATTTATTTTTTCATTTTATTATTATACTTTAAGTTCTAGAGTACATGTGCACAACATGCAGGTTTGTCACATATGTATACATGTGCCATGTTGGTGTGCTGCACCCACTAACTCGTCATTTACATTAGTTATATCACCTAATGCTACCCCTCCCCCTCCCCCACCCCACGACAGGCCCCGGTGTGTGATGTTCCCCAAATGTCCATCAATGATAGACTAGATTAAGAAAATGTGGCACATATACACCATGGAATACTATGCAGCCATAAAAAAGGAGGAGTTCATGTCCTTTGTAGGGACATGGATGAAGCTGGAAACCACCATTCTCAGTGAACTATTGCAAGGACAAAAAAACCAAACACTGCATGTTCTCACTCATAGGTGGGAATTGAACATCCTTGAGCCTTTTAAGAGGGTTCTCACAACCATGTCCAAATGCCTGTGGTGGCAAAAGAAATGAAACATTTATGTTCTGATTGCCATTCCCAAAAAACTCTATGCTTTTATTTGCAGTGCCACCAGGAATTACCTTTTCTACCATTTCCATCTGTCCAGATCATATTTAGCTTTCATTGCCTAATTCAAAAATGTATGTGACTGGTTGAAGAGACAGAGGGTACAAGCTGGGCGAATTGTAGAGTTGTCACTTCAAATTCCAAGTATTTCAAGAAACCTTCCCTGGTCTATTCACCACCCTAGACACACTTATTAATGGGGTTTTTACCCTTTGCTCCAATCTCAGTGTTTAATCCTAGTGGATTTTGAGCCATCTTTGCCAATATGATAAGCATGTGTAATAGGATCTTTTCTTCCACACTCTACTGTAGCTTCTGGAAAACAGGAGCTAAATTCCATCTATTTTTATAGTCACCATTTGTGCACTGACAATATTGGTGCCCAATACATACCACACTATTGTCTGAGTTCTAGGTAATTTTCACATGTGTGAGAAGAATATATGCTCAATGTCATTATAGTCACGATGTAGATATGTGATCTTCTGCATCTGCCTGACTCTCAATGATAGTTACCTTCAAGTCTATGGTAAAGTAAGCTCCCACCAATGGTTTCTTTTACCTGGACACAACTGGCATAAGATTCAGACTAGAGAAATCTCATAAACTCACTAGCTGCTTCAGTGGCCTGGATAGGGCATGTGACCCAAGTTGGCATGGAGTCAACATGAGAATCCAGGTTCCCTGACTCCAGGTCCACTGTTCTTTCCAATCTAGCATTGTCCATTCTGCATCCCTACATATCCCAGGATTTCCTGATGTTAAGTTGGGCTTTACCGGCGGCAAGGGCTTCCTCTGTTGGAATACAGGGTGGTGGAAGCAGGTAGTTCTGTAATGCCTATGGCCTACACACCTGTAGGGACTCTCCTTGAGAAATGTTTCCACAAATTGTGCAGTGGTGATACATCAGACTGTAGACTGAGCAACGTTACAAGATTCGGCAGAATGAGTTTTGCCCTTCCATCAATTGTAAACCTTTTGCTGAGGATGTATTTCATCCTCATGTGTAGCCACCTGGTGAACCCTCCCTTAATTTTTGGAACCATATTGTCATGCGTACGAGGGAAGTTGGATGTGATATTCCCCTTCAGGATGGGAGTAAGAGAACTGAGAGTTTTTAGATGCCTCCTCCTTTGAGCACCCTAGACCCACAGATGCAGCTCTGTAATAGCATGTTTCACAGTGTGCAGCAGTCTTCCCTGCACTAGGCTCCATCCTTTTACAGACTGTAAGCTCTGTGAAGATGGGTATGTTTTCTCTGATGCCCCAGTGTCTGGCATGCAGGCTAGAAGATGGATGATTCTCAGTATGTATTTATAGAATAAACAGAAGAATGAGCATATGACATTGCTATGAAAAGCCAACTTAGTGACAAATTCAGCACTGAAAGTGGACAGTTCAAATGCAAAGGTCTATTAAACGGCATTTGTAAAAAAAGATATATTTATAATATAAAAATTTATTTGTAAGTAGAATTCACTTACCAAAAATGAAGGAGATGAAGGACTTTCCTTTGAGAAGTGTTCAGCAAATAGAATTCTACTCTACCTGTCTTGCAGAAAGCACATCCATCAAGCATTGTCTATCACTTGCAGTTTGACTTTATTAAAATGGAGATCATAGCATCATATGAAAGAAATTCTGCAGGAAGATGTTTCTCAATATTGTTAAATTTTTTCAGTGCAGAACAGTTGTCAGGCTCACAGCTAAAATTCGATAACAATAATTTTGAATCCAGCCTTTACTGCTCCTTTTAGCATGCACATTAGTTTTCACTGAACCTACACTTTTACTTTCATACTCGTATTTCATTGATTTACATTGTATTTTGATAAATCAGGCACAGCATGCTTCACTTAACAACAGGGATACATTCTGAGAAATGCATCCTTAGGCGATCTCATTGTTGTGTGAACATCATAGAATGTCCTTAGACAAATCTAGATAGTATAGCCTGTTATATGCATAGGCTACATTCTATGGCCTATTGCTTCTAAGTTACAAACCTACACAGCAATAACTGTACTGAATAATGTAGGCAGTTATAGCACAATGTAAGTATTTGTGTTCTAAATACATCTAAACATAGAACAGGTACACTAAAAGTGTGGTACTAAAGATTAAAAAATGATATTCCTGTATAGGGCCCTTACCACGAATGGAGCTTGCAGGACAGTGAGTTACTCTGGGTGAGTCAGTGAGTGGTGGGTGAATGTGAAGGCCTAGGATATTACTGTACACTACTGCAGACTTTATAAACAGTGTACATTTAGGCCACACTAAATTTATTAAAAATTTTTCTTTCCTCAATAATAAATTAAACTTAGTTTACTGTAACTATTTTACTTTATGAACTTTCTAATTTTTAATTTTTTCTCTTATGTAATAACACTTAGCTTAAAACACAAACACATTGTACAATTGTACAAAATTGACTTTTTAAATTTCCTTATTCTATAAACCAATTTCCTAGACTATTTTTATGCAGGCAGAGAGTCTGTCTCCAAGGACATTATTCTCCCTAACACCCGAGAATTCAGTGAGATTGAAAGATAGAGAGCTCACTTATTCAGAATTGAGCTTTCCACCTGCAGCAACGTCCCCAACTCCAATCTCAGAACAGAACATGATTTTCAGGGGAACATAGACTGAGAGATAAATAAGGAATCTTTTTCAATATTATCAGGAAGGAAACAATGATAAAGAAGAGTTGCGTGGTTTTGGACAGAGATTCATTGCATCAGATGAAAATTGCTGCCCCAATCCACTTCCCGACAGCTCCAGCTTTCCCTGAGCAAAGTATCCTTCTCTGTGATCTATCCTAGGCATGTCCTGCAGAGCCCTCTGGAGAACCAGCTTGAGGGTCTGCCTATTTTGACGCTGCCTGAAGGAGCCCAAGAAGAAGTAAATGATGGGGTTGGCACTGCTTTAAGAGAGGACCAGACAACTGAAACTGGAAGAACATGACAAAGGAAGACATGAAAGTTTTTTCAGTCCAGAATAACAGGAATCACTGAATGCCAAGGGGCAGGCTGCATAGGAGAAACACCAGCACTGTGAGCAAGATGGTCATCTACAGCCCGCTCAGTGGCATCTGCTGGGAGCCACAGAGGATCCTGACTAGCAGAACCAGGTTGGACCCACAGAGAACCACAAATTTAAAAATCAGCCACGTGCCTGTGATGAAATCAAATGTCTGAAACCAACTGTAGTCCCCAATCTTAAACAGAAAAGCACAGTAGTAACCTTCCAGGAAGGCAAGCAGCAGGGACGGGGCCCAGAGCAGGGCACACAGGACTGCTGACAGGTGTGTGGGGCGACGGCAGTGGTACCAGATGGGCCACAGGGCAGATATGCAGTGTTTGATGCTGATGGTGCTTAGCATGCTCAGCCCTGCAAGGTAGGAAAGGATCATCACAGCATTGAAGAAGCTAGGAAAGTAGATGGAGATGGAAGAGAAAGTGCTGATGAATTACATCGGGGAATGTATAATGTGGCCGCTGAGGAAGAGGTAGTCCGTCTGGCCAGGTTGAGCATGTAGATAGAGAATGTGTTCTTGGGCACATGGAAGCCCAGGAGCCAGAGCACAACCGCGTTTCCTGCCAGCCCATCCAGGGCAATGATGCACGTCAGTAAGTTTGGGATCAGGGTCTCCAAGTCACAAGTTCAAGAAAGGTTCTTTTCATTTCCATTCATTGATGTGAGTTTTGTCCTCCAAACTGGGATGGTTGGATCCACGCTCCAAAACCCTTCACTGGTGCCTAGGGAAAGGCAAGGAGATTTGAGCTCCAGCTGTGTGATCTCTAATTCTCAAGACCACCCTGCAATGTGTGAATTACTGTTCCCATTTTTCAGAAGAGAAAAATTGGGGCATATGGAGAATAACCAATTAAAATATCAGGAGGCCTTGGATCTGGTTTCAAACCAGTTCTTGCTGACACTAAAGCCTGGGCTCTCTCTATTGCAACAAGGTTCTCTACTCACATGGAAATATTCTTTGATCAAAACCTCTCCATTCAACCAGCTAGGGCTATGGGCCTGAGCATTACTCTGGACTGGGCCAGAAATTTTCTCAGGTGCAGGAATTCAGAAAGACAAAAAGGTGACTCTGACACCTCCATGACTAACAGTGGTGTATCCATGGAGGAAAAAGATCATGATTAAGGGACATGAAAGGAATGTAGCGTTTTGCTGGGACAGATGTAAGGATGGCTGGGCCTGGTAGGCTAGAAAGGGCTCAGCATGTCAGTCACTGAAGACAGTGAGGTAAGAGGTGGGACTTGATTCTGGAGCCAGGGACTTAGACATCAGACCAAATTGAAGACTAGCTAAAACAAGGCCAGGGTGAAAGCAGCTTTCCACAGGACATGGCCACCAGTATGCCACTGAGGTAGGAGGTGTGACTCAACTCTGGAGGTGAGGACTCTGACATTGGACCAGATTGAGGACTAACTAAAACAGGGCTGGGTGGAAGCAGTTTTCCATAAGAATGCCCACCAGTGTGCCATGTCAGTTTACTATGGCCATGGTGACATCTAGAAATTATCACTTTTTTCCATGGCAACTACCTCATGACCTGGAAGTTACCACTCTTATCCTAAAAATTTCTGCATAAACTGCCCCTTAATTTGTGTATCACTAAAAGTGGGCATAAATATGACTGCAGAACTGCCCCTGAGCTGCTACTCTGGACACACTGTTTGTGGGGTAGCCCTGCTTGGCAAGGAGCAGTACCTCTGCTGCTTTAATAAAACTTGCTATCTAACACCACTGGCTTACCCTTGAATTCTTTTCTGTACAAAGCCAAGAACCTGCTTGGGCTAATCCCCAGGAAGGAGCACCACTTTTTATATTCCCAGTGCCTAGCTCCATGTAAGGCACACTATATTCTCCACAAACATTTATTCAGTGAGTGAATGCATGAATGAGGAGCCTAATGGTAGTGGCAGATTTGAGTTAAATAGAAAATAAAAATGAAAGCACAATTAAAGGTATCAGAACACATATATGCATAAGATGAAGAAAATTTCATTCATCAGAATTCTATTTGTGGACAGCTCTGTCTGTGTTAAAAAGAATTACCTATGTGAGCCTAAATATCTGATCACTGATGTGACTTTGAAATGAGGACTCGGTGTTGGCTTTGCTGAGCACCTAGAAGCATTTTGGTATACAGCGTTGAGGTAGGGTGTGGGTCTGAGCTGAATTGCTCAGCAATATACAGGAGGAAAAAGTAAGTGAGCGTGAGGTCTGATTGTCACTGAAGGAGGCAATTGAAATGTGGAAATAGACCTGGAGAACTTCTAAGTGGTGTGCTGGGTGTGCATAACACAAACCTACTTCATTCTCTCTCCCAGATCTTGGGTAGAATTTCTTTTGCTAATGCAAACTTTTGTTTCAGAGGAGTTCCTGAGGGGAACCAGAAAAATTTCAGGGCTTGGAATGTAAAGAGACATGCTCATGCAGATTTTAACTGAAGAAAGAGGACTAGCTTCCATCTGGGTGAATAACAGTAACCAGTTGAGTATTTATTAGGTATTATCCCTCTTAATCTTTTCAAGAGCCTAGGAAGTAAGAAGAATTAGTAATATTCCCATTTTACAGGAGATGACAAAGGAAGACATAAAGGATGTGTAATTATTTCTTAGTCTCACACGATGTGGATTAGAACCCAGCAGGGCTGCCTCAGAGTTTATCTTTTTTGCCAACCCTTTGGATCCAGCACCACTGTGTGTTGCTTACACATCACTGTGTGGGAAAGCAGAGGACATTGTAATTCCCAATATAAATCCAAGATGGTAGTCAAAACTGTGGACTGAAAAAAGTAACGTAAGCAAACTCTGGAGACAATAAGAAACCAACCTAATATCTAACAAATGAGAGTGAAGGGAAACCAATTAGGAGCACAATAAGGAAATCAGAGACCCTTTCCTTCCTCATGAAGTCAAGCTTTCCTCTGGAATCCTGAGGAGCCACAGGCGTAGAAAGCATCCAAGTGGAAACAAAATGCATCCTTCCTCAGGTGTACAGAGAGATATCAAAAGTGAGTGCATCCATCCTGAGCTGTCTTAGAGAAACAAGCTGCCACAGCCTTGGGCCAGAAAGGGAAATGGAAGGAAAACTGTGATCCCCACTCAGGGCACTTAACAGTTTGTGCATCTATATTTAGGGTATATATTTGATATACCGTATTTAACATTTGAAACATTTGTCTTCCTCATTAAACCTGAAGCTCCATAGGGAGTAAGCCATGCCTGTTTTTGTTCACTGTAGTATCACCAACATTTAGCATGTGATATGGTTTGGCTCTGTGTCCCTACCCAATCTCATCTTGAGTTGTAATCCTCATGTGTGGAGGGAGGGAGCTGGTTGGACATGATTGGATCATGGGGCAGGATTTCCCCCTTGCTGTTCCCATGATAGCAAGTGAGTTCTTACGAGTTCTGGTTGTTTCAGTGTCTGGCACTTTCCCATTCTCTCTCTCTCTCTCTTTCTCTCTCCTGCTGCCATGTAAGGCATGACTTGCTTCCCTTTCACCTTCCTTCATGACTGTAATTTTCCTGAGACCTCCCAAATCATGTGGAACTGTGAGTCAATTAAATCTCTCTTCTTTGTAACTTACTCAGTCTCAGGTAGTATATTTATAGCAGTGTGAGAACAGACTAATACAGCATGTGTTCCTTAAAGACTATCTATTGTACTATTCTCATTTGACATAAGAAGGAGTTGAGGCTACAAGAGTCAGACTTGTTTTTCCAATATCACAAAGAGCAGGCCCCATGTCAACATCCCTGTATGAGACTTATGTACTGTTCTCTGCCCCATCATTCATTATTTCTGAGGAGCTCCTGAAAAACCTTGATGTGAGCAAAAAATCTCAGAGATAATCAAGGGTTTCAGAGACTGCCAAGTTGCCCCAATCTCCATTCTCCTCTTCAGTGACATAACAATTCTGAGCATTTAAGAGCAGCACAAGGACACATGTCCCAGTTTTCCTTGATGCTGGATGACATCATAAGACCAGGTTCTTGTCAGTGGAAGGTGAGCAGATGTGATGTAAGGAAGTCCGGGCTCGTGGGATCAATGGAAGAAGTACAGGCTCCCCTTTCCCTCTTTCTTTTTCCATCAGGCTAGAATGCTGATGTGGGTGGGAACCAGTAAGACCACAAAGAATGAGGACTCCACTCTATGGACTGGGAAGCAGCAGTTTTTGGAGTCTTAATGTATGATGCCTTGAAGCCTCCAACTTATATCTAAGATACATTCATTCCTGGGCATTACAGGCAATTCATTCTTGGACCCCTGCATGCACCACAATCTCCAGATGTTCAGTTTCCTTATAGAAAATGGCATAGCATTTATATATAACCTACCCACATTCTCCTATATACTTTAAATGATTTCTACTTTACTAATAATACCTAAGACCATCTAAATGCTGTATAAATAGTTGTTATATTTTTTAGGGAAGAAAGGATAAAAATGTCTGTACCTATTCAGTACAGATGTCACTATCCTTTTTTATTTTCCTTTTCTGACCATTTTTGATTTGCTATTGGGTGAATCCCTGGATGTGGAAACTATGGATATGGAGAATCCACTGTACTTTCTTGTTTAAGATATTTTGATTTAATAAAGATATCTTTATTAGAACAACTAAGCTTATACTCAAACTAAAAGAAATATATTTTCTCTTAAAAATTATCTTCCAATTAGTCATTTTTAATTAATGTGGGTGTTTGTCCATAAAATTGACACTAGAGAGAGAAGGTGGAAACAGAAAAAAAAAAAATAGATGGAGCTGTGATGATACATGATTCAATGACATTTAGATTGAGAAAAACCCCAGAAAGTAGGAGGATATAAGAAGGTCAGAGAGATAGTCTCATTTTCCCTAAGGATTTTTTGTCCCTTCTTTTCTACCCTATTTGGCGTTCCAAGATGGTGGCTTCTATGTACCTCATAAATGAGATTCTTTTCCTTCTGGTTTCTGGTTCAACTGAGCAACTAGGAGACACTAGCAGGAGACTGGAGGGCAGGAGGACAGCAATTTTGGGATTTCTGGCTCTCTGCCTGTGATGCTGTGTGATGGTGATGCAGGGTTCTCCACCTGCCTCATCCTCTCCCACCTTTACAGTTACAGCTACAGCTATGCTTTTAATGGTAACTGCTCTTTTCCTGTCCCTGTAAGCCTAGGGGAGGAAATAGTGTTTATTGCTTGCCTTAGGTTGCATCGCCATGCATTGTCACTTTCCTTTAAGCCAGAATTTTTTTTTGTAAGTAATCCCGGCGTAAAATACTCCTCAATTATTTCATGTTGGACCATTTGTTTCTTCCTGGATAACTATTATTATTATTTCAGAATAACTTTGAAAGCAAGGAATGAAGTAAAACCTGGGTTTAGAGCAGTTTAGCTCTGGGAAGCAATGCCTGCATGTCTCTTTGCTCCATAATGAATGTAAGAGGCAGCATTCTCTCCATGACAGAAGATTTGAATGGTTGAAATAGAGGAGAGGCCATGGAGAGATAGATAGTAGGGAGAAAAGTCTGTTTGACCCCATTTGGAACTCCTACAATCATGTTTGCCAGCACTCAGTTTCAAGAAAGAAGCTTCATGCCTCCTGACTTTTCCTCAAGCAAGCTAATGACTCCCTGCATGTAGCATCCTGATATGGTTTGGCTGTGTCCCCACCCAAATCTCATCTTGAATTGTAGTTCCCATAGCGCCCACATGTCAGGGGAGGGACCCAGTGGAAAGTATTGAATCATGGGTTGGGTCTTCCCTCTGCTGTTCTCGTGATAGTGAATAACTCTCACGAGATCTGATGGTTTTATAAAGGGCCGTTCTCCTGCACATGCTGTCCTGCCTGCCACCATGTAAGATGTGCCTTTGCTCCTCCTTCATGATTGTGAGGCCTCTGAAACTATGAGTCCATTAAACTTTTTCTTTATGTATTACCCAGTCTCAGGTATGTCTTTGTTAGTAGTATGAGAACCGACTAATACACACCCTAAGGAGAAAACACAGGAATGTGAATTTATAGCAAAAACCCATAACTGACTTTGGAAAGAAGACAATTCTTGATATATACCCTTACATTTGCTCCTTCTTCTATCTAGAAGTAGACAGCCATCCTGTGCTAAAGTAGAAGAGCCTTTCTGGGATTTAGTGACTCCAGAGGACCCTTCTGTGTCCTGCAATTTCAGAGATGCCTTTAGGAGCTGCACGGAAATTTGGTGACCAAGCCAGGCTTATCAAGATGCTGGACAGCTCTGTGATTTCCTTTACAGGGAATGGGTGCAAATTGGAGACCACAGCCATTTGAGGCAGAATCCCTAGTTGAGGTGTTTCTTGGCCTCTGTCCCATTTTCACTCACATATCAGCCTCTCCCATCCCATTTCATCTGGTCCACCTCTTCGTTAGTAATTGTTGTTCTAGAGCACTTAATTGCCAACTGTGAGCTTAGGTATCAGTGTCAAGCAATGTAAGCTTGTGATGTGAGTCTTTAAACAAAATAATATGTAGACCATAGAGTCATCTAAGTCTCATAATGGACTGATACCACTTATTTTAGTGTTTGTTTCTCTTTTTTAAAAAGTAAAGAAATGCTTTTACACTGTTGATGGGAAAGTGAATTAGTTCAACCATTATGGAAGACAGTGTGGCAATTCCTCAAAGATCTAGAACAAGAAATAACATTTGACCCAACAATCCCATTACTGGGTATATACCCAAAGAAATATAAATCATTCTATTACAAAGATACATGCACACATATGTTCATTGCAGCATGAGATCATGTCATTTGCAGGGACATGGGTGGAGCTGGCAGCCATTATCCTCAGCAAACTAATGCAGGAACAGAAAACCAAACACCACATGTTCTGACTTCAAGTAGGAGCTGAACAATGAGAACACATGGACACAGGGAGTGGAGCAACACACACTGGGGCCTGTTGGGGCTGCCGTGATGGGAGGGAGAGCATTGGGAAAAAAAGCTAATGCATGTTGGGCTTCATACCTAGGTGATGGGCTGATAGGTGCTGCAAACTACCATGGCACATGTTTACCTGTGTAACAAACCTGTACATCCTGCACATGTACCCTCAAACTTAAAATAAAAATAAACATTAAAAAAAGAACACAGACCAACTTCTATTTTGTATGACAAAGGATAAATATATGTAAAAGAATATATATAAGAATACATATATAAAAGAATACATATATATTCTTTGTCATACTAAAACAACTACATATATATAGTTGTTTCCACTTGAATGCAGTTTCCCTGCCCCCTCCCCCTGAATTCTTTTATATAATTATTGAATCTCCCTTCTGCACCTGCAATGTTTACTTCTCTATTGGATCCTTCCACTACAGTTGAAACAAATATATATATATATATGCAGGTATGCCTGAGGACCTGGAATGGGAATGACAATTTTTACTGTGTGTATTAAAATTTTTTGAAACTTGTGACTTTATTACTTTGACAACATAAATTTTCAAACAAGGAAAAAAAATTTAATGGCCTAGCTAAGAGAGGGAGATAGGGATTTGAGAAGATATGAATGGGAAAGGAAATGAGAATAATGAGTGTAGAAACCTCTTTGGAAGAGATTTTTTTCTAAAGTGAAGAAAAGAAATCAGGCTGTAGTGAAGGGTAATATGGACATGGGTGGTGATTTAAGCCAGGAATATGATAGTGGATTTCAACTGTAATGGAAGGATCCAATAGAGAAGAAAATATGAAAGATGCGGGAGGGGGATCCAATGATTTTATAAAATGATTCAGGGAGAGGGGGCAAGGGAAACTGCATTCAAGTGGAAAGAATGGTTTCAAACACGAGCACACAGAGCCCATTTCCTGGCATGAGAGAAAAGGCAGAGAAATGGGCTCAGAGACAGATGGGCAGGTAGCTTGCATGGCGAGGTGGATAATTCTCAGCAGTGCATCACTTCAGAATGATAAAAAGAAGGAGGAAGTGGTTTCAAGAGAGAGATGGTGTGAAGAGTTTCGCTTGCAGAGTGAGAGGCAATTATGGAAATGCTAGATTATTTTTCAGGAGAAATAAATGGACATTTCAGGTTGCAAGTCATAAATATAAAGTGAAACAATGGGGCATGGTTGTTTACTTTGCTCTAGCCACATTCAGTTCTATGGGAACAGGTCTGGAGTTAGTGCAGAGCTGGATTCAACCAGGGCAAAAGATGAACAGATGCTTCAACAGGGAGATGTATGCATGGCAAATAAATGCCCGAAAGATGCTCAACATCACTAATATTTGGGGCAATAAATAAAAAATCTAAAATATTGGCTGAGATTTGGAGGGATTGCCAGTAAGAAAGTAAAATGATAGAGCTACGCTGGGAAATCCTATTTTCATACAACCCAGAAATCCAGCTCTAGAATTTATCATATGGAGAGGAAAACTATGTTCACTTAAAAATGTGTACACATAGGTTTCTAGTTGCTTTATTTTTAAATGCCACATTAGAAAAAAATGACAATGTCCTTCCACTTATGAATAGTGAAACAAAGCATAGTACATCCATGCAATGGAACACTACTCGGTAGCATTAAAAAAAAATCAGCAATAAGCTACTGATACCTGCAACAGCTTGGGTGGATCTTGAAAACATTGTGCTGAATGAAAAAAGCCAAAGTCAAAAGATTGGATACTGTATGACTCCATTTATGTAACATGTTTGAAATGACAAAATTATAGAGATGGAAAATAGATCAGTGATTAAAGGGATTTGGGAAGAAACAGAGTGGCTATGACAGTAGGGGGAGCCCAAGGCGGCTCTAATGTGGGGAAGAAACACTTCTAGGTCTTCAATGTGGTTTTGGTTATATGAATCTATACATGGGACAAAATATTATGGAATGAAACACAGAGGCATAGCTCACTTCAAAAATGAGTGCATGCAAACACTGGTAAAATCTGGTAAGATCGTACTGTAGATATTTGGTGAAATCTGATAAGATTTGAAGTGTAGTAATTAGATGGTACCAATGTCAATCTTTTGCTTTTGATAATACATTTATGTTATATGTTACTATTGCTGTAGTTTGGGTGGTAGGCATACAGAAACTCTCTGTACTGTTTTTGTAACTTCTTCATAGTCTACAATTAGTTGAGAATGAAAACTTAAAAAACAACTGAAAGGCCTTTTCTTTGTATGGATAACCTCCATAGATATTGAAGTCACCAAGTGATATGGTTTGACTGTGTCCCCACCCAAATCTCATTTTGAATTGCAGCTCCAATAATTCCCATGTGTCATGGGAGGAACCTGGTGGGAGATAACTGAATCATGGGGGGGTCCTTTCCCATGCTGTTCTTGTGACAGTGAGTCTCACAAGATCTGATGGTTTTGTAAAGGGGAGTTCCCCTGCACGTGCTGTCTTGCCTGCTGCCATGTAAGATGTGACTTTGCTCCCCGTTCGCCTTCCGCCATGATTGTGAGGCTTACCCACCTATGTAGAACTGTGAGTCAATTAAACCTCATTCCTTTATAAATTACCCAGTCTTGGGTATGCCTTTATTAGCAGGGTGAGAACAGACTAATCAACCAAGAATGAGGACATGGGGTGTACTGGAAGGAAGTTTGCAAGCCAGGGACATAGGGTAGAAGATGATATAATAATGAGTCACACACCTACCACGAAATTGAGCACATATTAAATTTTTATCATATTTGCTTCCAATTTCTCTTGCAATTAGTATATAAACTTTTACAGACACAATTAAAGGCTGAATCCTGCATCTCTACTCTCACTAGTAACTGTATATGAATTTGATAAGAAGGTAAGTGTGCCTGAGGACCTGGACAGGGAATGACAATTCTCATCAACTTCTTTAGAACTTCTCAGGTTGGTATGTATTATTCTTTCACACGTGTATCAGGATATTAAACCAGGAGTACTGAGCTAAATATCAACACACTATAGATACTACATTACAAAAGAGGTGCAAGATGACACACAGAATTTGAATAGAGATATTTTGGACGACTGGTTACCAACTCTTAACCTAGCACCAATATCAAGGCTATGCAAAAGTTTAGAGTTAAATTTTTATGTGAAAAATAAAATGTTAAAATTAACTCAAAGATTAACTATCTCCTTTACTCCCAATGTGGGCCTTTTGCAGGTAAAAATGCTGCTCCAGAGAAGGGGCTGCCTTCCACTGTTTTTGTTCTTCCCCCGCTAACCCCATGCTTTTTATTATCTTTTATGAATGCCTTCTGACCCTGGAGGGCTGCACATATGCCTTCTGACCCTGGAGGGCTGCACATATGCCTTCTGACCCTGGAGGGCTGCACATATGCCTTCTGACCCTGGAGGGCTGGAGGAGGGTATGGAGAGCAGGACATTGACTTTGTGGCTTGTCCTGTTGGCCTGACCTGCCTGGCCCACTCTGGACTTTACATTATTATAGAGTTCACTCCTACGAATATCACAAAATTAACACCAACACCTACTACTTCAAGGCCACAAAAGATAATGTTCATTATTCAGAGCACTCCAGCCTTGTGATTCTATTTAAGAGGGATCTTGCCACCATGACCAGATACATGGGGTGATACAAGGAATAAAACTCATGTATGAATTATTCACCATTCCCTAAAAAACTGTACGCTTTTATTAACAGTGCCACTGTAAATTATCTCTTCTTCTATTTCCATCTGTCCAGATCCTATTTATCTCTCCTTCCCTAATACAAAAATTTGTGTGACTGGAAAAATTTACAGAGGGTATAATTATAATAATAATGCTGGGTAAATTGTAGTCATCAGTTAAAATTCCACCTATTACACGAAGCCTTCCATGATCCACTCACTTCTACATACACACTTAGGGATAAGATCTGCTGTGTCTCTTCTCTCCTTCCTTGTGTTTGCATCCTGCAAGGTTTCAGAAGAATTGGACCAATATGATGGGCATGAGCATTGAGATTTCTTCTTCTATACTCTGCTGTTGTTGTTAGATAACAGCAAACAAATGCCATCTATATCTATAGTCAGCATTGGTACATTGACAATAATGGTGCCCAGTGGATACCACACCGTCATACAGAAAAGCATCACAGCAGTCTCTTTGGATTCTAGGTCACTGCCACATAGGTGAGAAGAATATATGCTGACTGTGATTATAGTCACTGTGCAGAGACACGAATTTCTCAGGCGGTCTGGATCATAACAGTACTTATCTTCAGTCCATGTTTATGGCAAAGTCACACCTTGCCCACATATTCTGAAAAGAGATACCTGAGCACAAATGCACGAATGGCACAGTTTCAGACTGGGACAATCCCATAACCTCACTATCTGCTTGGTTTCCCTGGAATGAGCATGTGACTCATGTTGGCCATGCAGTCAGCTTGAGAATCCCAAATCCCTGAAACTATGTCCATGTTCTTCCCATTTTAGCACTTGCATATTCTGCACCCTTCTGTATTCTAAGATTTCTAGATGCTTTGATTTGGGTTTGCCTTGAGGTAAGGGATTCTTCTGCTGGAACACAGGGTAATGGTAGTAGGTAGTTCTGCAATGACTGTGACCCAAGCACCTGCAGTGTCTGTTGAAAATCTTTTCTGGAATTGTGCACTGGTGTGATATTGGACTATAGACTGAGGGCTGTTGTAAGATTCAGCCTATTAATCTTGTGATGTCATCAATTATAAAACCGTTGTTGAGATTGTTGTCCCGCATGAGCAGCCACCTGGTGAACGTTCTCTAATTTATTGGAGTCGTATTGCCCTGCTTCAGCTGGGTGCTTGGGGGTGGCATTCCTCTTCAGGATGGCAGTAAGATAACTTGGAATTTTTAGATACCCTCTCCTCTGAGCACCCTTGAGCCACAAGTACAACTCTTGGATAGCATGTGTCACACTGGGAGGCAGTCTTTCCTGCACTAGTGTCCTTCCTTCACAGGCTGTGCGCTCTGTGAATGTAGGTGTGTTTACTTTGACTCCTTAAGTGTCTGGCATGCAAGTTAGAGAATAGAAGATGCTCAGTATGTATTTATACAATAAACAGTAGAATAAGTGAGAGATACTGTTATGAAAAGCCCACTTAATGATATATTCAGGAATGCAAGTGGATAGGTTAACTGAAAATGTCTGTTAATCAGTATTCATAAAAAAGGATATGTTTGTAACATGAATATTTCATTTTTACCTAGAATTCATTCACTATAGTAGAACTAGACTACAGAACACTCCTTTGTGTAGGGTTCAGCAAATAGAATTCTACTCTATCTTGCTGAAAGCATATCTATCAATCATTGTCTATGATTTGCAGTGTGGATTAGTTTAAGTGTAGATCTTAGCATCAAATACATAGCATTCTCTCTGAGGATATTGTTCAATATTGTTCATTTTTGTTTAATCTTGTAGAATTGGAAGACTCACACCTATTAAACTAACAATAATTTTGGAACCTGCTTTTATTGTCCCTTTAAGCATTCACATTAATTTGTATGGAAACCACAATTCTTCTTTCATACTGGTATTTCATTGATTTGTGGTGTATTTTGATAAATTAGGTAATTATATTGACAAGTCTAATTGGCAAAAGCAAGACAGGAAACAGATCCAATTGGTTCTTGTGAGGCTGATGACTCAGTGCCCTTGAGCCCAGGTGTACTAGAGCATCAGTGAATGGCTACGAAGGCTCAGCATTTGCTCAGCATCAATAAATATATTTTCTTCATGAAGTGGAAAGGATTGGATATAGAGATAGGATGTATTAGTGAGAGACTTATTTGAAAGGTGTTTGCTTTTATGTAGAATTAGCACAATGCTTGATGAGTTAGGTGTGAAAGTTTGTTGAATTCATGCCTAAAAAATAGTCATGGGCCGGGTGTGGCGGCTGAGGCCTGTAATCCCAGCACTTTGGGAGGCCAAGGCAGGCGGATCACAAGGTCAAGAGATCGAGACCATCCTAGCCAACATGGTGAAACCCCGTCTCTACTAAAAATACAAAAAAGTAGCCAGGCGTGGTGGCAGGCCCCTATAATCCCAGCTACTTGGGAGGCTGAGGCAGGAGAATCGCTTGAACGCAGGAGGTAGAGGTTGCAATGAGCTGAGATCATGCCATTGCACCTCAACCTGGGCATAAATAAATAAATAAATAAATAAATAAATAAATAAATAAATGTGCTTGCGAAACTCCATCTCAAAGAAAAAAAAAAAAGTAGTCATGAATGGTAGCTCCCAAAAGGTGCCACGTGAGATTTTCATATCATTTCTCACTTTCTGGAGAATACTCCTGAATGTCCTGCATGCTCTTCCTCGACATGTAACTTTTAGAGGAAATGATATCATTGGCCTTGGAAAGAAGGCAGCTCATGAGCAGATTCCCACATCCCCTCCGTTCTTCTTCCCAGAGGCAGTGAGCAGACCTGCAATGAAGGGGAACAGCTGTTCTCAGAACGACCAACTGCAGAGGACACTCTGTTGAGTGGGAGGTTCCTGTAGGAGTTCCAGTGAGATCTGGTGACTGAGCCAGCCTTTGCAAGATGCTGGATGACCCTGTGATTTTCAGGTAGGAGCTGCTTGAGAGAAATAGTTACCAACACTCTTCTAAATTCCACACCTAGTCTGTTGCACTAGAAATTCCAAGACAGTTTCTCTGCTCTTAAAGACCTCAGGGTGCGGTTGAAGAGAAAGATGTGAGGACAAATATTTGAAGTACACTGTTATAAGTGCTGTAGTGGAGCAATGTGTGAGGCCAAGTGAGTTCAGAATGGGCTTCAGGGACAGAATCTAAGCCTTCATGAAGTTGAAGTTTTCTCCTATCAAAAGAAAAAGAATGTCACTAACATCAAAATAAGCAGAATCGCAGGTGAGAACCAACATGATTTGATTCAATTGCCAGGTGAAAATTCTCTGCAGAATTCCTCATGATAGACAACATCTTTAGCCAAAACTGTACAATTGATATCACAGACTTCCAGAGTGGACTCTCTCAATAACCCTCAGTCTGAACTAAAGACATCACAGCAAAGCTCCTGGCCCAGAGCATTGGCTGCAAACACTGCTTTCCTGCTTCCTGTCACCTGTAGGAAACTCTCAACTACAGCTACGTCCTACTACAGCATTTGGAAATTGAGGGTGGACAGATAGGATTGAGCATCAGCAGAATGCCAGGCCTGGAAGAGCAATAGATCTGGACTCAGGGGACCTGAGTTCAACATTGTGAACAGTGTGATAAGAGCCACCAATAAATATGGTTTGAAAAATGGAAAAGTATAGACCTCTTTATTACTTTCATAGCTGCTTTGTACTGCCTCCTGCAAACTCAAATTGCATGTGTCAGCTCCCCTCAGTGAGGGTTAATCTGAGGGGCAGCCTCACTGTGAGCAGCACAGAGTCCACTGTGAGGTCACATCTTCTCTTGGTGGTCTCTTCTGTCTGCTTGAGTTATCTGTGGAAGGGATAACCACTGGTGGAGAATAGTCCTGAATTTTGTACTGATCCTCCTTTTATAATTAAATGTTTTAAATTGTGGTAAAATTTACATAACATACATTTTACAACTTTAATCATTTTAATTGTCCAATTCTGTGTAGGTAAGTACATTCACAATAAGTCGTAACCGTTACCACTGTCCCTTTTAAAAACTTTTCATTATTCCACACAGAAATCCTGTGCTCATTTAATAATGGCTACACATTCTCTCCATCTTCCAGCACCAGGATCCTCCTAATTTATTTTCTGTGTTCAAGAATTTCCTAATTTGGATACCTCATAGAATTTGAACTTACAATATTGTTTGGCGTCTGGCTTATTTTCCTTAGCACAATATTTCCAGGTTCATGTATGTCACAGCATGTATCAGAATTCTGTACCAACTGTAAGTTATTATCCAGATACCATAATTGAGATTGTCATGGAAAGGTCAGATGTTTTCAGTTTTGCTTCTCATGTAAACAGCCATAAAACTAACTGAAAGTTACAATCAGAACAATTTATACAAAACCTGGAAGTATGAAGAATTCTCCTACAACTGAAAGAATCTGTAAGTGAATAATAAATGGTTTTCAAGATAATTTCCACTTTAAAATCAATATTGAGGTTTCCAATGGCCAAAATGAAACTGGTGGGACATATTTATAGGCTCCTCACTAGTTCATTAGTCCAGGAAGAGCTAAATAAGAACTTACCAGTTCTCAAGGGGAAGGGGCCACGGTGATCTTTACTAGAAACCAAGGCCAACATGTCACCATGCTGTGGACAAATGACAGGAGAGGGCTATTCATAAAACCAATTTCTAAGACTGTTTTTATGAAGGGAGAATCTCTCTCTAAGGTCATTATTTTGCTTTATATCTGAGAATTCAATGGAATTTAGAGGTAGCAGAACTCACTTATTAAGAATTGAGCTTCCAACTGCAGTAATGCCTCCAGTCATAGAAGGGAACATGATTTTCAGGGGAACATAGTCTGACAGATTAATAAGGAATCTTCCTTTTTGATACTATCAGGTAGGAAACAAGTATAAAGAAGAGTTTTAGGGTTGTGGACAGCAACTCCTTTTATTACAATGAAAAGTGCAGAAAAAGTGTTCAGTAGGAAAGATTCAGTGCAAGATAACAGGGAAAATGTATTGGTAATATCAAGGAGAATCCAAACATTGTACTGTCAGACTAATGCTTTCCATGGGTGAAAACTGCAACTGTCAGGTTAGATAAACATCTATTCGAAGACCTTGAGGGACCACTGAGACATTTCTGAGGCAGAAGGCTAAGAAAAATGCATATAATTGTCAAGGGTGGCAGGGCAGCATTGCTCTCAAAGTCCTGTCTGACAGGGCAGAGGTTCTTCCTCACTGCTCCAATCTGCTTCCCGACAGCTCCAGGGTTTCCTGAGGAAGCCACCCTCCACCTTCATCCACCTCAGGCGTGTCCTGCAGAGCCCTCTGGAGAACCAGCTTCAGGTTCTGCCTATTTTGACGCTGCCTAAAGGAGCCCACGAAGAAGTAAATGATGGGGTTGGCACTGCTGTTAAGAGCGGACAGGAAAATGGAAACTAGATGCACATGACAAAATAAGACTTTCCAATCCAGGTGGATCCTGGAAAACAGGGCCCACTGAATGCCAAAGGGCAGGCCACAGAGGAGGAAGACCAGCACTGTGAGGAGGATGGTCACGTACAGCCTGGTCAGCGGCATCTTCCGGGATCCACAGAGAATCCTGACCAGCAGGACCAGGCTGGACCCACAGAGAACCACACATAAAAAAACCAGCCACGCGATTGTAATGAAATCTGACGTTTCACACCAAACAGAATTAGCACCACTAAACAGGAAGTCACAGAACATCCACTCCAGGATACTCCGCAGCAGGGACAGGGCCCAGAGCAGGACACACATGACTGATGACAGGTATCTGGGGCGGCGGCAGTGGTACCAGATGGGCCACAGGATGGACAGGCAGCGCTCGGTGCTGATGGCGCTCAGCATGCTTAGGCCTATAAAGTAGGGAAAGGTCATCACAGGACTGAGGATTTTGGAGATGGGATGGCGGATATTGATGAGGCGTAACGGCGAACATATAATGTGGCCGCTAAGGAAGAGGAAGTCGGCCGCGACCAGGTTGAGGATGTAGATGGAGACAGCGTTCCTGCGCATGCGGCAGCCCAGGAGCCAGAGCACAACCGCGTTTCCTGTCAGCGCGACAAGGGAAACGATGCACGTCAGCCCCGTGAAGCTCAGGGTCTGCTTGTAGCAAGGAGTCTCCTCACGTCCGTTGATTGGTGTCAGTTCTGTACCCAAGACTGGGATGGTTGAATCCATGCTCAGAAACCCCAGTCTGATGACCCTGGAAACAGAAACCAGATGTGATCACCAGCTGTTTGATCTCTGATTCTCCCCACCACCCTGCCATGTGGGATTTACTGTCCTCATTTAAAGAGGAGAGATCAGAGACTCGCAGAGAATAAGTCACCTATCAAAAGGTGGGGGTCCTCAAATCCAGTTTGAAATCCAGTTCTTGTTGACTCTGAAGCCTGACCTCTCTCTACTGCCACACAAGTTCTGTGCTGACATGGGGATAACATTAGGATCAAAACACCCCCACTCATCTAGCCAGTGCTGTGGACCCGATGATTACTCTATCCTGGGCCTGAAATTTTCTCTCAGGTGGAGGAATTCAGATACACAAAGAGGTGGTTGTGACACCCTCATGACCAGGACTGGTCATCTCTGGACAGGAAAAAAGATCATGCATTATGAACCAGAGGAAAATGGGATCTTCGCTAGGATGTGTGAAAATGGCGGGACCTGGTGGGTGAGAAATAACTCAGTGTGTCAGTCATTGCAGACAGGACCACATTTTACATTTTATACTCCTAGTGCCTATTCCATAAGCAGCACAATGTGCTTTTCATAAACGTTCATTCAATGAAGGAATGCATGCATGAGAAGCCTAATGGCAATGGTAGATTTGGATGAAATGGAAAATAAAAATGAAAGCACAATGTAAGGCATTAGAACACACACATATAATTAGATGAAGAAAATTTCATTCATCAGAATTCTATTTGTGGACAGCTCTATCTGTGTTGAGAAGAATGATTGATGAGTGCCCAAAACCTGAAATTGACCACTGATGTGCCTTTAAAATAAGGACTCAGTGTGGCTTTGCCGAACCCCTAGAAGCATTTTGTACACAGTGTTTGGGTAGGGTGTGGGTCTGAGCTGAATTGCTCAGCAACAGAACAGAGGAAAGAGTAAGTGAGGGTGAGCCTGAGTGCCACTGCAGCAGGTAATTGAAGTGTGGGAATATGTATGGGGGACTACTAAGTGTTCTGCTGAGTATACACAATGTAAACCTATTTCATTCTCTCTTTCGGGAGATCTTTGGTAGCGTTTCTTTGTTGATGCAAACATTTGTATGAGAGGAGTCCATGAGTGGAAATAGGAGAAGTGTAGGGCTTGGGTTGTAAAGAGAGATATTCATGCAAATTTCAACTGGAGAATGAGGATTAGGTCTAATTTGGGAGAATAACAGCAGCTGATTGACAGTTTATTAGGTATTGCCTCTTTTAATCATCTGAAGAGCCTAGGAGGTAAAAATTAGTATTATTCCTGTATTGCAGATAATGAAATTAGAGTATAAAGAGAGGATATTATTTGTCCGGGGGGTTATATATTATATAGTATGAATGTGAGCCCAGCAGGGCTGACTCATGATCCATTTTTTCACCAGCCCTTTGGACCCAGCACCACTATGTGTCGATTATACATGTTAGAGGGGGGTAAAGTAGAGGAGTGATTCTCAAGTTAAATCCAAGTTGACAGTCAAAATTGTGGGCTGAAAAAAAAAATTAACCTAAACAAACTCCAGATAGAGAATGAGAAGCAAATGAAATAAGGGAAAAATAGAGGTGAGTGCGTGCCATTTAGGAACAAATTCAGGAGTTCTTTTTTGCCTATCAGAGGCCACGTTTGCTCTGGAATCCCAAGAATGCACATGGGCAGGAGCTCTCCAGGTGGAAAGAAGATGCATCCTCCTCTGGGAGTATAGAGGAGCATCAGGAGTGAGTGCATCCATCATGAGCTCTCTTAGGGAGACAAGCTGCCACAGCTCTGATTGGCCCAAAAAGGAAATGGGAGGAAAAGGAGAACCTCTGTTATCCACACTCAGAGCACTAAACTGTTTGTCCATCTATAGGTATGGTATGATATGTTTGTCTTCCTCATGAAACCCGAAGATCCGTAAGGAGTAAGTCATGCCTGTCTTTTTCACTGTGGTATCACCAACATTTAGCATGTTGTTTAACATGCTATGATGTTCTTTAAAGACTGTCTATGGTATTATCCTCATATAACATAAGATGAAGCTAAGGCCTAGAGAATTAAAGGGTTTTCCTGGTTCACAACATGAAGAGCAGGTCCAATACCAGCCCCTGGTCCCTGGAGTCCTGCACGAGACTCCAGTTCTGTTCTCTGCCCCACCATTTATTATTTCTGAGGAGTTCCTGAAAAATCTTGATGTGAGCACAGAATCAGAGACAGTCAGGGGCTGAAGAGACTGCTGGTTGCCCCAAGATTTCCTTTTTTGGTCACATAACCTTTCTGAGAATGTACAAGCAGCACAAGGACCCACATCCCAGTTTTCCTTGATGCTGGATGACATCCCATGAGCAGGTGCTGTTAAGTGGAAGAATCACAAAAGTGACAGAAGCAAGTCCTGGCTCATGGGATTAATAGAAGGAGCAAAGCCTCTCCTTCCCCTCGTCCTTTTTCCATAAGACTGGAATGCTAATGTCGCTGGGAACCATGTAGGATCACAAGGATGAGGGCAACTCTCTAGGAACTGGGGAGCAGCAATTTTTGGAATTCTGATGTATGATGCTTTGGAGCTTCTAGTTCAGATCTCGAAGAGTGTCATTTTTGTGTATTTACAGGGGATTCTTTCCAGAACCCCAGCACAGACCAAAATCTGCAGATGCTCAATTTCCTTATATGTGGTATTTGTATATACTCTATGCACTTTCTCCCAGATACATTAAATCATTTAAAGTTATTTAGAATAACTGACAAAATGCAAATGCTATATAAGTTCTTGTTATATTGTAGTTTTTCAGAAATAATGACAAAGAAATACAAGTTTGTACCTGTTCAGTACATACACAACTCCGCCACACCTTTATTTTTGGAAAAGTTTCCTCCTGTAGTTTGTTGAATCTGTAGATTCAGAACCTAGTGACCCAGAGGCACAACTATACTTTCTTGTTTAAGATATTTCTTCTTCATGTCTTTATTAGATCAGCCAAACTTATATTCTAAACAAAATACATATGTTCTTTTTAAAATTACATTTTATTTTCTATGCATTTTTAACAAATGCAAACATTTCTGCATAAAAGTGACAGTAGAGAAAGACAAGCCAAACATTAAAGTAGTCTGATAGAGCTGAAATGAGACAGGGATCAATCAGATAGAGAAAGCCCCAGGAATTAGGAGGATACAAGAAGGTGAGAGGGATAGTCTCATTTACCATGAGGATTTGCTTTCCATTCTTCTTTATCCTGTTTGACATCCCAAGAGAGTGGCTTCTATGTACCACATCAGTGGGATTCTTTTTATTTCTGGTTTCTGGTGGAATTGAGACACTGGGAGACACCAGCAGGAGACTGGAAGACAGCAGGAAAGCACCTTGGGATTTCCATCTCCTGGCTCTCTGTCTGTGTATTAGTTCATTCTCAAATTGCTAAAAAGAAATACCTGAGACTGGGAAATTTATGAAGGAAATGGGTTTAACTGGCTAATAGCTCTACAGACTGTACAAGAAGCATAGCAGCTTCTGCTTCTGGGGAGGCCTCAGGAAGCTTCCAATCCTGGTGAAAGGCAAAGGGGGAGCGAGGCGTCTCACATGGTGAGAGCAGGAGTAAGAGAGAGGGAGGAGGTGCTACACGCTTTTAAACAACTAGATTTCATGAGAACTCGTCAGTATCACAACAACAATACCAAAGGGGGATGGTGTTAAAACATTCATGCAAAACCATCCCCGTGATCTAATAATCATCTCCCACAAGGCCCTTCCTCCAACATTGGAAATTACAATCAACATGAGATTTTGGTGGGAACACAGATCCAAACTATATCAGCCTGTGTGGCTGTGCGTTGGCCACGCAGGGCTTCTCCACTTGCCTGCTCATGCTCTCCCACCCTTATGGCTACAGCTATGGCTATAGTGACAATGGTAACTGCTCCTTCCCTGTCCGTTTCAGCCTAGGGGAGGAAGTAGTGCTCCCCTATGTATTGCTGCTTAGGATCCTGACCCTTAACTCTGTGCATCTTTGTAAATACTTTCCTCATGAAACACTCCTTAATTATTGGGCCATCTATATCTTCCTTAGACCTTTCCAGATAGGCAAAGAAGAATAAATTTGAAAAGTAAGTGAAACAAAGAAACTGGCTCTATAGCAGTTCAACTCTGGGAAGAAATGCCTGCATGTCCCCTTGCTCGTTAAATGAATGTAAGAGGCAGCAGTCTCTCCATGAGGGCAGATTGAATGATTGGAATGAAGGAGGTGATATGGGGAGATAAATTAGAAGGGGGGACACCATTTAGAGCTCACACAGTTTGGGTTGACAGCACTCAGTTTCTGAAAGGAAGCTTCATGTCTCCTGTCTTTTCCTGAAACAAGCTCGTGACCCCCTGCATGTAGCACCAAGGTGGAAGCATAAGGACATGATCTTACAGCAAAAATCATAACTGACTGTGGAAGAAGAGAGTTCTTGGTACTTACCCTTATCGTTCCTTCTTTGTCCAGTGGTGAAGACCTCCCTTGTGCTAAAGGTAGAGAGCCTTTATGGGATTCAGTGACTTCAGAGGACTTTTCTGTGTTGCTTAATTCAGGAGATGCCTACAGGAGCTGAAATGAAAGCTGGTGAGCAATCCAGGCTTACGAAGATGCTGGACAGTCTTGTTATTTCCTGTATGAGGACTATGGGCAAATCAGAGGCCAGAGGTATTTGAGACACAAATCCTAACTGAGATGATTCTTGGCCTCTGTCCCATATCCAGTACATTTAAGCCTCTCCTATCACGTCCCATCTTGTTCAACTTCCTGTAAGTAATTGCTGTCCTGATTTTAAAAATCAATTATGGGCCTAGGCATCACATTAAGCAATGTGAACTATCATTATGAGGCTTTATATCCAAATGAAAAAGTAGATCATGGGACCATTCAAGGCTGACAATGGCCTGACACAATTTTTTGATGTTTTCTTTATCATAGTGGTGATATATTCATGTGTATACTTTCTTTCCAAATGCCAGAGAAGTGTATGCAAGGTGAAAATCTAGAGTCCCATTGTCCAGAGGCTACCACTTGCTACACTTTTCATTCTTACTTCATTATTATAAACTCTGAACAGTGAACTTTTTTAAATTCTGTGAAATTAAATCATTTATTATTATTATTTTTATTTCATTGGGATTTTGGGGAACAGGTGGTGTTTGCTTCCATGGATAAGTTCTTTAGTGGTAATTTCTGAGATTTTGGTGCACCCATCACCTGAGCAGTGTACACTGTACCCAATGTGTAGTCTTTTATCCCTCGCCTCTCTTCCATCCTTCCCCTCAAGTCCCCAGAGTTCATTATATCATTCTATGCCTTCGTGTCCTCACAGCTTAGTCCCCACTTGTAAGTGAGAACATATGATGTTTGGTTTTCCATTCCTGAGTTACCCCACTTAGAATAAGGGTCTCCAATTCCATCTAGATTGCTGTGAATGTCATCATTTTATTCTTTTTTATGGCTGAGTTGTATTCCATGGTATATAAATATATATATTTATACATATTTAATGGGATTGCTGGATCAAATGGTCGATCTACTTTTAGTTCCTTAAGAAATTTCCACACTGTTTTCCATAGTGGTTGCGCAAGTTTACATTCCCACCAGCAGTGTAAAAGTGTTCCTTTATCACCACAGACCCACCAACATCTATTATTTTTAGATTTTTAAATTATGACCATTCTTGCAGGAGTAAGGTGGTATCGCATTACAGTGTTGATTTACATTTCCCTAATCATTAGTGATGTTAAGCATTTTTTCCTGTTTGTTGGCCATTTGTATATCTTCTTTTGAGAATTGTCTATTCATGTCCTTAGCCCACTCTTTCATGGGATTGTTTGCTTTCTTCTTGCTGATTTGTTTGAGTTCCTTGTGGATTCCGGATATTAGTCCTTGGTCAGATGCTTAGTTTGTGAAGATTTTCTCTCACTCGGTGGGTTGTCTGTTTGCTCTGCTAATGATTGTTTTTGCTGCGCAAAAGCTTTTTAGTTTAATTAAGTCCTATCTATTTATTTTTGTTTTTGTTGCATTTACTTTTGGGTTCTTGGCCATGAAGTCTTTGCCTAAGTGAATGTCTAGAAGCATTTTTCTGATGTTATCTTCTAGAATTTTTATGGTTTTAGGTCTCAGATTTAAGTCTTTGATCCATCTTGTATCAATTTTTGTATTAAGTGAGAGACAAGGATCCAGTTTCATTCTTCCACATGTGGCTTGCCAATAATCTCAGCACCATTTGTTAACTAGAATGTCTTTTCCCCACTTTATGTTTTTGTTTGCTTTGTCAAAAATCAGTTGGCTATAATTATTTGGCTTTATTTCTGGATTCTCTCTTCTTTTCCATTGGTCTATGTGCCTAGTTTTATGTCAGTGCCATGATGTTTTGGTGATTATAGCCTTGTAGTATAGTTTGAAGATGGGTAATGTGATGCCTCCAGATTTGTTCTTTTTGCTAAGTCTTGCTTTGGCTATGCGGGTTTTTTTTTTTTTTTTGGTTGTTGTTCCATATGAATTTTAGAATTGTTTTTTTCTAGTTCTGTGAAGAATGATGATGATATTTTGGTGGGAATTGCATTGAACTTGTAGATTGCTTTTGGCAATATGGTCATTTTCACAATATTGATTCTACCCATCCATGAGCATGGGATGTGTTTCCACTTGTTTGTGTCATCTATGATGTCAGCTGTGTTTTGTAGTTTTCCTTGTAGAGGTCCTTCACCTCCTTGGGTAAGAATATTCTTAAGTATTTTTTTACAGCTATTGTAAAAGTGTTTGAGTTCTTGATTTGATTCTCAGCTTGGTCACTGTTGGTGTATAGCAGTGCTACTGATTTGTGTACATTTAGTTTGTATCCTGAAACTTTACTGAATTTATGTATCAGTTCTAGGAGCTTTCTGGATGAGTCTTTAGGGTTTTCTAGGTATACAATCATATCATCAGTGAACAGGGACAGTTTGACTTCCTCTTTATTGATTTGGGTGCCCTTGATTTCTTTCTCTTGTCTGATTGCTCTGGCTAAAACTTCCACTACTATGTTGAATAGAAGTGGTGAAAGTAGCATCCTTGTCTTGTTCCAGTTCTCAGGGACAATGTTTTCAACTTTTCCCCATTCAGTATAATGTTTGCTGTGGGTCCGTCATATATGGCTTTTATTACATTAAGGTATGTCCTTTCTATGTCGATTTTGCTGAAGGTTTTAATCATAAAGAAATGTTAGATTTTGTCAAATGCTTTTTCAGCATCTATTGAGATGATCATGTGATTTTTGTTTTTAATTCTGTTTATGTGATGTATCACATTTATTGACTTGTGTATGTTAACCTATCCTGCACCCCTGGTATGAAACCCACTTGACAATGGTGGATTATCTTCTTGATATGCTGTTGGATTGGGTTAGCTAGTATTTTGTTGGGGATTTCTGCATGTATATTCATCAGTGGTACTGGTCTATAGTTTTCTTTTTTGTATATCCTTTCCTGGTTTTGGTATTAAAGTGACATTGGCTTCATACAATGCTTTAGGCAGGATTCCCTCTTTCTTTATGGAATAGCTTCAGTAGGATTGATACCAATTTTTCTTTGAATATCTGATAGAATTCAGCTGTGAATACATCTGGTCTTGTACTTTTTGTTGGCAATTTAAAAAAAAATTTTATTTCAATCTCATTCCTTTTTATTGGTCTGTTCAGACTTTCTATTTCTCCCTAGTTTAATCTAGGAGGTTTGTGTGTTTCCAGGAATTTATGCATAACCTCCAGGTTTTCTGGTTTGTGCATGTAAAGGTGATCACAATAGTCTTGAAAGATCTTTTGTATTTCTATAGCATTGGTTGTAATATCTCTTGTTTCATTCCTAATTGAGCTTATTTGAATCTTCTCTGTTCTTTTCTTGGTTAACCTTGCTAATGGTGTATCAATTTTGTTTAAGTTTTCAAAGAACCAGCTTTTTGTTTCATTTATCTTTTGTTTGTTTGCTTCAGTTTCAATTAGTTCTGCTCTGATCGTTTTTATTTATTTTCTTCTGCTGGGTTGGGTTTAGTTTGTTCTTGCTTCTCTAGTTCCTTGAGATGTGACTTCAGATTGTCTATTTGTGCTCTTTCAGACATTTTGATGTATGCATTTAATACAATGAACTTTCCTCTTAGCACCACTTTTGCTGTATTTCAGAGGTTTTGATAGGTTGTGTCACTATTATCATTCAGTTTATAGAATTTTTAAATTTCTATCTTGATTTCATTGTTGATTGAATAATAATTCAGGAGGGGGGTGGAGCCAAGATGGCCAAATAGGAACAGCTCCAGTCTACAGCTCCCAGCGTGAGCAACACAGAATCTGACGAATGATTTCTGCATTTCCAAGTGAGGTACTGGGTTTATCTCACTGGGGATTGTCGGACAGTGGGTGCAGGACAGTGGGTGCAGCGCACCAAGTGTGAGCCGAAGCAGGGCGAGACATCACCTCACCCGGGAAGTGCAAGGGGTCAGGGAATTCCCTTTCCTAGCCAAGAAAAGGAGTGACAGACGGCACCTGGAAAATCGGGTCACTCCCATCCTAATACTGCGCTTTCCCAACGGTCTTAGCAAACGGCACACCAGGAGATTGTATCCTGTGCCTGGCTCGGAGGGTCCTATGCCCATGGAGCCTCGCTCATTGCTAGCACAGTAGTCTGAGATCAAACTGCAAGGTGGCAGTGAGGCTAGGGGAGGGGTGCCCGCCATTGCTGAGGCTTGAGTAGGCAAACAAAGCAGCTGGGAAGCTCCAACTGGGTGAAGCCCACTGCAGCTCAAGGAGGCCTGCCTGCCTCTGTAAACTCCACCTCTGGGGGCAGGCCATAGCCAAACAAAAGGCAGCAGAAACCTCTGCAGACTTAAATGTCCCTGTCTGACAGCTTTGAAGAGAGTAGTGGTTCTCCCAGCATGCAGCTTGAGATCTGAGAAAAGGCAGACTGCCTCCTCAAGTGAGTCCCTGACCCCATGACCCCCTGATTCCCTATCTGGGAGGCACCCCCAGTAGGGGCAGACTGACACCTCACATGGCCAGGTACTCCTCTGAGACAAAACTTCCAGAGGAACGATCAGGCAGCAACATTTGCTGTTCACCAGTATCCACTGTTCTGCAGCCTCCGCTGCTGATACTCAGGCAAACAGGGTCTGGAGTGGACCTCCAGCAAACTCCAACAGATCTGCAGCTGAGGGTCCTGACTGTTAGAAGGAAAACTAACAAACAGAAAGGACATCCACACCAAAACCCCATCTGTATATCACCATGATCAAAGACCAAAGGCAGATAAAACCACAAAGATGGGGAAAAAACAGAGCAGAAAAACAGAAAATTCTAAAAATCAGAGCACCTCTCCTCCTCCAAAGGAATGCAGCTCCTCACGAGCAATGAAACAAAGCTGGACGGAGAATGACTTTGACAAGTTGAGAGAAGAAGCCTTCAGACGATCAAACTACTCCGAGCTAAAGGAAGAAGTTCGAACCCATGGCAAAGAAGTTAAAAACCTTGAAAAAAGATTAGATGAATGGCTAACTAGAATAACCAATGCAGAGAAGTCCTTAAAGGACCTGATGGAGCTGAAAACCACGGCACGAGAACTACATGATGAATGCACAAGCCTCAGTAGCTGATTCGATCAACTGGAAGAAAGGGTATCAGTGATGGAAGATCAAATGAATGAAATGAAGCAAGAAGAGAAGTTTAGAGAAAAAAGAATGAAAAGAAAGGAACAAAGCCTCCAAGAAATATGGGACTATGTAAAAAGACCAAATCTACGTCTGATTGGTGTATCTGAAAGTGACGGGGAGAATGGAACCAAGCTGGAAAACACTCTGCAGGATATTATCCAGGAGAACTTCCCCAATCTAGCAAGGCAGGCCAACATTCAGATTCAGGAAATACAGAGAATGCCACAAAGATACTCCTCGAGAAGAGCAACTCCAAGACACATAATTGTCAGATTCACCAAAGTTGAAATGTAGGAAAAAATGTTAAGGGCAGCCAGAGAGAAAGGTCAGGTTACCCACAAAGGGAAGCCCATCAGAATAACAGTGGATCTCTCGGCAGAAACTCCACAAGCCAGAAGAGAGTGGGGGCCAATATTCAACATTCTTAAAGAAGTCAGTGTGGCAATTCCTCAGGGATCTAGGACTAGAAATACCATTTGGCCCAGCCATCTCATTACTGGGTATATTCCCAAAGGATTATAAATCACGCTGCTATAAAGACACATGCACACATATGTTTATTGTGGCACTATTCACAATAGCAAAGACTTGGAACCAACCCAAATGTCCAACAATGATAGACTGGATTAAGAAAACGTGGCACATATACACCATGGAATACTATGCAGCCATAAAAAACGATGAGTTCATGTCCTTTGTAGGGACATGGATGAAGCTGGAAACCATCATTCTCAGCAAACTATCGCAAAGACAAAAAACCAAACACCGCATATTCTCACTCATAGGTGGGAATTGAACAATGAGAACACATGGACACAGGAAGGGGAACATCACACACTGGGAACGGTTGTGGGGTGGGGGAAGGGGGAGGGATAGCATTAGGAGATATACCTAATGCTAAATGACGAGTTAATGGGTGCAGCACACCATCATGGTACCTGTATACATATGTAACAAACCTGCACATTGTGCACATGTACCCTAAAACTTAATAATAAAAAAAGAAAAGAAAAGAATTTTCAACCCCGAATTTCATATCCAGCCAAACTAAGCTTCATAAGTGAAGGAGAAATAAAATCCTTTACAGACAAGCAAATGCTGAGAGATTTTGGCACCACCAGGACTGCCCTAAAAGAGCTCCTGAAGGAAGCACTAAACATGGAAAGGAACAACCAGTACCAGCCACTGCAAAAACATGCCAGTTGTAAAGACCATCAATGTTAGGAAGAAACTGCATCAACTAATGAGCAAAATTAACAGCTAACATCATAATGACAGGATCAAATTCACATGTAACAATATTAACCTTAAATTTAAATGGGCTAAATGCTCCAATTAAAAGACACAGACTGGCAAATTGGATAAAGAGTCAAGACCCATCAGTGTGCTATATTCAGGAAACCCATCTCAATGTGCAGAGACACAGATAGGCTCAAAATAAAGGGATGGAGGAAGCTCTACCAAGCAAATGGAAAGAAAACAAAAAAAGCAGGGGTTGCAATTCTAGTCTCTGATAAAACAGACTTTAAACCAACAAAGATCAAAAGAGACAAAGAAGGCCATTACATAATGGTAAAGGGATCAATTCAACAAGAAGAGCTAACTATCCTAAACATATATGCACCCAATACAGGAGCACCCAGATTCATAAAGCAAGTCCTTAGAGACCTACAAAGAGACTTAGACTCCCACACAATAATAATGGGAGACTTTAATACCCCACTGTCAATATTAGATAGATCAACAAGACAGAAAATTAACAAGGATATCCAAGACTTGAACTCAGCTCTGAACCAAGCGGACCTAATAGACATCTACAGAACTCTCCACCCCAAATCAACAGAATATACATTCTTCTCAGCACCACATCACACCTATTCTAAAATTGACCACATAATTGGAAGTAAAACACTCCTCAGCAAAAGTAAAAGAGAGAAATCACGACAAACTCTCTCTTAGACCACAGTGCAATCAAATTAGAACTCAAGATTAAGAATCTCACTCAAAAACGCTCAACTACATGGAAACTGAACAACCTGCTCCTGAATGACTACTGGGTACATAACGAAATGAAGGCAGAAATAAATATGTTCTTTGAAACCAACGAGAACAAAGACACAACATACCAGAATCTCTGGGACACACCCAAAGCAGTGTGTAGAGGGAAATTTATAGCACTAAATGCCTACAAGAGAAAGCAGGAAAGATCTAAAATTGACACCCTAACATCACAATTCAAAGAACTAGAGAAGCAAGAGCAAACACATTCAAAAGCTAGCAGAAAGCAAGAAATAACTAAGATCAGAGTAGAACTGAAGGAGATAGAGACACAAAAAACCCTTCAAAAAATCAATGAATCCAGGAGCTGTTTTTTTGAAAAGATCAACAAAATTGATAGACCGCTAGCAAGACTAATAAAGAAGAAAAGAGAGAAGAATCAAATAGATGCAATAAAAAATGATAAAGGGAATATCACCATCGATCCCACAGAAATACAAACTACCATCAGAGAATACTATAAACACCTCTATGCAAATAAACTAGAAAATCTAGAAGAAATGGATAAATTCCTCGACACATATACACTCTCAAGACTAAACGAAGAAGAAGTTGAATCTCTGAATAGACCAGTAACAGGCTCTGAAATTGAGGTAATAATTAACATCTTACCAACCAAAAGAAGTCCAGGACCAGATGAATTCACAGCCGAATTCTACCAGAGGTACAAGGAGGAGCTGGTACCATTCCTTCTGAAATTATTCCAATCAATAGAAAAAGAGGGAATCCTCCCTAACTCATTTTATGAGGCCAGCATCATCCTGATACCAAAGCCTGGCAGAGACACAACAAAAAAAGAGAATTTTAGACCAATATCCCTGATGAATATCGATGCAAAAATCCTCAATAAAATACTGGCAAACTGAATCCAGCAGCACATCAAAAAGCTTACTCACCATGATCAAGTGGGCTTCATCCCTGGGATGCAAGGCTGGTTCAACACACGCAAATCAATAAACATAATCCAGCATATAAACAGAACCAAAGACAAAAACCACATGATTATCTCAATAGATGCAGAAAAGGCCTTTGACAAAATTCAACAACCTTCATGCTAAAAACTCTCAATAAATTAGGTATTGATGGGACGTATCTCAAAATAATAAGAGCTATCTATGACAAACCCACAGCCAATATCATACTGAATGGGCAAAAACTGGAAGCTTTCCCTTTGAAAACTGGCACAAGACAGGGATGCCCTCTCTCACCACTCCTATTCAACATAGTGTTGGAAGTTCTGGCTAGGGCAATCAGGCAGGAGAAGGAAATAAAGGGTATTCAATTAGGAAAAGAGGAAGTCAAACTGTCCCTGTTTGCAGATGACATGATTGTATATTTAGAAAACCTCATCGTCTCAGCCCAAAATCTCCTTAAGCTGATAAGCAAATTCAGCAAAGTCTCAGGATACAAAATCAATGTGCAAAAATCAAGAGCATTCTTGTACACCAATAACAGACAAACAGAGAGCCAAATAATGAGTGAACTCCTATTCACAATTGCTTCAAAGAGAATAAAGAACCTAGGAATCCAGCTTACAAGGGATGTGAGGGACCTCTTCAAGGAGAACTACAAACCACTGCTCAATGAAATAAAAGAGGATACAAACAAATGGAAGAACATTCCATGCTCATGGGTAGGAAGAAGCAATATCGTGAAAATGGCCATACTGCCCAAGGTAATTTATAGATTCAATGCCATCCCCATCAAGCTACCAATGCCTTTCTTCACAGAATTGGAAAAAACTACTTTAAAATTCATATGGAAGCAAAAAAGAGCCCGCGTTGCCAAGTCAATCCTAAGCCAAAAGAACAAAGCTGGAGGCATCACACTACCTGACTTCAAACTATACTACAAGGCTACAGTAACCAAAACAGCATGGTACTGGTACCAAAACAGAGATATAGACCAATGGAACAGAACAGAGCCCTCAGAAATAATGCCACATATCTACGACTATCTGATATTTGACAAACCTGACAAAAACAAGCAATGGGGAAAGGATTCCCTATTTAATAAATGGTGCTGGGAAAACTGGCTAGCCATATGTAGAAAGCTGAAACTGGATCCCTTCCTTACACCTTACACAAAAATTAATTCAAGATGGATTAAAGACTTAAATGTTAGACCTGAAACCATAAAAACCCTAGAAGAAAACCTAGGCAATACCATTCGGGACATAGGCATGGGCAAGGACTTCGTGTCTAAAACACCAAAAGCAATGGCAACAAAAGCCAAAATTGACAAATGGGATCTAATGAAACTAAAGAGCTTCTGCACAGCAAAATAAACTACCATCAGAGCAAACAGGCAACCTACAGAATGGGAGAAAATTTTTGCAATCTACTCATCTGACAAAGGGCTAATATCCAGAATCTACAATGAACTCCAACAAATTTACAAGAAAAAAACAAACAACCCCATCAAAAAGTGGGCAAAGGATATGAACAGACACTTCTCAAAAGAAGACATTTATGCAGCCAAAAGACACATGAAAAAATGCTCACCATCACTGGCCATCAGAGAAATGCAAATCAAAACCACAATGAGATACCATCTCACACCAGTTAGAATGGCAATCATTAAAAAGTCAGGAAACAACAGATGCTGGAGAGGATGTGGAGAAACAGGAAAGCTTTTACACTGTTGGTGGGAGTGTAAACTAGTTCAACCATTGTGGAAGAGAGTGTGGCGATTCCTCAAGGATCTAGGACTAGAAATACCATTTGACCCAGCCATCCCATTACTGGGTATATACCCAAAGGATTATAAATCACCCTGCTATAAAGACACATGCACACGTATGTTTATTGTGGCACTATTCACAATAGCAAAGACTTGGAACCAACCCAAAGATCCAAAAATGATAGACTGGATGAAGAAAATGTGGCACATATACACCATGGAATACTATGCAGCCAAAAAATTGATGAGTTCATGTCCTTTGCAGGGACGTGGATGGGGCTGGAAACCATCATTCTGAGCAAAGTATCACAAGGACAGAAAACCAAACACCACATATTCTCACTCACAGGTGGGAATTGAACAATGAGAACACTTGGACACAGGGCAGGGAACATCCCACCCTGGGGCCTGTCGTGGGAGGGATAGCATTAGGAGAAATACCTAATGTAAATGACAAGTTAATGAGTGCAGCAAACCAGCATGGCACATGTATATCTATGTAACAAACCTCCATGTTGTGCACATGTACCCTAGAACTTAAAGTATAATAATAAAAAAAAAGTCTCAGCAAGGTTTGAAGGAATGTTATCTCTTGCAGCTGCAAGCAATGCAGGTTTTTTTGCAATGCAGATTTTTTTGCATGCAAGCAATGCAGTTTTTTTTGCATCATAAACATATCCTTGCAACAGTTATTTCTAACAAAAAAAAATCTTGAAAGATTTTTCTTTTTTTTTTTTCTTTTTTTCTTTTTTTTTAAATTTTATTTTTATTGATCATTCTTGGGTGTTTCTCACAGAGAGGGATTTGGCAGGGTCATAGGACAATAGTGGAGGGAAGGTCAGCAGATAAACAAGTGAACAAAGGTCTCTGGTTTTCCTAGGCAGAGGACCCTGAGGCCTTCCGCAGTGTTTGTGTCCCTGGGTACTTGAGATTAGGGAGTGGTGATGACTCTTAACGAGCATGCTGCCTTCAAGCGTCTGTTTAACAAAGCACATCTTTCACCGCCCTTAATCCATTTAACCCTGAGTGGACACAGCACATGTTTCAGAGAGCACAGGGTTGGGGGTAAGGTCACAGATCAACAGGATCCCAAGGCAGAAGAATCTTTCTTTGTACAGAACAAAATGAAAAGTCTCCCATGTCTACTTCTTTCCACACAGACACGGCAACCATCCGATTTCTCAATCTTTTCCCCACCTTTCCCGCCTTTCTATTCCACAAAGGCGCCATTGTCATCCTGGCCCGTTCTCAATGAGCTGTTGGGCACACCTCCCAGACGGGGCGGCTGGCCGGGCGGGGGGCTAACCCCCCCACCTCCCTCCCGGTCGGAGCGTGTGGCCTGGCAGAGGGGCTCCTCACTTCCCAGTAGGGGCAGCTGGGCAGTGGCGCCCCTCACCTCCCGGACGGGGCGGCTGGCCAGGCGGGGGGCTGACCCCCACCTCCCTCCCGGACAGGGCGGCTGCCGGGCGGAGACGCTCCTCACTTCCCAGACGGGGTGGCTGCCGGGCGGAGGGGCTCCTCACTTCTCAAACGGGGCGGTTGCCAGGTGGAGGGTCTCCTCCCTTCTCAGATGGGGCGGCTGGGCAGAGACGCTCCTCACCTCCCAGACGGGGTCGCGACCGGGCAGAGGCGCTCCTCACATCCCAGACGGGGCGGCGGGGCAAAGGCACTCCCCACATCTCAGACGATGGGCGGCCGGGCAGAGACGCTCCTCACTTCCTAGATGGGATGGCGGCCGGGAAGAGGCGCTCCTCACTTCCTAGATGGGATGGCGGCCGGGCAAAGACGCTCCTCACTTTCCAGACTGGGCAGCCAGGCAGAGGGGCTCCTAACATCCCAGACGATGGGCGGCCAGGCAGAGACGCTCCTCACTTCCTAGAAGGGGTGGCGGCCGGGCAGAGGCTGCAATCTCGGCACTTTGGGAGGCCAAGGCAGCGGCTGGGGAGGTGGAAGGTTGTACCGAGCCGAGATCACGCCACTGCACTCCAGCCTGGGCACCATTGAGCACTGAGTGAACCAGACACCGTCTGCAATCCCGGCACCTCCGGAGGCCGAGGCTGGCGGATCACTCGCGGTTAGGAGCTGGAGGCCAGCCCGGCCAACACAGCGAAACCCCGTCTCCACCAAAAAAATACGAAAACCAGTCAGGCGTGGCGGCGTGCGCCTGCAATCGCAGGCACTCGGCAGGCTGAGGCAGGAGAATCAGGCAGGGAGGTTGCAGTGAGCCGAGATGGCGGCAGTACAGTCCAGCTTCGGCTCGGCATTAGAGGGAGACCGTGGGGAGAGGGAGAGGAGGGAGAGGGAGAGGAGGGAGAGGGAGAGGGAGAGGGAGAGGGAAGTCCAGGATTTTCTTTTGTGGTGATGAAAATGTTTTGGAACTAGATAGAGGTGGGTATAACATTATGAATTAACTAAATACCCCGAATTGTAAACTTTAAAATAATTAATTTTATATTTGGTGAATTTCACCTCAATTAAAAAAAAAATTAGAAAAAGGCCAGGCATGGTGGCTCATGCCTGTAATTGCAGCGCTTTGGAAAGCCAAGGTAGGAGGATCACTTTGTGCCCAGGGGTTTGAGACCAGCCTGGGCAACATAGCAAAACCCTGTCTCAAAAAAAAAAAAAAAGAAAGAAAGAAAAAGGAAAAGAAAAAAAAGAAAGAAAGAAAGAAAGAGAGAGAGAAAACGGTAGAAGAAATAGGGACTAAAAACATTATATACTGTAGTCTACTCCAGTGATTTAATAGATCTAAAAGGCTCAGAAAACTGAGCCTTTTGGAGATGGAGAGACCTTCCCAAAATCACATCACTGGCTAGAAGCAGAGAGGTAGGGCAAGAACCCAGAAATTCCATACCACTGACCACCCAGCGTGTGTGTCTGATGGAGTTCAGCCTCAGCACCTTTTCCCTAGCTGACTCGTGAGATTACCGAAAGATTTTTCTTTCAAGTCTTTCACCCAGACTTCAAAGATGATTTTATGTCCTATTGTTACAGGACAGGGCTCAGGATCCAGACCCCCAAGAGAGGGTTCTTGGATCTTGCACAAGAAAGAATTCAGGGCGAGTCCACAGTGCAAAGTAAAAGCACATTTATTAAGAAAGTAAAGTGACAAAAGGACAGCTACTCCATAGACAGAGTAGAACGTTCCTGAAAGTCAGAAAAGGAACGTGTCCACCCTAGGCACAATTGCTTGTATACATGGGGAGATGTGTTCTGCTACAAGGGTTTGTGATAACAGATTTCTTCTTTTCTTTTTCTTTTTCTTTTCTTTCTTTCTTTCTTTTTTTTTTTTTTTTGAGACAAAGTCTTGCTTTGTTGCCTAGGCTGTAGTGAAGTGGCACAATCTCAGCTCGCTGCAACCTCTGCCCACCAAGTTCAAGCGATTCTCCTGCCTCAGCCTCCCAAGTAGCTGGGATTACAGGTGCCCACCACCACGCACAGCTAATTTTTGTATTTTTAGTAAAGACAGGGTTTTGCCATGTTGGGCAGGTTGGTCTTGAATTCCTGACCTCAGGTGATCCACCGCCTTGGCCTCCCGAAGTGCTGGGATTACAGGCGTGAGCCCCCGCACCCAGCCCTGTTTTCTTAATTACTATATTTTGCAAGAATCAATATTATTATCTTTTTTTTTTTTTTTGAGATGGAGTCTCACTCTGTCACCCACGCTGGAGTGCAGTGGCACAATCACGGCTCACTGCAACCTCCACCTCCTGGATTCAAGCAATTCTCCTGCTTCAGCCTCCCAAGTAGCTCGGACTACAAGCGCGTGCCACCACACTCAGCTAATTTTGCTTTTTGTATTTTTAGTAGAGATGGGGTTTCACCATTTTGCCCAGGCTGCTCTCGAACTCCTGACCTCGTGATCCACCCACCTGGGCCTTCAAAATTGCTGGGATTACAGGCGTGAGCCACCGCGCCCGGCCAATGTTATTATCTTCAAAGAAAAATTAGGAATGTCTTTGTTCTCCAAATATTGGGATATTTGCACACTCCCAAGTCTGGGTCTGTTTAGTAAACATTACGAATTTGTTCCCTTAACTGTAAACATCTAGAGGTTAGGAATGCCTAACTTTCTGAGCACGCAGCCTAGCAATCTCAGCCTCATTTTCCTAGCCCTCATGCCAAATAGAGTCGCTCTGGTTCAAACGTCTCTGACACTATGTGAAAATAAACCTTGGTCCTTATAACTGTAGTTCTAATTGGTAATCTTACTTACTAATGTCTTAATAATAGGTTGCCTTGGTAACAATATTGTAATTAATATTTCTGTCTCCTGGAAAATATAAATTATTATGCGTTTTCTTGGTTAAGGTGGAAGCTCTAAAATTAATTAAATGCTTTACACGTGCCCAGAATTAACCCAAGTCCCTGTCAGCATTAATCATTTAATCCTCACAACAACCCTACAAGGGAGTTGTATTTTTCTGCATCCTTCCTATATCTACTATTCTGGTAACTAGGATTCATTAAATGTGAATTTTTTGAGGGTAGTGATTTTGTATCATTATTTTCTTCATTTTATATTTAGGGAATATAAAGTTCTTCCCGCTGGTCTTCTAAGACTGGGGCTTAGGTCTGAGATGTCATTCTTAGTCATGATACCTGTGGACTTTTGGGCTTTTCTGATTTTTGTTTTTCTAATTCCTAATAGAATTAAGCCTTAGTATTCTCCTCTTCTACTTAAATTAATTGTAACTTAAAAGAATGGAGGTGTCTTGGGCCTCTCAATCAGCCTGGTCACACAAGGTTATCAGAGTAGTGCTACCATCTGATTTACTGTTCAATCCAGGCCATTGTAGACAATGAAAAGATGTGCCACTATTAAGCTTGGACAATAGACACTGATCTCATGCAAACCAGCACACGTAGTCACTTGTAAGAGACTGTTGGAAAATCCCTTTAAGGCCTGGGGACTCTGATATCATGACAGGAAATCTTTCTTTTTCAGGAGAAACAAGTGAAAAGAACTGACTGCCGTTATTGTCTATTATTCTCAGCTTGGCACCATAAGAAACTGCGTGTACCTTCCCGGAAGGCAGAATACATTAAGTAACAAAGGAAGAAAACAGGCAAGGCTTGTCAAAGTCCCTGTGAGGAGTTCCTCTTGGTATCTAGAAATCATACTCGCTTTCTTGCTCTTTTTCCTGTGAGTCAGTGTGTCACTTTGTCACCCAGGCTAGAGTGCAGTGGTGTGATTATGGCTCACCATAGCCTCCAACTCCTGGGCTCAAGCAGTCCTCCTGCCTCAGCCTCCTGAGTAGCTGGGACCACAGGTGCATACTACCACACCCCGCTAATTTAAAAAATATATATACAGATATATAGTGGAGATGGGGTCTTGCTATGTTTCCCAGGTTGGTCTTGAGTTCCTGGCCTCGAGTGATCCTTCTGCCTCAGCCTCCCAAAGTGCTGGTATTATAAGCATGAGCCAGTGTCTCCACGCCACTTGCTTTCTAATACTTCTGTATTAGTCCGTTCTCATACTGCCATAAAGAAATGACTGAAACTGGGTACTTTATAAAGAAAAGAGGTTATATTGGTTCATGGTTCTTTAGTCTGTACAGGAAGCATAGTGGCTTCTGCTTCTGGGGAAGCCTCAGGAAACTTTCAATATGGCAAAGGCAGAGCGGGAGTGAGGCATCTCATATGGTGGGAGCAAGGACAAAAGAGAGTGAGGGGGGAGGTACTGCACACTTTTAAATAACCAGATCTCAAAAGAATTCACTCACTATCACGACGACAGTACCAAGGGGGATGCTGTTAAACCTTTCATGAGAAACAGCCTTCCTGATTCAATCACCGCCCTCTAGGCTCCACTCCCAACATTGGGAATTACAATTGAACATGAAATTTGGGTGGGGACACAGATCCAAACCATATCAACTTCTATCAAAGAAGAGAATGACTTGAATAAAACGAGAAAGTAGATTTCCAGCATTGAATGGTTCCAAAGGGAGTAAAATAATTGTGACAGGATGTGATCATTGGCCCTCAATTTCTGCCTGAAGAAGAGTAGGAAAAAGGAGGTCTGGACATCACATGCCCTGCTTTATGAAGCAGCTCCTCCAAGTACACCATGACCAGTGGCTGTGGATGGTTGACAACTCCCCTCCTCTTCCCCCTCTTCTACTGTCTACTCCTGGGACCAAGTGAGCCACGCCAGCTCAGATACTACACTGACCACAGGGAATCCCACCTTTTCCAAGGAATGGAAGTTGTGTAGGGAATATTCAAATGTTGCTTAGCATTGCCTTAGATAAGAACCAAAGGGACAGGGAAATCCTCTGACAGCTATCTGCCTTATAACTTTCATTTTACTGTGCCTAAAATATGCTCAGAACCCAGAAAGAGGCATAATTCCTAATTTTGGCAGGCTCTAATCTAAAATAATGATTCTCAAACATGGTGTGACTTTTGTCTATTTGCTTTATCCTGGGTCACTGCTCCTCTTCTGTCAGATACTGGGATTCCAATGAGACAAATGGAAATGGAGACGTAGACCCTCTGACCTTCTATCTTTTATCTATACACATACACCTGTGTGTGTGTGTGTGTGTGTGTGTGTGCGTGTGTAAAACCGAGTGGGTTTTTTTCTTGGAATGAAAGAATGGACTAACATTACAAAAAATAAAAACTTGAAACAGAATGTGTATTATCCTTGGTTGTGTTTCCTTGGCCCTGCAGCAGGATGAAGCTCTCCACTGGCATCATTTTCTGCTCCCTGGTCCTGGGTGTCAGCAGCCAAGGATGGTTAACATTCCTCAAGGCAGCTGGCCAAGGTGAGGTCCACAGGATAGGGGGCAGGAGGCTGCTTCTGGCTGCCCCCAGGATGCAGCTGAGCAGAGGCCACATCCCCACTGGGCAAAGGTGCTAGTGATGCCACAGATGGATAGAGAAGGGGCATGGTTTTTCATAAGCGTGGTTCCTCATGCTTTTCTGGACAGCTTTGACACTCTTCTATGAGGATCCTCCAGCCGAGGTCGCATAAGGTGTGAGCTGCCTCTTTTCAGCAGGACCATGAGAGAGATGTGGAGTTGAGGGGTGCATGTTCCCATAATACCGGTGGGGCTCTACTGCCCCCTAGTGGGAAATCTGGGACAGTTCATGTCTATGTCTCCTGGGAAGCCAGGAAGCAGGTGGATCAAAAGTGTGAGGCGAGTCCATGGGGAAGCTGAACGGAGCCAACCGTCCCCATAAAAACAACCAAGCTTAGCTGAGATTTTAATACGTACTAGGCACTGTTTAAATGTACTAATGAATTGGTTTCCATCATTTAGTCCTATGATGCAAGCAGCATTATCCCTTAACAGAGAAGCTAACACACACACACACACACACACACTAACACACACACACACACACACACACACACAAACCCCAAGATACGTAAAGAAGTTCCAAAGCAGAGCAGGATTAACCCAGGCAGTCTTGCTCTGCAGAACTTGCTCTTAATCAAGGTACTCTGCTGCTTTCAAAACAAGAGTTTCGGATTTGTGAACACATAGCTCATCCTTTATCTAAGAAATGGCAAATAGGATGTGGTGCCTTTGGAAGGTAAGTCTAGCTCCACTTATCCCAGTAAAACCTACAGTGAATTACCTTGATGGTGGTTCTACTGGGGCTTATATATGGCCAGGAAACTGCTAGCAAGAGAAATATACCCCGAGGGCTGGGCACAGTGGCTCACACCTGTAATCCCAGCACTTTGGGAGGCTGAGGTGGGCAGATCACCTGAGGTCAAGAGTTCGAGACCAGCCTGGCCAACATGGCGAAATCCTGTCTCTACTAAAAATACAGAAATTAGCCGGGTGTGGTGGCATGCGCCTATAATCCCAGCCTCTCGGGAGGCTGAGGGAGAAGAATTGCTTGAACTCAGGAGGCAGAGGTTGCAGTGAGCTGTGATCACACCACTGCACTCCAGCCTAGGAGACAGAGCAAGACTCCATCTAGAGAGACAGAGAGAGAGAGAGAGGGAGAAATATACCCCACTAGCCATAATAAAGTGGCAAAATTTTGTTTTCAGAATGCAGTATTTTAAATTTCAGGTATTATTATTTTTCTGAGTCTCTGAAAAATGGTTTTAAGGATTTGCTTTTAATCCTATTTACATGTTCACACACTCAACTACAAATATCTTTCATTCCTTAGGTTAATATTTTTCAAAGGGTTGTTCTGGGACCACTTGCGTGAGAATCACCTGGATTCTGGGATGCTTTGTGAAATGAAATGAAGATTCCCGGGTCCATACCCTACCCCCTGCCCCCAGCAGCCACAGTCTCTTGGGACAGAGCCTAGAAATCTTGCCTTTGCTAAGCACCTCGGTAGATTTTTATGCACAGCAAAGGTTGAGAACCACTACCTCTTGTTTTGCTGCTGAAAGTGATAAAATGTGCCAGGAATTTTGGAAGTACTTATTAAGCCAATCTGAACATCAAGGAGCCATTTAAGTCAGTAACTCAGAGGAATAAGTAGAGTAAAAATGTCATAAACTCTCAATAAAAGCAATCAATTTAACACCAGGAGTAATAAATGCATAAAATGAAGATGAGTTATCTAATAGAGAAATTATATAAACCATGATTATAACTCTATATTTGAGTTCCCCCTTTTCCGTAATCAGTTAATTTTCTAAAAAATCTTCGTCACTTAATTCTAGCTTGATCAGATCCCTTCAGTCCGTAACTCCCTGCTCCTCATCTTAGTTTAGCCCTTCTTTTTTCTTATGCCACCTTTCCTAAGGACCAGAGAAGTGAAATGATAATATATTGGCCACCTACAATGTTCTAGACATCATACATGTATTTTCTCTGCTCTTCTGCATAATCACTGTGAGGCAGGCAATACTCCTCCATTTCATTGGGGAGGACATTGAGGTTCTGAACTAGTGGGTCAGTTGTCCTTTTTCTGAATTTGATTACCCAGTAGTATAAAGCTTTCTTAGGTAACTCACCTTTATCACTTGCTGACTGAATTCTGACAGATGTCAGTTTCTAATTATAGCCTGGACATTCAGATGTATTCAGGACCAAGTTGTCCTCACTCTACCTACAGGCATGAATTTCTCTCATTGACTAGGTTAGGAGCGCCATATGTCTGCAGCCTCCCTCAGAATCCCCTGTGTTCTCACACCAGGGAACTGAGGGTTCCCTGGGTCCTTCCAGGTAGAAGTTCATTGTACAATGAAACATCCCTTAAGGACCATTTCATCTCTTCTTTAGGTGCATCACACATGGTTAAAACAAAGTAATAACAGAACTTAGAATGGAATCAAACAGAATGAAACTTACACCAAGTACAATTCTCATTACATTAACCCAGAGAAGTGAAAAGTAGAAGAATATTTATTTCAAGCCAATATAATTTCCAAGGGCTTTGTTGAAGGCTGAAATCTTCGGGAGGAAAGTAGTGAGAAGAAAACTGTTCATTCCTCTATTTTCCCAGTATATAATTGTTTTGATCATTTTCTTTCCTTTCCAGGGACTAAAGACATGTGGAAAGCCTACTCTGACATGAAAGAAGCCAATTACAAAAAATTCAGACAAATACTTCCATGCTTGGGGGAACTATGATGCTGTACAAAGGGGGCTTGGGGCTGTCTGGGCTACAGAAGTGATCAGGTAATGCACATTCCTGATGTTGCCAGGAATGAGTGAGCAGAGCTTGACTGCCTTGGACAGTCAGGAGAGAGGTAAGCTCCTTGCAGAGAAGTTAGAGGCTGCAGCCCCTCCTCCTCTTGCCCTCTCTCTGCCTGTGTGCTTAGTGCGAGGGTCTGAGTGGATGGTAGAAGTGAGTGATTCCTCACCCTCCCTCTCTGGGTGCTGTTCATCCAGCCTAGGGGTGCCCAGCCTGGCTGAGTGGGGCAGTGCCCAGGCAGGGTCATTGTTTTCACCCCTCCTTCCTTGGCCTTCCTGGGCTTCTCCCAGAGTCCTCCCTTGGAAAGCAGAGAATGGGAAGGTGGGCTGTTGCTCACTGGCCTGGTGATTAATCTCCTTGCTTGCCTGGACTACAGCGATGCCAGAGAGAACGTCCAGAGACTCACAGGAGACCATGCAGAGGATTCGCTGGCTGGCCAGGCTACCAACAAATGGGGCCAGAGTGGCAAAGACCCCAATCACTTCCGACCTGCTGGCCTGCCAGAGAAATACTGAGCTTCCTTTTCAATCTGCTCTCAGGAGACCTGGCTGTGAGCCCCTGAGGGCAGGGACATTTGTTGACCTACAGTTACTGAATTCTATATCCCTAGTACTTGATATAGAACACATAAAAATGCTTAATAAATGCTTGTGAAATCCAGTTTGTTATTGGAATCTGGAAGCAGAATATGACAGTCTTCCTGGGATCATGGGCCTGTTTAGTACCATAGGGATGACCAATAAACATCACTGTTTTATTTTTTAAAACATAAAGCACTAATGCACAATAGTGGGAATTGGGGAGAAAACTATATCTATACATGGACCACATTGTATGGACCATAATATGGACCAACTATAAGCCTATAATTATATGGTTCATAAAATAGAAAAGATAATAAGATAATCCTATGAACAACTTCAGTAATGAAGCCTAAAACTAAATTAAAAATCAACAAATCATAGAAAAATACAATTTACAAATACCGACTAAAGAAGAAATGAGAATCTAGATTAGCCTGTAATTATTTTAAGAGATTAAATCTTCTTACAAAGAAAACAGCAGGCCCAGATGGTTTTGTAGACAAATAATATGCCTTCAAAAAGGCAAATAAGGGCCAGACATGGTGACTGATGCCTGTAATCCTAACACTTTGGGAGGTTGATGCGGGAGGATTGCTTGAAGCCAGGAGTTTGAGACCAGCCTGGGCAACATAGCAAGCCCCCATCTCTATAAAACAAAAAACAAACAAACAAACAAAAAACAGCCAGGTGTGGTTATGTGCACCTATCATCCCAGCTGCTTGGGAAGCTGAAGCCAGAGGATAGCTTGAGCCCAGGAACTCAAGGTTGCAGTGAGCTATGATCACACCACTGCACTCCAGCCCAGGTAACAGAGCAACACCCTGTCTCTAAAAAGAAAGAAAAGAAGAAATGGAAAAATGAAGAAAGGAAGAAGAGAGTTAGAAAGAAGGAAAGAAATAAATAAAGATGCAAAAAAAAAAAAAAGCAAAAGTACTTGGAGTTACAATGAATTGGCCCCAGCAGTGACCATCTCCAAGTTCACTGTGTAGCCTGAGGTTATTCCTTTCATAATCCCAGAAAATCCTGGATTCTTGGAGAGGGGTGTTCTCAGACACTCCACATAGTTTATTTCCCAAGTTGGATCCTCTCTCCTGGGTCTTGCTGGCCCAAGTATCTCTGGTTACAGTGGACTGTTTCTAGGCCCCTCTATGTCCAGGCCTCCTTTCTGTCCAGTCAGCTATGTCCTTTCCTTTTTTCTTCCCCCCAGGAATCTGGATTCCTCAGTGTTCTCTTTCCCTGCCACGAAGGCATAATCCCAGGAATCTTTCCCCACTTCATTTCCCAAACCCAGTGTCAACCAGTCCCTGTCCATGGTACTAAGAAATACCTTTCAAAGCTATTTCTCTTATCTTTTTGACTACTCCTTGGTTCGTGCCAGGGTAAAATGTCATCTTCTCAATGAATCAGATCTGTCAGCTCCTAAATCCTTACCCTGGGGTAATAATGAATGCCTCTATAGCACTTTGTTCATGCCTTCTTGAGAATCCAGTTCCATCCTTGTCAGAGTCAGTGGTTAATATGGCAGTACTCCTGCTGGTTGATTTTCAAGCTCATCTAAACGAGTCAATGGCAGTGAAAGAATGTGTGATCATGATAAAGGTGGTAGAATGACAGTTACTATTCATGGTGCGGTGACCAAGGGCCAGGCACTGGTCTAAGTGATTTCTTCTGTTATCCACTGGATCCTCACACTTTAATTATCCTTATTTTAGAGCTCAGGAAACGTGAGGCACAGACAATTTAGATAACATACACAAGTTGCACTGCTAGTTTGATGCTAGAGTCAACATTCTGAACCATTTGCTGTAACTAGCAATTGCATTGGAGTTTAGAACTTATAAAACACGCTTGCACATATGAGTTCATGTAATCACTGCTCCTATGAATGTATTCCATGAGCTACCCTAGTTAGTAATCTATGAATCTCATATCAAATCTGTGTGTGTGAGGAGCAATAAGGAGCTGAGAAAAAACCAGCAAGATGGAGGAGGTTGCATCGCTATTCAAGGGAGCTGTGGAGAGGCGTCTCCAGCGATGGAGGTGGTATATGTGAAGAATCCACAACACACATACACAGAATCAGCTTCAAACACCTGCTGGGCCCAAAGAACATGAAACCATCTTATGAAAACACCAGTCAAGTAAGAATTTTCCTTTCCCTCCCCTCTCACTTCCAATCCTTCCCCCCTAATCGGGGAGAGGTCAGAAAGAGCAGCTGTCTATCTGTGGGAGGAGGAAGCAGGGAAGGAAACAAAGTCATCACCCCCCTCCAGACTGAAGTACCCATCTATAGTGGGCTTAACTAGGAAAGGGGAGAGAAATTTTCATTTTAAATGAATTGGAAGCTTCAAATCATGACTTGGACCTGGACTTTCTAGTTACCATTTTGAGATAAACTAAATGCCATCAAACCTGTGGCTTTAAATTACTACCTGTATAACACTGTTTGTTTTGTTTTGTTTTGTTATTTGAGACAGAGTCTTGCTCTGTTGCCCAGGTTGGAGTGCAGTGGCATGATCACCACTCACTGCAGTCTCAACTTCTTGGGCTCAAGCTACCCTCCCACCTCAACCTCCTGAGTAGCTGGGACTACAGGTGCTCCCCACCACACCTGGCTAATTTTAAAAAGAACATTTGTAGAGACAGGGTCTTACTATGTTGCCCAGGTTGGTCTTGAACTCCTGGGCTCAAGTGATCCTCCCACCTTAGCCTCCCAAAATGCTGAGATTACAGGCATGAGAACACCGTACCTGGCCTGTACAGTACTTTCAATAACCTTTGAGTAACTAGGGAAGGCATGAATTGACTTGTGTTCAGGATCAAAGTGAGAGATATTGGGACAAAAAAAAAGAAAGGAAAAAAAACCTGCTTTCTGGTTATAAAATGTAATTCTGTTTGATTAGCACACTGATGACATTGGAGAGTGTGTAATAACTAAGGATTATGATTAATCCAATTCTGTGCACCTGAGATCCAAAGAGAAAAGAAAAAAAACAAAACTCATGGAGCCTAGCTGTGAGTATCAGACTCAAATAAAAGTTGAGAAGACATTGGGAGGTTATCTCAGTAATGCCAACAACTTACAAATGAATTTTAGACTGGCCTCTTTCTTTTTTTTTTTTTTTTTTGAGACAGGATCTCACTCTGTCACCCAGGCTGGAGTGCACCGGTGCGATTTCAGCTCACTGCAACATCCACCTCCCAGGCTCAAGCCATCTTCCCAGCTGGGAATACAGGTGTGCGCAACCATGCCTGGCTAATTTTCATATTTTTTGTAGAGACCAGGTTTCTCCATGTTTTCCAGGCTGGTCTTGAACTCCTGACCTCAAGTGATCAGCCCACCTCAGCCTCCCAAAGTGCTAGGATTATAGGCATGAGCCATCGCGCCCAGTCCTGGCCTCTTCTTTTTAAAACTCATTTTTATTTTATTAAGAATAAAACAAATAATATACCATGAGTATATGTCAAAATTTAACATAAATTATATATCATAAACCAGCAAGTATTGAATTGTGGACTCACATCAATATGATGGTTGGTAAACATAACCTATATGTGTGTATATGATAAAAGAAATGAGTTGGGAGGCCGAGGCGGTGGATCACGAGGTCAGGAGATCGAGACCATCCTGGCCAGCATGGTGAAACCCCGTCTCTACTAAAAATACAAAGAATATTAGCCAGGCGTGGTGGTGGGCACTTGTAGTCCCAGCTACTCGGGAGGCTGAGGCAGGAGAATGGTGTGAACCCGGGAGGCGGAGCTTGCGGTGAGCCGAGATCGTGCCACTGCACTCCAGCCTGGGCGACAGAGCGAGACTCCATCTCAAAAGATAAATAAATACATTAATTAATTAAAATAAAATAAATAAAAGAAATGAGCTGGGTATGGTTGCTCATGCCTGTAATCTTAACACTTTTGGAGGCTGAGGTGGGAGGATCACTTGAGATCAGGAGTTGGAGACCAGCCTGAGCAACACAGGGAGACCTTCTGTCTCCAAAAAGGTAACTCTCTGCAAGCCTGACTGCTGAAACTGCCTCTTGTAAACGGAGACCAGTTTTATCTAACAACTGCTGAAACAACCTACTGTGACTCTAAGACTAATTTTACCTGCTGCCATCTCTCACCAATCCTAGCTTGCAAGCTCCCCCAAACCTTACTAAAACCAATAAAATTTCTTTCAAAACAACGTGTAACATTTCTCCTTTTTATAAAAGCCCCAACCTTCTCTTTGTACTTCAGATATATTGAAGACGCCCACCTGTCTCATCTGTGTGTATGCCCTGAATTGTAATTCTTACTTTCTAAATCAATTGCTTTAAATTTAGAGATTCATCTCTATGTTTTGTTTGACTTTGACGTAAGTATCACAGTAATTCTAGGCAAACATTGGACACCTTCATTATGTTTTCTAATATAGTTATGACTGAGTATTTAAAATATTCATGTGGACATTTTATTTTAAATAATTTCGGCCGGGCGCGGTGGCCCGCGCCTGTAATCCCAGCACTTTGGTAGGCCGAGGCGGGCGGATCACGAGGTCAGGAGATCGAGACCATCCTGGCTAACACGGTGAAACCCCGTCCCTACTAAAAATACAAAAAAAAAATTAGCCGGGCGAGGTGGCGGGAGCCTGTAGTCCCAGCTACTCTGAAGGCTGAGGCAGGAGAATGACGGGAACCCCAAGGGGCGGAGCCTGCAGTGAGCCGAGATCGCGCCACTGCACTCCAGCCTGGGCGACAGCGAGACTCCGTCTCAAAATAAATAAAATAAATAAATAAATAAATAATTTCATGTCTCCATTCCTGTTTGGTCATTATATTGATATTTTTGAAATTTCATGTGGAAGTAGCTTATATCATCTATAAATTTAATTCCATTAAATCAAAGTGGGTACTTGTAAATCAATTCCATCATAGGTAATTTTTTTAGTTTAATGTTTACGATTCTTATGGAGAAAGAAGTGTTTTTCATTTACCTTTGCATGGGTGCTTAAAATACACATTTCTATTTCAAGATGACACTGAAAAATTCTTCTAATATAACAGCAGCAAAAATGTAATTCTGCAATTACAAAAGTGCTAAACTGAAATCCATAATTAAGGTTTTCTCATGTTTACAATTGTGGTTCTTTAATCAATACTAATACTATGCAGGTCTGTTGTAAGGTTTCTAGATTCGGTTTAAACACACGCACACAATACTGTCAGTTGTAGGAGGCTTTACAAGTTATATTTCATGCACTTTTTTTTAAAGAGTTCTAAAAGAGCCAACCAGTCCACAAGACAGACAGAAAAAAAGTTAAATTAACTGGAGTAAATTGGACTCTTAACATTCGAAACATGCAAGATTCTGCAGCAAACTGGGAGTACTTCAGGATTGGCCTGCTATCTTCCTTAGTATTAATTTCATCTTAACAGTTTAAGAAGTTGGACATTTTAACACCATCAAGCGCATTTAGGTGACGTGTTTCTTGTGTGTTAACTTGGCTCCCCGGAATGATCTAGTTAGTGAACTAGTCACTAATAATTTGGTCACCAGGCAAATCAAGCCTACACGAAAGGAAGCGACTATTCAAAATACCGTAGTATCATCTGAACCTACCCAAATAATTTATGTTCAACATAAACATGTAACTTCAATAATGAGATGACTCATTAATGAGTCAAGCTCCTCCAACAAGACAAAGACAACATCTCTTCTTCTAAGGTTTAAGTTTTGCATAGAAATCCGGATACATGGAATAGCCCATACCAACAGTCATTGCTCCTACAACAAAGCTGGACTGCCACACGCATGTGGATCAGGTGACGTGATATTTTAGTATTTCCCCTGCTTTTCAATTTGTATAATCCGTATGCAGCAACTACTGCAAAACCTGCCATTCCAATGGGGACAAATGGTGCCTCTTTAGTTTTTCGAATCACTTTGGATCCCTGGAATCCCTCACAAGCCATCCAGCTTCCCCTACGGATATTTTTAGGAATGGCAACAGTGGCCAGAGATCAGAGGATTATATTATTAGGGTTATACAACTTTTATATAAAAAAAGTGGCTTCTGACCAGGCGCGGTGGCTCACGTTTGTAATCCCAACACTTTGGGAGGCCGAGGCAGAAGGATTGCTTGAGCCAGAAGTTCGAGACCAGCCTGGGCAACATAGATCAGAAGGCGAATAGAATAAGTCCGCTAGCTTTGAGATTCACATCTGTTCCTGAGGCTTCCTCACTGCTCCCCACCCTTCCTTCTTCAATCAGTCTAAGAGCTCCTGGAGAAATGGAACACCTGATTCAGTGAGGGTGACAAATAATTATGAGTATGTTCGTGCCAGGGTCCTCGATAGGATGGGGTGGGGGAGGTCAAGCCGCCTTGGCAGCTGGCCAGGCTCCGAACAGCAGATGGCGCTGTAGGGGGAGTCCCACCGGGTACGCCGGGCGCTCTGGCACTAGGGCGCCGGTCGTCTCCTCCGCAGCTTCCGGCACGGCCTTCAAGCGCGGGACGCGACAAAGTCATGGACCGCAACCCCTCGCCGCCGCCGCCGGGTCGCGACAAGGAGGAGGAGGAGGAGGTGGCCGGTGGAGACTGCATAGGGAGCACGGTCTACAGCAAACACTGGCTCTTCGGCGTCCTCAGCGGACTCATCCAGGTGTGGAAACTCGCGCCACGCGTGGGGTGTCCCTACATCCCCCAGGCACCGGGGCTCCGCCTCTGGCGAATCCTCCTGCCCCGGGAGCCGCCATCCCCACAAAGACCCCTCCCCAGGCGTGCGCTGCGGGACCTTGCTCCTTGCGTTTCGCCGGCCGCTGCGGACCCCAAAACTATCTGGGCCCCCTCGGGGTCTCTCGACACAAAGGGAAGTATAATGGTAGGGATGCTGAAATACTTGCCGTTCTATTTTGCTTTCCCAAGTTCTCCAAAAATACATGATCGTGTAACTGCATTCCTCGGGTTTTGCTCCCCATCCCCACTGTCATTTCTGAAGCCCAGGTCCTTAATTTATGTATTTCATGGACTATCGTTGTAATAGAATAAATGGTGACTTTAGGGTTATACAACTTTTATATTAAAAACGTGGCTTCTGACCAGGCGCGGTGGCTCACCTCTGTAATCCCAACACTTTGGGAGGCCGAGGCGGAAGGATCGCTTGAGCCAGGAGTTTGAGACCAGCCTGGGCAACATAGACCTGGTTTCTACAAACTTAAAAAAAAAAAAAAAAAAAAGCCGGTCGTGACGGTGCACGCCTGTAGTCCCAGCGACTCAGGAGGCTGAGGCTGGAGGATCGCTTGAGCCTGAAGTTGGAGGCTGCAGTGAGCTATGATCCAGCTTCTGCACTCCAGGCTGGGGGACGGAGTAAGACCCTGTCTCAAAAAAACAAAAAACGCAGCTTCCTTACCCACTAGCTGCAGGTCACCTAACGGCTCAGAACCTCTATTTGTCCCTTAATTTCTATAAAATGGGATTATAATATTTATATTATATATAAGGTTATTGTGTAGGTTAAGTGAGATTATAATGGCAACAGAGTGCTTAGCATGGTGTTTGGCTTATAGGAGGCTGTCAGTAAATGTGTTTTCTTCCCCCCATGTTTCCCTAATTGGTTCCTCTCCTCCTATTGTCTATCCTCTCCAGTCAATTTTCTACACAGCTGCCAGAATAATCTTCTTTAAAGACAGGGCTATTCATGATACTGCTCTTAGTTCTTTTTGCCTGGGAGAAAAATGCATGTTTCTTGAAGTTTGGAATCCAGGGCTGTTTGTACATTTTCCAGCCTCATCTTCTCATGATACACTGTGTTCCATCAACTCTGAACTGTTCACCATCCCCAAACATGCTAGGCCCTTTCTTAACTCTGAACTCTTGTGCTTTCCTCTGAATACTCACTTCTCTCCTTCTTCACATGACAAACTACTATTCTTCCTTTAAAATTTAGCTTAAATATCAGCACCTAAGGGAAGGTTCCCCATCTTCTCCTAGGAATAGGTCATTGGTCCATCGTTTTTGCTACCAGAACTCTTTGTCCACAATTCAGTTGAATCACTTTGCCTTTTCTAATATGACTATCCCTTTACATGTCTTTCCCCACTAGATCCTAAAAGTTAAAAAAAAAAAAAAGCTTAAATGTAAGGGATTATATCTTACTTGTCTTTGTATATCTACCCCAGTGCCTAGCAACAGTATTTACTTTGTGAATGTTGAAAGAGTAGATCTACCCAAGGTACTACATTTTTAAAAGAAGATTTTTGCAAGAGAAGATACTTTGCTGATAGCCTCTTTGTGACTTCTAAACGATTATGGGTTAATATTAAAGTAAGTGCTCACTTAACATCAGTAGGTTCTTGGAAATTGTGACTGTAAGCAAAATTACTGATAATGAAACCAATTTTACCATAGCTAATTGATATAAACAAGAGTTAAGTCCCTGTGGCATATTTCTGGACACAAGAACATCACCAAACTTCTAAATGAGGACCTAAAACACTTCTAATATTAAACATTGAGATAAATGTGAGCTATAATACGTTTAGGAAAGGTTAATAAAAACAAGATAATTATTCACCCAGTTTTGGTGAGTTAGTGAGTGATGGTGGTTGTAGTGATTATCACTACAACCTTTATTCTTTGATTGTGTTAAATCAAGGAATAAATGTTTACAAAGCAAAAATGATCACCTCTTACTACTGTACAGTCCAAAAACAATAACAAATAAGGCAGGCTTACTGAGCACTTTCCTACCACATAATTATTGTCACGCATCTCTATGGTTATTGTCTTCTTTACAGATTTTTGTTTTATAATAATTTGTATTCATCCATTTCCCAACCCACTTGCTCTGGTTCAGGGTTGAGGGTGGCTGGAGCCTGTACCAGCAGTTCAAGGTGCAAGGCAGAAACCAGCCCTGGACAGGATGCCATCCCATCACAGGTACACACACACCCACACTCACTCAGATTGGGACCATTTAGATACCCGTTGTGCTAATGTGCAAATTTGGGGGATGTAGGAGGAAACTAAAGTACCTGGAACAGACTCATGCACTCTTGGGGAGAACATGCAAACTCCACACAGACAGTGGCCCTGGCCAGGAATCAAATTTTTTTCTCATCAGCGTTACGAGGAAATGTTATTTGATCACCTGCTGTATTTGGGTACCTGGTTAGTATTGTAGACAACTTTTATTCATGTTTTCTTTCTTTGTGTTTCTGAAGATTGTTAGCCCTGAAAACACCAAATCTAGCTCAGATGATGAGGAGCAGCTGACGGAGCTTGATGAAGAAATGGAGAATGAAATTTGCAGAGTATGGGATATGTCAATGGATGAGGTATGAGGCTGGAAACAAAACTCTGAAGACTGTTGGGTGAGGAGATGGTGAATGAATGTTTTAAAAACGGTTCAGTCCTTCACTCTGGGGAAAGGCTTTATCTCCTGTCTGTAATCACACCCATATATGATATAGGGAATGAGATCCCAGGGGCTATAAATGCTAAACTTCTGTCTTTGAGGCTGGAGGATTTGAGCTCTCAACAGATTCGGACTAAATACGTAGCTCTTATGAATGTATTCCTATACACATGTAGGCCGGGAAAGTTCTGATACTTACCTACCTAAAGAGAGCTCTGGCCATATATTTGACAGCAGGTTAGGAGTTAGAAGACCACTGATATACCATGATAATATTAGAAGGAAAGGACAATAAATAATTATATGTCTGTAATTGCAGTATTAATCATAGTGTTTTAATATCTGTATTTTATTCTATAGCTCAAAAGCATTTTCATATATAGTATTCTATTTGATCTTCACAATAACCCTGTGATGTAGGTAGTACCCTTATTTTACAGTTAAGAAAATAGAGGCCAAAAGACATTAAATGACCTATGTAATCTTTCTTGTTTTATTACCTGGACTTTAGCAATAGCTTCCTGATTAAAATCCTTGTTTTAGTCTCTTTCACCTCCCTTCTGTCCTCTACATTGCCACCCGTGTTACCTTTTTTTCCGGAAATACAGACTTAATTGTACTCATTTTCTTAAAAATTGTCAATGGCTATTCATTGTTTCAGTCATTTTATTTAAAACTTTATTGAGGTATAATTAACACCAAAAAACTGCATATTGTTTTGAAGTATCATTGACATTGATTTTTTTTTTTTTTTTGAGATGGAGTCTCTATCACCTAGGCTGGAGTACAGTGGTGCGATCTCAGCTCACTGCAATCTCCGCCTCGAGGGCTCAAGTGATTCTCCTGCCATAGCGTCCAGAGTAGCTGGGAGTACAGGTGTGAGCCACCAATCCCTGCGAATTTTTATATTTTTAGTGGAGACAGGGTTTTACCCTGTTGGCGAGGCTGGTCTTGAACTGCTGACCTCAAATGATCCATCCTCCTCGGCCTCCCAAAGTGCTGGGATTATAGGAGTGAGTCACCGCACCCAGCCAATAAACTTTGACGGATGTGTACGCAGATTAAGCTGTCACTGTAATCAGGATACAGCGCATACCCATCACCCCTGAAAGTTTCTTTATGGTCCTTGGTAGTCTCTTCCTCTTGCCTCTCCATTCCTCCATCCCCTCCAGGCAACCACTGATCTGCTTTCTGTCACTACAGATTAGTATGTATTCTAGAGTTTTATATGAATGTGCTCATATGCTTTTTTTGGTCTGGCTCTTTTATACAGCATAATTATTTTGAGATTCATCCATGTTGTGTATATCAGTGGCTTTTTTTTTTTTTTTTATTGCTGAATGGTATTCCATTATATGTATATACCACAATTTATTTTTTACCTGTTGATGAATGTTGGAGTTGTTTAAGGCTTATTACAGATAAAGCTGTTGTGAACTTTTGTATACAAGTGTGTATGGACATATACTTTGTTTTTCCTTGGGTGAATACCTAGAGTGGTGTGTTAGTCCATTCTCATACTGCTATAAGGAAATACCTGAGACTGGGTAATTTATGAAGGAAAGAGGTTTAATTGACTCTCAGTTCAGTATGGCTGGGGAGGCCTCAGGAGACTTACAATCATGGCAGAAGGGGAAGGGGAAGCAGGCACCTTATTCACACGGTGGCAGGAAGGAGAAGTGCGAGCAGGGGAAATGCCAGACGCTTATAAAACTATCAGATCTCATGAGACTCACTCATTATCATGAGAACAGCATGGGGGAAACCACCCCCGTGATTCACTTACCTCCACCTAGTCTTGCCCTTGATACGTGGGGATTATGGGGATTGCAATTCAAGGTCAGATTTAGGAGGGGACACAGAGCCAGACCATATATCAAGTGGCATGGCTGGATCATACGGTAGGTGTATGCTTAACTTTTTAAGAAACTTTCAATTTGTTTTCCTAAGCAGTTTTTTACCATTTTACATAACCACAAGCAGTGTATGAGACATAATTCCAGGTCCAATTTCTCCTCAACCTCACCAACACTTAGTATGGTCAGTCTTCTTAATTTTAGCCATGCTAATAAGTATGTAATGATAGCTCATTGTGATTATAATTTGGACTTCCTTAATTCCTAATGATGAGCATCTTTTCATGTGTTTATTTGTACTCTGTGTATCTTTTTTGGTGAAGTACCTGTTTGAATCTTCTGCCTGCTTTTTAATTGTGTTGTTTTCTTACATTTTCTTCTAAAAGTTTTATAATTTTAGGTTTTACATATAAGTCTGTGATCCATTTTGAGTTGATTTTTGTATAGTATATGGTGCAAGGATGGATGAAGTTTATTTTTTTGCTTATGGATATTTAATTGTTCAAGTTCATTTGTTGAAAAGACGATCCTTTCTCCACTAATTGCTTTTGTGTCTTTGTCAAAAATCAGTTGTCCACATACTTTATAGTTTGAAATCTTTTCTTTTTAAAGATAGACATCAAGCACTATAGAATTTTCCCTAAATATTTATGCTTTACCAGTATTCCACAATTTCTGATATGCTGTGTTTACAATTTTTTTTGAGACAGAGTCTCGCTCTGTATTTTTTGTAGAGATGGGGTTTTGCCATGTTGGCCAGGCTGGTCTTGAACTCCTGGCCTCAAGTGATCCCCCTGCCCCGGCCTCCCAAAGTGCTGGGATTACAGGCGTGAGCCACCATGCCCGCAGAAGTTCAGAATACTTTCTAATATTCTTTACTTTTTCTTTGGTTTATAGGTAAGTTTCAAATATTTGGGAATGTTTCAGTTATCTTTCTCTTGCTGTGGTTGGTGAACACTGAATCCTTTTAAATGTGTTGAGATTTGTTTTATAGCCCAGAATATGGTTTTAAGTAAACCTGAAATATTTACCATGTTGACTTAAAAAGCATGTGTGTTCTGCTGTTGCTGGGTGGAATATCTTATTCTCAATGTCAGATCAGGTTGGTTGAGAGTATTGTTCAGATCTACTTTCTATTCTACAATTATTGATAAATTATGGTTAAACAAATTTTTTTAAAAAGAAATAAAACCTGTGTTTTAAATGAACTCTTAGGGTGAAAGTCTCAGTTTTAAAATTGAGAAAACAGCGCTACTGTTTGAAGGAGGTTATTGGTGCAGGGCAAAGTCATGTTCTTTGGCCTCCTTTTGCTCCCTTACAAGAGGTGCCCTTGAGGCACCACTCAGAACTGAGCTCTCCACTGACAATTGAGGTCCCTGGCGCAAAGTCTGGTGAGTTTATATCTCAGTCTTGTCGCCTATCGTTCTGTAACCATGAATTCAGTGTGCGAGGACCAGAGACCTCCAGATACTTCCTGCACTTTCACGTGTCCATGGGCACTATTCATGCCGCTCTGCTTAGAATGGCTTCCAGCTGGCAAAATCCTTCTCATTGTTTATGGCCCGGCTTCAATGTCACCTCCTCTGTGATGCCACCCCAGACACTCCAGTCAGAATTAACCTGTCTTGTTTTGGTGTTCCCACAGAATTGCTTCACTCTGTTACATGTGTCCTCTGATGGATTTAAATTCCTTCTCATCAAAGCATAATGTCACCCCTTCTGAAATGCCTTCTTTTCAATGTCATGTCTAAAGTAGCCCGCTTTATCTTGGTTTCTAGCACATATCTTATTTTCTTTGTAGCATTTAGAAATTGTGTAGTTTAGTTGTTTTATATTTATTGTTTGTTCATTTCTTTAGAATGAAAATTCCATGGGACTGAGCCCTTATTTAGCTTGTTCACTGATGTATCCCCAGAACCTAAAACAGTGCCTATTAGGTTTTTCAGAAAATATTTGGGGAGTAATGAATGAATAGATGAATACCTGAGAGGTAGCATGTTGTGCTGGTTAAGAACATAGTCTCGCTGGGTACTTGCCTGTATTCCCAGCTATTTGGGAGGCTGAGGCAGGAGGATCACTTGAGCCCAGTAGTTGGAGGCTGCAGTGAGCTATGATAATGCCTGTGAATCTGTGAATAGCCACTGCTCCAGTATGGACAGGATAGCAAGACCCCCATCTCTTTTAAAAAACAAGACCATAGGCTCAAATCAGACTCATGGGTTCAAATCCTAGCTTTGCTCTGCTGAGACTGTATAATCTTGGGCAGGTTGCTACACTTTTTAAACTTCAGTTTGCTTATGAGTGTAATGGGGCTAACAATGATAACTAGTTGATAGAGTTGTTTTGAGAATTAAATGAGATAGCATGCAAGCCACTTCACTGTGCCTGGCATTTAATACTTGTTCAATGAATGTTAATTTTATTACTGTTGGTGTTGATATTGTTAGGCCACCCTTGTGCTACTCCAGGAATTACCATTAAATTTAAAAATTTCTGCATGTGGCAAAGAATTGCCCACAGGACAGCTTGATCACTTACAGTGAAGAGAATCTGCCATTATGACTTTCAGTTTAGAGTGTATCTTTGAAAATACTATTTTCTCTGACCATGGTCCTTTAGTAAGTAGAGTGTGTCTCTCTCAGTCAGTTGTCTGGCAGGTTACTGGTTTCACTTGCTGTGGAGAATAATTGCCTGTCTCTTTGAGATGTTCCAGGGCCCTTAATTTTCACATAAGCCATGCAGCTTATATTTTAAGTTAAGGCTTCTCAAATACACACCTCACATTTAGTGAAAATCTGAAGCAGTGGACAGCCAGAGACTTAATTTTATTTATATATTTTACATTGCAGGTCCCCAAGCAAACTGACTTAGCTTTTGTGTCTTACATTCCTAGGTGAGATTTGGCTCATTTGGGGCCACATGTCCACTCACATGTCACCTGTGTGTTACGCCCCTTTAGGCACTGTGGCAGACTCTGTAGGAAGAAGTTATGAGGCTGCCACAGTTACATTGTGATCAGAATTTTTATTCTATTGATGATTTTGAAAACACAAATTCTGGTTTTGGACAGGACCCAATAGCAGTTCTTGACTTCTTTCCCCTACCGTGTTTTAAGCTCTTGGAGGACAAGAAGGAATTTTGTTTTTGTTTGAGACAAAGTCTCACTCTGTCGCCCAGGCTAGAGTGCAGTGGCGAGATCTCAGCTCACTGCACCCTCTGCCTCACGGGTTCAAGCAATCCTTCCACCTCAGCCTCCTGAGTAGGTGGGACTACAGATGGTACACCACCATGCCCAGCTAATTTTTGTATTGTTTGTAGAGATGGCGTTTCACTATGTTTGCCTAGGCTGGTCTCGAACTCCTGGGCTCAAGTGATCCGCCTGTCCTGGCCTCCCAAAGTGTTAGGATTACAGGCGTGAGCCACCTCGCCCAGCCAAGTTTTACCTTTTTTTTTTTTTTCCTTTTTTTCTCGCTGTGTTGCCCAGGCTGGAGTACAGTGGCAAAGTCATGGCTCACTGCAACCTTGAGCTCCCCAGGCTCAAGTGATCCTCCCACCTCAACCTCCCAAGTAGCTGGGACTGCAGGCATGTGCCACCACACCTGGCTAATTTTCGTATTTTTTGTGGATATGGGTTTTCACTATGTTTGCCCAAGCTGGGCTCAAGTAATCCACCCACCTCGGCCTTCTAACCAGCCTCCCAAAGTGTTAGGATTACAGGTGTGAACCACTGCGCCCAGCGTGTTGCTTTTTTCCCTTGTCCCCCGCTTCTAGTTTAATACCTGATAGGTAATCACCAAATGTGTTTGAATGTGTTTAATGAGAATTCCTAGTGGGCAGAAAAATTATTAAGGTAAATAGATTCGGGCAGAAAAGAGTGGGATAATCCTCTGGAGTATTGTAGGTAGTTTAGATTTGTTTATGAAATTGTTCCATTGTCTGGGACTAGTTACCATAAAGACTCTCTAACATCACTTTTGTCTGTTGACACAGTTCCTAAGCCTGTGTTTTTTTTTTCTTGTGTCTAAAATTCTAATTTTATTTTATTTTTTTATTTTTTTTGGAGACAGAGTCTCGCTCTGTCACCCAGGCTGGAGTGCAGTGGCGTGATCTCAGCTCACTGCAACCTCTGCCTCCCGGGTTCTAGCGATTCGCCTGCCTCAGCCTCCTGAGTAGCTGGGACTACAGGTGCATGCCGCCATGCCCGGCTAATTTTTTTGTATTTTTAGTAGAGACAGGGTTTCACCGTGTTGCCCAGCTGGTCTTGAACTCCTGAGCTCAGGCAATCTGCCAGCCTTGGCCTCCCAATGTGCTAGGATTACAGGTGTCAGCCACTGCGCCTGGCGTAAAATTCTAATTTTAATATAGAATTTTATGGTTGCCTGAGCTTTAGGGTTTAGGGAGGAATATTCAACATCCAAGTTAATAATCATTTTTCTTTTCAGGACGTGGCTTTATTTCTCCAAGAATTTAATGCTCCTGATATATTCATGGGAGTACTGGCCAAGTCCAAGTGTCCTCGATTAAGAGTAAGTATGTACATTTCTAAAGCCTTCTTCTTTGAAGCAATAAGAACAGATAGTGCTGGATAGTCTTTTATTTTTCTCACTTTGATTTTCTTACTGACCATAAATCAACAAATCAGCCTGTAGATGTTAATTGAACATTGCCAGGTCCTAGGTAATTTGCTATTTAAATTTATTTTATTTTATTTTTGAGACAGGGTCTCACTATGTCTCCAGGGCTTGGAGTGCAGTGGCGTGATCACGGCTCACTGCAGTCTTGACCTCCTGGGCTCAAGGGACCCTCCCACCTCAGCCTCCCAAGTAACTGGGAGTATAGGTGTAAGCCACCACACCCAGCTAATTTTTATTTTTATTTTGTGGAGACAAAGGTCTCCTTATGTTGCCCAGGCTGGTCTTGAACTCCTGGCCTCAAGTGATCCTCCCACCTTGGCCTCCCAAAGTGCTGGGATTATAAGCGTGAGCTAAATGCCTGTAATAATTTAAAATATTAAATTATTAATAATTTAATAATTTAAAATTATGAAAATCATAGAATTTTAGATTCAGGCCGGACCAGGGAAATTAGCACTTTCATTTACCAGCTGTGGAGACGAGTTAGGCATAACCACTGTTATGCTGCTAGTATGTATCAGAACAAGGAACAGAGCCTGGGCCTCCCATTTTTCAGTTGATTTCTCTTTTTTACTGACAAAATCCACCATTGCTTGAAAACCATTCTAAACTCAGCCTGCTGCTTAAGACCTCTACTCTCTGAACCTAACTCATCTTTCCAGCATAAAATCTGGATAGCCAGGTAACCCTTCTGATTTAGCCAGACCTTTCTACTCCCTGTCTCATGCTGTCTCCGTGCCTCCCTTTGTGTGCCTTCTGTCCCCTCTCAGTATTTGCATCTGTTAATTCACAGTGGTACTTTTCCTTCCACACCTTCCCAAGTAAGTAAGTAAGCTTTCAGTAGTCATTGCTGTTAGTAAACTGCCAAGAACAATAGATAAAGACTAAAGGAGAGGCCTTTATATACTGTGCAGTGTACTGTGCTTTATTGCCAATTAAATTGCCATGTGCTATGCATATCATGGATTAGTAAATATCTGTTCAATAATTATAATTATGAAAAACTGCTGTTTACTGAATACCTGGTCTTACTACTATGAGGTATACTTTCAAAGAACTAAATCTTGGGTGAAGATATGTGTTCAGGGTCACACAGCTAGGAAAGAATGGAGCTGAGATTTCAGCCTAGGCCTGACTTCAGTATAACCACTGTACTGTATTTCCTCTCTTTCAGATTATAAAATGGAGAATTCCATAGTGTATTTTTACAAATTGAATGTTGAATTAGAATTCTTATTTAAGTAGAATGTTCTCTCTGAATTAGGGCCTGATTAACCGTTTTTTCCTTGATTCCTTATATTAATATAAGATTTGATGATTATGCTATTTTTATACTGAGTTTTTCTGTCTTAAATATATTTACTCACTACTAGTATATAAAGAAATAAGCTTATGTCAGGAATGGCACCTTTTAGGAATTAGTCATATTGTTGTATTATATCCGCTGGCCACCGTCTGCTGCCACAGTGATTCTCAGCCTTGGCTGCATGTTAGAATCACCTGGGACAGGGACTCTCAAACTTAAGCATGTCCCCGCATCACTAATTGCCGAGCCTCCCTCCAGAGTTTCTAGTCCAGTAGGTCCAGGATTCCTAATATGTTCCCAGGTGATGCTGGTGCTCTGGTGCATTGCCACACTCTGAGAAGCTTTACCCTAGGGAACTTTTGAAAATCTTGGTCAGGCCATACCCTAGATGAGTTAAAGCAGAATCTCCAAGTGTGAGACTCTGGGCAGCTTTTAAAGTTCCCCAGGTGATTCCAGTGAACAGCCAAGAAAAACTTGATCTTTGATTGGAAGTTCAGTTATTCCCTCTTTAGTTTATAAGGGAAATGTATGTGGTTTTTTTCTGCCCCTACTCACTCTTAATCTTTTCCCAACATTTGACCACCCACTTTTTATTGAAATTCCATTTCTATAGCTCCTGTGTCACCTCACTGTCGTCTCTGACCTCTTCAGTCACTCGTCTCTCACCTTTCATTGGCTTTTTTCTTTCTTCCTTTTTTATACTGTCCCGAATATGGACTTTTTCTAAGGTGTAGGCCCTGATCCTTTGTTCTCATTATATTCATTTTCCTAGTGAACTTATGTGTTCTTTACACCTTTAAGTTGCAACTCTGCCTGTAGGAGCAAAGCCTCGACTTCCCTTCTGATAACTGATGTCACATCTCCAACTTTGTTCAGGCATTCTCTGCTTGCACGCTCTACAGTTGTCCCTTGGTATACATGGGGGATGGTTGCAAGACATTCCCCCATACTGAAATCCACACATACTCAATTTAGCAGTCAGCTCTGTGGAACCTGTGTGTATGAAAAGTCAGCTCTGCATATTGTGCAGGTTTTGCATCTTGAGGACACTGTATTTTCAGTCCAAGTTTGGTTAGAAAAAATCCACCTATGAGTGGACCCACACATTCAAACCTGTGTTCAAGGGTCAGCTGTACTCTCTAACCCTGAATTCTGTATGTCCTCAGTGATTTATGGTCACACTTATCTAATCATAAAAGTCACCTGGTATATGCTGGGTAAACAATAGCTTTCCAGGCTCTACCCTGGAAATTATGATTCAGTAGATCTGAGATGAGATTTGGAAATCTGTATTTTTAACAAGCTCCCTGAGTGATTCTTATGTTCCAGCAAGGTTGGAAACACTGTACCATCTGAACTCATTGTAGCCTTTTATGCACTTTCTTTTTTAGTTTTCCTGTCAACGGGACCAATATCACTGATGGGGAAATGAGGCAACTTGAAAGCTAGGAGTCAAGTTCAACTGCTTTCTCCTTTATCCTCACACTGGATTATTTTGCTTTCACCTTGAGAGTCTTCCTCAGCTTCATCCTTTTCCATGCCTGAGGGCCCTCCTCCTCTTGCATCTTGATAACTGAGGTGCAGTTTGGAATAGTGGTTAAATGCTCAAGCTCTGGAGCTCTGCCGTGTTCTAGTTGGAGATCTTAAGATCTTAGGCAAGTAGCTTAACTTCTCTGTGCCTTAGTTTCCTCATCTGAAAAAATGGGGATACTATTAGTACCTATCACCTAAGTTATTATATGAAATTATACACAGAAAATGCTTAGAGTAATGCCTGGCCACCGTGAGTGGTAATAAACTGTTATTACATATTAATTAACTATTACTGAGATAGATTCTTAAGTTCTTTTCAACTTCTTTTCCCTATACACTAGTCTCCCCTTATCCTTGGGGGTTGCATTCCAAGGCCCCCAATGCCTAAAACCGAGGATAGTACTGAACCCTATTTATAATATGCACAAATTTCCTTTTCCTTCTTCACAGTTTCATGGATAGATTTGTTCTTAGAGATCCTAAGCAACCTCAGCATACATTTTTGTTTGTTTTTCTTATGAAGTCAAGAACTTTTACCTTTTCATGTAAAGAAAGCACTTAATGGCGGCTCCTTGGCATATCCAAATTGCCAGCATCACTACTCTTGTGCTTTGGGGTCATTATTAAGTAAAATAAGGGTGACATGAACACAAGCCCTGTGAGATATCCCGATGGTCGATCTGATAGCCAAGATGGCTACTAAGTAACTAATGGGCAGGCAGCACATACAGTGTGGATATGTTGAACAAAAGAATGATTCACATCCTGGGTGAGACGGTGCAAGATTTCATCGTGCTGCTCAGAAAGGCATGCAATTTAAAACATGAATTGTTTATTTCTAGAATTTTCTATTTAGTACTTTTATACCAAGGTTGACCATGGGTAACTGAAACCATGGATAAAGAGGGACTACACTAATACATTATGCATTTCGCCACCAGAGTAATCTTCCTAAGATACTGTTTCAGTATGTTGTCTCCCCTCCTTGAGCATCTTCATGATTCCAAATAACTTCCCAGATTAAGTCTAATTCTTCAGCACGGCATTCAGAGCCCTTAATCTCAGTCCTTTATACCTGCAGTATTTACCTCATGCTGTTCACCCACTTTGTGCCACAACCAGAGTACTTTATTGTCTACAGTATTCGCCATGTACATGATTCCCTTCCTGCCTTTGCTGATACTTTCCCCTTATTTGAATGTCTGTCTTTTTGTTTGCATATCTCATTCCTATCAATCATTTAAAACTCATTTTATCGATAGAAGTTCTTCTCGCATAGCTCCTGCCTTTGCCCTTTCTTGTTCTTACGTTTTTCATCCCTTCTCAAATACTGTAAGCTTGTCAAGGTTAGGGTACAGGCAGTATATGTATTTCTTTATCCTGCCTCCCCTCCGCCTTGCCCCAAAACTTGGCTCAGCGAAAGTTTTTGTTCAAGTTGATATTTTTGTTTACGTCTTTCGTCTCAGAGCCATTGTGACTTGTAAAATTTGATTTGGCAGGAAATCTGTGTGGGAATTTTAGGTAATATGGCCTGTTTCCAGGAGATATGTGTGTCCATCAGCAGTGATAAAAATCTTGGGTAAGTCTTACTATATAATTATGTTTTTTAATATATTCATTTATATCCTTAAGGAAATTCTAATACATAGGAAAAGTAGCAAATCTGAAAGACAGTCCTTTCTTTGTCTTGATGAACACTCTGTGGGAACTTCATTGTGTGTTGATGATAGCTAGGGGCTTCTTCAGGAGATACTGAAATGATTCAGGATTTAAGCCTGTTTTCTTCAGTAGCAAAGGAACCTGAATTGTCAGCTGGTGGCAATAAGCCAGATAGGGGAAGAACCAGTGGGCCAAAACTTGGAGATGGGGCAGCCAACTGGAATCCAAAACAGTTTAGGGGCAGGGAATCCAATGACTCAGCTGGAGTCTACAGAAACTAGATTTGTTGAATAATGTCATCCTGAGAGCTCTGACTTAGAGTGTAAGACTTGCCAACAACTGGAAGATAAAGGGTTGCCTCTCTGATGAAAAGACTTTCAGATATCTGCTTCGAGGCTCGTTCTCTTCTCCATGTGTAAAGTTCTGGGCAGAAGGTGTTTTAATGGAGGAAACCCCAGTGGTTACTGTGTTCGGAGAACACCCCGAAATTATATGCTGAATTTTGTGAGTGTATTAGTTTTCTAGGCAAAGGGTTCATGGCTTTTAATCAGAATCTCAAAGAAATTTGTACCCAAAATAGGTTAAGAAAACTGTTCTAGGCAGTTTTTGTCAGAGCTGGGGCCATGAGGGTTTTATCACAGGATTCAAGTACCTGGGTTTCTCAGAAAGAGAGAACTCCTAGTTGTGGAGGGACTTTAAGATCCTAGTTCAGAGTATTTATTCCTCAGTAATTTACCATCATCCATGGAACAAATGACTTAAGATTATGTTTGGTCTCTAATGTTCTCTATCAAAAATCCAAAAATGAGAAATGTTAACAAATGTTATAAATTCAGTTAAATGCTTGTCTTAATATTAGTGTGGTGCAATTTATATTGCTGATGGGATATAAATTTGTTGAACCACTTTAGTTGGGCATTATCTGGTCACGTTGGAACATATGCATGTGCTGTGACCAGCTCATAGTGGGCATATATGGTAAGAGAAACTGTGCACGTGTGCATCAGGATAACTCTTAACAAATATTGTAGGAGGATTGCTTGAAATAGCCCCAAATTGGAATCAACAGAAATGTCCATCAACAGTAGTCTGGAAAAATAAATTGTGTTATTTTCACACAATGGAGTGCTCTGCAGCAGTCTGTCAAAGAATAACAGCTAAAGAAACAACATGGGTAGATCTTACATGTATAATTTTCAGCAAATAAATGAAGACTCAATAAGTATAATTTATTTCATATGTTGTCTCCCCTCCTTGACTGTCTTCATGAATCCAAATAACCTCCCAGATTATGTCTATTTATTCAGCATGTCCTCTTAATCCTTTTACCTGCAGTATAAAGCAACACCAAAATATATAAAATAATAAAACTATAGTGCAAAGTAAGGAAATGATTGCTGGAAAAATCAGAATGGTCATCATTTCTAGGTGGGAAAGAGAATTGTGATTTGGAATGGACACATGGTGACTACAAAGATGCAGCTCTGTTCTGTTTCTTGGAAACACGAGTGTTTGCTTTATAATTATTTATTAACTATAGATTTGTATCTTTTGAGCTTTTCTGAATATATGCTGTATTTCACAATAAAGATGTTCAAAAAATTAAATGAAAACTCTGATATTTTAAATGCGAGAAGTGAGGCATATCGGTTAACTTCTTTGTTTTTGTAGGCAGGTGTTATTGCACTGTTTGTATGATTCAGACCCACCTACTCTGCTGGAAACAAGCAGGTATGCTTTTCCTTTTATGAATTCTATAAGGTTACTCATAAGAGTAGATAAGAAAAAAAAGTTAATTTTTTATTTTCGAATTTCCTTTACTGTTTTTTTTTTTTTTTTGAAAAGTAGAAATTCAACCCACGTTTACCATGTAGGTTGTTGCTTACTTGCCTTTCCCAGGCAGAAGTGGCCAGTGTTTGGGTTGAAAGGATCCAGGAACATCCAGCTATTTATGATAGCATTTGCTTCATTATGTCAAGTTCAACAAATGGTAAGTCATCATGTACTCTAGAAAAAAAATGTTTTAAATTGTATCTAATTTTTAGGAAACCATGTAACTATTTCTAGAAGTCACCTTTTTAAAAAAAGCCTTGAGTGCAAGGTAATGAAGTTTGTTTGAGACAGAATCTTGCTCTGTCACCCAGGTTGGAGTGCAGTAGTGTGATCATAGCCTACTACAGCCTCAAACTCCTGATCTCAAGGTATCCTTCTGTTAATCTCCCCAATAGCTGGGACTATAGTCATGCACCGCCATGCTCAGCTCATTTTAAAATTTTTTGTAGAGACGGGGTCTCGCTTTCTTGCCCAGGCTGGTCTCCAACTCGTGTGTTCAAGCAGTCATCCAGCCTTGGGCTCCCAAAAGTGTTGGGAGTATAGGTGTAAGCCACCATGTCCAGCTTTTTGTTTGTTTTTTTGAGAAAGTTTTTTGATTGAAGATACAAAATTTCTTAAACTCCTGGGACACTGATAAATTCCTCATTTAAAAATGAGGAAAGATAAGCAAATTTAAACATAAAAGATAAGTAAATCACCCTTTAGAATAAGTACTGCTTTGGCAAGATTTGGTTTTCTTAGAATAGCTTTAGGAATTTTGCTTAACCCTATTGCTTTTAGCAGTTTGTTTTTCATTTCAATATCTGTTTTATTCTCTGCAGTTGACTTGCTGGTGAAGGTGGGGGAGGTTGTGGACAAGCTCTTTGATTTGGATGAGAAACTAATGTTAGAATGGGTCAGAAATGGGGCTGCTCAGCCTCTGGACCAACCCCAGGAAGAGTCTGAAGAGCAGCCAGTGTTTCGGCTTGTGCCCTGTATACTTGAAGCTGCCAAACAAGTACGGTAGGTGAGCTCTTTTGTGTAAAATGTTCTGGGAAAATGCAATTGCTAGAAGTATTCTCAGATATAAAAGTCTTCTTATATTCCTTACAACAGAATAAAGTACATAGTCACTCCTTGTTACGTTAATTCACTACTACTATTTGTGATGCAACCTGTATAGTGGTTACAAAGTTCCTGTTATATTATCATTTAGCTATAGGCTGTTACTCAACATTAACTGTGGTTTCTGTCTTACCATATTTTATGTAATTTAAATCAAAGAGAAAACATTTTCTTGTGCTTTATTTTACATTGAACATTTAACAACTTCATTAACGTTGCACATCATTTGCTTTTTTTTGCTCCTTGTGTTTATATGCCAGTCTTCAATAAGTGACCGATGTTGGGACTCTGATGTCTTGCCAAGAGTGATTACTAAGCCTTACAGGTCATTAAAACTGTTTATTGCTAATCACTAGAAAATTAATTTTTAAATTGATCTGCTTAGTGTTTTTCTTAGTGCATTCTTAGTGCTGAGTAAGCCACATCAAAACCTATTAATTTTGTGTCCTTTATCCAAGTGAGGGATAAATTCATCATCTTTCCCTAAACCTGCTTCATCAGTATTCTCAATCTCAGTAAATGATGTAATCATTATCCTATTTGGATAATGTAGAAGAAATGGAGAAGCCAATTACTGAATCTTTCCTGCCCCAGTATTTTCCCATTGCAGTCAACTCCCAACCCTTATTCCTGACATTTTCTGGGATTCCATCCATGCCAATCAAGCCATTATTGTTTCTCATCTGGAGAACTGCCACATTCTTTTACTTGAATTCCCTGCCTCTATGCTTGCTCTTCCCAAGCCTAGACTTTAAAGCTGTTTTTGCAAAGTACGCACTCATTTCACTCTCATGCTTCGGTCTTTTCAGTTGCCTTCCTTAGGATAAGGTCCAGAAAAACAAACAAACAAACACAGCTTGGGTACTACATACATCACCTGGGTGATGGGACCATCCATATTCCCAAACCTCAGCATCATGCATGTAACAACCCCCAACATGTACCTTCTGAATCCAAAATATAAATAAATAAAATAGGGGAAAAAAGAATGAAATAAATGAAAAATTCTCAAAAAAATAAAGTACAGCTTATGGACCCAGTAGCGCTATCCTTATTCCTTGTACTCTGCGTTTCAGTCATGTGAAGTTTGCGTCACTTCTTCAACTGAACCAGGCTGTCTTGTCTCCAGGCCCTTGCACAGTATGTTTCCTCCACCTCAGACACTTCTTTGCCCCTTCATGTTTCTGTGTAAACATCATTTTTCTTAAGATACCTTCCCTGACCCTGCAAACTAAGTCTCCTTGCTTTGTGAAGTTCCTAGCCCATAGTGCTACATTAGTACCACTTTATTGTAATTACCCCACTTGGAATCTTCTTTCCTTTTAGAGTATAAAGTTTATGAAGGTAGGGATAACATCTTATACATCTGTTTTCTCAACTCCTAACATAGTGCCTGAAATTTGTAAGTACTTAAATAAACATTTGCCAAACCATTGTTTTAATTGTTCACTGTCTTTTCACTTGTTTGGTTGAAGAACTAAGATTTTGAGTTTCCAAACTATTTAGATTTTTGAGAATCCAAACGGTTGATCATAAGAATTAGACTTACATGGTTTTAGTGTTCTCAGCTAGGGAGCTAGGTTAATCCTGAGACATTTTCAGAACATCATTATTGTTGATGCGTGATGCAGCGGACCTTAACGTTCATACTATAAAAATCGCAGTCTTTTTTTGTTCTGATTATTCAAGCAAACCAAAATGATAAAGTATCAACTGGTAGGTTTCTGCGTTGTTGCTTTTATGAGATAGAGCCAAAAAGTTTTTTTACTTCTTGTCCTGTGTGTGTTGATTATATTATATAATATTTGTTTATTTTTTGCTGTTTCCCCTATTAGAATATAAAAGCTCTAACGAACACAGAGACTTCGTTCCTTTCCTTGTTTTATCCTCAGCACCTTGAACAGTGGCTGGCAGAGTAATAAATATTTATTGAATGGAGGAATGATTGGAATCCCCTGGACAGTAAAGTTGTTGATTCAGTGCTTTTACTTTTCCTATTTAGTTCTGAAAATCCAGAATGGCTTGATGTTTACATGCACATTTTACAACTGCTTACTACAGTGGATGATGGAATTCAAGCAATTGGTAAGGTGGTTTATCGGGATGCACTACAGTTACTCATTTAATTGTTTGCTGATTTTAAAGTACTGCTTTATTTGTCCTCTTTATTAAGTACATTGTCCTGACACTGGAAAAGACATTTGGAATTTACTTTTTGACCTGGTCTGCCATGAATTCTGCCAGTCTGATGATCCACCCATCATTCTTCAAGAACAGAAAACAGTGCTAGCCTCTGTTTTTTCAGTGTTGTCTGCCATCTATGCCTCACAGACTGAGCAAGAGTATCTAAAGATAGAAAAAGGCAAGTACAGTTTCCCAGGCTCATACTGTTTTTCATTTCATTTATTTCTCCCTTTTAAAAAATGCTTTCATTTCCCTAATTATAAAAACATTACATGCTAAACTTCAAAAATTTATTTTATTATCATATTTATTTATTTTATTTTTTATTGATTTTTATTTTTTGGAAACAGAGTCTTGCTGTGTTGCACAGGCTGGAGTGCAGTGGTACAATCTTGGCTCAGTGTAACCTCTGCCTCCTGGGTTCAAGTGATTCTCGTGCCTCAGCCTCCCAAGTACCTGGGATTACAGGCGCACACCACTATGCCCAGCTAATTTTTGTATTTTTTCAGTAGAGACGGGTTTTTACCGTGTTGGCCAGGCTGGGCTCGAACTCCCGACCTCAGGTGATCCACCCACCTCGGCCTCCCAAAGTGCTGGGATTACAGGCGTGAGCCACCCCACCTGGCCTGTTTACTTATTTTAAAGCCAGAGTCTTATTTTGTTGCCCAGGCTGTAGTGCAGTGGCAGGATCATAGCTCACTGCAACCTTGAATTCCTGGGCTCAGGTGATTGTCTCACCTCAGCCTCCTGAGTAGCTGGGACTACAGGCACATGACGCCACACCTGGCTAGTTTTTAAATATTTATAGAGACAGGGTCTCACAATCTTGCCCAGGCTTGTCACAAACTCCTGGGCTCAAATGACCTTCCTGCCTTGCCTTCCAGAGTGCTGGGATTACAGGCATGAGCCACTGCACCCTGCCGAAAAATTTATAAAAAATATCAAGGAAACATGATGTTTGTAATCTTACCATCCCACACATGCACATATATTTAATTCTGCTTTTTAGCCAACATTTCATTTAGAAATATAAAATGAATATTTTCCTATATAAACACATATTCTTTCACAGAATTGTTTTTATGACCACAATTAAATTCATGATTCATTTAGAATTTATTCTCGTGTCACATGTGAAGTGTGGCTTTAATTTTTTTTCCCCCTTTGATAACTTTGGTTCTAGTGGTATCAGTTTTTTCCCAGAGGGCTACCCAGTTATCTCAACATCATTTAGTGAATAATCCAGCTTACCCACACTGATTTGAAATTTCATCATTATTTTTAAAATTCCCCTATATATTCTGTTCAGTTCCATTGCTGTATTCATATATTAGTAGCCATAGTGTTTTTAAATATTAAGGTTTTATGTTTTAATACCTAATAAGGCAAATTCCTCTTCATTCTAAGTTTTCAGAATGTTTTTAACTATTTTTATCACTAACTTTGAGTTCCAAAAACAAAAAATTTCTGACATTTTTGTTGACATCGTGTTAACTTGATAGGATATGTTATGCCCTTTTATTTGTTCAGGTCTTTTTTGTGTCCCTCAGTAATGGTTTCTTCATATGGATCTTGGATATTTCTTATTAGTTTCATTCCTAGATAATTGTATCTTTTGGGTTTACTATTGTCTGTGACATATTTTCTTCCACTGATTATTATTGTTGGAATATATGAAGGCTATTGATTTTGGTATATTAACTTTGTATCCTGTAACCTTACCAAATTCTTAATATTTTTAGTAGTCGTTCCAGTAATAATCTTTGGGCTTTATCTGATAGTGCTTTGGCTTAAGTTAGATATATTTTATCACTTGTCTATCTCTGGTTTATTCTTCTTGTCTTTCTGGGTTGCCTAGAGTCTCTGGTGTAAAATAATAGTGATGGTAGAAAACATCCTTACCTTCTTCCTGATTTTAGTAGGAATAATCCTAGAGTTCCATTGTTAAGCATTATTGGGTATAAGATATATGTTTTACAGCCAGGTGCTGTGGCTCACACCTATAATCCCAGCACTTTGGGAGGCTGAGGCGGGCAGATTACCTGAGGTCAGGAGTTCAAAGTCAGTCTGGCTAACATGGTGAAACCCTGTCTCTGCTAAAAATACAAAAATTAGCCAGGCTTGGTGACGCATGCCTGTAATCTCAGTTACTCAGAAGGCTGAGGCAGGAGAGTTGCTCGAACCTGGGAGGCAGAGGCTGCAGTGAGCTGAAATCACGCCATTGTACTCCAGCCTGGGCAGCAGAGCAATACTCCGCACCCCCCCTCCAAAAACAGATATATGTCTTACCATTTAAGGAAATATTAATCTGTTTCTATTTTATTAAGAGTTTTTAATAAAAAAGGAATGTTGAATATTTTTAAGATCTTCATTTGTAGATACGTTACCTCATTGAGAAGGTGGCATTGAGTACAGTCCTTAGGGACAGAATGGAGGGAGTCATGTGCATACTTGGGGAGAAGAACATTCCAGACAGAGGGAATGGAAAGTGTAAAAGCCTTCAACCAGAAGTATGCCTGGTGTCTTTGAGGAGGAACAGTGAGATCCCATATGGCTGGGGTGGATTTAGCAAAGTAGCACATGGAGCCAGAGAGGTAGAGTATGGAGGGCCTGATGTTGCCTTTTCCTCTGAATGAGGTGGGGAACCATGGTGGGTTTTAAGCAGAAGTTGCCTACGCATGAGCTGGCTTTAATAGGCTGCTGTTTTGATGAGAAATATGGGGAGTCATGGGTACAAAAGGGACATGAGTTAGGAGGCTTTTAGAGATTCTTCATAATTGACTCATAGCAAGAAATGTTATAACTTGGACCAAGATGGTAACAGTGGTAGTGGTAGAAAAATCCTGTGAGCTAATTTTTTTGTACTTTTTGTAAAGACACGGTTTCACCATATTGCTCAGGCTGGTCTCGAACTCCTGGGCTCAAGCTACCCGCCCATCTTGGCCTCTCAAACTGCTCAGATTACAAGCGTGAGCTACCACCCCTGACCTCCTAGGGTATTTTAATTGCTGATGCTTCATTGCTTTAGTTCTCAACTCAATGTTACCTTGTCAGAGAGCTAGCCCTGCTAGGCTGCTATATTATATTCCTCTTTTATTTCCTTCATAGAACTTAACCAAAACCTGAAATAGTCTGTTTTATTTACTTATTTGAAAGTATAAAAATGTAAGCCTCTTATGGGCTGACATCTTGCTGATGTTACCAGTGTATCTGTAATACCCAAAATAATAATGTCTAGCACTAATTCAATACATATGAATGAAAAACCAAACTTAACTGGCCAATTCCATGCTTCTTGATTTGTTTATACAGTAGATCTTCCTCTAATTGACAGCCTCATTCGGGTCTTACAAAATATGGAACAGTGTCAGAAAAAACCAGAGAACTCGGCAGAGTCTAACACAGAGGAAACTAAAAGGACTGATTTAACCCAAGATGATTTCCACTTGAAAATCTTAAAGGATATTTTATGTGAATTTCTTTCTAATATTTTTCAGGCATTAACAAAGGTAGGAAAGAAGTATTGATGATGTCATAAGCAAAAGAAAGTGTGGGTTGCTTAACGCTTCAAACTTTATTTTTTTTTAAATATGAAAGTAATATATAATTTGGGAAAATAAAGTAAAATCTTAATATCACCATGAGTTTATAATCTTAAAAACAACTAGCTGATGTGGTTTGGTATATTTACGTGTGACAGACATATGCCTATGTTTGCATGCATGTGTTTTTATAAATGCATTTTTCATATACTTTAACCCAGCATATGCAATTTTTATAGACTACTGTTTTCCCTTAACACTGTATTATAAACATTTTTCTTGATTCTAGATGAAAGACTTTTTTACTGAGAGCCAGTTTAAACCTAATTTACCAAATAATCAGTTTTCAAAATTTACTGCAAACTTCTTTTAAGGAACATTCTCCCTGAATATGTTCAATGGTTATTAATATTCTTCTTTTGACCATGTTTTTTCTATCCATATATTTGGAAAGAAATGTATTATGAATATGTTATGAATATATTGTATTATGAATATAAAATGTTATAAATATAGCTGTGAAGAATATATTTATTCATACCCACTTAATTTTTTAAAGAGTATTCCTTAAGAAGTTTCTCTTGGCCAGGCGCCTATAATCCCAGCACTTGGGAGGCTGAGGCAGGTGGATCACTTGAGCCCAGGAGTTTGAGACCAGTTTGGGCAACATGGCAAAACCTCATCTCTACAAAAAATACAAAAATTAGCTGGGCATGGTGGCACACGCCTGTGATCCTAGCTACTTGGGAGGCAAAGATGGAAGGATTGCTTGAGCCCAGGAGGTCGAGGCTGCAGTGAGCCCAGACTGTGCCACTACACTCCAACCTGAGCGACAGAGTGAGACCCTATCTCAAAAAACAAAATGAAACAAAAAGTTTCTCTTATTCTGGTGATTTTTTTTTTATTAGTTGTCTTGCTTCCCTTTTCCATATTTGTATTTTCCAGATTTGGGGTTATTACCTTAGCAGGTTTTATATAATTTAAATTACTGGATTCAACATTATAAATGTGAAGATGGCTAAGTCATGATGGCCATATTTTGTCAAAATGCTATTTATATGTGAAAATGTTGGTTTTACTTGACGCTTATTATTGGGTATTATAATTTTTATGTCAAAGTTCAGGTAATAAATTGTGTCTTACTTTGATTTGCATTTTTAAATTAATGAGATTGAAATATTTGGATGTCGTATGTTAATTTGTTTCCTACCTTTTAATAATTTATCCATTTTGATTATTTGTATGAATTTCTTGGGTAATAATGTATCTTTTCCATATTTATCGCATGTATTTTTTTCCCATTCTTTGCTGTTGTTTCTGTTTTTTGGAGCAAGGGACATCGATATTTCTTAACTTTTAAGTGGTGGGAACATCAAAGAAAGGTGGGCTGAGAATACACGAGTGCTATGTCATGCAAATTCTTATGTCATATTTAGGGGATTTAGACTTCATCTTGAAAAAGCTGAGGAACTACTAAAGATTTTTTACTTTTAAGCACCAAGTGATACGATCAGTTTAGAAAGATTACTCCAAAAGCAATAGAGAGGAAGGAGTAGAGAGAGTTGAGGCTGGAGGGCAGGAGATCAACTAACAGGCTCTTGTGGTTGGTAATCTTCAAGAATAATCTGAAAAATGATGGCAGCCTAAACAATGGAAGTTTGAATGGAGAGGAGGGATGGGGGTAAGAGAGATTTGGTAGAATAGAATTGAGCACTTGCCGGGAGGAGTCAGCAGGAGGGGAGAAGGAAAAGTCTTGGCTGTGTTCCAAGTTTGTAGTCTGTGTAGCAGGGTGGATGGTGGTGCCCTTCACTAAAGTAAAGACGACAGTGGAGAACATGTTTGGGTTACATAAGCCTCCTTGATGTTGGTGGGTTCAGGTGGGACATTTGAAATGCCTATGAAGTCAGGAGGGAATTGAATATCCTGATTTGTTTTTATTCACTAGTTAAAGCTTGAAAAATTTTCCTTTTTTGACATTAAATCTTGTTGTTGTTTTAGGAGACGGTGGCTCAGGGAGTAAAGGAAGGCCAGTTGAGCAAACAGAAGTGTTCCTCTGCATTTCAAAACCTTCTTCCTTTCTATAGCCCTGTGGTGAGTATGGGTAAATGTATATAGGTGGCCAAGTTTTGTAGGATTACTAAATGTTTTCAAGTAAGCACTTGATTTCGAGGTCATTGTCAAAAATGATAGTATATACAATTTATATGACTTAATGCCTTTGTCAGATAGATGACTGCTGGAAACAGAAAACCAAATACCGTATGTTCTCACTTGGAAGTAGGAGCTAAACCATTGGATACTATGGACATACAAATGGGAGCAGTAGACACTGGGGACCACAGGAGGAGGGGAGGGAGAGAGGGAGGGCAAGGGCTGAAAAACTACCTATTGGGTACTAAGCTCACTGCCTGGGTAACAGGTTCATCTGTGCCTCAAACCTCGGCATCATGTAATATACCTTTATAACAAACCTGCACATTTAGACTCCCCTGAGTCTACAATAAAAGTTGAGGGAAAAAAAGATGACTACTGGAAAATTCATAATAGTATTGGGAGTAACAATTCTAAGAGGAAAAAAATAAGCTCTGAATTTATAGTACTCCTTTCTGTTATGAAGTAGATAACATCTATATTAAGCCAAAATCAGATTCTTGGGAATAGTCAGTAGGTTTTTATGGTTCTTCAAATGACATCACATTTCCTACCATTAGAATCAGATTTCAAAATAGGAACTTTTTCAGGAAAATGAAGGACAGAATGTGGGAACAGACTGTAAAGAAGAGGCGGGGGGAGAAGTACTAGCTCAAGAGTAAAACGGAATGGGAAAGCATAGTCATTTCCTTGAGAATGATTTAGAAGACTGCTTAGGAAGTACTGTTACTATCATCTGGAGATCTGCCAGCATTTCTTTTCCATTGGACCATTTAGAAACCACAGGTAGAGCAATCAGTACCTTAAAGCACGTTTTTCTCTTCTGTGTTTGATTTTTGTTTGTTTGTTTGACTCACAGGTGGAAGATTTTATTAAAATCCTACGTGAAGTTGATAAGGCGCTTGCTGATGACTTGGAAAAAAACTTCCCAAGTTTGAAGGTTCAGACTTAAAACCTGAATTGGAATTACTTCTGTACAAGAAATAAACTTTATTTTTCTCACTGACAGTTGAAATTGACTTATTGGAAATATTAACTAAAGCCCATATTAGACCATAATTGTCTGGTGTTAACATTTTTCTGTCCTAGACTTGTCTCACTTTTTTTGACTTTGGAATCTGAGGTTTCACCACTGTCACCCCTCTTTTTATGTGATATTTATCATCCTCAGTTGAGGAAAGCAAAAATGTAAGCTTATCATTGAGGTTCTTTTTAGGATATGTGCGAGATCAGTGTTGATTTTCTTCATAGCTGTTAATTTTGTTTGTTTGTTTGTTTGTTTTGAGACAGAGTCTCACTCTGTCGCCCAGGCTGAAGTGCAGTGGTGCGATCTCAGCTCACTGCAAGCTCCGCCTCCTGGGTTTATGCCATTCTCCTGCCTCAGCCTCCCGAGTAACTGGGACCACAGGTGCCCGCCACCACGCCTGGCTAATTTTTTGTATTTTTAGTAGAGACAGGGTTTCACTGTGTTAGCCAGGATGGTCTCGATCTGACCTCGTGATCTGCCCGCCTTGGCCTCCCAAAGTGCTGGGATTACAGGCGTGAGCCACCGTGCCCAGCCTAATTTGATTTTTTTAAGTGAGAATTACGTCTTTGTATCCACTGTTAAGTATATTCAGCTGCAGTAACAGAAACCCTCCTGTAGCAGCTGAATCTGATCTCTTTCAGGAACCTTATGCAAAAATCCAGATGTAATGAGGTGGCTCCTTTCACCCTTCACGTGGTCTGCCAGGTAGGCCTTTGCGTTCATGTTTATTGCCTTGTGGTTAAGGGGGCTGTGCCATCTCTGGGCCTTTATCCACATTCAGGAAGAAAAAGGGAGAAAGAGAAGGGGCTTTTTCCTACCAAGTCTTTATGTGTGTTTGGCTGGGTTGGGGGGGTGCTTTTTAATAGATTTTTAAGAAAATATCTGTTAGGAATAACAAAGCCAGCTTTCTGAACCTCACTTTTGGTATAGCCCCTTCCCAATTTATATCAGTTTTTTGGCTTTAAAGCATTGGTCTTGCCTCATACTTTGTTTTCTTTCCTTGAGAGATTTTTGGTGATAAAACCAGATTTTTGGTGATAAAAACAGTAATCTTATTGGTAAGAGATAATATGATTTCCAGTTTAGAGGTAGGTTTATGGTTGGAAGTGTCACTGCTGAAAAGAACTGGAACATAAAAGTAAAATCTTACAGGTGAAATCTCATTGGTAGGTTTATATATACTACACTGTATGTATATTCGCATGTCCTCAGTGCTGACCTTATTGGTAGACTGAATTGACTATATTCAGTATGAGATTTCAAAGGCACTGATGAAATCACTCCTACCTGCTAGCTGACACGAAAATTCCACTCTTGGTTTTTTTTTTGTTTAAGTTTAAGCTTAAGATGCAAACACTGATTAAGAATAATACTTGAGGTTATTAGTTATGTTTACCTCAGTGCATATGAATTTCACTTTTTTTCTGAGAGCATGTTTTTTGTTGTTTTTTTGTTTGTTTGTTTTTAATTTTTTTTCTTTTTTTTTGAGACGGAGTCTTGCTCTATCGCCCAGGCTGGAGTGCAGTGGCGGGATCTCGGCTCACTGCAAGCTCCGCCTCCCGGGTTCACGCCATTCTCCTGGCTCAGCCTCTCGAGTAGCTGGGACTACAGGCACCAGCCACCACGCCCAGCTAATTTTTTAAATATTTTTAGTAGAGACGGGGTTTCACCGTGTTAGCCAGGATGGTCTCGACCTGACTTCATGATCCGCCCGCCTCGGCCTCCCAAAGTGCTGGGATTACAGGCGTGAGCCACCACGCCCAGCCTTCTGAGAGCGTGTTTTAAAACGGGAAGCACAAGGACCTTATGTACCTGAAGGAGTGTTCCACAAAAATGGCAAATTACAGAGGGAGGAGGAGAAAGGATAGTAGTGGGAAGGCAAGGAGTGTCCAATTTATTTTCTGCTCACATTTCTGTCTTGGACCTACACTGTTTACTTTGTTACTTCTTTATTGTTAGCATTATGAGTTTTGGTACATATTTTCATAGTACTTTGGTATGTTTGAAAACATCCTATATCTATAAATTATGATACTTTTAAGTGACCAGTGTTAAAGCATTTTTAATGCTGCATGTTCTGAAGAATTCACTCACAAGATTTAGTGCTTGAATCAGTTGCAGTGATATTTTGAAATGGTGCTTTCTCCAGAACCATAAATATGAAATTTTATATACAGATGAAATTATATACACAAATGAAATGGAAACTCATTTTTTTCCCTATACTGTTTGGCAGGGAAGAGGAAAAATGCAAAATGAGCTTGAGTTAGCATTTGTTATATTGAGTTTGATATTTTAAGTACCTAAACCACTAAGAAAGAAGGCATGGTTTCCTTCCACTGTTTTTGTTTTTGTTTTGTTTTGTTTTGTTTTGTTTTTAAGATATTTTATCCCCTACAGCAAATGGGATATAGCTAAACTGTTGTTTTCTTGGTGGGTTCAGCTTTCCAGATCAAGAGTTTCCCCACTCTATGTTTAGTATTTTCTGTTGCCTTGCTTTGAATTAGTTACTGAATAATTTTGGTATGTAAGTGGGAAAAAGTTTAAGAGCCACCTCTCAGCCTGATATACTTTTTTTTTTGGTGAAGCACATGTAGAAACCGACTATAAGCATTAAAAAACAACCTCTATTAGGGGTTCAGAAAATCTTAAGTGTATGAAATATTGAACACCATTATCTGTTCTTCAGGACTGGGCAATGATGCTGTGTCTGAGCTAGCTGTGAAGCTGATAATCTGTAACTCTAGTATTCTATTTCTTCAACTAATATTCTTTTTTAATTAATATTCTTTATGACCTAATCAATAGCCTTTTTAAAAAAGAAGAAATAGGTCCATATTAATTTAGGACTGAATTATTTATTCTACTTGAGCATGTGTTCTCTTTTACCACTTTGGAACTTCAGTTTCCTCCATGCTCCTGTCAGAAGTTTTAAGAAAGGGAAAATAGGCAAATGCCCCTCTTAACCATACCATATTTTTCTTTCCTATTTTTTTTTTTTTTTTTTTGGAGATACGGATCTCACTATATTCTTGCTAAGACTGGTTTCAAACTCCTGAGCTGAAGCAATCCTCCTGCCTCAGCATCCTGAATAGAATATGTTTTCTTTTTGTTGCTGGTTTGAGATCCAAGAACCATTATTAAAAGTTATATATTTATAGTGAAATAGTATGATGTCTTGGATTTGCTTCAAATTAGTCTGGGGCAGAGGGAAAGAAGTAAGTTAATGGAGTAGATGAAACAAGACTGGCTGCGAATTGGAGTTGCTGAAGCTGGGTGACAATTACATGGGGTTCCATTATACTTTTTTTTTTTTTTTTTTCAGAGACAAGGTCTTGCTCTGTTGCCCAGGCCAGAGTGTAGTGGCACACTCATAGGTTACTGCAGCCTCAAACTCCTGGGCTAAAGCCATCCTTCTATCTCAGTCTCCCAAATAGCTGGGACTATGGGTGCATGCCACCATGCCCAGCTAATTTTTATTTATTTATTCATTTTTATTTTATTTTGAGACAGAGTCTCACTCTGTTGCCCAGGCTGGATTGCAGTGGTGTGATCCTGGCTCACTGCAACCTCCGCCTCCCAGGTTCAAGCGATTCTCCTGCTTCAGCCTCCTGAGTAGCTGGGATTACAGGCACGCACCACCACACCTGGCTAATTTTGTGGGTTTTCTTTCTTTCTTTCTTTCTTTCTTTTTTTTTTTTTTTTTTGAGACGGAGTCTTGCTCTGTCACCTAGGCTGGAGTGCAGTGGCGCAATCGCGGCTCACTGCAACCTTCACCTCCCGGGTTCAAGCGATTCTCCTGCCTCAGCTTCCTGAGTAGCTGGGATTACAAGCGCATGCCACCATGCCCGGCTGATTTCTGTATTTTTAGTAGAAACGTGGTTTCACCATGTTGGTCAAACTTGTCTCAAACTCCTGACCTTGTGATCCGCCCACCTCTGCCTCCCAAAGTGCTAGGATTACAGGCGTGAGCCACCATGCCTAGCCTAGCTAATTTTTATATTTTTAGTAGACAGGGTTTTACCATATTGGCCAGGCTGGTCTGAAACTCCTGACCTCAGGTGATCCGCCTGTCTTGGCCTCTCAGTGGGCTGGGATTACAGGCGTGAGCCACCACACCTGGCCTATTTATTGATTTTGTAGAGATGGGTTCTCACTGTTTCCCAGGCTTGTCTTGAACTCCTGGCTGCAAACAATCCTGCCTCAGCCTCCCAAAGTGCTGGGCTTGCAGGTCACCACACCTGGCCTTCCTGTTAAAGGTTTATAAAAGCAAATAAATGATACACAACTTAAGCTTTAATTTGATTATGAATGATGCTTATTCCTTTTATGTCATTGGGCTAGTCAAACTTACAAGAGCCTGGGCCAATGTAGTCTTGAGTCTTGTGGGCCAGTCCAGCAACCAAAAAAAAAACCACAGGTGAGACTGGAAGCAGGAGGGAACCTTGTGGTGGTGCTGCTAGCCCTCCACTCACCTCTCATACTATTTGTTCATCAACCTGACTGCTTTGTATTTCTATATAGAATGCAAAATCTGCATCGCTAAGCTTTTATGATGTATCTTAGATAATTTGCATGAGGTCACATTTGCTTAAATCCAATTTTATACAACCCAAGGAACATCTGTAATATAAAAGCCAGAAAACCTCCATAAGTTCACATTTCACAGCCAAGGATTTCGTAATATCAGGCTACTCCTTCTATCATTATGATTGTGCCCATGTGATTGCCCTTTCTGAACAACTGTGTTTTCCCTGGACGTTTGCAAGATTCTATAGTGTAGTAACATCATGGAGTAGGGCATTCTCATTTTATCCTAATTGTTCATGCCTCAGGGCTCTGGCAAGGATCACAATTCTGGGAGAGGGTCATGCCACACTGAAATTAGACCTGGAGGGGAGAGGATCTGTACCCAAGGAGGTGGCATCAGGGTCTGCTCTGAGTCCCTGTGTCACCTGGCTTCCTTATTTCCGTTTCTTCTTTCTTAGGACTTCAGCTTGTCTGTGGTCTCTCAAGACCACACCAGCCTGTCTTTTTTGGGGGGTTGTGTTCTGCCAGCTTAATCACTTTATTCTCTTGGTATTTCTTTAAATTTGTGAGAGAGAAATTCTTGCGCAGTTACTAGTCTTTTTGTATCAAGCAGTGTGAGTCACCTGTGATTTGGCTACTTTGGGCTAAGTGTGTGACCCAACACAATCAACTAAAGTTGAAATTAAAATGAGTGTGATACGAAATTTACCTCAGGACACAGAAGGATGTGGTAGACACCAGACTTAATTTCCTGTTAGAGATGACCGCCATTTATTGAGGATTTACTATGTGTCAGATGCTCTGTAAAGGTCTTTAGGTATATTATTTAATTTTGCAATAATCCCATAAGGTAATTGTCACCATTTTATAGATGGAGAAATGAAGATTCAGAGTGGTAAAATAACTTGCTGAAAGTTATTTAGGTAGTAAGTAGCTGACCCAGGGCTTGGATCTGGACCTGCCTAGCCTAATGAATATTCTTTTAGCCACTATACTGTACTTGCATACTGTGGGGAGGCATGGACTGGAGCATGAAGGTCTTGATAGATCACATGGAAGAGACAGCTAGGCTATCTGCACATCCACGTTCCTTTCTCCAAAATTGCCGCTGGACTGCCCACATTCTTCCCCCGGTTACAGCGTATGGTTTAATAAGGGAATTACTCCTAACCCAAGCTGGACAACTCAGGTTGGCTCAAGGACACAGGACTCTAGACCACGTAACTTACAAGGCTGAGGGCACTATTTGGGAGGAGGCAGCCAGTCATATTTATCATCCACTATGTACCAGGTATTCTAAGGACTAGGAAGACAGCAGTAAACAAAACAGACAAAATCTGTGTAATAGAAATACTGTGGACAAAGCAGAAAAAATCTTGACCTAGTGGGCCTGGAATTCCAGAGTCATGTGTAAGAAGAACAGAGGAAGAAGCTGGTCTGCATAGAGGTCATGCATCCTGTAGCAGACTGGATCATTATTCTCGATTCTTCACCTCTGTGTATCGTGCCCTTGCCATGGCTTCTCCGTGAATGGAGTGTACTTCCCTGTCCCTTGACTTTGAGCTTGACCAAGTCACTTGCTTTGGCCAATAGAATGTTAATGGAGCTGATGTAAGCAGAGTACTTTTAGCAGTTTGCTTGTGCTCCTGTCATTTACCGTGAGAAGAGCATGCCCTGGGTAGCCATTGATCCATGAAGGATGAGAAACATGGAGCAAACCTAAACCCAGTCTGCAGCCGGTGCTGGGTGTGGTGGCTTACACTTGTAATTCCAGCTACTTGGGAAGCTGAGGTAGGAGGATTGCCTGAAGCCCAGGAGTTTGAGGCTGCAGTGAGCTATAGTCGTGTCACTGCACTTCAGGATAGGTGACAGAGCAAGACCGCATCCTCTAAAAAAAATTTTTTTTTTTTAATCTGCAACCTGGAGTCCAGCCTAACCTAGCTGAGTTGCAGCCAACCTACAGATCTGTGATGAGTAGTTAAATGATTATTGTTTTGAATCATTGAATCTTGGGGTAGTTTGTTACACGTCTTTACTGAAGTAACCTCTCACTGAAACAGCATGAAAGAAAAGCTGCCTTAATGCTCAGCCGCTTTCCAGCTTCATGTCACAGTCTCATGGGTTCCAGCAGTAATTCCTGCTTTAGGTTGTCTGTAAGATATGCCCAAATCGCTATAGTAAATTTAACTTATAATAAATTCTACTTGGGATATGATCATTTGCATTCCCATCTTTAAAAAAAAATGGCACCGGGAATGGTGTAATAAGTGACAGACAGAGAAAATGTGGAAGTGTCTGTGGGATTACAGAAGGGTAGGATGCAGGGTAGTGAAAGTTCCCCAATTCTGGATGAGACACAAACCATCCATGATATAAGGTTCTGAAGAGCCAACTGATTGATTTCTTGTGTGTCCTTGAGATCTAAACCACAGGCCTCATGGGGCTGAGGAGGATTTTTTTGTAAAACGTAGTGGAAAAGGGAAACTCTCTGGTCCTCAGTGGCACATCACCATGCTGAGTGTGACCTTGAAGGCAGTGAGAAGCCCTTAAAGTGTCATGATCACTGAAAGCCTTCTGAGGGAGGAGGGGCTTGATACAGAGAGGTTTAGCAGTAGACACAACTGGATTTGGGCATCAGTTTGAAGCAAAGGAGAGTGAGAAGTTAAATCCAGAATTCTGGATTAGGTGACTGAATAGATGATGGCGTCATTCATCATGATAGGGAAGTAATCCAGGAAGAGTTGCAGGTAAAGGTGGGTAAAAGACGTGTTCAATTTTGAATACCTGTTGGACATCCACATGGAGATGTCCCATTTCCATACAGACTTGGAACTCTGTGAGAGAGTGGGCTAGAGATACAGCTTAAGGACTTAGGACAAAGCTCCAAGGAATACAAACATTTAAAGGGCTAACAATGTCGATGAAAGAGACAGGTTGTACAGAGACACTGGACTAAATTGGGAGAGATTTACAGCTTATAAGTGACAGTTCACAAGGAAATAGTACATTTGAAGCTGAACACCAGATCCACTGTTCTCACCTCTGAACATGACTGCTCCACCTAGGGCTTAGGAAAAGTAGCTCCGTGTGATGAATTGGCGCTGGACACTCAAAATCATAGCCTTCTACAGAAAGGTTTCCTATAAGGATATTTCCTGTAAGGAACTTATATTTCACACCCATGCTTGACCAAGCAGGTATGGCATAATGGGAAGCATGTTTTTTAAAAAGGGAAACAACACATTGGATATGCAATACGATTTTGATTTTGTTAAAATACATAGAATATTGAACAGAAATAGATCATATCAAACAGAAATAGAACACACATTAGTGGTGAAAATGAAAAAGAAAACCATTGATCAAGGTGATCAAGGGTCAGTATGACCTTGACCAAGTCAGTTAGCTTTTCTGAGCATCCTCATCTATAGAGTAGAGATGAGGTTAAATTGCCTACCCTGCAGGATTACTTGAAGTGTTAATGAGATTAAACTAACACTGGAAATTGTAAAGGCCTGTACAAATCTCACATATTAGGGAGCTTCCAAACACTAATGTTTTGTTCCAGGGAAATCTGTTTCTAAGGGGGCCTCACCAAAATGATGTTTGATGTTGGTTAAAATGAATTGGCTGATCACTTCTTAGGTTTTCTTGAGTGAGATCTGAAAAGTCTCAAAACTCTGAAAATTCTACAGCCATGTTTATTTTTCACTAGAGCTAAACTAAGTAAAGATGTACCATGCTTGATATTTCATTGCAAATCTGATTTGTACTGGAGCATCAAGAACTCTTTAGTCGTGGTCTTATTGTATACTTTGTGCTGCCTCTAAACACCTTTCCTTGTTTTTTGAGACGGAGTCTCGCTCTGTCACCCAGGCTGGAGTGCAGTGGTGCGATCTCAACTCACTGCAACCTCCACCTCCTGGGTTCAAGTGATTCTCCTGCCTCAGCCTCCCGAGTAGCTGAGATTACAGGAGCCCGCCACCATGCCCAGCTAATTTTTGTGCTTTTAGTAGAGATGGGTTTTCACCATGTTGGCCAGGCTGGTCTCGAACTCCTGACCTAAAGTAATCCACCCACCTCGGCCTCCCAAAGTGCTGGGATTACAGGCTGCAGTGAGCCACTGCACCCGTCCTAAATTAACTTTTAAACACCAGCTTCCTGTGTTCCACTGCCAAGGCTACAGCCCATATTTATAAAAACTATTCTGCTTGCTAGAACACCTCATAATTACATACTGACCTTGTATCAATATTGAGCTTGTTGACCTGCAGGCTGTTTAGAGGTTCAGGACTTACCAGACCATCTGCCAAATGCTGCCATTGGTAATGCTTTTCTCTATTACTGTAATGAAATCGCTAAAATCATTTCCTGTTCCCAGTCCTTGTTCAGATCTTCTATCTACTGTCAATAAAAGGATATTAAAATACTCAGAAAAGTCCACATATCCTTTTCATCCTGGTCCACAGTGTAGCACATGGCTTTATGTTTTAGTGTTGGAAATAATAAATGATCAATGACGTCAAGCCTGTTGTAATAAAAGAAGGCTGCTTATTAAACTCCCTCTCTCCAGCTGTTTTTCCTTTGACATCACGGGATCTGTTTATAATGACCTTTATGGGTTTTCCCCCTTACCATTCAGGCTTTATATGATTACAAGAGAAATTAAAGTTCTGTGAACAGTCTCTTCACAGAAGTGACACTTTCCTGCTCAGGCCCAATGTGCATGCAGGCTCCAACAACAGGATAGTGGGAAGAAGGAACAAAGAGGCTTCCCGTTCCCTTGGAGAAGCCTGACTTCCTGAAGTATGGGCTTGCTTCCAGGAAGCAGTATACATTGAAAGCAGTCAGTGGGTAAGGATTGTATATATTAATCACAGCCCACAATTCAAGCAAATGCATATACTATGGCTTTATTATGTCACTCAACATACGATCATGTAGTTTTGTTTTGAGTGGTGCCTGTTGAACCTAAACCATTTGAGGAATTTGGCATCTCTGCAAATTCGTTCTTTTGGGGGGCTGTATTTTGGAAGGCTGATGGCCTTTGTCAATCTATGAATGTGCTTCCTTCAAAATGCAACTGGTGTTGGACTTTTCCTATCTGTACCCAGGAATAAGCCAATTGGCAGGAATTTCTGGAGGAAACTCCTAAATCCTTTAACACTGCCCCTGCCCCCCATCACAGAGAAGTCTGTACTCTGTTGTCATTGGAAGAACAAAAGTTTGTTGATGCCCTGGAATAAAATCTCTAAATTAAATTCTCTAATTTCTTTTTATATTTATTTTAGGTTTGAACAAACCAGATAACTGTTCTGTTTGTCCTAAGTGACCTCTAGAGATTGTTGCCATTTCCATGATGTTCAATATTCAAAGCAATTTGGAGACTTCTTGTTCCAGATGCACCCCTTTGTTCGTTGCTCACATCAAGTGATATCTGACTGGTCTTTAAAGATCCAAATTTCACAATTTTGGATGAGCCTTGACTGATCTGAAAATGTTAGATTTTTCTCTTTCATTCTGTTTGAACATGCTTTAGTGTGAGTTGGCTATTTCTTTAGAGCAATTAAGGAAAAATGCCCAATTTCCCAGAACAACTCACAAAGTACTCATGGATTATTTCATTTTCTTAGGAAGTTGCCTACTTGCTAAAAGGTGTACCCTGAGCATTTGTGACTCCGAGGGAAACCAGGAACATCATGCTGCAGAAACCCTTTGGAGGAACGTGCCAACTGCTCCGTAACCATGAGCTGGCTCTCCTTTGATGGAGAGATTAATAGTTTCCATAATTATATCATCCTGGTTGTTCTGGGGCCAGAGTTTACTTAGACTTGAAAGAAATTGAAGTTAATTGAAAAAGAAAAAAAAATTCTTCCTGTCTTATTTCCCCTTTAAGCCTCTCATCTAGAGAAATGATGAGAAAGAGATTCAAGGATTTGTTGCCAATGGGAGCCAAAATGTTTCTTTTGAAATTGTAGATAAAAAGAACCAGAAGAAAGCAATTGGATGGTGGGGAGGGGGTAGTTATGGGAAAGGGGTTACAGCTCTGCCTAAATAATTCCAAACAACAGAAACACTGGGCAGCGGAGCCAGTGTACATGTGGCGGGTTGTCCCGGGGAGTGGACGTCGGTTCTGGAAACAAGTGCAGAAGGAGCAGAAGAGAAGTTTGGTAGTTGATGTGATTGTTAGTAGAAGAATTGGATTGGTCTACTGATTTTTATCTGTGTCTGTGTCTAATACAGAGGAGCTACCATCAGCTTATTTGCCACATCGTAGAGTTTGGGAATACTTATCTTTGGTTAAAATCCATTTTTTCTTGCTCTAAAATTTGAGCTCAATTTTTTCTTTGTAAAGCCCCTATCATCACTCTTGACCAGTTCTCTCAAACTGCACTCCAGTAAGATTGCTATTGGACCTTGGAGAGTTTCAGTGGGCGGACGATGTGGCCCTCCCTGGGAGAAATGGGATGTTAATAGAACATAGGTTCTATTGAGAGTGTCATGTCTTCAGTCAAAGATGAATTTCCAATATGTGATCACCAAGTGCTTTGTTGAAGCTTATTGAACCCGTAAGAGAGAAACTGAATTGTAGATTAACACTTCTCATTCATTCATTCATTCCAAAGTATATTGTGATTTGAACTTATTGTGTGTTAAGCACTGTGCTCAGTTAGTGGGACTAAGGAGGTGACAATTCAAGATAGGAGGAAGACAAGGGGGCTAGTTAATAGCTGTTCATTCCATCAGTTTCTGAAAGTTCAAGGTCCATCTCACTTCTCCTGAAGCTATGTACTTTCACTCTTCCAACTTCTATGCTAGTCGGAGATGTGGGGGTCTCTTGAGGATTACACAACTATAAGTGATGTATATATTTAGTGAGAGAATATCTCCCTGTAGTTTATATGCAGGCTCAACAGCACCCTTCCACCACTGCCCACCCTCCATGACAATTAAGGACAGCAGATAAATGCTTCCACCCACTCCTCTTTTGGGACTTAACAAGGAAATCACTCAGACCACTCTCATTCCAACCCAGGGCTTGGCCATATCTCACCTGTAGAGGGAGGTTCTGAATTTTAGCTTTCCTGTGATTCCTGAAGTTCCCATGCAATATCAATGCTGAGTTGAGAGCTAGTGGACATGCCAACACACCTGCATGGCAGGGAACGATTGTGCCACAGCAGAGACTAGAGGAATGATGTATATGTGAGAGGCTCAAAGGTTTGTTGCCAGTGGGAACTGTGATGAGGCCTACTCACTCAGGGAGTACTGTGGAGTCTTACCCAGGCCAAGAAAAACAAAATCCCTAAATTACATTAGCTTCACGACACAGCCTCACACAACAGTGAAGCAATCAGCATGTTGGAAACCAAGAGGCTAGAGTTGGAAAGAACATAATCCTCTCCACACCTACCGTGAGGTCTCACAGGTGTACCTCTCTTTCATAAAGTTGGGCTCCGTCTTAAGAGGAAGCTATTTAAGCACTGAATCTTTTTTTTTTTTTTTAATTAAAGACTGGGCAATTTTTTTTTTTTTTTTAGACGGAGGCTCACTCTGTCACCCAGGCTAGAGTGCAGTGGCACAATCTCGGCTCACTGTAGCCTCGACCTCCCAGGTTCAAGCAATTCTCCCACCCCAGCCTCCCAAGTAGCTGGGATTAAAGGCACCCGCCACCATGCCCCACTAAGGACTGGGCAATTCTTAAAGTCTCTATTTAAGTTATTGGACCAGAGTAAATTGAAACTGAATTGGGTCTTCAGTTTGTTAATTTTCCTGCTACTAACAGATGGGGGCTCCAGAGAAATAGCAGATTTGTCACAGGCAAAATGAAGCTGTTACCTTTCTCTCTGCATCTGAGCAATAGTATGAGTTGAATTTTGAGACCTAGACCCTACAATATGGGAAGAGTAGGAGGAGATGAATTTGCTGAAGTTATGATAGGTAAGATAGATAAGGGAGATAAAATAAGAATCCTTAGAGACTTTTGGAATCCCTATAGTTAGATATACTCAATATTCTTCCACATACATGGATCCATTTTCAAGAAAACAAAGAGCAGGATGGTAGATAAAAAAGAGATTTCATTATATTTCAGTAGGCTTGCTGACTGACTTCTTTTATATCCAGAATCTACAGGGAGCACCTAATATGTATGGTGAAGCCATGAAGCATGTCTATCCTGGGGTAAGCCTAAAGTATTCCTTTAAAATGCTGACACATCTAAAGAGAAAGATAAACTGGAATTCCACATCCAGTCTACAACCCATCTCCAATGTGAAACGGGAGACACTGTTGAACATATTCATTTTTATATTCAGCAAGCGTTTGCTGATGGCCAGCTCCATGTCAGGCACAGCACTAAATGCTGGGGGATACAGTGCTTGACATAGGGCAGTTGCTCCACAAATGTTAGTTAAATAAGTGAATGAAAACTATGTTCCCTAGCTGGAGGCTGACTTAACGTCAATAAGGCTTAACCCTTAAGGTAGTGGTTCCCAAACTTTCATGCAGATTGGAATCACCACAGGCTCTTTAAAAATGCCAGTGCCTGGTTTCTACCCCCAGACATTCTGATTCAATTGATATGGGGTGCGAACTGGGCACCAGGACTTTTTAAAAGCTCCCCAAGTGGTTCTACTGTATGGCAAAGTTTGGGAACCATGGGTTTAATGGCCCCTCACTTGGTCACGTGGTCTCCTTCCACGACTCTGGGAGGTGCCTAGCAATTTTGAATGTGAAATTTTATACTATTTTTATTGGACAAGGCCCCCAACTTGAATGATTTTCAGGTACCATAAAATCTGAATCTGCCCTTCTCCATCCTTGTGGTGGTCTTAGTCCAGTCAGCTGGTTGCTTATTGAGCACAAGGTTTTCAGAAGTGTAATTTGGCTGAAGATACAGATTAGCAGCCGTCTTATGGCTACCACCACATGGCAGCTAAACCATTACAAGCAACTGATGTCACCCTTTGTGGTTTTGTCTCCCTTATGTTTTGGCCCATGACCTTAACAGGGATTTTTGCAATGCTTTCAGAGAGAACTCCAGTGTGGAGTGGAAGCATTGGTTGCTACAAGTGCAAGGTTCTGTAGTTTTATCGAGGATTTTTTTTCTTTTTTGAGACACAGTCTTGCTCTGTTGCCCAGGCTGGAGTGCAGTGGCATGATCTCAGCTCACTGCAGCCTCTGCACCCCAGACTCAAGTGATTCTCCCACCTCAGCCTCCCAAGTAGCTGGGACCACAGGCGTGCACCACCACACCTGGCTATTTTTTAGTATTTTCTTTTCCTTTTTTTTTCTTTTTTTTAGATGGAGTTTCACTCTTGTTGCCCAGGCTGGAGTGCAGTGGTGTGATCTTGGCTCCCTGCAACCTCCCACTCCCAGGTTCAAGCGATTCTCCTGCCGCAGCCTCCCAAGTAGCTGAGATTACAGGTACCCACCACTACACCTGGCTAATTTTTGTATTTTTTAGTAGAGACAGGGTTTCACCATGCTGGCCAGGCTAGTCTTGAACTCCTGACCTCAGGTGATCTGCCTGCCTCGGCCTCCCAAAGTGCTGGGATTACAGGCATGAGCCACTACTCCTGGCCTTTTTTTGTATTTTCTATAGAGACGGGGTTTCGCCATGTTTGCCCAGGCTTGTCTCGAACTCCTGAGCTAAAGCAATCTGCCCGCCTTGGCTTCCCAAAATGCTGGAATTACAGGTGTGAGCCATTGTACCTGGCCTGAATTTTGTGTTATATTGATTGGGTTTCATGGTCAGCATAAAGTTTTTGCCTTCATAGCATTTCCAGCACAAGGGCTTTGCAAGAAACACACCATGGTCCTTTTCTGTGTCCCTGGAGTTCTCTACCTCACCATCCCCCTACCCTTCTTGGAAGAGTTGCCTGGTGACACTTACGAGGCCGATTCAAAGCTCTACAAAATTTATGCAATGATTTTATTACAGAGGCAAACAATACTGATTTCTGCTGTACACGTGGGCTGGTTGGCAGAGGATGGTCACATGTGCGACTTCCTCTTCTGTGCTTTTGGCCAGGTGCGCACCTGGGAATGTGTCTTTGTGACTCACTGGAGTGAACATGCACACAGCCTGAAGGGGAGAGAATGGAGCCTGCTGTGCAGGAGCTGACACCAGGCCCTCAGCGTCGTTTGGAAGTGGCTCTGAACTTGCTAAGTGGCTGTCTGCGTTGTATTTACTCATATCATCTACAAAGTAGAGGCTGCTCTGGGGTTCTCTGAGGCTTCTTTTTCCTGGCCAGGCTTGTTGTGAGTCCTGGCTCCTTTGGTATATCAGACACTTCCTCAGCAGGTTACATCCACGTCATGTGTGCACCTGATTATCAGCGGCTTTGTTGCCCACTGAGGAAAATGGACCCTCCCTCTCCAAGTGACCAGCAAAGGCAGTTTAAGGTCATGCTGCTGCTCTCTGTAGGGTGGGGCTTGGGCCTTTTTGATTACCTTCTGCCGCAATGGAGCCTGTAAAATCTTCTAATATCTGGCACCCATGAGGAGGTGCCCCTGATTAGCCTCTTCCAGGGTGGAGTATGGGGCATTTATGCTATGTAGATAGGATTTTCCCAAAGATGCGAGGAAGCTCTCTCCTTCTGTCCATTTGGAACTCCAGGAGTGGCAGTCCTTGTCTCTCCACATGGTGTATTTTCTTCTCTTAACTCTCCCAGATGGTCACATTTGGATTCTCTCAGAATCTTCCTGATTTCCATGAAAGCTCGGTCACAGTACCTTAAGCTCAGTTGGAGAAACAAAGAAGGGAGGTTAATCATCACGTTTGCTCATTTCCCCTGATGTAGACTTATCATACCCTTTCATAAAAGCTTCAGAGGTCATTAATTTGACAAATGGTACTGGCTTTGCTTTCTGCAGCCTCAACAAATGCTGTTTAACTTGTTGGAGAAATGGCTAGTGGCACTGTATGAGCAGGGCGATAATGCCTCTTTGAACAACACAAAGCAAACATTAAGACAGCAGACATTGAGGGAAATCAAGTGTGCCCAAGTAACGGGGCCAATTTCCCCAAGCACAGTTGATTCTCATGCTATAAGATAGTTTTCCTCACTCCAAAATCTGAGTAGCCAGCACTTCCTAATGATTCAGACCATTCTGTGTTTCCATATTAATGGCATTTTTGCACAGTTTGCGTTATTAACTTGAGCAGGAATGCTGCATGGTACAACTCCGGGGGGCACCATTCACGCTGTCTTTAATGTAAATCACGAGTCCTAGTCTTAGAATGTCTTGGCTCTTCCAGATGGTATTGAGTGCTTTCATAATTATCACTAAAGGATTGGGAGGTTTCTATATGATTCAGAACCCAAACTTAATGAAGTCTTAAAAACCTGAAGGAACTGAAAAATGAAATATATCTTTGGGTTCCTCAATCTACTTTTTGAAATGTTGTGGTACATTGAGGTAAAATGTTTCCAAGGATAAGTGAGGCCTTAGGTTCTGTTCCCCCTCTGCCACTTACTGTGTGACTTTTGGCAAGCTGTAATGCACAGCAAATGAAAGGCTTTGTCGTGATCGATACTTGTTGGGCCATTTTGCTCAGTGTGTTTGAAATGGCCACAAGCCAACACTTCATGAGGCAATGTGTTGAAGCAGAGAAGTTCAAGTGATAAACAGGGTTTCCAATTGTAATTTTAAAAAGTGTAATGAGAATTGAAGGGGACTTGGAATGAAATTTGTGTAATGCTGTGTGTAAACAGACTTGTGCACCACTCTTCCCGTAAAGCCATTTGGGTGTCATCTGATATGAGAGCTCACTGAAGATGTCATGTTGTGAAGATTACTATGATTTTTGCAGGGAGATTTAGTAGATCTGGATCTTGAGGACTTAAGAGATTATGTCCCGGCCTAACCTCTCTCCTCCATCCCTTTGCTTCATCAAATTAATTTCAATTTGAACATGGATAGAATGCCATATGGCTTCTAACATCTGAGGTCTTAAAGAAGCAGCCTCTGTTTCACACGCGTGGAGGCATAAATGGAGCTTTGACCTTCATGATTAAGGATTACAGACAGCATTTTGTTTTTATTATCATGTCTTGCATTTCTCTCACATCTCACATAGACTTGCTTTTTTCTTTTTGTGTTTGAGACGGAGTCTCAATCTGTTGCCCAGGCTGGAGTGCAGTGGCACGATCTCCACTCACTGCAACGTCCGCCTCGTGGGCTTAAGTGATTTTCGTGCCTCATCCTTCCAAGTAGCTGGGACTAAAGGTGCCCGCCACCATGCCCAGCTTCATTTTTGTATTCATATATTCCTTCTCAACAAGCATGTATTGGATAATTACTTATTAACAGCCTTCTCTGTAATAGGCACTGTGCTGGATCCTGCCGTAGAGGTGAAAGGCACAGTTCCTGCCCTGAAAGAGTTTATGGCCAAGGAGAGAAACAAAGGAACAAATATTTACAATGCCATAGACAGAAGTAAGCTTAGGGAGCGTTCCCACGGCAACTGTGGTTTCTGGAAAATGGTTGTCGCTTGTTACAGGGATCTCCTTCAAGTAAATGATAAAATCTAAGCTAAACATGTACATATTCATTCACTGGAGTTCAAATCACGTTTCCTCTTAGAAGAGGTAGCATGATGAGTAAAACCACACAGAGCTGAGAGACAGAACAGGTGGTTTCTAGTTCATGTTATGCCATTTACAAGCCGTGTAACTTTAGATAAGTCACCGAACCATCTGAGTCTCAGTTACTTTAATGACCAAAGTAAACAATATAAATAAAAGTACTTTGAAAAATGTAAAGCACTATATAAATTTTAGAGATTGATATCAGAAAAACCTTTAGTTTGCTGCATGCACACAATATATAGCTGAAGAATAGTAAGCACAACTTTTACCTTGGGCCTAATTTTTCCCTGAAGAAAAATTTCCCTAATCTTTCTTAACCATACACATAAATCACATTGTGATGTCCAAAACTATTCTTTTTACCTAAATCTCCAGTCACAAGACAATTAGCGTGCATTTTAAACTCTCAGTTTGTATATTAGCATGGTATTAAAATCTCTATAGATCAGCCTAAGAATAATTTTTCAGAGAATGATTTTTCCTGAGGTGTGCATACGAGTGGCAAGGCTACACTTTGCTTTGATTTCACTGCACACAAAAAAGGAAAGTTCTTCTCTACGCTTTCCATACACCACATACCCACATTTGATTTACTTTTTAAATGACTCAACACCAACAATTCAATATGACTTTTGCTATCTTAGAAGTATAACATCTTGGGATTATAACTTTCAAAAAATAACTGCACAGATCAGGAATGCTCATGTTACTTTCCAAACCCTGGTAAGATACTTGTATAAGGATTGGGGGTTAAAACATGTATTAAAATAAATGTTCCTCTCTGCAATATTATTCTTTGTTGAAATTTATTGAAGCACCATAAAGAAAGGGAAGAGGAAGGAAATTTGCAATTACCGAGTACTTATTGTGTGCTAGGACCTGATCTAGGGAATTTACATACATATATTATCTTATTAACACAATTCTCACAAGGGAGATAATATCATCTCTATCTTTTCTGGATGAAGAAAGGTTCAGAGAAGTTAAGAAATTTGTTGATGTTCACACAGGTAGTAAGTGGAAGTGTTGAAATTTGAATTCATATTTGTCTGATTATAAAGTCCTCCCCCATTTTTACCTAAAAATGCTTCGTTTTCTACATGTATAATACACGAACATTGAACTGCCATCATATAAAATGCTGTACCAGTTTTACTTACCTTCCCAAGGCGAGCTATGAAATGACAAAGACAGCAAGCCTCTAGAATTGAAACACTTGGACATATGAGTATTTTGAAGTATACCCCTGCAGTCTTTCTGGAAGAAAATTATTAAAGGACTTTAAGAAAATAAAAAATATATTCATGGGATAGAAAAAAAACCCAGTAACTTATGGGTCAAAAACCTATGGCTTAACAAAAGAGGAGTCAAGCTTCAGGTAGGATGGTTCCAGGTACCTAAGCAGTGCCTTAGGTCCTGGTTTCTTTTCATCTATCACTAGATACCACCTTGTCATCACCTTCAATAAGCCTTCTTCACTAGATGACTTCCATGAACTTCAGGCTTTTATCCCCCAGAGTTAAAGATAAGAAAGAGAAACTATCTTCTAAATTGCAAACAGAAGTCTTGGGCCTGATTCTTATTGGTCCAAATTGCATCATGTGCTCATTACTGAACCAATTAATCTGGCCAAAGGCTATTGATCCTCTCCTCAGCCAGTCCAGAGTCCTGCAACTGCCCTAGAACTCGGGGAGAGGGCAGGAGGAGTAGAAGTAGGTCCAACCAAAGCAAATGGACTGAGACTGAGAGAGGAGTGAGTCCCCAGGAGAAAACCAGAGTTTTTTCAACAGAAGGAAAGGGAATAGATGCAGAGCATTAAAAACAGTAATGTCCGGTGACTGTGGTCAATAATAATTTAATTGTACATCTAAAAATAACTATTAAGAGTCCGGGTGCAGTGACTATGGTCAAAAATAATTTAATTGTACATCTAAAAGTAACTATAAGACGCTGGGCACAGTGACTGCGGTTAAAAATAATTTAATTGTACATCTAAAAATAACTATAAGAGGCCAGGTGCAGTGGCTCATGCCTGTAATCCTACCACTTTGGGAAGTTGAGGCAGGTTGATCACTTGAGGTCAGGAGTTCGAAACTAGCCTGGCCAACATTGTGAAACCCCGTCTCTACTAAAAATACAAAAAAATTAGCTGGGCATGGTGGCAGGCACCTGTAATCCCAGCTACTTGGGAGACTGAGGCAGGAGAATTGCTTGAACCCAGGAGGTGGAGGTTTCAGTGAGCCGAGATCGCACCATTGTACTCCAGCCTGGGCAACAGAGCAAGACTGTGTCTCAAAAAACAAACAAAACCTATAAGAGTATAATTGGATTGTTTGTAACACAAAGGATAAATGCTTGAGGGGATGGATATGCTATTTTCCACTATGTGATTATTACACATTGCATGTCTTATCAAAATATCTCATGTACTCCATAAATACATACACCTACTATATACCCACAAAAATTAAAAATTAAAAATTAAAAAAAAAACCCAGTAATGCCTCTACAAACAATGAACAAATCAGGAAAATTGTTAATAAAGATTAAATAATCACTGATGATGTTAATGTAACATTTGATGCAATTGTTAAATGTTAATGTACCAACAATTTGTAAATAAAATTCCAGATGTTTTTAACACATACTTGAGGCTCAGTAAATATTTGTTGAATGAACAAAAATGAGATATTGGAAGGTTTAGGGTGGAGGAGGCAAGGGAAAAGAGAAATAAGAGCATTCCAAATGCCTTGTCTTGTTAAGGAAAGAGGTTGTAGATACTGAGTAATCTTGGTGTTGATAGGAATATATACATTTAAATATGCTTGTTAATGATTCAAGGATAATCACTATTGAAATAGGCAAAAGATGTAGAATTTCTAAACCACTAGATTTTAAAAAAAGGACCAGAGAAAATTTGATCAAGCCAGCAAAGGTCAGATTGAGAAAGAAAAAGAAGGAAATCAAAATACATTTTAAGACTCAAAACACCAATGATATGAATGGGCTAGACTACATTATTAAAAAGTAAGTATTCTGTTTGGAGACAAAATCAGTTTTACGTTTTTACAAGTGACAAACTTAAAACAACACACAATAAAGGCAGGGATAAATAAAAATTAAGTAAGTAATAACAAAATAGAAAGCAGGAATTGCAAAACAAAGAACAGAATCAGGGGAAAAACATTAAAGGGACACGGGATATTTTATAACTATAAATGATACAATTAATGAGATGTAACCATCATAAACTTTACAATAAACAATAGAGCAACTAAATATGTTAAGCAAATTTTGTTAGACATACCAAGAGTAATTCTTTTAAAAATTGTAGGAAAGTTAAACTCATCTCTCAGAAATGGGAAAGTAAGTAAAAGAAAAATAATAGTAAGGACATAGAGGATATGAATAACGACATTTTACAAAGTTGATTTTATATATTTGTTTTTTTATTATTATACTTTAAGTTTTAGGGTACATGTGCACAACGTGCAGGTTTGTTACATATGTATACATGTGCCATGCTGGTGTGCTGCACCCATTAACTCATCATTTAGCATTAGGTATATCTCCCAGTGCTATCCCTCCCCTCTCCCCCACCCCACAACAGTCCCCAGAGTGTGATGTTCCCCTTCCTGTGTCCATGTGTTCTCATTGTTCAATTCCCACCTATGAGTGAGAATATGCGGTGTTTGGTTTTTTGTTCTTGCGATAGTTTACTGAGAATGATGATTTCCAATTTCATCCATGTCCCTACAAAGGACATGAACTCATCATTTTTTATGGCTGCATAGTATTGCATGGTGTATATGTGCCACATTTTCTTAATCCAGTCTATCATTGTTGGACATTTGGGTTGGTTCCAAGTCTTTGCTATTGTGAATCGTGCTGCAATAAACATACGTGTGCATGTGTCTTTATAGCAGCATGATTTATAGTCCTTTGGGTATATACCCAGTAATGGGATGGCTGGGTCAAATGGTATTTCTAGTTCTAGATCCCTGAGGAATCGCCACACTGACTTCCACAGGGGTTGAACTAGTTTACAGTCCCACCAACAGTGTAAAGGTGTTCCTATTTCTCCACATCCTCTGCAGCACCTGTTGTTTCCTGACTTTTTAATGATTGCCATTCTAACTGGTGTGAGATGGTATCTCATTGTGGTTTTGATTTGCATTTCTCTGATGGCCAGTGATGGTGAGCATTTTTTCATGTGTCTTTTGGCTGCATGAATGTCTTCTTTTGAGAAGTGTCTGTTCATGTCCTTTGCCCACTTTTTGATGGGGTTGTTTGTTTTTTTCTTGTAAATTTGTTTGAGTTCATTGTAGATTCTGGATATTAGCCCTTTGTCGGATGAGTAGGTTGCAAAAATTTTCTCCCGTTTTGTAGGTTGCCTATTCACTCTGATGGTAGTTTCTTGATGAACACTGATGCAAAAATCCTCAATAAAATACTGGCAAACCGAATCCAGCAGCACATCAAAAAGTCTATCCACCATGATCAAGTGGGCTTCATCCCTGGGATGCAAGGCTGGTTCAATATACACAAATCAATAAATGTAATCCAGCATTTATTGATTACAGATTATTGATAAACAGAACAAAAGACAAAAACCACATGATTATCTCAATAGATGCAGAAAAGGCCTTTGACAAAATTCAACAACCTTCATGCTAAAAACTCTCAATAAATTAGGTATTGATGGGACGTATCTCAAAATACTAAGAGCTATCTATGACAAACCCACAGCCAATATCATACTGAATGGGCAAAAACTGGAAGCATTCCCTTTGAAAACTGGCACGAGACAAGGATGCTGTCTCTCACAACTCCTATTCAACATAGTGTTGGAAGTTCTGGCCAGGGCAATTAGGCAGGAGAAGGAAATAAAGGGTATTCAATTAGGAAAAGAGGAAGTCAAATTGTCCCTGTTTGCAGATGACATGATTGTATGTCTAGAAAACCCCATTGCCTTAGCCCAAAATCTCCTTAAGCTGATAAGCAACTTCAGCAAAGTCTCAGGATACAAAATCAATGTACAAAAATCACAAGCATTCTTATACACCAATAACAGACAAACAGAGAGCCAAATCATGAGTGAACTCCCATTCACAATTGCTTCAAAGAGAATAAAATACCTAGGAATCCAACTTACAAGGGACGTGAAGGACCTCTTCAAGGAGAACTACAAACCACTGCTCAATGAAATAAAAGAGGATACAAACAAATGGAAGAACATTCCATGCTCATGGGTAGGAAGAATCAATATCATGAAAATGGCCACACTGCCCAAGGTAATTTACAGATTCAATGCCATCCCCATCAAGCTACCAATGACTTTCTTCACAGAATTGGAAAAAACTACTTTAAAGTTCATATGGAAGCAAAAAAGAGCCCGCATTGCCAAGTCAATCCTAAGCCAAAAGAACAAAGCTGGCGGCATCACACTACCTGACTTCAAACTATACTACAAAGCCTTGTAACCTACTACAAACCCAGTAACCAAAAGAGCATGGTACTGGTACCAAAACAGAGATATAGATCAATGGAACAGAACAGAGCCCTCAGAAATAATGCCGCATATCTACAACTATCTGATCTTTGACAAACCTGAGAAAAACAAGCAATGGGGAAAGGATTCCCTATTTAATAGATGGTGCTGGGAAAACTGGCTAGCCGTATGTAGAAAGCTGAAACTGGATCCCTTCCTTACACCTTATACAAAAATTAATTCAAGATGGATTAAAGACTTAAACGTTAGACCTAACACCATAAAAACCCTAGAAGAAAACCTAGGCATTACCATTCAGGACATAGGCATGGGCAGGGACTTCATGTCTAAAACACCAAAAGCAATGGCAACAAAAGCCAAAATTGACAAATGGGACCTAATTAAACTAAAGAGCTTCTGCACAGCAAAGGATTTTATATATTTGTTTTTAAAAATCAAATCTAGCACTTACTGTGTGCCAAGCAGTATTTTGAATACTTTATAAATATGAACTCATTTAATCCTCATAATAATCCTATGAGACAGAAATTTTACAGATTGAGAAATCAAGGCATGGAAAAATTAAATAACTTGCTTGAAGTCACACAGCCAAGTGAATGGCAGGACTGCATTTGGCTCCACAGTTCATGCTCTTAATTCCTATACTCTAAGTGCACACATATATTGACCTTTGTACTCTGTGGTAAAGACTATTTGGGCTCTCCATATTTGGTTTTTATCTTCCTCTTGAGCTAATGGGAAGACTATGTTTAACAACCCTCTTGTAGTAGGGAAGGGTGAAGTGTTCAGTGATAGCCAATGAGTTAAATGACAAAGCATTTAAAAGCTGGTATTTCATCTCAAAACTCTCTTCTTTCTTGGTGACAGCCATGGAATAAGATGGCCGAGCCACAAGATGGAAATTACCTGAATCTCTGAGTAACCACACAGAGAACCACATGGAGAGGAGCTGCCCTGGAGAGTCCCCCAATGTATGTTGAACTTAGAGTGAAAGTGAAGTAAGCCTTTATTGTGTTAACACAATAAAGGGATAATTTGTCATTGCAGGTGTGTTTGCTCTATCCTGACTGTTACATACCCCAAAATGAAAATGTTACATTATTTTCAAATTAAATGGAACATCCGTAAAATTAGATGATGTGATAAGTCACAAAGAACATTTTCTTAAGTCCCCCGAAGTAGAAATCATACCAGCACATTCTCAGACTCTTGCATAATAAAGAAAACAATATTTTTAGGGAAAGCTAAACATAACCAAAAGAAAATTTTAAAATAGTGGATAATTTCCTAGGAAAATATTAAATACTAAAACCAAGAAGAGGCAGAAAACCTTTAAAAACTAATATTCACGTTGAAAACGTAGTAAAAGAACTACTTCCATCTGTACTTCAACAGAAAATAGTGGGAAATGGATGAATTCTATAGAGATAACAAAATTGTTAACAAAACTGGAAAAAACAGTCACACACACACAAAGCAAAACTGCAGACCAATCTCATCTATTAGTGTTGATGCAAAAATTCCAGACAAAATACAAACAAATAAAATTAACTATATTAAAAGATGGATAAAAATATACATTAAAAAACATCATGACCAAGATGAGTCTATTCCAGGAATGGCAAGTATGGCTTCACATTAGGAAATATTTAATGTAATTCACTACATAATAGACTAAAGAAATAATTATGTGATCATTTCAGTAAATGTTCACAACTCATTTGATAAAATTTAACATTTATTTCTGAGAAAAAGTCCTTTATAGTCTAAATAGAAGAAAATTTTATTAACATGATACTTATAGCAGACGTTCTTCTTTTCTTTTTTGAGGCAGGGTCTTGCTCTGTCACCCAGGCTGAAGAGCAATGGCACGATCATGGCTCACTGCAGCCTCAACCTCCTGGGCCCAAGAAATCCTCCTGCCTCAGCCTCCCAAGGAGCTGTGAGTACAGGCATGCACTACCATGTCCAGCCTTTTTTTTTTTTTTTTAATTTTTAGTAGAGATGAAGTCTTGCTATGTTGCTCAGCCTGGTCTCCAACTCCTGACCTCAAAGACTCCTCCCACCTTGGCTTCCCAGAGTGTTGGGATTACAGGTATGATTCATTGCACTTGGTCTCTGACATGATTTTTTTTTTTGAGACGGAGTCTTGCTGTGTTGCCCAGGCTGGACTGCAATGGCGTGATCTCAGTCATTGCAGCATCCATCTCCCGCATTCAAGAGATTCTCCTGCCTTAGCCTCCCAGGTAGCTGGTGCCCACCACCACGACTGGCTAATTTTTGTATTTTTAGTAGAGATGGGGTTTCACCCTGTTGTTGTCCAGGATGATCTCGATCTCTTGACCTCATGGTCCACCCGCCTCAGCCTCCAGAAGTGCTGGTATTACAGGGATGAGCCACTGCGCCCGGCTGAAAAGTGCCATTATTTTTTTTCAAGTGCATTTTCAGATGATATGATTATATACATGGGAAGTCAAGAGACTTACCTGACAGGCCTAATAGAACCAATGAGTTCAGCAAGATGAACTTTGCTCCTACAATCACTCTCTTACTTTCCTTAATTATTTCTTCTGCCCTACTAGAACATTCTCTCTCTAGATTGCTTATCTTAAAAAAACAAAAACAAACCAAAAAACCCCTCCCTTTACCTCGCATTTCTCTTCATTTTTCTGCTCCCCTTTACGATGAAACTCCCAAAGGAGCTCTGTGACCTAATCTCGTCTCTGCGCCTGTACACTGGATTCCCTCTGCCCTACACCACTTAAAGTGCTCATCAGGGATCCCAGTGCTGTCTCCGATGCTGAATCTATTGGTTACACCTCTGTCCTCAACTTGAAGTAGCATTCAAGGTAACCGACGAATCCTTCCTTCTTACAACACTTTCTCCTCTCGGCTTCTGTAACGTTGCAGTCACCTTAGTTTTCTCCCTCCTTGGTGTCCACTCCTTCACATCTCCTTTTCTGCCTTCTGCACCCTCTTCTGAACCTCTGAAGCTTGATGTGCTCCGGGGTCCAGTACTGGCCTCTTTCTTGTCTCTCTGTATATTCTCTCCCTAGGAAATTTCATCCAGTCCTATATATATATGAAATTTCCTCCAGTATATATATATATGAAATTTCATCCAGTCCTATATATATATATATATATATATATATATAAATTTCATATATATATATATATGAAATTTCCTAGGGAGAGAATATACAGAGAGACAAGAAAGAGGCCAGTACTGGACCCCGGAGCACATCAAGCTTCAGAGGTTCAGAAGAGGGAGCAGAACCATAAAAAAAATATATATATAAAAAATATAAATATATAAATATATTAAATATATAATATGTAAGTACATATATATTTATATATTAAAATATAATATGTAAGTACATATATATTTATATATTAAATATATAATATGTAAGTATATATTATATATTTATATATTAATATATAATTAAATATATTTAAAATATAATAGATATACATTTTAAATATATATTATATATTATATTTTAAATATATATAATATATATTTAAAATATATATTATATATATTATATATTTTATATATATAATATATATTATATATAATATATATTATATATAATATATTTTATATATTTATATAAATATATATATTTTATATATTTATATAAATATATATATTTTATATATTTATATAAATATATATATTTTATATATTTATATAAATATATATATTTTATATATTTATATAATATATATATTTTATATATTATATAAACATATATATTTTATATATTTATATAAACATATATAATATATATTTATATATTTATATAAATATATATTATATATTTTATATATATAAAATATATAATATATATTTTTTGAGACAGGGACTAGCTCTGTCACCCAGGTTGGGGTGTAGTGGCATAATCATGGCTAACTGCAGCCTCAAACTCCTGGGCTCAAGTGATCTTCCCACCTCAGCCTCCAGAGCACCTGGGACTACCATGCCCCTCCTAACTTTTTAAAATTTTTTGTAGAGACAAGGTCTCACTTTGTTGCCTAGTCTGGTCTCGAACTTCTGGGCTCAACCAATCCTCCCACCTCAGCCTCCCAAAGTGCTGGGATTACGGGCATGAACCACCCCACCCGGCCTATGTACTATCTTTATATATGATCATTATGCCAGTGGCCTCTACATTTATATCTGTGGCCTCTTTCTGAATTTTAGACTTCCATTTAATGCCTACATGACATCTTCATTTGGATAGCTAGGAGGCATCTCAAATCTAACAAGTCCAAAACAAACTTGATTTTCTCCTCCTTGAAAAGCCTGCTCTTCTTCTTCCCAGTCCTCATCTTTGTAAGTGGAACTGCAACCTACCCAATTGCCAAAAAAGCCTAGGAGTCATTCTTGACCCCTTTTCCCTTACCACCCCTCTATCCTGCCATCAGCTGATCCTAGTGACTCCATCTGCCAAGCATGTGCTCTGTTAGTCCTCCATTCTCCTCATCTCCACTCTACACTTGATCTTAGCCAAAAGGCCGAGAAGTGACTCCTCATCTCCACTCTACACCACACCCATGACTGTATCTCAGCTGGACCCCTTCAATAGCCTTTCAACCCATCTCCCTGCTTCCACCCTTACTCCTTGCCTCACAACTAATCTCCATCTGTCTGGCTTAGAACTTGGAAGAAAGAGAAGGATGTGATTTTGGGACTCCCTTGAACTCCAGCCTAAAAGTTTGATTTGACTTTATAAAAACAAATTTAAAAAGTTTTGAGATACAAGACATCTGAAATTATATGAAAGAAAAATGAAAGGCTTGGATGACAGCATTGCATATTGCAGACCATTAATATCAATAATATTTAGGGAGCTCCTACTTATCAATAAGAAAAAATAATCTCATTGAAAATGAGCAGTGAAATAAGTTCACATGTGAACAAATGTCTGAAAAGATGCTTGGCTTTGCTAATAATTAGAAAAATGCTAATTGAAAAATTAGATATTTATTTGTGCTATTGAGATTATCAAACATTAAGGCAATTAAGAACCTCCTCTGTTGAGAAGGATGAGGATGTTGTTTTATTTTCTTTTGAATAGGAATGTAAGTTGGTATAATCTTTTTGGAAGGCAATATGGCAGTACTCCACACCTGGGATTCAGTTCTACAGAAAGGCTAGAATGGATGCATGCACACACACCTATCTGAACATAGGTGCTATCATTAATTTGTCCCGAATGCAACTAATATTTATTGAGAAACTATTATGTGCCTATGTGCTGGGCACTGGGCTAGCCAATGAAGATTCAAAAAGAAAAAAAAGGTAAAATAAGAAAACAGTCACTTTTTTTGCCTATGGGGGATACAAGTGAACAAATGACATGACCGTATAATAACAGTTGTTACACGTTCTCTGAAGTAAAAGAGCAGAGTGTAAAAAGAAAATGAAGAACCTACACTGAGAGACTATTTACTTCAGGGAAGGAATTGACCCTAAGTGAAAACCTAAAGGATGAGAAAGGGGTTAACCAGGTAAAGAGGGAGGGGTCAGGGTGTGGGAGTGAGGACCTTCAGCTTTAAGCACCTAGGAAGGCCCTAACTACGGCGGGAAGGGGCGTGGATTAGAGGACTGGAACACAGAGCACTCCAGTGAAATGCAGTGAGGGATGGGAGAGCGATTGGATAAGAGGCCAGAGAGGTGCTTAGGGGCTAGATGTGGGGCCTTTACAGAGAACATGGGAAGGGTTTTAAATATCATCCCGTGAATAATAGGCCAGTGCGTAGTTTTAATTAGAGTAGCGACATGTTTGTATGTTGCATTTTTTAAACAGGGCAAAAATTATTGTCTAGTCTCTACACAACAGTTTTGGGCATATTTTAAAAATGAGAATGGGTAGGAGGAGGTTGATTAAAAGGGAAAATAAAAAAAACCAGTGAGGAGATAATTGCAGAATTTTAGTGGCAGAAGAGATGGAGAGATGTGGATGGATGCAAGTATATATTGGAGGTAGAAAAGACCAAATGTGCTAATTGATGGGATGAAGGAGATGAGAGAGAAGCATATGCAGGAAGGAAGAAGGACTTCGAAGGCAGGGAGATCAAATTTACTTTTATTTATTGAGATGAAATTCACATAACCTAAAATTAGTCATTTTAAAGTGAACATCTTAGTGGCATTCAGTATATTCGTAATGTTGCACAACCACTACCTCTATCTAGTTCCAAAACACTTCTGTCATTCCAAAGTAAAGCCCCTTTTACCCATGAAGCAGTCACTCCTCACTCTCCCACTCCCTCACACCCTGCCTTGGGCAACCACTGCATTGTATTCTGTTTCTATAGATTTACCTATTCTGAATATTTCATATAAATGGAATCATAGGACATGCAACCTTTATTTCTGGCTTCTTTCACGTTATGTAATGTTTTCCAGGTCCATCCATGTTGCAGCATGTATCAATGTTTCATTATTTTTATAAGGAAGAATACTATTCAATTGTATGTGTATACCACAGATTGTTTACCTCACTTATCCGTTGATGGACATTTGGATTATTTCCATCTTTTGGCTGCTGTGGATAGTGCTGCTGTGAACATTCTCATACAAGGATTTGTTCAAGTTCCTCTTTTCAGTCTTTTGTGTGCATACCTAGGAGTGGAAGTGCCAGGTCATATGTTAATTCTGTGTTTAACTTTTTGAGGAACCAACAAAATTTTTCCCACAGTGGCTGAGCCATTTTATCTTCCGACCAGCAAGATAGGATCCAATTTCTCCCAGTTCTCACCAACACCTATTCTTTTCCTAAGTTTACTTTAGAACATGTGAAGATGCCAATGTATCATGTATACAAGGTAAATTATTGGATATAAAGGTCTAGAGTTCAGAAGGGAGATCTGAGTTTGAAACACACATTTTGGAGTTGTTCGCATAACAAGGGTACAGGAAAGGAGGTGCAATTGACGAGGAAGAGGGTATAGACTGGAAAGAGAAGAGGGCCCAAATCCTCACCCAGCCAGAGGAACCCTGAATACCTGGAGGGAAGAGAAAGAGGAACTCCTAAATGAAGATGGAAGAGGATCAATCCAAAGGTTCCACCAAATGAGAAACTGAGAGGTTGGAATGTGTCCCCTCTCAAATATGTTCTGCTGGAGATCTGGGGAGTGCAGCGAGGTGTCCTTTACCATCAGTGCAGTGAGCACTTTCAGTTTCTCAAAAGCCCCATCTCCAGGTCAGAGAACTCCTTCACCATAGGTTCCACAGATTAAAATGATAGGACACACTTAAGGAGAAAGACCATTTCCCATCTAAATACTGCCCAAAGTGTCTAGTTTCAGTGCCTCTCTGTGGTAGGCAAAATAATGGCATCCCCAAATTGTCCATGTCCTAATGTCTAGAAACCATGACTATGTTATCTAACATGAGAAGAGATTTTGCAAATGTGATGAATGGTTTTGAGATGGGGGATCATCCCAGATTATCTGGGTAGGCAGAATGGAAGCACAGGGTCTTTGTCACTGAAAGGAGACAAAGACTTAGATTACAAGATGCCACATTGCTTGCTTTGAAGATGGACAAAGGGGTCATGAACCAAAGAATGCAGTGACCTCTAGAAGCTGGAAAAAGCGAGGGGACAGATTCTCCCCTGAAGCCTGCAGCAGGTACCCAGCCCTGATGACATCTTGATTTGTAAGTGTCAACTACTAAGGCCTTTCCACCTCAGGGCCAGCATCCAACCTATTCTCTTGACCTCCTTGTGGATGTGCTCATTAAATGAGTTGGTGCCATCTCTCTTCTTCATCAGGGGTGGTTTAAGCCCTCCTGTAGTCCCAACTTTAGGAAAGACATCTTTTTTCTATTTTTAAATTTATTTTTATTTATAATTTTTGTGGGCATGTAGTAGGTGTATGTACTTATGGGATACATGAGATATTTTGGTAGAGGCATGCAATGTGTAATAAACACATCATTGAAAATTGGGTATCCATTCCCTCAAGCATTTATTCTTTGTGTTACAAACAATCCTATTATATTCTTTTAGTTATTTTTAAATGTGTAATTAAATTATTATTGACTATAGTCCTCCTGTTGTTCTATCAAATACTAAGCCTTTTTCATTTTTTCTGTTTTTTGGTCCCCATTAGCCATCCCCCACAACCCCCCATTCCCTGTACCTCCCACTACCCTTCCCAGCCTCTGGTAACCATCCTTCTATTCTCTGTCTCCATGAGTTTAGTTGTTCTGATTTTTAGATCCTACAAATAAGTGAGAACATGCGATGTTTGTCTCTGTGCCTGGCTTATTTCACTTAACATAATGATCTCCATTTCCATCCATGTTGTTGCAAATGACAGAATCTCATTCTTTTTTATGGCTGAATGGTACTCCATTGTGTGTAAGTACCACATTTTCTTTAACCATTCGTCTGTTGATGAACACAGGTTGTTTTCAAATCTTGACTATTGTGAACAGTGCTGCAACAAACATGAGAGTGCAGATATCTCTTCAATACGCTGATTTCCTTCCTTTGGGTATATACCCAGCAGTGGGAGTGCTGGATCATATGGTAGCTCTATTTTCAGTTTTTTGAGGCACGTCCAAACTGTTCTTCATAGTGGTCGTACTAATTTATTATACATTCCCACCAACAGTGTACAAGGGTTCCCTTTTCTCCACATCCTCTCTAGTATTTGTTATTGCCTGACCAGGGTGAGATGACATGTTATTGTAGTTTTGATTTGCATTTATCTGATGACCAAGGATGTTGAGCACCTTTTCATATGTCTATTTGCCATTTGTATGTCTTCTTTGGAGAAATGTCTATTCAAATCTTTTGACCATTTTTAATTGGATTATTAAATTTTTTCCTATAGAGCTGTTTGAACTCCTTATATATTCTGGTTATTAATCCCTTGTCAGATGGGTACTTTGCAAATATTTTCTCCCATTCTGTGAGTTGTCTCTTCTCTTTGTCAATTGTTTCCTTTGCTGTACAGAAGTTTTTTAACTTGATGTGATCCCATGCAATCATTTTTCCTTTGGTTGCCTGTGCTTGTGGGGTATCACTCAAGACATTTTTGAGTAGACTGATGTCCTGGAGTGTTTCCCCAATGTTTTCTTGCAGTGGTTTCATAGTATGAGGTCTTAGATTTGAGTCTTTAATCCATTTTGATTTGATTTTTATATATGGTGAGAGATAGGGGTCTAGTTTCATTCTTCTGATGGATATCCAGTTTTCCCAGCAGCATTTATTGGAGAGACTGTCCTTTCCCCATTGTATGTTCTTGGCAACTTTGTCAATAATGAGTTCACTGTAGGTGTGTGGATCCGTTTCTGGGTTCTCTATTTTGTTCCATTGGTCTATGTGTCTGTTTTTATGCCAGAACCATGCTGTTTTGGTTACTGTAGCTCTGCAGTATAATTTGAAGTCAGGTAATGTGATTCCTCCAGTTTTGTGCTTTTTGCTCAGGATAGCTTTGGCTGTTCTGGGTCTTTTGTGATTCCATATAAATTTTAGGGTTGTTTTTTCTATTTCTGTAAGGAAAGTCTTTGGTATTTTGATAGGGATTGCCTTGAATCTGTAGATTGCTTTGGGTAGCATGGACATTTGAACAATAAGGATTCTTCCGATCCATGAACTTGGAATAGCCTTCTGTTCTTTTGGTGTCCTCTTTAATTTCTTTCATGAGTATTTTATAGTTTTCATTGTAGAGATCTTTCACTCCTTTGGTTAATTCCTAGGTACTTATTTTATTTGTGGCTATTGTAAATGGGATTAATTTCTTTTTCATACTGTTCACCATTGGCATACAGAAACGCTATTGATTTTTGTATGTTGATTTTGTATCCTGCAACATTAGTGAATTATTTAATCAGTTCAAATAGTTTTTTGGTGGAGTCTTTAGGTTTTTCCAAATATAGGATCATATCATCTGCAAACAAGGATAATTTGACTTCTTCCTTTCCAGTTTGGATGCCCTTTATTTCTTCTCTTGTCTGATTGCTCTAGCTAGAACTTCCAGTACTATGTTGAATAATAGTGGTGAAATTGGGCATCCTTATCGTGTTCCAGATCTACAAGGAAAGGCTTTCAGTTTAGGAAAGACATCTTTGACCTCAGCTTGGTTCTGAAAGGTCTCTCCCTGACCAGTATTTTTTATGGCATTGAAGTAAGAGCACTGGATTTAAACTCAGACACTTTTGCTTGATTATTGATGGTACTTACTAGCCTGTGCCAGAATAACGTCTTAGAGCCACCCCTGTGCTTCAATTTCCGTATCTGTAAAATACAAATAATATGTACCTCATAGAAGCATTATACAGATAAAAGAAAAATGCATAGAAAAGCTGTAAAGATCCTGAGCTTTAAAGTACATCCATACTCAGCAAAAAAGAAAACAGGAAAGAAAAGGAACAAATCACTAATACCTGCATGAAACTCAAAAGCATTATGTTAAGTGCCAGGAGCCAAAAATCTGTACATATTTCATGATTTCATTTCTGTGACATTCCAGAGAAGGCAAAACTGTGGAGACAGAAATCAGATCAGTGGCTGCCAGGGGCTGGGTGTGAGGTGAGAGACTTTAGACAAGGGAAATTTCTCGCAGTGATAGAAATGTTCTATATTTTGATCGTTTGGTGGTTACACAACTATACATGTTTGTCAAAACTCAGAATTGTACACCTCACAGGGTGAATATTACTGTATGTTAATTATACATCAATAAATCTTACTTTTCAAACATTGGAGGAAAGAATGTCCTATAATATACTTCGTTATGTGTACAGTCCTTTGGGATAAGGAGCTAATCGACTGACTACTCAACCAGTAAATACCTATTCCAAATTTTTTGCCTCTATGTCCTGTTGTTCACAATAGCACGTAATATGATTTTTTGCTAATATAGAATGCTTCTCTGCTTGCAGCTTAAAATTTTTTTTTAATTAGAAGGGCACTGAACACTTCTCTTCTAAAAAGTTCAACTAACTGTTGCTCTGCCTCAAGGAATGGGGGAAAGCACCAAGAGAATAATAAGTCAGGACTGGGCTATTAAATAGCCCAGAAGCACAGAGAGGTGTGGGAGGTGGGGGGATTCTTGCTTTGGTCTCCAACAGGCGAGAAGCACTGCAGTCCTATAGCAGGTCATTGTGTCGATAATAGGCGTTATCTTGGTTTGGAGAGAATGTCCAACTCTGGATTGTTCAGTGTTAGTCAGACTTGTGTGGTTAAGGACGGCCTAACATTCACTTAATTAAAACACCAGTCAGATACACGCAGAGATTGAGGCGTGCAAGTCTCTGGGAGCAGGCGGACGCGACTGCCCACGCCCCACACCCGCCGGCCCTCCCTTCTCATTGGCCGCTGCCCAGCTGCTCCGACGCCCGCTTCTATAAGAGACAGGCAGCGCGGGGCCGCCGGCCGACCCAGCCTGCACCTACTGGCGCCCGAGGTGAGTGAGGCGGCCCTTCCCGCGGGCACCGGGGACCGCCGTCGAGGCTTTGGCGGCGCTTGGCAGGCGCGGGGCTGGGCAGAGTCACCCTCCCGGGAGGTAAATTGGTGGTCTTGCGGAGTCAGATTTGGGAGGTCGGAGTTGTACCCCTATAAACGCTTACTATTCTTTCCTCCCACGCTGTTTGGGGAGAAAAGACACTTTCTGAGTGCCTCCTGTGTGCCAGGAACAGACTCTTTAGCCATCATGAGATTTCACCTTCATGACAAACTCTGGTAGATATTTCTTGAGTCCCCAGATGAGGAAAGTGGGGTCCAGAGTCCAACCCAAGTCTGTGTGACTCCTCTATGTTGGCAGAAACAGTAAGATTTTTCTTCCTTCCCTTCCTCTCCATCAAAGGGCAATGTCTCTTTTTTTCTTCTCCTCCCATGAAGGGAAGCTTCCCTTAAACAGCCTCCCGAAGAAGAAGGAGTCTCAGATGCAAAGCTTCTCAGCATCGCACTTACCATCATCACCACCATCCCAACAGACGACTGAGAGCTTTTTGCAAGGTCGCAATTGACAAAGAGGACTAGGTCCTTGCGGTTTAGAGTCAGTTAAGAGTCCGTGTGAACTCAACCTTGCCTTTGGCGTTTGATTTTCAGAGGTTTAAAATGAACTTCTCATTGATGTCCCACTCTACTTGACTTAGCAGGAAAAAGACTAGAGTTGAACTTGCTAACCCAGGAAAAGTTTGTGCCTGTTAGTTAAAAAAAAAAGGGGGGGGTGGAATTCTAATATCAATGTTTCTGTAAAGTTATAATCTGTGGTTTACATATGTTATCACTGAGGTCCATTTGTACATGTATTATTAGATTATCTCCAGATAGGGATGTGTCTTCTATTTCCATTTTCTCTGCCAGTGCCTTTATTTCCTAGAATACTGTTTTTCATGGATAGTGTTTTCTTTTGTATTTCATCTACACTTTCATCCTCATTCCCACTCCTTATTTAGAAAAGAAAATCAAGACTCCGTAGAGGATTCCCTCCCTCTGAAAGAATCCTCCTTGCAGTTTTTAGTTCTGTCTTCAAACAATATCCATGCTTTCAAAAGACTAATTCAGTAGTGCTTTGTGCTTCCTAGATCCGGTAAATATAAATTACACTTGTTTTACTGATTAAACTAAGGGAAGAAAAGAGTTGGTCATTGTATACGCCTTGACCTCTCCCAAGGGTCGGGTCTGTTGATCTTCTGAGTGTCTTCTTGGTATTTTTTCCTTATTTCCAGTGGTATGTCCTACACAGTGCATCCTTAGGCCAGGAGACGCAGTAGGAAAATGACTCTACCTTTCATGAGAAAAGGGTACCAGTTGGTATTAGCTGATCAGAGAGTTGCTTTAAAAATAAAATGCTTATGTATTGATGAGACACTGATTCAAACAAGTGTGACCTATTTTATCTTACCAGGTTAGTATTGTGTTTTTTTGTTTTGTTTTGTTTTGTTTTGTTTTCCTGAAAGAGTAGGAGGAGGTGGGTAGGTTGAAAGGGGAAAGGAAAAAGTAACAAGGCAAAATATTGAGGTTCTGAAAGCGGTTTGGGGTTAACTGGAGGAAAAAATAACTGATGCCTCATAAGCTCTGTCAACCAAGCAAAGTTATGGCCAAGTTTTAGTAACGATCAAAGATCTATGTCCTGTAAGATTATTTTGGGGTGGGGGGGAACAAAAAAGAGGGTGAGAATTTTCTTCTAGTTTTCTAGTTTCTTAGCAAAAGTTCCTTTTGAGAACCTTCATTTTTACCATGACTTAAACAAGGAGGAGTGTTTCCACATCTTTTTTTTTGAGACGCAGTCTTGCTCTGTCACCTGGGCTGGAGTGCAGTGGCGTGATCCTGGCTCACTGCAACCTCCGCCTCCCAGGTTCAAGCCATTCTCCTACCTCAGCCTCCCAAGTAGCTGGGACTACAGGCGCCCGCCACCACACCCAGCCAATTTTTGTATTTTTAGTAGAGACGGGGTTTCACCATGTTGGCCAGGATGGTCTCGCTCTCTTGACCTCATGATTCGCCCGCCTCGGCCTCCTAAAGTGCTGGGAATTACAGGTGTGAGCCACTTACATCTTAATATAATAATGTATGTCTTTAAATACATCAAAATAATATAAATGCCTTGCATATCATAAATTTCAATTAATGTATCCTTCACCCTCCTCTCCCCACACCAACTAAGGAGATGTTGGCACAAAACTTGATCCATTCCAGAATCAGGTAAAGAAAATAATTATGAACCCTAAAGGGATGGAGCCATGACTGTTAGCACCTTCTCACAATAGCAACTTCCAGGAAAGCTTAGGGACCAGTTTTGAAAATTGAAGGAAATTCTCTTTTTTTTTTTTTTAAGAGACAGGGTTTCACTCTGTCACCCAGGCTGGACTGCAGTGGCGCGATCATGGATCACTGCAGCCTAGAACTCCTGAGCTCAAGCAAGCCTCCTGCCTCAGCCTCCCTAGTAGCTGGGACTGCAGGTGAAAGCCACTATGCCCAGCTAACTTAAACAATTTTTTTTGTTGTTGTTGTTCATACAGCATCTCACTATGTTACCCAGGCTCTTCATAATAGTTTTTGTTGTTGTTGTTGTTTGTTTGTTTTTGTTTTTGTTTTTTGAGACGGAGTCTCACTCTACTGCCCTGCCAGAGTGCAGCGACACGATCTTGCTCCCTGCAACCTCTGCCTCCTGAGTTCAAACGATTTTCATGCCTCAGCCTCCCGAGTAGCTGGGATTACATGCATGTGTCATCATGCCAGGCTAATTTTTGTATTTTTAGTAGAGACGGGGTTTCACCATGTTGGCCAGGCTGGTCTTCAACTCCTGACCTCAAGTGATCCACCCACTTTGGCTTTCCAATGTGCTGGGATTACAGGCATGAGCCGCAGCAGCTGGCCTCATATAGTTTTATATGAAGAGTTTTATTCCAAGCTCCAAGAGGTTGTTGAAAGACAAATTATCAGGAGATCTAGAATTCTGTTAGTGTTACCACTGACTGGAAAAAATCAGTGGTAACTTTTCTTTACTGTTCTCTGATCCTTGCTCCCAGTTCTTAAAGCTGATTTACATGATGAAGCTAGTGGTTGGCCAGGAAATAGCTTATATTTGCAGAATCCTCTTCCTTCTGCATGTCATGGTGATGGTATCAGGAAACATGAGGACTCAGTAACTATAGGGTAACTCAGTACATTTTACTTTGGGGTCTTTGTCTATTTGTTTGCAAAAAAACTGCTGAATTATTTTCTTGAGATTTGGAATTTAATACACTTTAGGGGTTTTATAATAAATTAATGAAACTGAAATCACCTTGATACAAAACAATACTGACATTTTATATCATAAAGCAACTTTTCCACATGTTTGCTATTGTAAGAAATATGTTAACCATCTTGTAAAATGCCTAATTCCTAGGGCAAGAAAAATTCTTAGCCAGAGGTATTTAGAATGTCTATTTCATTACTTGAACATTTTCTCTTTTTTTGAAAACTGGAAAATTTGGGACATATTCCCCATTACTTGAGATAATACTTATTGAGTACTTAGTGTAGGTTAGCAACTGTTCTAAGAGTTTTATGTAAATTATAACTATTTAATTCTCATAAGTTTATATATGTTTAATCCTCCTTATAATCATGAGAGTGGTGTTAATTATCCTCCCTCCAAGTTTGCAAATAAAGAGGTTGATACATATAAAGATTATAACTTGCCTAGATGGATTTGCAGAAAGATTTATTACTAGCAATTTGTTATATTATTTTGCATCTCTTTTATTGTTTACATTTTCACGCTTTAGGACAACGTCGCCCATACTCTGTGTTTGATAAGAAAAGTCAATCTTTGAGTGGTAATTGAATGGGTAAGAAACGTTTCTGAAAGTTTTCACATCCCTAAAAACATTTTGAGAATGCTTATCTGAGGCCATCCCTGAATTTTTAGCCCCAGAGCCACCAATTTGGAATTTTCTGTGTATACTTAAGTTTACCTTAAGAAATGGTCACTTCCTTTGAAGTGGAAAATCTCTTAAGATCTCCTGCTTCTCATCCATAAATCCTTTCTCAGCAGAGACTCATGGATGGGCTAGAAGCTATATTCAGTCATCTTTAGAAGCACATGGGATATTGATCAAAGGGGTGGGGTGGTGGGAAGGTGAGGGGTGGTTGAGTGTACTCCTTGGGTGTCATGGCTGGGATCTCAGTGTCCCTTCTTTTCTGCTTATTTGTACTTATTGAGAAGTCTGTCTTCCATTTTCTCCTTCCCCATGAACAAGTGTGTGAATTATTTGGAGGCAAGTTGTCTTGTTTTTAAATTTTTACTGCCCTAACTTTGACTGTGGTGCTTCACACATGTGAATGCGCTTGGGTTGAAATTTTATTCGTTTTACCATTAGTAATTATTTGAATCAAAGAAAAATCCACATAATTATTCAGTTTAACTGGCCATTTAGTTTTATAGCATTTGAAATAGAAATTGTTTTTAGTTCTAGAGACTAATTTGGCATAATTTAAAAATCTTGGTAGTTTTGGAAACTTGAACCCAATGAATTCATAAATGTTAGTTAAATTTTGAATTATGTATCTCTAACTCTTCTTGGTACCTGAAATATCCTAGTTTCTTCCGTGAGGAAAATCTCAGAATAGCACGCCATGTTATGATGTTTTAAAACGAGTGAGAATTTTGGATGTTATGAGTTCTGGTAGCTGTTTGGTAACTTAGTTTTATATTAGAAAGGTTAAGTAGCATGCCCGAGGTCATACACTGATAAACATGAGGCCAATGATTAGATATGTCTGACTTCACATTCCACATATTTCCTTACACTGTTTTGCAGTGTAAATAGGTGGTTAAGAAGATACCAAAGTAGATCTCTGGTTCATCTTCTGAGAAGCAGAACTAGAATTCTCCTGGCTAGCAGTTATCCATCTAGTGCATATGTATCTAGAGCTGGCCAGGCCTTTAGTTTACAAAATAAATAGAAAGCCTTGTCCCCACTCTGGAGGAGCTTGCTGCCTTGTTAGAAGGTGAGATATGTTCGAATAGAACATTTGGGGAAACCATTTGAGACCTGGTATAATGAAGTGCTAAGATTGTGGGCAAGGTGGGGAGGAGGTAGGCCTTCCTGACTAGTTTAGGCTACAATAGTTGGGAAGACTGCAAGAAGCCAGCAGGCTTCAGTCATGCCCTAAAAGAGCGATTGGTTTAGAAAAAAAACAAAAGGGAACTACTAACATGTATTCTATTCTAGGCAGGTGTCAGGCAAAGTTGTATCTTATTTTGGTCTCACTAGATTCTTGCAAAGCTTATCTGCATATCCAGGTTTTATAAAAGGTTAAGAAACTGAAGCTCCTAGAAGTAAATGAGCCCTTAGTTATCAAATATTGTCTGCATTGTGCAACTTCTTTTTTAGCCCGTAGTCTTTGTTTTCATACTTTAGTTTTAGAGAATTACTCCAAATTCATCATGATTGAAGACAATAAGGAGAACAAAGACCATTCCTTAGAAAGGGGAAGAGCAAGTCTCATTTTTTCCTTAAAGAATGAAGTTGGAGGACTTATAAAAGCCCTGAAAATCTTTCAGGTAAGCATTTTCTGTATTTTTGCACAGAATTCTTCTAGAAATGAATCTCTAAAACTATATTTAAAATATAGGGCAACATAGCAAGACCCTATCTCTTAAAAAAAAACAAATTTAGCTGGGTGTGGTGGTGGACTCCTGTAGTTCCAGCTACCTGGGAGGCTGGGGTGGGAGGATTGCTTCAGTCCGGGAGTCCAGGGTTACAGTGAGTGAGCTATGATCACACCACTGCACTCTAGCCTAGGTATCAGAGTGAGATTTTCTCTCTATATATATATCTATATTTATATATAGATAAAATATATAAATATATAATTTTTATATATTATATATATAAATTATTGTAAACTCTTCAGAGATGGAGTACAAACATTTGTTAAGAACTTACATTTCTAAAATAGTGCTGAATTCTAACAAGGGATACAAACAATTTACAGAAGAGGAGATACAAATAGCTACTTCGAGAAATGGGGGAGAAAAGATTCACTTTATAGATTTTAGAGAAGCAAATTTTAATTTTATTTTAATAAAATATTAAAATTTTATCAATATATAATCATATATTATTAATTATATACTTGAGATTTAATGATATAGTCATAGTATATTTAATGATATTATTTTCATGTAGCAAAGATTCTATAATGACAGTGTCTCCTATTGTCAGAACTTCATTGCATTGGAGGTACATTACCCTCCAATGCACCTTTGGCACAAGGATAAATTTGTGTACCATGTAGGGAAACTATCTGGTAATATGTATTATGAGCCTTAAAATGTTCATATTTTTGACCCATAATTCTAATTTCATAAATCTGTCTTAAAAATATGGATCAGTCAGGCAGAACACGAATATTTATTGAGTCCTTACTATGTGTCAGGTACCACACCAGACACTAAGGATGTGGAGCTGGACAAAGTAAACACAGTGCCTGTCCTCACAGAGTATGTAATCTAGTGGGGAAGGCAACATTAAACAAACAACTGCAGTAAGTGAATAATCACTATGTGTAAAGTGACATGAAACAGAAATACCAGATATTCTGACAGCATTGAACTTGGGGGACCTAACTGAGTTTAAGGGCTCAGGGACACACAAAGATTTATTGTTTATAGGAACTAAAAATTATAAATAAGCCACTTGTCCTAATATAGGGGATGTTGAATTGTGATAGCAGAACACCACTGTGGTTAAGCTCTGGTCTCCAGAGACAGGCCACCTGGATTCATATCCTTGCTCTGTCAGTTATTACCTGGGTGATCGTGGGCAAATTGATTAATCTCTCCACACTTCATGATTTATGTCCATAAAATGAGAACTCTACCTACCTCATAGGGTCATTGTGAGCATTAGTAGAGTTAATATCTCTAAAATGCTTAGGATGGTACAGTACAAAGTAAGTGAACAATAGATGTTAGCTATGTTAATAATCATATGACATACTATTATATAGCTGTTTGCAAAGAATATTTCAAAGAATTAAAAATCTTAAATATAGATAGTCTAGAAGAGCTTGTAATGAAAAGCATCAGTTTTCTTACCTAACACATACCATATTCTCAGTCCCACTCCCTAGAGGCAACCTCTTTTAACTATTTCTGGTCGTTAGTTTTTTTGGTGGTGAGTTTATGAAATCTAAACATTGCTCTTATATGTCTTTTCAAGTTATCAACTTCACACTATATTCATTTACTTTCTATTATGAACAATGATACTGATACCACCTCCCTCCCTTCCCTCTCCCAGTCCTTCCAAATCTGATACTTTTATTATTACTTTTAGCTATTCTATTGATTACCTTTGGGTCTTTAAATAAAATACCTGTATGTCTTCTTCCATCAGCTTTTTTTAAATTTAATTTTTAATCGAAGAATAATTGTGCATAGCTTAAAAACAACTCAACCTGTACTATAAAACATATTTTTAAAAAAGTAGTGTTTTGCTCCATCTCTCTTCATTCCAAAGTTCCATTTAATTTTTTTGCAACCTTGTGTGCAGAAGCTTGAGTTAATCACACTCATTAAATCACGTGTACACTATCATCGTTGATTTGTGCAACCTCTTCCTGTTTTATTTCATTCTTGAATTCTATCTCCATTTCTCTCTTCTGATAGAGAGCTGCTCTCATGTTTGATATGTACATTGAATTACTTTGTCTGCACTTTAGAATATGTAGTCTTTGTGTGTGCGTATATTAGTAATTTATATAATCATATTGTGCTATAAAGATTCTTTTTCCCATCCAGCACTGTGTTTTTAAGACCTATGCACGCTGCTGTGTGAACATCTCATTCATTCTTCTAACTGCTACATGGTGTTCTCTGGGTGTGTCTCCACCTGCCTAGTGGAGACAACCTAGTTATCCCCTGCCTAGTGGAGGCAACCATTTTCAACTCTTTAAACTATTTTTCTAATATTTACTTCCACACTTATAAGTTATATGCTTATTCTGCTTCTACTTCTTGATTTCTAGAATTATAGGTAATTATCTATTGATTTTCAACAATGAAGTAAAAATTTAGGTTTCTTGACACAACTCCCCTTCCGATGGCCTCTTCAACTTCTTTTCCACTCGTCTTCCCAATGTATTTGTGTCCCGGTTTTTGGCTCTGTCAATCTTTAGTGTCTTTATTATTAAGATTATGTAAATATTGTTTGAAGAAGAGCCTTAGTATCCACCTTTGTGACTCTTCCTTTCTTGGGCAACAGGATTACAGCATAGTGTTTAAGCACATGGACTGTGGAGCTGGACAGACTAGATTTGAATTCCGGCTCTGACACTTGTCACCTGTGTGCTTCTGGCCAAACTGCTTAACCTCTCTATGCCTCTGTTTCTGTAACTGAAATGTCTGATAGGGAATGTTTCACTTACTACTTCTACTTTATCTGAATTTTCCAGACCGTATTTTTCTTCCAGATGAACTTGGAAATTATTTAATTACATTTCCTCACCAAATTCCATTGAGATTTTAATTTAGGAATGATTGACATTTTTGCATCTTTTTTTTTCTCCAAAGACATAGTTTAGCTTTATATTTATTCAAGTCATCATTTAGAAAATATTTACAAATGCATTATTAATGTAAAAATTTATAAGAAATAGATGAAATGAAACTCTTCTTTACACCTGATCAATCCCAATATATTTTGTAACTGACTTCTATTGATTCTGTGATAAATTATATGTTCCCAGATAAACCCTGCCTATTCTAATTTTCTAACATCCTCTATCACTCACTCCTCTTTCTTGTTAGCTCATGTTCCCTGATAATATTTTTTTTTTTTTTTTTGAGAAAGGGTCTCACTTTGTCACCCAGGCTGGAGTGCAGTGGCACAATCACAGCTCACTGTAGCCTTAACCTCCTGGTCTCAAGTGACCCTCCCACCTCAGTATCCCGAGTAGCTGGGACTACTGGTGTGCGCCACTACGCCTGGCTAATTTATTATTTTTTGTAGAGACAGGGTCTTGCTATGTGGTCCAGGCTGGTCCTGAACTCCTGGGCTCAAGTGATTCTTCCACCTTGGCCTCCCAGAGTGTTGGAATTACAGGCGTGAGCCACCACGCCTGGCCTATTCTATCTATTCTTTAAGATTCATTTAAGTTCCCACCTGCTCCATGAAACTTTCTACTCTCTCTTAAGTCGTAATGCTTTTCCCTTTGCTGAGCACCTGCATCCGAACACTCTTTACTTTATTTTCTTAATCTTCCATGTGTTCACCAACTAGATTCTAAATTCCTTTATGTCTTCCCTTTATATTCTTCGCAGCCCTTACCTAGTTACACAGGTGTTCATTAAGTTATTTTAGGATGCACTGGTTAGTATTGGAGATTATCTGCTCTAACCTTCTCATTGTTTTAGATGAAAAAACTATAGGGTGATTAGTGCTCATGTTTCATTATCATGTCCCCAGCACTCTTCCTCAGCTACCCAAATTGGTAAGAGAACATACCCTCCTCCCACACTTATACACAGAGCACCCCCATCTTAGGCTGACTTGGGAGAGGTCAGAAGAGGAGATCTGGTTCAGCTGTTACTAAGATTGTAGCTTAAGAGATTTGAGGTATTAAATACTCTGTGCTCAAGCTGTTCATCTAATTTAATTAAATGGATTTTTGAAAGGGAAACTCTTCTTTCTCCAGGACTAACATTGGTATCACTTTTTGAAAACTAGCTTTTATTTATGAGAATTTTCAAAAGATTCCTCTTACCCAGGAAACTTAATAATATTTTGATTTGAATTCTGATTAATTCTGACATCTGAAGGACCTCTAGTGTGTGTTATTTTATTGGTTTCTGGAGGATGGGATGAATTTTGAAAAGTTTTCTAATACATAATTTTTAAGAAGGAATTATTTTGTTGTTGGCAGCACTAAAAACAGTCTTTTTCCCTTTGCTGTTCTGAGAAGTGTGAATCTGATTTTTAGTGGTAATTAAAGTAGCCTGCTCAAAGACTATTAACATTTGAGGCAGTTACATGAAATCTTTTCCCTGTGCTTTACACAGGAGAAGCATGTGAATCTGTTACATATCGAGTCCCGAAAATCAAAAAGAAGAAACTCAGAATTTGAGATTTTTGTTGACTGTGACATCAACAGAGAACAATTGAATGATATTTTTCATCTGCTGAAGTCTCATACCAATGTTCTCTCTGTGAATCTACCAGATAATTTTACTTTGAAGGAAGATGGTAAGTTCAAAATGTGAAAATACTACTTAGAAGATGAAACACCTAATGTGTGTCCAGCCTTATATTTATCTTGAAGACATTAAAATAATAAAACACAAGCTCTCCAAATTGCTTACAGTCTGATAGTGAAGGGAACACAAAATATAGTTGCTCCAGATACCAAAGAAAAATTATAAAGCAACATTTGATCAAGTGTAAGAGAAATGAAAAAGAAAATCTTGAGTATAAGAAACAGCTGGGTGTGGTGGCTCATGCCTGTAATCCCCGCACTTTGGCAAGCCGAGGCAGACTCACTTGAGTCCAGGAGTTCAGGACCATCCTGGGCAACATGGAGAGACCCAGTCTGTGCAAAAAATACAAAAACTAGCCAGGTGTGGTGGCATGCATCTATGGTCCCAGCTACTCTGGAGGCTGAGGTGGGAGGATCACCTGAGCCCAGGAGGTTGAGGCTGTAGAGCTGAGCCGAGATTGTACCACTGCACTCCCGTTTGGGTGACAGAACAAGACCCTGTCAAAAAAAAAAAAAGAAAGGAAAGAGAGAAAGAAAGAAAGAAAAAAGAAAGAAAAAGAAAGAAAAGAAAGAAAGAAAGAAAAAGAAAGACAGACAATTTGGCATAATCAGAAATTGATAATTGATTATCTCTCAATTTCCAAATCATCAACATTTCTTGATTTGACAAACCTATAATTCACAATCCCTGAGCACTTAGTAAGTCTCATAAGACTTGTCATCTAGCAGATAGTAAATGAATATTTAAATTTGTTGAGAATGTTGACAGTTGCTCACAACTATGAAATGACACACAATATGTATAGCAGGGGACTCGTCCGTGGCCTGTTAGGAACCAGGCTGCACAGCAGCAGGTGGGCAGCAGGCCCGGCGATCCTTACCGCCTGAGCTCCGTCTAGGAGCGTAAACCCTATTGTGAACTGCGAGTGCGAGGGATCTAGGTTGTGTGCTTCTTATGAGAATCCAATGCCTGATGAAACCATCTCCCACCTCCCCGTCTTTCCTTCTTGGAAAAATTGTCTTCCACAAAACCACTCCCTGGTGCCAAAAACAGGAACAACTGATGTACAGCATTCCTTCCAAAAGCAAATGGGAAACAATAAAGCCTTTTGAAGTTTCAGATACTCAGGTAGCAAAGATAAAGGTTAAGATCTCTACTGGTAAAAAAAAAATCCTTGGAGTTCACTCGAGGCAAAAGACAAATAGATAATTTAGGTACATTTTATATATGGTACTCAATCTAAAATAATCTCTTCAGATTATGTCCACAATATTTGAGGTGTAATCAGGACTGCTATTCATCTGCTATGTGTTCGTACAGCTATATAATTATTAAAATACTGATATATCTCCACTTCTGGCTGGCAGAGAGCTACTTCCCCAAGTCCCTTGAGGGCTCCTCACCATGCCTGAAGCCTCTGTTGCTCCAGATACTGTCCCCCCAAGAAGTCCCATACCCATCATTAACAACTAAAGGGTTAACACCTTGCAGAGCAGAAGCCTAGGACTCTGCTGATGTCTATTTTGAGTGATTACTGCTCCTTTTGTATTTGTTGTTAAATCCCTTGAATATCACTCCTGGATATGTTAGAAAGAGCAATATGCTGGGGCAAGAAGAGCTGAGTTCTAGTCCTCTGTATTCCAAAAGGAGTGAGTTACCTTGGATAAATTACCTCTCTGGAGTTTGATTACCTCATCTGTAAAATGCAGAGGTGTATAGATGACGAGATAGTTCAGTTGATATTTAGGGTATACCAACCTTGTGACAGATATTTCTACTAAAAAATAGGGATACAAAAAGATATAGTCTCCACCCTACAGTTGTTTCCAGTCTTTCATGTAAGACAGACATATAAACAGGTACATTATAATAAAACATAGTAAAAGCCTTTAGAGAGAAACATAACATCACAGGAACCCAGGGGACAGATAATTAGCTGTACCTACAGGGTGAGGGAAGGCTTTGCGGAATGAGAAGATCTCATTAGATTTGGGTCTTGAAGGATGTGACGGATATTCTCAGGAAAACAGAAGGGTAGGGTGGGGCAGGGAATGGGAGTGGAATAGCTATTCCAGGCAGAAAAGTAGCATTTATAAAACCCCATAGTCTTATGAGGGCTTGCGTGTCTGAGGAATGGTGAGAAGATCAAGGTGGCAAAGACAAATGATTTCTAAGATCTTTTCCATCGGCAAAAATAAATGAAGTTTTTATTAAGTTTGTACCTTGGTCTGTAAATAAAGTTGTGCATCTTTATTCTGCTTTTGTTGAATAACTAAATATGTAGCTTAAGCATTTTTAAAACTTTCAGTCTGTTTCTAAAGTACAGTATTTCTCCAAAACTTAGACATCAACCTGAAGACTCAAAAAAAAATTAAAGCTCAGAAATTTTGAATAAATTTTACTTTTTAGAAATAGGGCAATTTACCTAACTCATATAAATCTTGCCTTGATGTACAAGCTAAAATTAAAACTCTCATCCAACTGAATTTAATTTTATCTTCTTTATTGTCTTGTTTAAGATTATCTCTTCAACTTTTACTGGTTTTTATTTTATTTTATTTTAAATTTTACAGGTATGGAAACTGTTCCTTGGTTTCCAAAGAAGATTTCTGACCTGGACCATTGTGCCAACAGAGTTCTGATGTATGGATCTGAACTAGATGCAGACCATCCTGTAAGTATTTTCTTTTTTTTTAAGAGCAAGTCTTGCTCTGCTGTCCAGACTGGAGTGCAGTGGCACGATCTCGGCTTACTGCAACCTCTGCTTCTTGGGTTCAAGTGATTCTCCTGCCTTAGCCTCCCAAGTAGCTGGGATCACAGGTGCCCACAACCACACCCAGCTAATTTTTGTATTTTTAGTAGAGATGGGGTTTCACCATGTTGGCCAGGCTGGTCTCAAACTCCTGACCTCAGGTGATCCACCTGCCTTGGTCTCCCAAAGTGCTGGGATAACAGGCATAAACTATCACCCAGTAAGTATGTTTAATAAATATTTTTATAAAAACAATTTAAAGCAAACTAAAAATTAAGGGCAACTTTTTTAGAGAAAGTGTTTTTTCTAGACTAAATGAGACATTGTTTTAATCAAGATTTCAACAAGCGGGCCGGGTGCAGTGGCTCGCGCCTGTAAGCCCAGCACTTTGGGAGGCCGATGCGGGTGGATCACGAGGTCAGGAGATCGAGATCATCCTGGCTAACATAGTGAGACCCCGTCTCTACTAAAAATACAAAAAAATTAGCCGGGCGTGGTGGCGGGCGCCTGTAGTCCCAGCTACTCGGGAGGCTGAAGCAGGAGAATGGCGTGAACCTGGGAGGTGGAGCTTGCAGTGAGCCGAGATCACACGACCGCACTCCAGCCTGGGCAACAGAGTGAGACTCTGTCTCAAAAAAAAAAAAAAAAAAAAAAAAAAGATTTCAACAAGTGTTAGTAGACCTCCATATTGGTGGAATTGAGACTAACTGCCTGAAAAACATGTAGCTTCATTTGTTCCAAAATATCTGTCCCATGCCCAGCATTCCTATTATTAAGAGCTATTCAAAAGGTTATACTAAAACGAAGACAGCATCTGCAATCAGTTTTTATTTAAATGAGCATGGGTTATTGGAAAGGGAGATAAATAAAAGTGGGCCAGAGAAAGACTTGCCCCCCACACTGCCCACCATGATTGGTTTATTAGGCAGTTGATGAACTAGGAAGTTGTTTCCTGAGAAAATTGTACAGTACAGGCAAGAGTTGGAGAATTAGTAAATCTAGAGCATTTCTGGGAGGGGAGGAGAGAAGAGAGTGCAATTGTGAAGTTAAACTGACCAGAGCTTTAATGTAGCTTCTCTCATGTGTTAGCTGTGTGAATGTGACCTTTTTATACTACCTTAGACAGCCACTAGATGATCTGTCCAATTATTCTATAATCTTATTGAATAACTATTGCAATTAATTGCAGTACTTGCCGGAAAGGAGCATGTAGTCTAGTTGAAAAGCTAAAGCACACATATGTAAATAAACACACACAAGATAAAATGTAAAAAGTGCACTAGGTGAAAATTTTGCTTCATGAAAAAATTGCCTCAAAATACACATAAGAGAGCAAACACTTCTAGCTGAAGAGATCAGAGAAAGGCGACATTTCAATTGGGCCTTAAAAGATTTCAGGAGATAAGAGATGGAAAGGAAGAACAATTCAGGAGGGAACAATATGAGCAAAGGTTCAGAGGCAAGAAAATCTGGGGCATGTTTATGGAAAGGTGAGTACATCAGTTTTACTGATCTACTAAGTCCTGCTGATTTTCACCTCCTAGGTATTTCTTAAATGTGTTCCTTATTCATCCCTACTACCACATCCCTTAAACTGGTCTCCCTTCTTTTAGCCTTGTCACCTTCAAACACCTCCTCCTTATCCTCATTAGAATGACCTAAAACCTCAATATGACTATTATTCATCTTCTCTCTTAAAAATCACCAATGGCTCCTAGGTACATACTTAAAAGAATTGAAAATATATGTTCCTACAAAAACATATACACAAATGATTGTAGCAGCCTTATTCATAATAGCAAAAAAGTGGAAACAACCCAAACATCCATTAACTGATAAATGGATGAAGCATGGTATATTTATATAAGCAAATATTATTGGCCATAAAAAGAGATGGAATACTGGTATGTGCTACAACATAGATGAACCTTGAAAACATTATGATGAATGAAAGAAGCTAGTGACAAAAGGTCCCATATTGTATGATTCCTTTTATATGAAATGTCTAGAATAGAAAAATACATAGAAATAGACAGTGGATTACTGGTTGCCAGGAGCTGAGGAGGGTTGGGGTGGAGTTGGAGAGTGATTGCTAATGAGCATGGTGTTTCTTTTTGGGTGACAGAATCTTTCTGAAATTAGATGATGGAGATGGTTGTTTAACTCTGTGACTATCTAAAAACCACTGAATGGTTATTTTATGGTATGTGAATTATACCTCAATAAAGTTATTTAAAAAACACCAGTGGGTTCCCATTACCCAAGGCTAAACTCCAAGCTCCTTAATGGACCTTTAATTTGCAGACACCAACTAGTTTCAACATGCTCTGCCTTACTCTCCAAGTTTGAGCAACATGGGGTTGCTTATATTTTCTTAGGCACAACATGCTGTTTTTGTTTGTTTGTTTGTTTGTTTGTTTTAATCACTGTGCTATTTCCACTCTTCTTTTGTGTCTTAGCTCGAGAGTCATCACTGGGAAGCCTTCCCTGAACCACACAATCGTCTTAAGTGTGCATGCCGTTCTGTACAATATGATGAGACATTTATTGTATCATTTTACAATAACAGGTTCATGTAAACTCCTTTAAGCCCCAGACTGTGCTTTGTTCATATCTGTTTTTCCAGATTTTAGCACAAATCATAGTAAATCTGTGCTACCTCATAGATCTGTATTAAAGAGATGAGTCTCATTCTCTCTTTTCAGATGTCCCCTTCTTTCCCATTATTTGCATTTTTTTCTCCTGGGCTTTGATTTTTGATTTTTTTTTTTTTCAAGATAGAGTCTCCCTCTATTGCCTAGGCTGGGATGCAGCAGCACCATCATACCTCACTGCAGCCTAGAATTCCTGGGCTGAAGCCATCCTCCTGCCTCACCTTCCTGAGGAGCTGGGACAACAGGCATGCACCATCACACTTGGCTAGTTATAATTGTTATTTTAAATTTTTTTTGTACAGACAGGGTCTCCCTTTGTTGCCCAGGCTGGTCTCAAACTCCTGGGCTCAAGTGATTCTCCTTCGTAGGTCTCCCAAAGTGTTGAGATTACAGGCCTGAGCCACCATGCTCAGCCATTTTGTCTAAAAAAATTTTTTTTCATGAGTATAAATTCTAATGTTACTATTTTGTCTGCTTTTTAAATCATCATTGTTTCTGCAAATGGCAAATATATTTGCATTTTGTGATAAAATCTAAGGCTAGATTCAGTTAAGTCACTATTTCAAATATTAATTACTTTTTATTATTAATTACTATTACAGGTAAATATAACAAGATATAGTCAAATGATTAAGGAAAAAACCCCTCACCCTTGGAAAAGAGCCATGTATTTAACTGGGATGGTGGTTTACTTATTCTTTAAACTGTTTTATCTTTGTAGGCACAATTCCATCTTTGTATCCATTATATCTTTTATCTTTGTAGCTACTGGAGTATAAAGCTGTCATGTAACATTGACTTTAAAATAAAAATGATCATAAATCTCTAAATAATGCTTGCTCATAGTATCAATTATGTAGCCCTTTAATATAATAGCTCTAGTAATAATGAAATGTTTCCCAAATATCATTTGTCAAGTATTTTTTAGTATGGATATTTAAAAACATATCTTTAATTATCAGGGCTTCAAAGACAATGTCTACCGTAAACGTCGAAAGTATTTTGCGGACTTGGCTATGAACTATAAACAGTAAGTATATTTAAAAAAATATAGTCAACTTTGAGATAATAAAATAAGTGAATAGAATAAATTGTGTTCATTTGGTAAGTAGAAAGTGAAATAAGTGCCACTATTTATTAAATGCTAATTCAAAACAACTCCTTCCCTTTATCTCATTAGTGGAGACCCCATTCCAAAGGTTGAATTCACTGAAGAGGAGATTAAGACCTGGGGAACCGTATTCCAAGAGCTCAACAAACTCTACCCAACCCATGCTTGCAGAGAGTATCTCAAAAACTTACCTTTGCTTTCTAAATATTGTGGATATCGGGAGGATAATATCCCACAATTGGAAGATGTCTCCAACTTTTTAAAAGGTAATAAGCTAATTAATTTTTTGTAAGGGAGTTGCTGAACTCTGTTTTGATCATGACAGCATTTTTTTTTTTTTTTTTTTTTTGAGACAGAGTCTCTCTTTCTGTTGCCCAGGCTGGAGTACAGTGATGCCATCTTGGCTCACTGCAGCCTCTGTCACTGCAGCCTCTGCCTCCTGGGTTCAAGCGATTCTCTTGCCATGGCCTCCCAAAGTGCTGGGACTACAGGCACCTGCCACCACACCCTGCTAATTTTTGTATTTTTAGTAGGGATGGGGTTTCGCCATGTTGGCCAGGCTGGTCTTGAACTTCTGACCTCAAGTGATCCACCCTCCTCAGCCTCCCAAAGTGCTGGAATTACAGGCGTGAGCCACCACACCCGACAATGACAGCATTTTTAATAGGGGAATAAAGCGTAGTGATATGGGAGGTCAGAATTTTCCCGTACTCTGTCCTGGTGTATTGGATCCAGGATTGGGCACCACATTGAAGGATAATCATAACCTGCAGCCAAGGTAGAGGAAAGTGAGCAGAATTATAAGGGGATTTGAAATTGCATCACATATAAAATTTGAAGAACTCTTAGGGTGTTTAACCTAGAGATTTAGGGGCTGTTATAGCTTTATTTAAATATTTGAAAGCCATCTTTATAACAGAGGGATTACTGTGCGACTCTAAAGTAAAGGACTGTTGGATAGAAACTTCAAGCTTTTGGCCTAGAATAGAGAATATCTTGTTAAAGAGTGATTTGAAAATAGAATAGGCTGATGAGATGGTTAGTTCCTCATCCGTGGGGGTGTTCATGCAAAAGCTCCACACCCATTATTTGGTAGAGGAGATTCAAACATCTTGGAGAAGGTTGAAGACATTTTCCACATTAAGATTTTATAATTTTAGCAAGAAAAAAGATGGTGCTAGTAGAGGCATAAACAAAGGGTAAGGACAATTTTGTTCCTTTTAGTTCTTTATATTTGTTTGATCCAGGCCTCTTTACTTTTTTCTAGCTAGTATAGGAAGTAAAATGATCAGTGATCTATCTTCAAGGGTTTACAATATTTAAGAAGTATAAATTTTCCCTTTTATCTCAGTAGATAATCTCAGCAGATTACCATAGTGGAGAAAACAAAGCAGTTATGCTGTGACTCAAGAGAGTTTAGTTTATTTCCATCGTGGTCTGAAATTGCTGTCTTTGAGTTTCTCTCATAGACTTAAAAAAATCTACATATCTATTTAACTCCTTAACAGTATTCAACAACTATACACAAAACTAGAAGAAATAAACAGGAAAGAGCAATACAGTTTCTACAAGGGAAGAAATTATGTAAGTGGTTTCTATAAAAACTAAACTTTTGAGAAATAGTGATTAAGGATGATAGAGAACCAATGCACATAACATTGCTGGACTTACAAAGATGGACAAATATATGCTACGGAAGTTGTAACATCAAATTTGCATGAGATTTGGAGGAAACGCTTTGTAATGCACACAAAACTGAAAGCTGATCTCTTAGGGTCTGGAGCCTGGGCTGGCTGCAGAATGTGCTGCTGAAAATGCTTCAAGGTCAAATACCAAAGAGAAATCAAAACTAACAGAAAGTTCAAGCAAAAGTTGGAAGGGGATATCTGCACTATTAAATATGGTAGACACTAGAAACATTTGGTTGTTTAAAATTTAAATAACTAAAATAAATGTAAATCAAGAGTTTGGTTCCTCAGTCACACTAACCACATTTCAAATGCTCAATGGCTACATGTGGCTAGTAGTTGCCTTACCGGACAGCACAGATATGGAACATTTCTATCACTATGGAAATTTTTACCGGACAGTGCAGTCTGCCCATCAGAATGGGAGCATCCAAATACAACACAGCTGGATGGAAGTGGAATACCAGAGTTGTGAGGGTTTGGAATGAAGGCCAAGATTAGGGCTTACAGGGGTCTCCTGAACCACTGAATCCTAGTGGCAGGCCTCTTTTACAGTATGCATGCAGTCTTGGCTGTTGGGAGATGGAAGGGCACTATCCAGTTTAGATAAAAGAAAGGGACTACTTTACAAGAGATGGTACTGGCTAAAAATGGCACAGCTTCAAAAATCGTTCTGATTTAAATGAATACATCTTGTTAATGATTTTTTACAAAAAGAAGATTATCTAGGAGATAGTATAACCCCTTAAGGGAGACAGCAAGGTGTTGTATGGCATGAGGAAATCTGAGTTTTCATTCTGCCTTTATCAACTAATGTGTGGACTTGGGCACATTATTGAGTCTCTGAGCCTCCATTTCATAGTTGTCACAATAAGGAGAAACATCCTTAAGTCATGCTGTAAATGTGAAAGGAGATGTGATATGTAAAAGGTCTAACTCATTGCCTGGCCATAGCAAGTGCTTAATAATAATTAGTTCCCCTTAATATGCATATGATAAATTATAGTTTCCATGCCTTCCATCAACGTGTTACTTGGTGCCACTAGCAGAACTAAAATGCTGCAGTCAGGGGTCTATTCTGGTAAAGATTTTCTTTGTTTTCTCCTTTGCTTTGCAGAGCGTACAGGTTTTTCCATCCGTCCTGTGGCTGGTTACTTATCACCAAGAGATTTCTTATCAGGTTTAGCCTTTCGAGTTTTTCACTGCACTCAATATGTGAGACACAGTTCAGATCCCTTCTATACCCCAGAGCCGTAAGTACTTCTATTTCAGCCAGGAATTCATCAAATGGTTATTTATAATAATGGCATCTACCTTATGGGTTCTTTTTTTTTTTTTTTTTTTTTTTTGGTGTGCGAGGATTAAATAAATTAGCACATGTGAAGCATTTAGAATGGTACCTGGCATGAAATACATGTTCCATGCTCTATATGTGTTAGCCATTATGATTATTAATTGACAACCTATTAGGTGCTAGCTGCTATTCTGAGCATAGGGAATGTAACACTGAAAAAAATCAGACACAAATTTCTGCCTGCATAAAGCTTGTATTCCAGTGGGGGAAACAGATAATAAACAAACAAGTAAATGTATGCAAATGTTGCATCGAGTGGTGTTGAGTCCCATGGAGAAAAATAAAGCTGAGAAAGGGGGATGGAGGAAAGTGTAGGTGGGTGGGAGTGTGTGTGTGTGTTGCTGTTTTGAAAAGGGTGATCAGGGAAGGCCTTGCTGAGAAGGTGATATCTGAGCAGAGATCTGATTTGGGTGTGTATGTGGTGGGGTTGGGTGTTGGGGGTTGTGGTTTTGGGAGTGGCATGTGGATGTCCATAGGTATCTGATGTGCACTTATATGTGTGAGTCTGAGTGGCCAAGGTTTTGAACCAAAATTGTTTCTTTATTTGATTAGTGTCCTTTGTGATCCATTACTAAAGTATTATCACCCGATCATTAGAATAAAATATTGGATTTCGATTTGATTGAATGGTTGATTATAAACGTATGTTAAGCACTGCAGCGTGACAAACTTGTACCTCTCTTTCAGAGATACCTGCCATGAACTCTTAGGTCATGTCCCGCTTTTGGCTGAACCTAGTTTTGCCCAATTCTCCCAAGAAATTGGCTTGGCTTCTCTTGGCGCTTCAGAGGAGGCTGTTCAAAAACTGGCAACGGTATAAATCTGGAATTAGCTATATTTTCACCTGGGGTAGGGTGTATGAGTATCTGTGTAGTTTAAAAGTACATATTCAGAATGACCATTAGAAAATTTGTCTTTGCTTGGAGGTTGCAGTGAGCCGAGATTGTGCCACTGCACTCCAGCCTGGGCAACAGAGAGAGACTCTGTCAGAAAAGAAAAGAAAAGAGAGGAAAGGATAAAAAAGAGAAAAGAAAGAGAAGAGAAGAGTAAAGAAAGGAAAAGAAAATTTGTTTTTGCTCATAATCTTTAATTCAAATAACATTAAAGAAGGATGTAAAATTTTAAGGTTTATCAAAAGGAGACATGAGCTTTAAAAAAGGTAGAGAAAAACAAGATTACAATAATAGGTTATCTATCTTTTATTTTCCAATAAAAAGGATAGGTTTCCTTAAAATTATGCTAAAGTGTTTTTGAGTACTAGGTACAAGACACTGTGCTGGAAATACAAAGATGAGTAAGGCCTGGTTTCTACCTTTAAGGAGCTTATATACTGTTTGAGGAGACAGTTATGTCAAATGAGATAGCCTATAGCAAAGTTCACATTGCTCTGGGAGCATAGAGAACCTGGGGAAGGTTTCCTGGGAGAAGGACATCTGGATTAGTTGATGGAAAATGAGTGATGTGCTCAGCAAGGAAGGAAGAAATGCATCTCAGGATGAGGGCACACAAGGAAAGACAAGGTGGTGCTTGGTGTGTCTGGGGAAACAGCAAGAAGCTGGAGCAGAGTGTCCAAGAGTGAGGGAGGCAGCGTGAAATAGAATAGTGCTTCTAAAACTGTGGTTTGGGGACCTCTGGGGTCCCTGAGACTCTTTTATGGGGTCCTTGAGGTCAAAATCATGCCTAGATAAAAGATCCATTCAAAGCACACAGTGGATTTTAATGTAACAGGCAGTTCATTGACATAATTCAGATTCCACATTGCCGTTGAACTTTTGAGAAACTCTATCCACTTGTTGAGTCTTCATGCAGAGTAAAAGGAGAATATCCACAACTATCCAAAAAGACTGTTAAGATATTCAATGCTTTTCTAACTAGATAACCGCATGAAGCTGATGTAACTCATGTACTCAAACAGTATATCCCAAAAGGTTAACTACAGAAGCAGACACGAGACTCCATCTGTCTTCTAGCCAGACATTAAAAAGGTTTATAACATTGTGAAACAATGCTACTTTTCTTAGTTTTTTGTTTTGTATAATATAGTTATTTGTATTAAAACATTCTTTGTTACCATAAAATGAGTTTATTAAATTTTAAAATGAATTAGCAAGCATTTTCCTCTCAGTTTTAATTTTTAATATGGCTAATATAGCTAGTGATAACCTACACATACACGCACAACAAAAGCTTTGGGGTCCTCTAATTTTTAATAGTACGTAAAAGTCATCAGAACAGAAGTTTGAGAAGTACTGGTTTAGAATGAGGTCAGATTGTAGAAAGACTTGTGAACTAGACTGGGATTTTGGACTTTATTCTAGGGTATTTTGGGTCAGTGACTAAGAATTGTAATTTGTTTTAAGTTGAATTCGTCAGTGTGTGAGAATAATATTGATGTTCTTTTGCAGTGCTACTTTTTCACTGTGGAGTTTGGTCTATGTAAACAAGATGGACAGCTAAGAGTCTTTGGTGCTGGCTTACTTTCTTCTATCAGTGAACTCAAAGTAAGAGTTGCAAATCTTTGTATATAACCATATTCACCTAACATAATTGATAAAACCTGAAATAGTTTTTGCTTTTGAACAAGAGCTTACTATGGAACATACTTGGGGATGTCACTAATCATTACCTGAATGTATTTTTCTCTATTTCCCAATTATATATTATATCATATAATCCAAATATGTGTGTGTGTATATGTATAGATAGATAGATAGATAAAATAAGAATTTTATAAGGGCATTTATGGGGAACAGCAAGCTACTTCTTTTGCTGGAGTATACTGTGGGTTGAATAGAGCTGTGGAAAATAAGTTTGGAATTGTAGGTTGGAGCCATTGCATTAGTAATACACACACACATGAAATATTTTGATATATTTCTGATATATATGAAATGGTATGTGTATATTTTAAGTAAAAACTGTTTTAAAATCTTTGCTTACAAAGTCTTGCTGTTTCCTCATCATTTCTGATATGCTAGCAATAACTTCTATAATTTCTAGGGAATTCTTTGAGATTTATTATTTATTCAATGAATAAATAAACTCAAGTTTGTTGAGTAATGAATGTGTATGAAACACCATCCAAGGTACTGTCTTGCTTTCAGGGAGCACTTGATGGTGGGTATATAAGTCATACATAGGAATAACTAGTGTTGGGTAGAAAGTAGGTGCCATAATACAGGAATAAATAAATAAAGATCCTTGGGTGCCTTTTACACAAAGAAGAGAGGAAGAACAAAGCCATGGAGAGGATCTTGGGGGTATTTACAGGGAAGGGCAAGCCATTTTTTTTGCTGGAGTGTACTGTGGGTTGAATAGAGCTATAGGAAATAAGTTTGGAATTGTAGATTGGGGCCATTGCATTAGTAATATGTTTAGAGGTGAGCCAATTATGGAAGTTGCATGATCTATGAAAAATAGATATTATTCTTTGATTCACTGACTCTTTGTCTTCTAGCATGCACTTTCTGGACATGCCAAAGTAAAGCCCTTTGATCCCAAGATTACCTGCAAACAGGAATGTCTTATCACAACTTTTCAAGATGTCTACTTTGTATCTGAAAGTTTTGAAGATGCAAAGGAGAAGATGAGGTACAGTATATCTTCTTCACGCCTTCATTTTCTTCAGGGAAAGATCAGCCCCATTATGGTAACAAGTCACAGAAGTAAGCAGCTAGATAATTTGAAGCCCACAAGGAGCCTTCTGTCTGTAACACATCTTCCTTTCATAACAAGTATCTAGAGTATGTTGTATATAAGGATTTTGCATAGTTGCAAATATGAATCAGATACATTGAGAAATTGTTTTCTTTCCAATTCTTCCAGTCAGAGAGTTTAGTAGTCTAATAGGGAAAATAGATGATATGCAAATTACTGTATAACAACATGGAAAATGACAAGAGCCTTGGAGAGATACAGATGAAACATTGTTCTGCATTTTATTCAAGAGCAATTCATTTCAGGTGGACAAACAGGGTAACCTTAATGTTATTTGAGAAAGGACTTGAAGGATAGGTAATATTTAGATATATTAAGTTTTAGACTGAGAGTTAGCATGAAAAAAGGTCAGGATGTTGAGAAATATAGGAGATATGTACAATGTAATCAAAGCTACGCTTTATTAATCAGCTAAGTGTGTGGTTAAGAAAGGAGGATATTGGAGGCAGAGAAACTTTTTAGAAGATTCTTGGAACACTTCAGGCGAAAATAAATGCCTGAACTAAGACAGAAGTAGTAGGAAAAGAAAAGACTTTTGAAGGAGAATCAATGAGACAACATTTAGTGGAAGCAGTCATGAGGTCACATTGTGATGATGGAGATCGATAGGGGTTGAAGTCATAGTCCTTGTCTTTCAGAGAAACCATTAGTTGGGGAGTTAGGCCATTCATGAAACCAAATAATAATACTAGCAGGGATTCCTCTAGCATAAATGTCAACTTTTTAGAAAAGGGGGTCCCCTCTGTAGACCAGGTGGATTATGAGTTGGATTTCAGCTGCTACTGATGTATAGTTGTCCTCAGCTTCACATTTATCCCTAGGAGTCCTGGACATGATTGTTCCTGGGGGTGCCAAATGAGAGGTTCAAACAGTGATTTGATAAAGGAGGCAGAACTTTAATGCTTGAAAAAGGGGCAGAATTTAGGTCATTTGAAAGGGGCCTAGAGGGAAACATTCTAAGCAGAAAAAATCTAACATGTGCAGGAGGTAGGACCATTCCTAGTCTATTTTGGGGTGTGTGAGTATGTGTGTGTGTGTGTTATATGTTATATAAACACACAGGTTACATATGTGAGTAGGTATAGTTATATAAGGCATGACTGAGGGATCTGTTACTATGTGGTTAAGTGTTGTAATGAAACAGTTTTACGTCTACTGATAAAACTACAGTAGTTGGTCTCCTTACTGTAGTCAAGAGATGTATACAGTAATAAATGATTAAGAAATCCATCTATGGGATCTTTCCCTAGTAATACCAGGGATTTACAACTACTTTATAATGTAAAGTACTTATAACTATTTTATAACTACTTCAGGTTTCCCACTTGTGTGGGATTCCAGGGGACCTCTGCAAATGTAGTGTAGAGAAGTAGGTCAGATTGGTTGTACACATATCTAACAAGAATTTGTTTTTTGCCTAGTATGTGAAATATATTCTGTTGTTTGTTTAGTTTTCATCATTCACTCCCTAGAAATTGATTGTCTCCTATTTGTTTTCTTAAATAGAGAATTTACCAAAACAATTAAGCGTCCATTTGGAGTGAAGTATAATCCATATACACGGAGTATTCAGATCCTGAAAGACACCAAGAGCATAACCAGTGCCATGAATGAGCTGCAGCATGATCTCGATGTTGTCAGTGATGCCCTTGCTAAGGTCAGCAGGAAGCCGAGTATCTAACAGTAGCCAGTCATCCAGGAACATTTGAGCATCAATTCGGAGGTCTGGGCCATCTCTTGCTTTCCTTGAACACCTGATCCTGGAGGGACAGCATCTTCTGGCCAAACAATATTATCGAATTCCACTACTTAAGGAATCACTAGTCTTTGAAAATTTGTACCTGGATATTCTATTTACCACTTATTTTTTTGTTTAGTTTTATTTCTTTTTTTTTTTGGTAGCAGCTTTAATGAGACAATTTATATACCATACAAGCCACTGACCACCCATTTTTAATAGAGAAGTTGTTTGACCCAATAGATAGATCTAATCTCAGCCTAACTCTATTTTCCCCAATCCTCCTTGAGTAAAATGACCCTTTAGGATCGCTTAGAATAACTTGAGGAGTATTATGGCGCTGACTCATATTGTTACCTAAGATCCCCTTATTTCTAAAGTATCTGTTACTTATTGCTGAATTTGTGCCAAGCTCAATCACATTCACACTAAAATTTAACAGGAGACCCTGCTGTCTTTGTTGCTAGCATGAGCAAAAGTATAGAGGCCTTTGCACATGGAGGATACCTAGTAAAGAGCAAGTAGTCTAGTTTCAAGTGTAGTATCTTGTAGGGAAATGGGAGTAGCTAAGCCTGGAAAGGTTGAATGGGGCATAATCATTAAGACTAGGCTAAAAATTCGAGACTTTATTTTTTAGGCATTAGGGAGCCCCTTCCCAAGTGACTATCTTCCTTGAAACTTTGTTTTCTTTCAATGACATCACACGATACTGGTTTTATTCTGGACTATCTATCCTACTCATGGGTCCAAGGGAAACTTAGTAGAGATGCGACTTGCATGGGGCTGTACTCAGACATGTGGTCCTAGGTATTATAATGGGATTGTCCCCAGATTAACAGGAAGCATTGTTATCAAAGGAAGAGTTCAAACTGAGATAGATAAGAGAAGCACAAAGTAAAAGATAGAAAAAACAGTGCTGAGTACTTTATTTCTAAGGTATAAGGTGAGGCCATAAACAGAAAGGTATGCAATGAGAGTAGAGGCTGCAGAAAAGGGGAGGAAATAGAATGTCAGAAAGGTCAAGAAGAGTGGTTTAGGACTGAGACTGTAAGTAATGTAAGGATTGCCAAGGAATGGTTTTTATGCAGAGTCAGCTGTGTAGCACAGGGAGTAAGCAGTCCTGTTATAAATGGGTGAAGCTGAACTCCAAAATACAAACTTATGTCTCTTTAATTTGCCCCTTTCCTCCCTCTAGTCACTAAATGAAGATGTTCTTCAAGTTTCTGTCTTTGCACTTCTACTCTTTTTGCCATCTCTTCATGGGGAATGTCACCCAGATACATGACTTCAGTTCTTATTTTGAATGACTCCTCTATTTGCAGTTATAACCCTGACATCTTTCTTGAATTTTTTTGCCCCTTAATTCCAACGAACTCCTGGATGTCTATGTAGATGTCTCATAATTTAGGCCAATGCTGTACAACTTCATGTGGCATCATCCACATAGAATGAATAGGGGTTGTTCAATATGACAGCCCTGCCAAGCATCTCAAATTGAACAGGTCTATAAAGGAACTCAGAATCACTTGAATATCACAGTCCATCAGCTTCCTTTCCCAGTAATTTAATTTCCATTAATGGTATATTAAACATCGTATTTTCAATCATTTTTAGGTTTAGTCAGCTACTTAAAAATAGGCTTTTTCTTCACATAAATAAATTGTATACCATTTAATGTGTTTTATTTCAACAGACTAATAGATCTTTTAACACTTCTTAGTCCTCAAAATAAATTATTAAAAACTTTGTATTTCATGTCATATTATATAAGGAAATAGAATTTTGAAGAATAATTCATGCTGTTTTAAATTTTTACATTGTACATTTTAATAGCTAATCAACTCTTAAGTATACATTTGATGGTAAATAGATGCTAGCTAATCTAGAATCATTTGAAATATTGATTATCTGATTTATAGTTTGGTTGCAAGGAAATCTACTGTAAGCAAATCATAATAGATAGCAAATCTTAGAACATGTAGAAAAAAAGAAATTAAAAAAAGCAAATCTTAGAACATGTAGAAAAAGGAAATTAAAAAATAGATAGCAAATAACACAAATTATGCATACTATATGTGGTTATTTTCATACAACTTTGATAACGGTGAAGAATCATACTTATTGAATTTTAAAATGATGATGTTTAAAATCACTCTATGACTAAAGCACATGAGAATAAATGTTAAAGGCACAGCCTTATAATCCACAACTTCAGAACAATGGAATTTTTTTTTTTTTTTTTTTTTTTTTTTTTTTTTTTTTTTTTTTGAGACGGAGTCTTGCTCTGTCGCCCAGGCTGGAGTGCAGTGGTGCGATCTTGGCTCACTGCAAGCTCCACCTCCCAGGTTCACGGCATTCTCCTGCCTCTGTCTCCTGAGTAGCTGGGACTACAGGCGCCCGCCACCACGTCCGGCTCATTTTTTGTATTTTTAGTAGAGACAAGGTTTCACCGTGTTAGCCAGGATGGTTTCAATCTCCTGACATTGTGATCTGCCCACCTCGGCCTCCCAAAGTGCTGGGATTACAGGCGTGAGCCACTGCACCCGGCCAAACATTGGAAATTTTTAATGATGGATTTCAGTTCTTCTCACCTCTGGGTATTTGTAATATTTGGTAAATCAGGAGTCCTGAGAGTCTTAGAATTTTCATGCATTTTAAATATATGTCTTCAAAGCACCTAGGAATATGTAAATAGTTACCCAAATGTGAGAACAGAATTGAACTAAAAGCTTCGTTTATAATTTTTTTTTTTTTTTGAGACAGAGTCTCACTCTGTTGCCCAGGCTGGAGCGCAGTTGCGTGATTTCAGCTCGCTGCAACCTGGGACTGCAGGCGTGCTTCACCATGCCCCGCTAATTTTTGTTTTTTTAGTAGAGATGGGGTTTCGCCATGTTGGCCAGGCTGGTCTCGAACTTCTGACCGCAGGTGATCCATCCGCCTCGGCCTCCCAAAGTGCTGGGATTACAAGCATGAGCCACCATGCCCAGCCGGTTAATAATTCTTAATCAGTAAATCATTATTCAAAGACATAGTTAATATCTTCATGACTTCTTAAGGATGCTCAAAAGCTGGTCTTCAGAATACCTACATTTCTTTATCTACATATTCTGTCATTTGGAGTTATACAAGTAGTAATGACACACCAAAATGTAAATAATTATTGTTAGCTTTTAAGTTGGCTTCCAAATTCAAAAAAGAAAAAAATCCTGAATTCTCTAAAGGAACATATGATAGAGTCCATATGTTAATTCATAGGAAGTGTTTAAGGTACTATGGTCTATTTTGGTCTAATCTTTGTTTTACTATGTAATATATATTTATGATTTACAAGTTTGTTATTCAGTGGGATAATAAATGAACACAAAATTTATGTTCTCAACCAATGTTTACTTTTTTTCAAACATACGTTAAAAATTTATTTAAAGTTACATTAGCAATTTTATTAGTTTAGGAAATCCATTGTATCTTTATACTTCTTAAAAAGCCTATGGATATGAGATAGAAGCCAAACATATCTGGAACCTGGTAACCACTTTTCAGAGTTCTTCGTAAAGTCTGTGTTATGTTCCTGTCAACGAAAAGAGTCAAACACAGTAAAGTATTTGAAGAGCCAAATATGAGTGACCATGGCCCATGACACAGCCCTTAGGAGACCCTGAGAACATGTGCCCAAGGTAGTCAGGGTACAGCTTGGTTTTATACATTTTAGGGAGACATGAGACTTCAGTCAAATACATTTATAAGATACACTGGCTCAGTCCAGAAAGCTGGGATAATTCAAAGTGTTGGGTGGGAGGTTTCCAGATTATAGGTAGTTTTAAAATTTTTCTAATTGGCAATTCATAGAAAGGAATGTCTGGGTTGCTGTATGAGTTTGTGGAGACCAGAGTTTTATCATGCAGATGAAGCCTCCAGATGGCAGGCTTCCAAGAGAACAGACTGTCAATTTTTCTTATCAGACTTAAGGTCTGTGTTGATGTTAATGCTGGAGAGGTATAAGGAGGCATGTGCGTGACCCCACTTCCAGTCATGGCCTGAATCAGTGTTTCGGGTTACATTTTAGAGTGCCCTGGCCTAGAAGAAAGTCCATTCAGATGGTTGGGGGGGGCCTTAGAATTTTATTTTTGGTTTACACTCCTCATCTGTAAAATGAACTAAGTCTACTACACTAGATTATTGGAGAAGTTATGCTGCAAGAGGACTTTGTAAAAAAAAAAAACTCATTTTCCACATGTAAAGAATTACTAATACAATCACTCTCTTAACAGATATTCCCCCTTAGCTTCTAGATGATTTTATCTTCCACAAGAGGGTATTAATTTTTGCTTCTAGTAGGCAGTATATAATGGCATGGTAAAGTCTGAGTCCAATTAGGGATTGAGCCAAAGAGAAGTTGAGCTTCAGTCTTTGTGAGGGCTGGTCTATTTCCAGTTCACCTTGACTTTTAGGGTGTAGCCCTTTAGGGATCTCAAGAGAAAACTATGAGTGTGTACCAGGGCTTCTCCTTGGGGGCTCTGGACTACTACTTTTGTCCCCTCCTTCATGTCCACCATTCCCTCCTCCCATCCCTACCCTATGAGATTGCTAAAGGTACTGCTCAGCTTCTTAGTTGTTGATTTCAGCCCAGTTTCTTAGCCTCCAAGACATTGCTTAGTAATTAGCAAGTGCTTCAAGCAGAAAAGTAGTGCCAAATATAATCTCTCAGCTTCCAGATCTTGGCCCTTCAAGTTCTTCCTGCTTTGATAGCTCTCCAATAACTTGAAATATATTTTAAAAATATTTTGTCAAATTTTCTAGTTGTTTTTTTATGAGAGAATAGGTATGCAGCTAGCTAATCTTCCTTTATCAAAAGTAGAAAACTGACCTTGAAGTAAATAACTACTTTGAGCCTCAGTTTTCTCATCTATAAAACAATGATCCTGGCCAGGCAAGGTGGCTCACACCTGTAGCCCTAGCTACTTGGGAGGCTGAGGCAGGAGGATCACTTGAGCCCAGGAGGTAGAGGCTGCAGTGAGCCATTATCATGCCACCTGCACTCCAGCCTGGGCAACAGAGGGAGACCCTGCCTCAAAAAAACAAAATAAGATAAAATAATAATCCTAACAGCACTTATCATACTAGTATTATTGGGATGATCACAAAAAATAATCCAACGGGAAAAAATTTCCTAACCTTCATGGTACAGAGATGCAATCTGTATGTTCTCAAATACTTTATACTTTCCTCTTTTGGGGAGATAAGCCATCTGAAAGTGAAGCCATTAGATGGTTTAAATCTAGTCCCATTCAAGAACTGCAATTCAGCCAGGCTGCTCATGGGAAGAACTAGGCAGTGGCGAGTACATAGTTGAAATAGTTGCAACATCTCAACACTTCCAATAAATTGTATTAAGGGATATGACATGATAATATAACTGTAGGTTAGTTAAAATATTGATGCTTGTACATTCAAGGGGTGGAGTCAGAAAACAACTATATTCTCCCAGACCTTCTCTCTATTAAAACTGGCTCTGTAGGTAGTTCTTCCTTGCCCTTCTGGATGAAATCTCAGGTTGCTGCCTGACTTTCTGCTTGCTCACAGGTAATAAAAAGTCCTTAGCTCCTAATTTCCATTTCTCTCTCTCTCTCTCTCTCTCTCTCTCTCTCTCTCTCTCTCTCTCACACACACACACACACACACACACTCTCTCTCTCTCTCTCTCTTTCTCATTTCAATATTTAAAAAGGCTAGTCCTGTGGAAAAACTTTGATAAAACAAACTTTAAGGTTGAAGCTTTTTTCCTCCTCCAGAACTGAGAAAGGAGTGGGTGTGCTTAGTTTCTTAATTTCCTTGTCTCTTGTTACTCAGTGGATGCCTGGGACTCCTCCAGGGTTGGGGAGATGTAGAGGGGAGGAGAGGTAAGGAGGAGAAAAGTTCTTTTTGGTCTGATACTGTTGTGAATTGTCATCAGTGCTTTCTGTACTTTGTAAATATTACATGCTGACATTTTCTTGTGGGCATTTTGGAAGACCTTCCCACCTTCTTATTTCTTGGGATTTCTTGATGTAGGTAAATGTATCTCTCTGGGCTGTTAAATTCATTTCCCTCACCCTCAAGGAATCTAGTGATCGACTGTCCTGTGGGTGTCACTTCACCCTTCCAGAAATTCTCTTGGACAAGGTCTAAGACCATCCCCCAGCCAGTTTGCTCAGGTATGGGAAATACTCACATGGGAAATGGACAGTTTTTATTTTGAAAAACTGTGGGTGTGAAAGACCTCCCCAAAGCATCAGTTTGTCTTTGCTCAGCTATTAGAGCAGATATCCAGCCACAAGCCCTTGTATTTCTCAGAACGGATTGGACAGAAGCCTGTCTGGGTCCTAAATCTAGAGGGATGCATACCAAGCTCTCTCAGGGACCCAGGTAAAGTAACTTTCCTTAGACCTGAGATGGGTTGAGACCCACACCACATTGATAATTGTGGCCACATATCCTACTAGAATTCTCTCTGGCCTCTCAACCTTTTTCGTAGACTGAAAGTCATACACTGGTTTCTAGACAGTTGCTTTGCAAGACCTGCTTTGGTGGTCTTGAACCTTACTTTATGATATAGGAGTAACTGGCACTTGTTGCTCAGCCAAAACTGAGCGGTGAAGGATCCCATTTTTACATCCTGTTACACATGCTTCAAAGAAATGGTCAGCACAAAAAAGCCCACTCATAAGACAGTCAGTAAGCATGGTATAGCTCCTGCACATTCAGATCCCTAGAGAATGAAGAGCTGTTTTATCTCTCCAAAGTTTGCTTTTTTCTTGGTATGGTCATCGACGTTCTCCAGATGCCACAGGTTGGAGAGATAAAGGTGAGGGGCTGCCCTCAAGTGGTCTTACAGGCAGAAACTCCTAAAAGTGGATGGAGTGAAAGAACAGGAAAGGACAGTGTAAGAGCTCATTGGAGACACTTCCCAGAAGCCCAGGGGTGAAGGGCAGTGAGTGCTGGAGGCCCGTGTCAGCAGAGGGGCCAAGTGCTACCGAATGTGAATGTGGATGATCATCTTTAATGTGACCCTATGTGTTCTGTATTCCCGGTACGCGGTGCCATATTTTCCTTCAGATAAATTGAACTTAATTAACTCCCATCAGCAACACGACGCTGTCTGAGAAAAGCCATTTTATATGGAAATGTTCGTTGGGTGACGATTATCCAGTATTATTAATAGAATGAGCTCAGGGCCGTGCCCGGAGCGCCGAGGCTGCCCCGGCAGGAGTCGACGCTAACCAGCCTCCCCCATTCAGCGTCGCGAGGCGCGGGTTCCCGCTCCGTGCCAGGTGCAGAGGGCGACACCGGCGACGTGCCACTCCACTCGCCTCCCAAGGCGCCCCCTCAGATGTTTGCGAACGCACACCAAAGCGGGCTCAAGACAATTGCGCCTGAGACGCCGGGCAGGACCCTGCCCTACCCCTCAGGCTCCATTTCCTGTTCCCGCAAATGGTGATGCCATCGCTGCCCTGTCAGCCCCTCTGGGCTGTCGTGGGCCTCCAAGGAGACAAAAACGCGAAGGAGCTTTGTGAACTGTGGCGCGCAGTGCACCTGCATGAAACATGAAATTATGACTAAAAATAAAGAGTACGAGGGGGTAGGAGCGAGAGGCTGAGAGGCCCAGCGAGACAGGAGGCTGCGGGCGGAGACGCTGCGAGCGCCGCCGGGGCGGGCTGACTGGGAGGCGGCTCCGGGGCTGTCGTCCGGCCCCGCCCACCACTGATCCCCAGTGGCCCGAGGGCCCGGCCGCACCCTCTCTCCCGGCCTGCGGGCCGCTTCCCACCACAGACCCCGCCCCGCGCCCTACCCATCACGCGTCCCCGGTCCGGCTCCGGCGCTCACCTACCCCCGGCAGGCGCCGCCCCCGTGCCGTCCCTCCCGGAAGCGCCGGCGGAGCGTCCTCGCATGGAGCGCGAGCCCAGCGCCTCGGAGGCCGCCCCCGCGGCGGCCGCGCTCTTCGCCTGGGTACGTGACTCCGCCCCCGGGCCGGTGCAGGCCCTGAGGGGCGCCGAGATGTGGGAGCTGCTGGCCGCGGCGTGGGCAGTTCAGGGGCTGGGCGGCTGAGGTCCGAGCCGGGCTCTGGGTTGAAGGATCCTGGGCTGGGAGCGGAGGGGGAGCGGAGGAGGAGCGGGCGGGCGGGGAAGGAAGGGTCTTCGCGGTCGACTTAGGGGCCTGCCGGCTGGCGGGGTCAGGGCCGGAGGGGCTGTGGCGCCGCGGGAAGAACCTGCCTCGGGGCAGAGCGTCTGGTTCCGCGAGAGCCCTCCAGCCCGAATAGCGCCTGGAAGACAGCGCGGAGGGCTCGGTGGAGAGGATCGCCCGGTCCCAGAGCTCCGTGGGGCCACCTGTGCCCCCCACACTCCTGATGCCTGGAGGAGGGAGACCCTGTCCCAGCCTGGCGAAAGCATCCTTTAGATGTGAGGCCTGCGGTGTTTGGCCGCGCACAAGGCACAGACCCTGCCTATTTGCTGACACTCTGCTGTGACCGGTTCTTGCATGTGTTGGGGGAGTTGGGCTGCTGTTGGTTTGACGGGAGCATTGGGAGAGACAGGGTCATCTTGATGTGTGTCTGGGAGAGAGGAGGGTTCATGCACAGGAGCGTGGCAGGTGGCCGACCAGCATGCACGGGAACAAGCAGTCGCTGCGTCTTGTGCTTCTTCATAGCACGTATCACAATTGTAATGATGTGTATAATTTATTATTAACGTCAGTCTCTCTGGCTGGAAAGTAAGTGTGGTAAGAGTGGGTGCTGTGCCTGTCTTGTTCACGGTGCCTCTCTTGGTGTCTGGCACATTGTAGGTCCCCAGTAAATACTCGTTGACGAATGAATGAACGAGCATCTGTGTGCCTACCCATGTGCTGGTGTTGGGGAAATACACATGAGTGAAATACACGAGTGAAGGACTTCCAGCTCTTGTGTTGGGGGAGAGCAAAATTATAACCTGTATTGCTGTTAAAATCAGTATTAGTTGTCCAATTTTTAAAGAAGTAATGATCAGTACAAGGCGGCAATTGTTGAATGTGGGGCTGCAATTTGGCAGGAGGGAGAGCATGGCGTGACCTGCGGTAGTCTGGCTGGCTGGGCGTCTTTGAGGTGGCCCGGGAGCTGGGGGTGGAGTTGGGGATTGAATGTGTGCTGTCTCTGGCTTTTTCCAGGCAGGAGACTGGCGTCTGTGTGGACAGAGGAAACAGAAATATTGTTTCAGTACAGACAAAGCCGAATATTAAAGGTTGTAAAATATGTTTAATAGGTTGTTGACACCCTTCTGCTGTGTTTGGAGGACTGGTAGTGTGTTTTTCCTGCTGTATAATCTGAAACTGTGGGGGTGTGTTGGTCGGCTAGGGCTACCATAACAAAATACCACACAACAGAGGCTTAAACAACAGAAATTTATTTTCTCACAGTTCCAGAGGCTAGAAGGCCAAGATCAAGGTGTGAGTAGGTTTGGTTTCTCCCGAGGCCTCTCTCTGGCTTGCAGATGGCCGCCTTCTCACTGTGTCCTCACATGGCTTTTTTCACTGTGTCCTCACATGGCCTTTTCTGTGTGCGTGAGCATCCGTGGTGTCTCTTCTTTTAAGGACACCAGTCATATTGGATTAGGGCCCCACCCTTATGACCTCATTTAACCTTAATTGCCCCTTTAAAGGCCTTCTTTCCAAATACAGTAAGGTACTAAAGGTTAGGGCTTCAACACGTGAATTTTGGGGGAATAAAGTTCGGTTCACAGGAAGGGGATTTACCTTGTTAGGGGTGTGTGTGTGTGTGTGTGTGTGTGTGTGTATGTGTGCATGTGCACGTGTGATATGTCTGGAGTGTTTGTGAGGAAGAAAGGCAAACAACAGTTGTAATAGGTTGTGTTAAATTTCCCTTCGTCTTGCTTTATCCTGGATTTAGGGCCTCTCACAGTGTTACAAAAATTGGTACCGTAATTTGAACCTCAGAGTGCCCATGTGTCATGTTACTTTTCTCCCAGGTGTTCAGCAGCCTTGCACCCCTGGTAATGGGACAGCCACGGAGATCTCAGGGCTGACCAAGAAATCCTGTGCATATATGCTCTATATTCCCCTTCATGCTGAGCAAGTCTTTCATAGGGTCTTACATTCATTCGCCATATAAATATATGTACATCTTCTTTGGGCCAGCACAGTTTCAGATGCAGGGGAAACAGCAGTGAGCAAAGCAGAGTTCCTGCCCTCCTGGAGTTTAGTTTCTGGCAGGGGTGGTGTACAGTAAACAAGTAGTCATATATAATGTAACATCAAGAAGTGGCATGAAGAAAAATAAAGCAGAAAATGAGTGATATGGGGATGCTCTTTTAGATAAAGTCATACAGTTAACCACCTGTCAGGTAAGCTCTGGGCTGCTTCACTGTATGTCCTTTTTTTATTTTTTCTAAGAGACACAGTAAGGTATAGTAAAAGGTGCAGGGCATCAGACTTTTTGCCTACCCAGATATAACTATGGAAAGTTACTTAACCTCTCTGAGCCTTAGTTTCTTCCTCTGTGAAATGGGAGTAATAATGTCCTTCTTAGTTGTTGTGAGGATTAAAGGTGAATGCACAGTATGGAGAGAAGCACTCAGTAATTGGTAGCTAATATTGCCCCCTGTGGGCTTCTGGGACTTATGCCCCTGCTATGGCTTACTCTTCCATCTTTGAGTCCTTGCAGCCCAGGATGGCTGTGAAATAGACTACAAGGGGAAGGATTATGTATGTATGTATGTAAGTATGTATATATGTATTTGTTGTAATTATTTTACATCACCTTTCCTCATTCAGGTGTCTTCAAAAACAAACATATTTAAAAGATTTTACTTCTCATCTCCAGGAAGAACCAGCTAGGAGTAGGTACTTGAATAAATTATAAAGATTTCTGAAATCTTAGTAAGATTCTCTCTGCAGGTCCACAATCCCTTGTCTTCAATTCTGAATACAAAAAGCTCTGAAAACCCAAAACTTACTGGACATAAGGCCATTTATAGTCTTTGGCCACTTCTTATGAATATTTGTACTTTGTAATGCAGAAATATTATTGTTTTGCTTATGGGCTGCTGTCCCTGGACCTTGCATCAGTATATATGACATATGTACTGTATTACTTTTCTAAAAGCTGTAAAATTCTGAATCTGAAATACATCTGACTGTAAGCATTTCAGATTAGGGATTATGGACCCTTTTTGTATAATAATAATAATAATAGACATATTGCCTGTCAAGGGGAAATCTGTCCCCTTACTGGAATCTCACCATGTGAATCTTGGAGTCACATAGCACTGTACTTGGAAAGGGCTTTAGAGATCATTGCCAGCCTCTTTCACTGTACAAATGAAATAATGACGTGCCTTGCTTTAAGGCAAGAAATCCTTAGCCAGCTTTGATTCCAGAGTCATTGTTGGTTTTCCCATCATGGGTGTGGGGAGGAGAAACAAGAACTAATTCCAGGATGTTGCCCTCCCATTTTGATGCCATTTCTCTCTCATTTTTTTCTTTCCTTAGCTTCCCTAGGTAGTTAGCTTTTATCAGAAGGAACCCCTGTGCTGTCTCCAAAAGGCAGTACCTGGGGGCTGGAGCATAAGAAGGGAAAGATGAGGAATATTACTGGCTGAGTTGTGGATGCCTAGGACTCTTCTCATATCGAAATCATGGTGTTCTGAGGATGGGGCCTCCATCTAAATATGGGAGCATATAACAGCCGTTAAGAATGAGCCTAACAGGTCATTTCCTCTTTGGTCAGTTTCCCACTTGACAAAGGAAGGGTAAGATTTACATTCCCAAATGCTCCAGAGTCCTTCTGGTGAGCGAATTATTATTATTTTTCTTTTCAGATTTTGGGGAAGGGATTTGAGGAGGGAAGAAAGGAGATGGGGTAAGAGTGTTTCTAAGTCTGAAACTCTCTCTGTCCTGAGCTGTTCCCGTGGTTACTCAAGGACAAGGGGAGACAGTTTTGCCCACAGCTCCAGAGACACAGATAACAAAGGAATGACCTTCATTTTTCTTCAGGTTGGACCCTGTAGGGGTCTGTGAGCAGCTTCTCCTGGAACTTTGTTTGGATTCTGTGTCCATATTTATAATTTATTTGAAACACGCTGGATAGTGTTCTCATTTGGGGGCTGAAGTTCAGCTAGGGAAAGCAGTGAGGTGGCATGGGTGCAGGAGGAGGGGGTAAGGAGAGATACGAGATACACCTGCCAACGACTCGTAGCCCAGAACTCTCTCTAGAGAAGAGAAGCCCCTCCTCCTCAAGAGGCTGTCTTGTTCTCAGTCAGAAGAACCTTGATTTAGGAGATGGCCTCTCTTTTCCTGGCCATTCTAAGAGGAAAGGCCATTTTACCCCATTACCTCCAGAGGGTTGGGCTAGGCCAAGGACCTCATAGGACTCATGTCCCCTTCAGCCATGGCTAGCATTGCTGCTTTGCCTTCTGGGGCCTGAGGTAGAAAAAAGTGTGGTTTCTTCAGCTGCTGCAGGAGGCCAAGCAGGGCATTTGTCCTTTGCCCCAGTAAATTAAGCCTGCCAGGGTGCCTACCTAGGAACTTTCCTGGACATGAATTTCCTCCACTGTTATGGTCATGAGTCTCTTTCTAATGGGATTACAGATCAGGGGTGGGGAGACAGTGTTACCTGTTGTTTTCTGGTGCTTGTTATTATATATTTGAATAAACAGTGCTGTGAGTATTTGCCGTGAAGGAGCTAAAAATTTTTTTTTAAAAAAGAATGAGCCTAATAAATCTCATCTGTTACAGGGTCTGAGAGATACGTCAGGGTGAGAGAGACAGAGACAGGTAAATAGACATTGACAGTTGTGGTTCCCACACTTTTTCATCCTTGGCTTATTCATCCCTAGGGTGCAAATAGCTATGGGCAACTTGGCCTCGGCCATAAGGAAGATGTGCTGTTGCCCCAGCAACTGAATGACTTCTGTAAACCCAGGAGTGTCAGGAGGATCACAGGAGGAGGGGGCCACTCTGCAGTTGTCACAGGTAATTTCCTTCAAAAGTAGATAGTCACTCATTTTCTTATTTAGACGTTTTCCCCTGGATATGATATTGCCATCTTTCAGCCTTTTGTATTTTGCAGAGGAAAATAATGTATTTTTGTGAAACATTTTTGTGAAAGAGCCAAATTACCATCAGAAGATCCTAGATTTTCAGGGCTAGAAGGACTTCAGAGATCTTCTAGGCCACCCCTTTCCCCCACCCCCTCCATTATACAAATGAAACTCAGAAAGGAACACTGATTGCTTAACATCACAAGGCAAAGTAGTGGCAGAGTTACAATGTATATTTTACACCATAGGAATTAGAAGTCTTTGTAATTAGATTGGATATTCCTTGAGAGCAAAAACTGTGTGTTCCCCTTAATCTTCCCTTACTGTATCTAGGATAGCACTTAACAAGTAGTACAAGTGCTACAATGTTGTAAAGGGGGGCATATTGCATCTGGTTGAGAACATGAGCTCTGGAATCAAATCTCTGGGTTCAGATCCTGGTTCTGTGACTTATTATCTATGTGGCCTTGGGCAAATAGCCACAGTTTCTGAATCTGTTACATGAGGATAATAATGGTGGGTGAAGAGAACCAGTGAGTTAGCAGGGCTCCATTCCGACTGTCATGGGTCGTTGGTGCTTTTCCCTTTATGGACCTCTTCCTTTGTAAAGAAAAAAATTATATTTTACAACTGTGTTGGTATAAAGATGGATATTAATAGAATCCACTCCAGATTTAGTGTTATATATGCATTGTTACTATATTATCTTTTTCTCATTTAAAAATAACTAAAAATTAAGCCACTCTGTGGGCCTCTGAAAGCATTGTGGGCCCTAGACACTGTGCCTAAAGGATAAGTCCGCTCTGCACAAAAAGCTCTTAAAACAGTACCTGGCACGTTCTCAATGTTGAATAAATGTTGTTGGCTTTTTGTTCCAGTAGATGCTCAGTTTGGTGATTGATTGACCACTGCGCCAAGACTTGAAGTTTCTCTGTAGGTATTAGTTTGAGGCCCTTGGCCTTGTGTTGTTTGGCTCCAGAATACATGAACATACACAGCTTATTAACTTGGATGGCAAAAAAAGTTATTGGTCTGAGAGTCCAAATAATTAGTGAAATCTTTTTGTTCATTTTGCAGTTGTGTTTTTTCCTGTGCACGCTATCACTGATGCCTTTATATTTTGCAGATGGAGGAGACCTCTTTGTTTGTGGCCTGAACAAAGATGGGCAACTGGGGCTTGGTCACACAGAGGATATCCCATATTTTACCCCCTGCAAATCCCTCTTTGGCTGTCCCATCCAACAGGTGGCCTGTGGCTGGGATTTTACGATTATGCTCACAGGTGAGTTCACTCCTAGGTAGATTTTTGTCACCACAAAGGCTTTGGGTGAGAACAGTATGATGATGGTGACTGCAGATTAAATGAAAGCCTCTTTGTGTTTAAAAAGCACACATAAGGCCTGGTGCGGTGGCTCACAATTGTAATTCCAGCACTTTGGGAGGCCAAGGCAGGTGTATCACTTGAGGTCAGGAGTTCGAGACCACCCTGGCCAACATGGTAAAACCCCGTCTCTACTAAAAATACAAAAATTAGCCAGGCGTGGTACCCCATGCCTATAGTCCCAGCTACTCTGTAGTCCCAGCTATTTGGGAGGCCGAGGCAGGCGAATCACTTGATCCTGGGAGGTGGAGGTTGCAGTGAACTGAGATTGCGCCACTGCACCCCAGCCTGAGCAACAGAGCAATAATCCATCTCAGAATAAATAAAAATAAATAAAAAGCACACACAAATTTTCCCTCTGGTTGTCAAGGAAAGTTGTGGACTACCTTTTCTAAGGAGAGTTTAACGGTAAAGGAGACTGGGATTGGGGTGGAAAACTTTTGTCAGAGAGTAGGGAATAGACTAGATCACCTTTGGTGGCCACTTCCTGTCCCAAAAGTTCATGATAGCTGTGTGCTTGGGGTAGCTGGCCAGTGGCCAGCAGTGGCAGCAGAGGGTTACTTACAGGGAATGTGGTAGGAGAATATGAGGCAATAGTGGTTGCCAAAGCAGTGATGGCAGCTTTTTCACACTGTGGGATTTTTTTTTTTCTAAATGTGTTAGGCAGATCTGTTTGGTCTTTGTGAAGCCAGGTAGCAGGATAGGATATGGCCAGAGGGTTATTAGAGTAATGCACTTGGGAACAGCCAGCAGTAGTTACCTTGTCAGCTGACGTCTGTTCCCTTGAAGCAGTTTTGACCTCTCTGTTCAGCTTTGCTCTGTCTAGCTGGCCATTCTGGATTTAAAGGACCATCTGTGGTTTCTGACCAGGCTCCCTCTTTGCCACGGTCCTTTGGCAAGGGCATCTTCTGTCACTCTCCTGTCATAAACCCTTGTGGATTCTCCCAGACATAGCTCAGATTCCTAGCTTTTTAGCGTTGGCCTTCTGTAACTGTTCCCTAGCTATCTTTGTGCTGTGTCTCTTATTCTCCACACTCCTCATACTTTTCTTTCTGGTCATACCAAGCAGTATATGTTCTTCTGTCTGTCTGGACCAGCCCCTCTTGTCTATCTGATGGACTCGAATCCCAGCTTTAAAACCCTGCTCAAGTGTCACCATCCTCCTCTGTGGAGGGGTTCTGTAATATGTGTTGAATTTGATGGTGATTATTAGAATCTAAACAATAACTATCATTTATAAGGTGTTTATTGTGAGCCTATGTTTTGGATTGTAAGGAGTCAGTAGATAATGCTCTTTCCTGCTCACATTTGGAGCCAGTTGTGAGAAAAGCACAGAGAAGTCAGTATTGGAGATTAAAAACTATTGGCTTTTCACTGGTAAAGGCTAAATTGGAGGACAGTATTAATTATGAGGCCAGTGGTCCTAATATTCTTCTGGTCCAAACTTACCCCCAAATCTCTAGGCTTTCCCCACAGGGAAATGCTTCCTATGTGTCAGCCTAGAATGACTGAGAGGGAGGTGCCAAGCCACACATGTCCTGTCCCATCTCCTAAACTCACCAGTTGGTTACATGACCGCTGTCCCCTAGAAAGCAGTGAGGATGGGGAAGGGCAGGGAGAAAAGCTGGAGTGTTGTTTTACTAATGGAAATTTTGTCACATGGAAACATGAAAAATGAAAAATTACTATCCTCCCATCCCAATACGAGGCACTGAGTTAAGTGTTCTACACAGATAATCTGTTATTAATGAGAGAATAGAATAGACAATCTGTGTAGAGTGCTTAACCTGGTGCCCAGTGTTTTCATTCCTAGAGGAATAAAAGCAGGGAATATGGTCTGAATGCACTGAAGCACTTCCCCTCATCCCCTTTGCATCTCTCACCCTGCAGCATTTACCCATTGGTCACAGACATCTTACTTCATAGATTTGCAATTTAAGTATTTGTATTTTGCAGAAAATGGTCAAGTTCTATCATGTGGATCCAACTCCTTTGGCCAGTTAGGAGTTCCTCATGGACCTCGAAGATGTGTGGTTCCCCAGGCCATTGAGGTGAGGACAGTTAATATTTAGCTTGCCCATGACCTGTTAAAGTGTTTCCAAGGTATTAACCTATCTCTCCCCAGAATAAAAGGCTGTCAGGATCCCTGAGAACCCATGGAGTAGGAGAATTTGAGTTGAAAAATAGGTCCTTCTGGGAAAAATTAAGTTGGGAGGTAAACGTTGTGAATGAAAACCTCTGTTAGTTTTCATACACTTCATATGAAGTTTTGTGAAATAAAACAATAAGAGTAATACATCTCATAAGGATATTGATGACATTTTACAGTTCTAAAATTAGTAATAATGGAAATTATGTTAGAAATAGGTCCAGATAGAAGTGATTTGTCGAAAGACACTAAGCTAGGCAAATGGTATAGGCCAGTGCTAGCCAGTAGAAATATAATGTGAGCCATATGTAATTTAAAATTTTCTAGTAGCCCTATTTAAAAAAGAAACAGGTGAAAGTAATTTTTAAAATAACAGCATTATTGAGCTGTAATTCACATACCATAAAATTAACCCCTTTAAAATGTATATCCACAGAGATGAGCAACCAATATCATTATCTTATTTTAGAACATTTTCATTACCACCAAAAGAAACTATGTACTTAATAGCAGTCAATTCCTATTCTCCCTTCCCCTCAGCCCCTGGTGAGTACTAATCTACTTTTTGTCTCTATAGATTTGCCTGTTATTTCAGCATGTCATCAGTATAAAGTTATTTTTTGTTTTTATTTTTATTTTTGAGATGGAGTCTCACTCTGTTGCCCAGGCTGGAGTGCAGTGGCGCGATCCCGGCTCACTGCAACCTCCGCCTCCCAGGTTCAAGCAGTTCCCTGCCTCGGCCTCCCGAGTAGCTGGGATTACAGGTGCCTGGCACCATTCCCAGCTAATTCAGTATAAAAATTATTAACAAGGTATTTTATACTGATTTTGTACTAAGTCTTTGAACTCTGGTATGCATTTTTTACTTACAATATGTCTCAGTTTAGTGTAATCACATTTCAAGTTTTCAAGAGCTATGTGTAGGTAGTGGCTACCATATTGGACAAAACAAGTGTTAAACAGGACTCTTGGCTCTAGTTCAGAGCTCTTTACTTCAGTGCATCATACTTAAAATCACCCCTTTTTGTGAAGTTTATATTGTAAGTGATCATAATAGGAATATAGAATTTTTAAAGAAATATGCTTGAATCAAAAATGAGTTTTACCACCTAAGCTGTCCCACTCCGATCTAATTTCCCTAAACTCTGATTAATAGTGGGAGATGTTTTTTCCCTAGAGAAAGCTTGGGTCTGCCCCTGCCAGCTTGCTGAACTCAGTTGTTGGTCTGTGGACTGTTATTTCGGGTCATGGTTCCCATGGTATGCACAAAGTCTAGGCTCTGTAGTCCCTGAAGGAAGTATTATAGCTCCCAATTGCAAATAGATGGCCTTGTAAGCACCTACATATAAGTTATAATTAATTTAGCTTAATTATACTTTATATAATTAAGGAATAGAGGAACAATGGTTAAAATATGTTGGTTGACAGAATCAGAGAGTAAAAACATTTTGACAGGTGACATTCTATGCAACAATAGGAGCAATGTGCCAAAGAGAAATTTAATAGAAATTCATTCATTTATTTAATGACAACCATTATGTGTAGGTACTATGTTTAGGCAGTGGGAGCAAAGTTGAATAAGACCTGTCCTAGCAGTTGAGAGTTTTATAGTTTGGTAGGACATGATAGGCACATAAATACTTAAATGTAATACCATGTCAGAACTATGACAGATGCATGTATATCCCCAAAGGAGGGAGTTTTGAGCATCTGGGGGAAGGTGGGGTGAGAAGAGGCTTAAGCTAGGTCTCAAAAGTTAAATAGAGGTTTACCCGTCTTGGGATAGGAGGATGCTCAGAGTGGGTGCAAAAGAAGAACATTCTAGGCAGAAGGAACCATGTAAGCAAAGGTGCAACGGAATGAAACAGGAGAGTTTGGGATATCGTAAGTAGTTTAGTATGGTTGGAATATAAGGAAGAGGTGGAAGTTCCAGGGTAGAGTGGGTGGGAATGGGGCAATCAGGGTGGTTGTATGTGACACATGGTAAGAACAACATGGTAGGGAGGTCAGATAGGAAGATGGATTGAAGGAAGGTTACTGAGGAAACTCTTGCTAACAATCCAAATGAAACAATTGTGGCTCAAACTAAAGCAGCAACAGTTGGGATGGAGAGTAAGAGGTGGAGGTGAGTGGTGTTAAAGAGACTGAAGTCACATGTAAAGCCCTTCAGTTAGTTTTTTGGGGAAAAACAAAAGAAAAATATAAAGGACAATATGTTCAAATTGTATTAACGCTAAGATTTGATCTTCTCGTAAGCTAATGTGATTGTGGACTCCATTGACAGAAGTATAGTTTCCAGAAGAAGGAAGGCCAAAGCTCAGCCCTTTCTGCTGTTCAGCCTGCATCTGGGATGTTGTGTTTTGTTGTGGATTTGGTGCTTAGGCCCTGGGCATAAAGGTATATAAGACTCAGGTCCTGCCCTTGAGGGTCCTAAAGTTTAGAAAGACACTGTGGACCTGTAAATAAACAAATGTGGTAAGCCTTAATGGGGTTATGATTATGCTATAGAGTTCCTTTAAAAGAGAAAGATTGAACAACTAGAGCATATTTAGAGAAGTGAAGACCAGGAGGGGAAGGGAATTTGAAATCCAGTGATGGCTGATGAATGGGGGATATTTGCTTTGAAGAAAAGATCTTCATTAGTTATCTATTGCTGTGTAACAAATTACTGCAAACCTTAGCAGCTTAAAACAGCAAACATTTATTATGTCACAGTTTCGGAGAGTCAGGAATTTAGGAACAGCTTAGCTGGTCTCTCATGAAGTTACAGTTGAGATGTTAGCTGGGTCTGCTTGCAATCTCCGTGGACCTGTAAATAAACAAATGTGGTAAAGCCCTAATGGTTTCATGTTCCTTGCCATGTGGACCTTTCTATTGGACTTTTCAGACATAGCATCTGGTTTCCCCCAGGAGTGATGAGAGAGAGAGGGAGAGATGCTAAGCAGGAAGCCTTAGTGCCTTTTTTCGCCTAGACTCTGAGTCACTCATTGCTGCTTTATTCTCTTTATTAAAAGCATGTCACTAAGTCCAGCCCACACAAGGGGAGGGGTATTAAGCTCCACATCTTGAAGGGAGGAGTAGCAAGAATTTGAGGACCTATTTTTAAAACCACTACAAGATGTCTTAGAGAGGACATGACAACTGTCTTCAAATATTTGGAAAGCATTGTCAGAAGCTGCAGGCAGATAGGTTTGGTTCCACCTAAAGAGATAAATGGAACTGTGCAAAAATGGAACAGGCACCTGGGGAAATGGCGATCCCTATGTCACTGGGGGTAGGTGTTTGGCAGGAGTTGGATGACCACTTGGTGGGGTGTTGTTGGATGGAGATTGGACTAGATCATGTTGGGAAACTTTGAGCCCTTGGTAAATAAAGTCTTACTGGCACACAGTCATGCTCATTCATTTATGTATAGTCTAGAGCTGCTTTTATGTTACAATGGCACAGCTGAGTAGTGTGACAGAAACTGTGGCCTGTAAAACATTTACTAACTGTCCCTTTACAGAAAACATTTACTAACTCTTGGACTAGATGACCTTAGAAGTGCCTCCCAGCCCTGAGAGTTGTTGTCATATGGTATTGTGATATGGTATTTTAAAAGATATATTTTTTTCTTTTAGGGATAAATGTAGAGGTATTAATGGGTGGAAATATTGGGGGGAGTGGTTGCTTTAAACCAGTCAGACCCATAATGAGGACCGTACTGCATTGTATTTGGTATAAATTACATAAAATTTTGTAGATGGATGGTTCTGAGATCTAAATCCTTTTCTTTATTTTGACAGCTCCATAAAGAGAAGGTTGTTTGTATTGCTGCTGGACTGAGGCATGCAGTAGCTGCTACAGGTGATCATCTTATCTTTATTTTTTTATTTTTATTTTTAATACTTTTTAGAGATGGGGTCTCACTCTGTTGCCCAGGCTGGAGTGCAGTGGCTCGATCATAGCTTGCTGTAGCCTTGAACTCCTGAGCCCAAGCTGTCTAACTGCCTCAGCCTCCTGAGTAGCTAGAACTATAGGTGCATGCCACCATGCCCTGCTAATTTTTAAGATTTTTTGTAGAGACAGGGTCTCGCTATGTTGCCCAGGCTGGTCTTGAATTTCTGGCCTCAAGCAATCCTCCCGCCTTGGCCTTCCAAAGTACTGGGATTACAAGTGTGAGCCACTGTGCCCAGCCTGCCCTCCGCCTTTTAAAATAGGTCTGTAATAAGAGGAAACTTAACTTTAGGAGAAAAACCATTTAGGAAATATTTCAAAGGGTCCTGCTGCATTGTGGTTCTGATGAAAAGGAGAGAACATAAGGCAGAAGTCATGTAGGAAAGACATTAGCAGGTAGAGAGGAAGGAAATGAAGTTTTCTAGCTCTTTGTGTTCTAGGTATGATGCTAGGTGCTATTTATTTGATTACTTTATTTAATCCTCACAACCAGGAAGTGATGCGAGTTACATTTTACATGTGAAGAAACTGAGGCACAGAGTTAAAGTGCTTGTGTAAGCTTATACAGGGAGTAACGTAGAGCTTGGATCAGAGCCTGGGATGGTTTGGATCCTAAGGCTCATATTTTTTGCAGGGAACTGCACAGCCTTCCTAATGGATTTTATTGTTTATTAATTTAAAAGCTTTAAGTGAGCTTGTCTCCTGTACTGTGAGTGGGTGATGGGACTGACAGTCTGTGTGTGAGGGGGACAGGGAGGTGGCGTGTGGGAGAATGGTGACCCTTTTATCTCTCCCCTTTTCATTTTTTCTGCTCTTACTCCTTTTGAACTGAAGGACAGCACTAATTGGCTGTGGCAGCTGAGGCTCAGGTGCTTCGTGAGTCCACTTGTGGAGTGGAGGAAGGAGAGAGGAGGTGAGGAAGAGCTCAATGCAGGACTGTGCTGATAGTCCTGGGCTTAGCATTGATTATACTTCAAAAAAAATTCAACTTTTTATTTTGAGATAATTGCAGATGCACATGCAGCTGCAAAAATAAAACAGACCCTGTGTGTTCTCTCCCGGTTTCCCCTAATGGTATCTTGCAAAACTATAGTACAATAACATAATGAGGATATTAACATTGATACAGTCAAGATATAGAACAGTTCCATTACCACAGGAATCCTTCCTGTTGCCTTTCTATAGCCACACCCATTTCTACCTGCCTATAACCACTTCTTAGCCCTAGGCTAAGCACTCTTCTGTTCTCCATCTCTATGATGTTGTCATTTCAAAAATGTTCTATAAATGGTATCATACAGTATATAACCTTTTGAGGTTGGCTTTTTTCATTCAACATAATTCCGTAGACATTCATCCAAGTTGTGTATATCAGTAATTCATTCCTTTTCATTGCTGAGTAGTATTTGATGGTATGGATGTACCACAGTACTAATCTGTTAGGGCTGCCGTAACAAAATACCACAAACTAGGAGGCTGAAAGAACAGACATTTATTTTCTCACCATTCTGGAGGCTAAAAGTATTAAGATTATTGTGTTGTCAGGATTGGTTTCTCGTGAGTTTTTTTTTTTTTCCTGGCCTGTAGGTGACCACCTTCTTGCTCGGTTCTTGCATGGCCTTTTTTGGGTGTGCCTGTGGAGAGGGAGAGATTTCTGATGTCTCTTCCTTTTTATAAGGACACCAGTCCTATTAGATTAAGACCCTACACATATGACCCCCTTTAACTTTTATTGCATTCCATAGCCCCTATCTGCAAATCTAGTTACAGTGGGCATTAGGGTTTCAACAATTTCAACATCTGAATTTTAGGGGGATACAGTTCTTCCCATGACTGTATATAAATACACACATACACATACACACACACACACACACATATAAACATATATATATATAACACACACACTCACACATGCATATATATATATATATATATATATATATATATATATATATATATATATGTATGTATGTATGTATGTATTTTTAAGATAGGGTCCCCCCCTGTTGTCCAGGCTGGGGTACAGTGGTGTGTTCATGGTTCACTGCGACCTCAAACTTCTGGGCTCAAGCGATCCTCTAGGTTCTGCCTTCCAAGTAGCTGGGACTACAGATATGTGCCACCACACTCAGCTAATTTTAAAATTTTTATTCTTGTAGAGATGGGGTCTTGGTATGTTGCCCAGGCTTGTCTTGAACTCTCAGCCTCTGACAGTCTTCCTGCCTTCTCCTCCCAAAGTGTTGGGATTACAGGTGTGAGCCTCTGTGCCCAGCCTGAATGAGGTCTACATATTGTAATTAGTTGATATGTATCACAAGTCTTTCTTTCTTTTTTTAAAAAATTATTTTTTTCTTAATTTTATCATGGTAAAATATACGTAGTTTACAGTTTATTATCTTAACCATTTTTAAGTGTATAAGTACATTCATATCATTATGCAATCACCACCACCATCCATCTCCAGAACATTTTGTCTTGCAAAATTGAAACTCTATACCCATTAAACAATAACTCCCCATTCCCCATTCCACTGGCCCATGGCAATCACTATTCTACTTTCTGTATCTATACTTTTGACTACTGTAAGTCTCTCATCTAAGTGGAATCATACAGTATTTGTCTTTTTTGTGACTGGCGTATATTTCACTTAGCATGATGTCCTCAAGGTTCATCCATGGAGTAGGATATATCGGCGTTTAGATACTTTTTAAAGTGGATAATATCCATTGTATGGATATATCACGTTTTGCTTACCATTCATCTGTCAATGGACATTTGAGTTGCTTCCATGTTTTAGCTATTGTGAATAATGCTGCTATGAACATGGGTGTACAAATATCTCTTCAAGATCCTGCTTTCAATTCTTTTGGATGTGTACCCAGAAGTGAAATTATTAGTTCATATGGTAATTCTATTTTTAATTTTCTGAGGAACTACCATACTATTTGCCACAGAGGTTGTACCATTTTGTTTCCACCAGGAGTGCACGAGGTTCCAATTTTTCCAAAAACTCACCAACACTTGTTATTTTCTGGTTTTTAAAAATAGTAGCATCAAAATGTGTATGAGGTGATATCTGTTTTCATTTCCCTGATGGTTAGCAATGTTAGCATCTTTTCATGTTTTTACTGGACACTTGTATATCTTCTTGGAGAAATGTCTATTCAAATCCTTTGCACTGCACCCTCCTCCCTCGCTTTTTTTGTTGAGACAGTGTCTCATTCTGTTGCCCAGGCTAGAGTGCAGTGGCGTGATCTTGGCTCACTGCAGCCTCCACCACCCAGGCGCAAGTGATCTTCCCACCTCAGGCAGCTGGGACTGCAGGTGTACACCACCATGCTTGGCTAATTTTTAAATTTTTTGTAGAAATGAGATCTCACTATATTGCCCAGGCTTTTCTCAAACTCTGGGCTCAAGCAATCCTCCCATGTCAGCCTCCCAAAATGCTGGGATTACATCTTTGCCCATTTTTTAACTGAGTTGTTTCTTTTGGTTGTTGAGTTTTTGGAGTTCTTTATATATTCTGGATATTCATCTCCTGTCAGCTATCTGAAGTCTCTTATAAAGTTTTTCCTCTTTTTTTTTTTCCTCTCGAAGTCAATTTGTTGAAGAGATTGTAAGTTTTTATTTCAACACTGTGCTTTGCTCACATTGTGCTCAGTGGTCATAGCTTATTTTTCACAAAACAGGCTTGTCTGTTTATAGCCTTAAAAAGGACTGCTGTTTATAGGATACTCCCAAAGGAGCAGAACCTTAATGTTGCTGTTGGGTGATGGATCCTAGTTTCACACACCTGAGTGTAGATCAAATATCTAGAATTTCATATTTGCATTTGTATGAGGTTCAGAACATAGGTACATGAATTAGATTCAGTGGGCATGAAAGTAAAAGGCCATTCCGCTGAAATCATGGCTATTAAGAAGCTATCTTGCAGTCATAAATATGTATTTACTTGGCAATTAGGAATCTTTGAATTCATCTTGGTGTCGTGGAAAGGGCACTACATTAGGTGTTAGGAAAGCTGAGTCCTGGCATTTTCTCTGCTGTTACCTTCCTGCCTGAGGAGACAAATCGCATCCTCTCTTCAGGGCCTCAGTTTTCTCATCTACTGAATGTGAGGAATGGATTTGATGATCTTCAAGGTTCTTTTCTGCTTTGTCTGGGATCTGAGTTGTCTTTTCAGGTTAATCATGAATAAGGTGTCATTCCACTGATTTGACTCTGAAGGAGTGTCCTGGAACTTTTTGTAGGAAGTTATGTGATATTGGAATTTGCTTTGATGGTCTTAGTCTGTCCTGAAGACTGGATTTGTGATTGGCTTGGTGGTAATCCCTGGGCCAGTTACAGGACCTCTTGAAGCAATTGAGCTTCTCCATAACACTCATATTAACTGAGAAAGAATTGGGAATTTCTCATAGCAGTGAGGTTCAAAGAGCAATCTAGTCTTATCCTGATGTGCATCTTCTCTGCTTTCTCTTCCATTCTGTTGGGAAGCGAGTGGCATCGTGTTCCAGTGGGGGACTGGTTTGGCATCATGTGGACGACGGTTGTGCCCTGGGCAGACTCTTCCATTGTTTTTCACAGCAAAGGAACCAAGCAGAGTGACAGGTAAGATGCTTCTTTCTTTAGTCCTATATTTGTTCTTTGTCAGGAAGTAGAGACATAAACATGCAGAAGAGGATTAAATGGATTTTTGATTTTGCTATTTCTTGGTCTCTCTAACTTTCTCTATTAGTTGGTCTGTTAGTCTTGCTGGCATTGTTTGTTGGCCCAGTAGAAGCAACCCTCTTTGCTGCCAGAGTTTGGAACCGATTGAGGCATAGATGCAAGTCAGGTAGGTGGAGATTGAAATGGTAACTCTAGAACTGTTAAAAGCTAGGTTGGAAGACATGATTAGAGGCTCACTATGACTATATATTGTCTTCAAACCCCTAATTCTGAAACTCAGATTGAATTTACCCACCAAGCACCGGGGTACTTGTATAGAGTTGGCCCTACTAAACTTAACGCCTGACCAAGAGGACATGAGGATGTACCCTCTCTTCAGGCAGGCACACCCCAAAGAGGGAACCCAGGAGGACCATGCCTTGCATGGCCAGTTCCTTCTCCCAAAAAGGAAGCAGGAGTGAGTGAGGATGTAGACAGAGGGGCCAGGAGTGTTCCCACAGGGAAATCTCTCTACGCGAAAATACGAGGAGTAGGTAATATGTGTTCTGCCCAAAGGTCTGTTGGTCATTTGGTCTGTATTTTCTCCTTCCTTTTCTTCCCCCCACCCTTCTTCCCCTGTCTCTCTCTCTCTTTCTTTCTCTCTCTCTGCTCTCCTTGTGGGCCTTTCTCCCTCTGTATACAGCACCATGTCTCCATTTCCTCCTCTTCTCCCTTTTCTGCTTTCTCACTCTTCTACTTTGTGACCGAGTTTACCCAGGCTTGGCTGTAGGAAAAACTTGTATAGGAGACTTGTAACTACTTCTTCTGTTGCCTGGAACAAATCAGGGATTTTTGAGGATGGTGGGAAGGGGTGGGGGAAGAATAGGAAAGGGTGGGTTGCAGTGGGAGTGATGTAATTGGGTGTTGAGATCATTCTAATTTTTCTAAGTCCTGGAGGTGTTCTCTTTCAGCTAGGGGTGGGCTTAGCTTCCCTGAAACCCATGGGTTGAGCTGGGGAAGGTCCTCTTAGAAAGGAGAAGGAGCATTGGATGTGGGACAGGTAGTCCACTTCACATGACATTAGAAACATGTATAATGTAAACTTGGACTTCTCAAACATTTTTGTCTTCTTCATCAAGGTATTCACTTCTCCCCAGGCATATCCTGCCTTCTCATTTCTCTGTGCTTATGGGAAAACTGTTACCTCTGCCCGAAATGCCTTTTCCTTTGTGTTCCCTCTGGGAAAAATTCTAAGAATTTTTTTTTTTTTTTTTTTTTTTTGAGACAGAGTCTCACTCTGTCGCCCAGGCTGGAGTGCAGTGGCGCGATCTCAGCTCACTGCTAGGTCCGCCTCCCGGGTTCACGCCATCCTCCTGCCTCAGCCTCCCGAGTAGCTGGGACTACTGGCGCCTGCCACCACGCCTGGCTAATTTTTTTGTATTTTTAGTAGAGACAGGGTTTTCACCGTGTTAACCAGGATGGTCTCGATCTCCTGACCTCGTCATCCACCCGTCTCGGCCTCCCAAAGTGCTAGACCTAGCTCAGATACACCTTTCTCAGTAAAGACCTTTTCTTTTCTAGTGTTCACTGCATTAACTTCACATGCATGGATAGCACAGTATACTGTTATTATGAATTGTCTGTATGTTTTCTCATATGCTGAAGATTATGAACTTTTAAAGGGTGGAAGCGGTGTGTCATTTTGCTCTATATTTTAGCACAGGACCTGTTATTAGAGGGAAAAAATGTTTTTTATTTTATTTCATTTAAACAACCTGTTTGGCATCTGTTTGGGTGGGGCACAGCTTACATTCAGAGTTGGTTTTGGGGGAGTTCCCTGATGAGACATTAGAATGGATCATCAGCTTCCAGTCCTCAAAGTCTTTCACTTTTCGTCCTCCCGTTCTCACCTCATTGCCAAAAGTTCTGGAGCTGGAACCCGGGCTGTTCCCTCCTCACCTGGCCATTAGGGGCCCAGTACTTCCTCTCTGGTGAACATGGGTGAAAACATCTGCTTTGTCCTGTTATCATTCCAGAGGACACTTGAAGGTGTGAGGGCCATTTTATTACAACAGTTATTAATTAAAAAGAAGTGTCAGAAAAAAAAGTTACAGAATAAGTCTGCGTCTATCTGCATGCTAGACTGCATGTCATCACAGGCTAGCTCCACTTTTAGCAGTGTAATTAAGGAAGGAAAAGTGCTGAATTTGGAGAAAGAAGCCCAGTTCAGAATCTGGTTCTGATTGTGTATTCTTAGGAGGCTTGGGGTTATTTAAGTGCCTGCGTTTGATAACAGCTGAGTGTATGAGATGTCATTGCTCTAGACCCACTCAACTGCTGGAGTTAGGAAATAGACACACAGACACACACACATGCACACACATTTTTACATACACACACCTATGTCTATTTATCTGTCTCTACTAGAAATCATGAATTTACACTGATTTTTCCAATTACTATCCAATATTACACGGTTGATTATAGCCTTTCCCCTTTTCATATCTATACCTTTCCTCCCCTCTTTGATAGTGATGAATCTGGCTCCTTTATCCTGAATGTATTTACTTGATTGTTCAATCTCCTGGCATGTTACCAGGCTCCCTACAATGCCAGCCATCTTCTTGGCCAGTGCTGCTGACTCAGGCCTGCCTGCACTGGCTGAGTCTCTCCCACGCCCAGGTGGTACTGGCTGAGTGCCCCCTCTCTGCCCAGTTTGTTCTGTTATAAATGTAATTCAGAAGAACATTTTTTCTTTTGTAGGTCTAGAGAATTCTAAAGCAATGTGTGTTCTTGCTGGCTCAGACCACTCAGCTTCATTAACAGGTAGGTACCAGCTCTTTCACGGTTTAACATGCCATTCAGGATTCTGTATGTGACTGCCTGAAGTGGTGATATTGAAATACAGAGGGAATGTCATAGACTTTGGAGCTAGAATTCTGATGCTACCACTGGTATGCTCTTAGGCAAATTACTTTTCCTTTCTGAGACCATCTTCTTGTCTGTAAAAGACTTTGTGGGCAGTTACGAGAATTAAATATAATACATATAAATCATGAATAGCAGACATAGGCTCACTTCCATTTCGTCTGAGTTTGCTTTCTTAACTATACAATAAGGATAATAATGTCTTCCTCTCAGGGTAATGGTGGTTGTCAAATCATGTAATCAACAGTAAATTTATATATAACATATATGGATAACACAGTGTAATATAATTATGAATTCTTTGTAGTTTTCTGATATACCTACGATTATGAGGGTAGAAGCTGCTCTCTTATCCATCTAATCTATTTTGGTGTGTATTGTAACTGTCTAAGCTCTCTACCTGTGTATACTCTCTAGTTGTCTAATCTCAAAGTAACCTGTTTTATCCATCTATATCTTTCTAATCCATTTATCAGTCTCCATTTGTGTATCTATCTACTCTGTTTACCTATGTATCTATTTATCTTTAATCTTTGTAATATCTAATCTGTGTGTCTATATATCTAACTCTAGATATGTAGTTTTGTAAATATTTTATATTGTTATATGTTTCTCTAATTTATCTACTTCATCTCTTTGATCTATCTGTTTTTCTGTCTTAACTGTTTTTTTATCCTACACTATATCTCTCTCTTTGGCTGCGCATTCATCCTTCCATTTGAAACACCGAGCCAATACAGTATAAACTGTCTAGTGACTTTTCCTTCCAAGGCAATGCAGCATTTTCTTGAAAGTGACAGTAATCCCTTCTCTTTGGCCCACATTGCCCTGACCCCTGCTGGTAGACTGGAGACTATACATCTGAGAGATTTATAATATTTTGTTTGGTAAGACCTCTCACAGAGTTGAATGTATTCTATTTTTTAAGCAAAGAGGAGGGACTTCCGTACTTAGTGTTTTATGTGGAAATTCAGGTGTGCCCATAATATATGTAAATTAATGGTGGTATGCATTCTTCGACATCAAATTTGCAATGCAGCCCAGCTGAGAAGTTGTTATTTCAAGAGCACGGGAGCCATAATATGAAAGTTTAAATGCTTTGCAAATTCTGAGCTGCAGATAATTTGTCATTTAATGAATTTAAAACAAACATCTAATAAAAAAGCACCTACTTTTAACTTGTGTCTCACATTAGGTAGATTTATATATTAATATTTGTTAAAAGTGTTGAGTTGAAATGAATGCCAACTATAAGGGACTCCAGTGGGTATCCAGTTCCTCCCTTCCTTTTACAGAAGAAGGACTAGAGACCTTAGGGTGAGAAGTGATGTGTTCGTGCCCCACAGTCAATGAGGGATGGAGAAGGCATTCTTTTCTGAGAATAAAAGTAGACTACGAGGTGTTTCTGTTTTGTTCTAATTAATTTGAAATGACTGATGGTATGTAAACCTAGAGCTTGTCTAATTGTTTGCCAACTTCAACTTCTTAAAAATTCTTGTTGGTAGTAAATTTGTTATTTCATATGTAGGGCACTTTTATTATGGTGTTATTTATATATAAATGTTGAATATTTTAATTAAGATGTATTTTAAATATAAGAAATTAAATTTCTTTTAAAGTATACAAAGAACTTAAGTTTCATTTAAAGTATACAATTTAGTAATTTTTAATATATTCACAAAGTGAAATGGTTTTTGATATTTTGAAAATGAGCTAAAGATTATGGAGATTAATAGCCCTGCTGGACACTGTGGCTCACACCTGTAATCCCAGCACTTTGGAGGCTGAGGCAGATGGAATACTTGAGGTCAGGAGTTCAAGACCAGCCTGGCCACTGGTCTACTAAAAAATGGAGTTTTTTTGTAGAAACCCCATTTCTACCAAAAAATTCAAAATTAGCTGGGTGTGGTGGCACGTGCCTGTAATCCCAGCTACTTGGGAGGCTGAGGCAGGAGAATTGCATGAACCCGGGTGACGGAGGTTGCAGTGAGCCGAGATCACACCACTGTACTCCAGCCTGGGTGACAGAGCAAGACTCCGTCTCAAAAAAAAAAAAGATTAATAGCCCTCTCTTTCTTCATCTAGTTCAAGCTGTTACACATTGGATTTTGTTCAATGCTCTTTAGACACTTTCTCTGGAGTGGTTGTAGATTATATAACTATTTGGCATTGCAGCAGAATTTAATTTTACCTGCTGAGGCAACAGCATAATGATCCTCATCTGGAAGACAGTTTGACTTTCAAAAAGATGGTTTAGAGCTACTAAGATAAGTGAAGTTGTTTACACAGGCTTCATCGTCAGTGGCATCTTTGTAGCTCAGCAGTCCACTTAATGGATTGATACTTTGCTGAGGGGGCTTCTTTGCTATCTTGTAAGAGATCTTCATACTTTGCACACCCTGATGAAGTCCAGGAGGTTGACCTCTCTCTGGGAATGGAATACACCAAATTCACTTCATAGAACTGCAGAATGTCAATGTTGCAGGGTCACCCCAGTGACAAAAAGGTTTCACTGATTTATACTCCCTCATTTTGGAGTTGAGGAAACAGACCTAGAATGTGAAGTGATGTGCCCAGTGTCAAACAGTGATCGGGTAACAGATGGAACTTGAACTGGAGACTTCTGAACCTTAGTCTGAAGCCCCTTAATGATACTGTTTGACTTTCTGTCAGTTTTTTGGAATATACTAGACTGCCCTAGGGCAAGCAATACTATCAAGTTTTATTGGGAAGCTACAAAATGCAGTGAAAGCAGAAGACCTGGCTTCTAGTCCCTATTTGACTCCTTATTAGCCATGTGATCCTGAAAAGTAATTTAATATCTTCCAGCCTTGATTAATTTATCTTCTAGAACAGTGCTAATAGAAATATAATATGAGCCATAGTTCAAAAAGTAAAAAGAAACAGGTGGGATTAATTTTAATAATATATCTACTTAACCCAGTATATCCAAAATATTATTTCAACATGTAACCCATATCAAATTATAAGGAGCCACACTCTTTTTTGCACTAAGTCTTTGCAGTCCATTGTGTGAGAGAGTAGCATTTCACTTACAATGTATCTCAGTTTGGGCTAGCCACATTTCAAGTGTTTAATAGCCACATGTAGGTGGTGAACTACTGTATTGGGTAGTACAGCTGTAGATCCTTAGATTATAAGGGTTGGAAAAGCTGAGGAGTCACAAATTGACAAGCCATAGGCTAAATTATTGCCCATGGCCTCATTTTGTATGGCTTTCATTTACAAAATATTTTTGAATGTGAATGCCTTTTAGATAGGCACGTACTCTCTGGCTTGCCACAGTCACCTGCCAGTCATTCTTGTTACCAGTGTCATCAGTCATATTGTCTGCCCTTCTAGACCAACAGCCTTCCCTTCCAATTTTCAGCTGGTGAAACTAAGTCTTAGAGAGGAAGTGATTTGTCCAAGGTCAATAGCTAGTTAGCAGATCCAGGAATAGAAGCCAGAGTCACTTGACTCTGAATTTGTTCTCTTTCTGTTAAATCACAATGTCAGTCAGTCACTTTCCTGCTTATATCACAGGATTATTGTGAGGTTAAAACAAACTGAAGTGCTATCCAGATGCGATTCTATAGCATTATATTTTCTGCTGGACAGGGCATGCAGTGAAATAATCTTATGTTTAAAAAATTTAAGCTTAAATAATGTATCTTTTAACCTGTTATTTTGAAAATTTAAAGCATTTTTTTCATACAAAAGGTATAGGCATATATTTTAAAAACGTAGAAAATAGAGAAATGTGTCTCATACACATGGTAGATGTTGCATAAATATTTGTTGAATGAAAAAGTGAAGAGAAAACCACACATTTTTATTTCTTAAGCTACTAAGAACATTTGGCCTTGTTTTTTATGTATAGAATTTTTGAAAATCTTGTAATAAGTTATTATGGTGTACACAAATTTTGTAACCTGCTTGGCTCCACTCAACCTTGTAGTCTAAGTATAAAACAACTTCTTTTAACCACTTATTTTTTAGACTTCTGTTATTTTCCATCATTTTGGACTAATGTTCCCTCACCTCTTTTGTTACCCTTCTGTTTGTTTAAGATGCAGGAGAGGTGTATGTTTGGGGAAGCAACAAGCATGGGCAACTGGCTAATGAGGCTGCTTTCCTTCCTGTGCCCCAGAAAATAGAAGCACATTGTTTCCAGAATGAAAAGGTCACTGCCATCTGGAGTGGATGGACACACCTGGTTGCTCAGACAGGTGAGACAGTAGCAGAGAACTTACGGTTGGTAAGAGCAGCTGGGGGACAGCTGTCTAAGCAGCCATGAGTGCTTGGGGTTAAGCCTTTTTACTGATGAAAGCTTAAAGATCAGAGATGGGGATACTGGGATCTAGTTCTGCCACCAGCCAGATATGTGGCTTTTCCTCTCAGAGTCACAGGTTTGTACCCAAAAGGGCAAGCCTGGGTTAAGTTAACTCCTTCCGGTCCTAAGAGCCCATGAGGTTTTGAGAAGGGATCCATTGCAGCAAGCGTCATCCAGAAATTTGTCCAGCTTGTTGGGAAGTTCTTACTTTGTCATAGCTATTTGCATGTCTAAGTCTAAATTAAAAGCATCAGAAAATGTTAAGTGAAAGATAAATATCTAAAGATTGAGGTAGGAACATTATTTTGATTCATAGCTGGCATGGAATTCTGATTTAAACTTTTGTTGACCTAATAAACTATGTGTATTGGTTCAGACATCTCATATATTCCCTCAGATGTTACCACATCATGCCATACAGCTTTTGGCATCTTCATCTTTTCTTGAATCTTCGTTTATTTCTCATCTTTCCCTTAGGGCAGTTCTACTTTCCTGGCCTTCATATTGTTAACTTTGTCCTCAGATTTTGTTTTTTCATGGCCTCTATTCATCCCTGCCTTCCTGCCTGTTGATTTCACAGAGTTCCCCAGCCAATTTGAAATTCCCAAGATCTGTTATCATGTCAAAGTATTCTGAGCTTCAGGGGTTCTCAGGAGTTCCCTTGCCTACTCCTGTCCTGCTTGCTAGCTACACACACATCTCTAGACTCCCAAATATCTAGTGACTCTTATTTCAGAAGTTTCTGGCTTTTGCAGGTTTTCAGGTCAGCTTCAGCTATCCTTGGTAAGTCACATATACTACGCATTTCTATACACAAATGTAGACTTATGAGCAGTCATACCTATGATGCTTTTAATTGGTCTTTTAAAACATTTCATGATCATTTTGCAATAGAGGCCTGTATAACAAAGGTGTATAATAAACTTTCCATATTACCGCTTTAGAGGATGCTCTAAGCAAAGTGTGTCATTCATTAGGAGGAAGGTCGTCACTTTCCTCAAAGAGATTCAGATTGCTTGAAGATTGGGCTTATCTACAGAACCTTTTCCTAAAGAGACTCACTGAGCATAGTAGCTGGGTTTTGTATGTTTGTAATTGTTGATATCTCTCTTTTGTTTCAGATAATGAGCTCTGTGAAGGAAGCCACCAGATTAGTCTTGCTCACTTCTGTATCTCCAATGCCTATCAAAGAATTTACTCATTTTCCTGCATCAAACTCTTTATAGTTAAAAGAGACTACACATACACAAATGCATACAAGGCAGGGTAGATAGCTAGGATTTCTGACCTCTTTCCTGGGACTTAGATGTTCATGAACAGAAAGCTTCTTTGTCTCTTTGGATTCTGGTGTCCAACCAAATAGGTTAATGTTTATTAGGCACCTATTGAGCAATGTGTTAAGCCTTGGGGAAATGGAGGAGAAAAGACATAGGCCATATCTTCCCACTAGAATATGTAGATAGGTGTAAGCCTAAGAATATAGAGATGGAAAACTTTATCATCCATGCATCATACAAATAGTGAGGGTCTTTTTATGTACCATGCCTTGTACTAGATGTAAATCTTGCCCTTAAGGAGTCCACTGTCCACTAGGGGTGATAGACCTGTGATAAAATTTTACTACATTCCAGTATGAGATGTGCAACAATACAGCTAAGTACAAAGGGCAAAAGTCGCATAGAAATTAGCAGTAGTCTTGAGTGATTGGGTGTTCACAGGTAGGCATTTCATGGTTAGTCAGTCTTCCAAGAATTGCAGTACATTAAAATACACTTACTACCAAATGGTGGTGAATTTGGTTGTCTGTCAGTAAACCCTTTAACTAGTCAGGTAGTTGACTAATGAAAGACATAAAGATGTTGCTTCTTTGATTTTAGCTTTGAAGCATTCTAGCTGATGCGATTCCCACATCTGGGCCAGCAGCCCAGCCCTTGGGGTGGGAGGTTGGAACCCATGTCTCTGACACTGTCTGAGTCACCCCAGCTGCTCTGGAGCTCAGCGTCAGGTTTCTGCCTCCTTTCAAGAGCATGATTTTTTGGTAACGTTTCAGCTATTTACTTAGCTTGTTAATTCAGATTGCTTGTTTTTGTACATTGCCACTTTCTCCTTTATCCTAAGGCCAGAATGGTTAAACCTGGGATGTTTGAATGTCCTGGTTTTTGTACTGAATTTTGGGTAAATGGGAGTTTCCGGTTACATGATTCACCAATTTTGTGTTCCTTCTAGCAGCAGTGGAGGCCCGTGCTCTGGCCCAGTGTCGTTGAGAAGAAACACCCAGGGCTTCTATTTAATCAGACTCAGCACTCACATTAATGGGAATAAGATTTCCTCACAGGGTCAGGAGCAGCTCATTAGTGGAACAAGGAGTTATTTGACTGTAGTTGTTTTCACAAGCTCCGGTGGTGAATTGTTCCTGGAATGAACTTGCAGGCCACATCAGCACAGAGGCTGCTCTCAGTCTCATTCTGGGAGGCATTAGTTGTGTGATATTGATTAAAAAAGAGTTTATGCACAGACACTATTGGCGTCTAATGGGTAGAGGCCAGGGATGCTGCTGAACATCCTACAATGCAAGGGCAGTCTCCTATAACAAAGAAGTATCTAGCTTCAAATGTTAATAGTGTCAAGATTGAGAAACACTGCTCAATACTGGACATCCCCAGTGGTAGGTGCTTAGCTAAGGCAGTTCACATGGTATCAGAATAACTTTATAGATTGTCTGTATGGGAATCTGGGATGTGTTCTCTGCCCTCCCCTCTCAGGAGTCTGTCTGATGCCTGCCTGCAGTGTTTGTGATGGAAAAATACTTTTCTCTGTTAGTCAGAGGCACTTGGAAAGAGTCCAAGAGAACCTGTTCTAATCTGGGAGAGTTGGCAAGGGTACCTGTGTCTCAGGCTCATGGTGCTGCATTCTAGAAACCTTTCCCAAGCTGCTTAATGTTCCCGATCATTGTTCTCAGGAACTTCATGGGACTCCTGGGTGACTTTATCCAGGCTCAGTGACCTGCAGGTGTCTCATCTGAGATTCATGGTTTCCTGGCTGGAGGTGCTTTTAATGAGAGTTGGATGGCAGATCTGGGTGCCTTCCTAGTTTGTTGACCTTGATTAAGTCACTTTACCTGTTTAGGCCTCAGTTTCCTCAACTCTGAAGTCTGGTATTAAAACCTGCCTGCATTCTACATAGGGCTGCTATGATGTTCAAATGAACGAATCTGTGAAAGATCCCAACTATTGTAAAATGCATACATAAGTGATGGCTGCCTGGGGTATGTAAGTAAATTAAAGACTTAGTAGTTGCTTTTAGAAAGACTTCTGTTTCCACAGGGATAATGCCACCTTGAGACTACTAGCCTGAAAGCTCATGAGCTGGCCAGGGATGCCATACTCAATATCAAACTCTGACAGCAAAGTTTTCTAAAGTCTTTTACTTGCATGCAGTAGGCAAGTGGCTCTTTCATATTATCAACAACTTGGAAGATTTTCGTGGCCTAATTTGTAATATTACCTATTAAAATTCAGGATACTCATCCCAATTTGTAATTGTGTACATCTCTTTGTATTCTTATTTGTTTAATGTCTAGACTGTAAATTACATGAGAGCAGTGTCTGTTTTGTTCATGGCCATATCCCCAGCATCTGGCACAGGCCTGATACATAACAGATGATCAGTAACTAAGTGCTGAATGAATAAGTAAATGGCAAGGTAGAGAAAAACCTGGGCTTTGAAGTCAGATAGACCAAGGCTTGAATCTTAGCTCTCTTAACCTACTGATTGTGTGACTGTGGGCAGCTCCACCTCTCTCTGTCTCCATTGTCACCACCCTAGTTCAGCCCACTGTCACCTCTTAACTAAATCCTGCAGTAGCCTTTAACTGGTGTTCTGGTCTTCCCATATTTACTCCTTGATATAGTTTGGATGTGTGTCCCCACCCAAATCTCATGTTGAAATGTAATCCCCAGTGTTGGAGGTGGGGCCTGATGGGAGGTGATTGGATCATTGGGGTACATTTCTCATGAATGGTTTAGTACCATTCTTCTTGGTACTGTCCTTGCCATTGTGAGTGAGTTCTCATGAGATCTGGTTGTTTAAAAGTGTGTACCATTTCCCTCTTGCTGCCTTGCGCCTGCTCTTGTCAGATGATGTCCAAGCTCCCGCTTCCTCTTCCACCATGATTGTACGCTTCCAGAGGCCTCCCCAGAAGCTAATGCTCGAACTATGCTTCCTGTACAGCCTACAGAACCATAAGCCAATTAAACCTCTTCTCTTTATCAATTACCTAGTCTTAAGTATTCTTTATAGGAGTGTGAGAATGACTAATATCCTCCCTCTCCCCTCCAACCCATTCTTCATACCTCAGTTGAAAGATCTCTTCAAACCCATTGTGTTACATTCATATGGCTTCCCATTGCTCTTATGATGAAAATATAATCCTTAGTGGTTCTACAGGTCCTATGTAATCTGATGTCTGCTGACCTTTCCAGTCCCATTTCTCACCATGCTAGTTCTTGATCCCTATCCAATCTGCACTCTGGCCTTTGCTTGGTCCCTTGAAAGCATCATTCATTTCCCACCATAGTGCCTTTGCACCTGATATTCCCTCTATTTGGCCACTTATCCATGCACCTCTTCTTCAGTTTGACTTAGCTAAATCCTTTTTTTTTTTTTTTAAAGTCTTAACCCTTAACTTAGGTATCTGGGAGAACTTCTCTTGACATTGCTGACTAGTCATTTCTCCTTTTTTTTTTTTCTGTTCTCATAGCACCGTAAACCTCTCTTTTGTGCTCTTTTTTGGTAGCATTCTTTGACTAATTTCCTTTCCCACTAGACTGTAAGCCCCATGAAGGCAGGAGCCATGCTTGCTTTTGCCTACTTAAGACATGTTGGACAAATGAAAAAACCCAACTTCTTTGAACTTATTTCCTTATTAGGAAAGTGGGGAAATAACTGCTGACCTGATATGAGGATTAAAAGAGATGATGTATTAAAGCATCCAGCACAGGACTGGCTCATATGTCTTTTAAAGACACATTAGCTCCCACTACTCTTTTGGAAACTCTTGAGCTCTCTAGAGATCACATGCTCCATTTCTTCTCTTTATATCTCTGTGGGGCTGGATGTGAATGTCTCTGGATGGGTGACAAGTTGATTCAGAACTCTCCTGAAGAGTGCAGAAAGATCAGTGCTTACAAATGCTGGTTACAAGTGCTGGTTGCTGACGGTGTGTTAGAATTTCAAAGGGAATTATTTACACAAGATCTAAACCTTAATGTGGAGTTGGTCAGAATGTCTAGAATCCAGTTGCTTTTGGGGTGCTGGAAGCTTTCCCTGAATCATGCAGTATCCCAAAGTAGCCTTGTGGTCTTACAAGGAATATGGATTGAAAAAGTGAGAACAAATACAGGGAGTTCTTTGACATTCTTTACTTTCTTCAGTGTTACCTTAAAGAGCCAAAGAGTCTTAGAAGTTTTAGAGAATCAATGATGGAAGAAGCAACTTCCTCACTTTGCAAATGAAAAAACTGAAACCAAGCAGAGAGAAAGTGACTTTATGGCAACTTTAAGCTAGAAATCTAGTTCTACTTTCCAGTGAAATTTTCTCCCTTCCATCGGTGTCCTCTTGATTTGTGGTTATATCCTTTTGATTGAGGTTTTTTATTATTTGTTTTCCTAAAGAGGGGAATTGTATGGTACATATGAAAGGGACTGGCTGTTAGCTACTCTTTCAAGTGTCACAGCCCAAGAAATATTTTATTGCATTTGATGTCTAAGCATTAGTGAAATTCAAGCCCAGCCATTGATTCACACTAAACTGAGTTTATAAATATACCTAATGCTGATTTTTCTGTTTTGGGGCCAAGATCCTTTTCAGAATAGGGTGACAGTATACATTACTCCATCTTCTTTGGGACCATATATCATGAAACTTCAACCAAGCCTGGGGAGATTCTGACCTCATGGGCTCTATTTAAAGCAGGTGCTTTGGAATTAATGATGCTTGTGCTTTAGAATTTTGAAAACCCCATGAGTGAAAGTCAAACTGAGCCCAAAGGCTTGTTTTGAAATGGATACTTTTTTATTCTTATTAAAGTCATGAGTTTTTATCCTAGAATCCTTAGAATGTCAGTAATGGATGGAAACTTAGAGATCATCTGGCCTTAATTCCTCAGTTTAGAGATGTGAAAACTGAGGACTAAATAGGGGAGGCACAGTGAGTGAATGAAGGAGCTAGGACCAGAACTCAATCAAGTCTCATGACTCTCAGTACAGTGTTCTTTCTGCCTTGTTACATTCTTTCCAGAGATGATGAGGAAGTGTGGACGACTTAACTAGTCAAATCCAGGGACCTGAACCAGGAATGACAGTTCCTTCTGTATAAGAAGTTCTGCTTTGGCCAGGCATGGTGGCTCACGTCTGTAATTCCAACACTTTGGGAGGCTGAGGCAGGTGGATCTCTTGAGCCCAGGAGTTTGAGATCAGCCTGGGCAGTATGGCAAAACTCTGTCTCTACAACAAAATATAAAAAAAATTATCTGGGTGTGGTGGTGCGTGCCTGTGGTCCCAGCTACTTGGGAGGCTGGGGCAGGAGGATGGCTTGAGCCCAGGAGGTGGAGGTTGCAGTAAGCTAAGGTTGCGCCACTGCAGTCCAGCCTGGGTGACAGAGTGAGGCCCTGTCTCAAAGAGAAAAAAAAAGAAGTTCTGCTTCAAGAAAACACTTATTCTTACCTGAAGAGTGCAGCCATAGATTTCTTTAAGGATATGTGTGTGGAGTAGAAACTGGGAAATGGTTCCTGAGAAGCGAGGGTCAGGAGGCCATTCTGGGATTCACAGAAGCAGCTACATGAGAATACAACAGCAATCATAACTCTCACGGACCACCTTTATTACTATAAAGTACTTTCACATCCATGTTCTCATATGAAGTTGGCAAGATGAGTATTATTATCCTTACTTCACACAAGAGTCCCTAATTCGTTAATGGCATTGCCCTGTTTCACACAGAAGGGCAGAGCTAAAACTTGAATCCCATCTTTTGTCCCCAAGCCTGCTATTCTAATTCCAGATCTTGTGTTTCTCAGAGAGCTCTAACTCATCAGCTAAACTTCTTTTACCCTTCAAAGAAACATCTTTCCCCAGCTTTTGACAGTGATACTACATTTCGGCAAGCAATTGGAAGGAAATTCATAGGTATCTTTAGTCCTTTAGCAGATATTTGTGAAATGCTTATCTATATGCATATAGTACTATGCTACAGAATACAGGGGAATATAAAATCCAGAACCACCTTTAGGAAGCTTGTGGTTGGATGAGCAACTAAATATTTAGTAGAAGAATAAAAAGATTGTGGCCAAGGGCCGAAGGAGTGACCCAGACACTGCAGGCTCTAGGATTTCAGGGGAAGGAGAGGTCAGTGTGGGTGAAGTTGGTCAGGGAAGGGTGTGAAATTGTGGTTGGGCTTTGGGAAGGTCACATTTTAATAGATGGAGAGTTTGACTTGCTTCTCTTGCTTTCTCTTTGTCCTCTGGCAAGACACTAAACTCTCTGGTCCCTTTCTTCCATCTGGCCAATACGTTTACATAATAATCTTTAAGGGTCATTCCAGCTCTGAAATTCTATCCTATAAAAAATAAAACTGGCCTAAAGAAATAGTCATGGATGTATTCAAAGATTAAGTATAATGCCATTTACTGCAGCCTAATTTATAATGACAAAAACAAAGGTATGGAAACAAATAAAATTGAAGAGAGATTGGTTAAACAAATTGTGGCAGAGCCATATGTTGGAATATTATATTGTCATTAAATAGAATGTTTTAGAAGGATATTTAATGACAGGAATACGCTCGTGGTATAGTAAGTGAAAAGAATGATTAACCATACTGTAACTTCTAATTTGTTGAAAGAAAAAAAGAATGTTTCTGTAGAAAAGACTAGAAGGAAATGGGCCAGGTGGGATTATGAGTGAATTTGTTTTCTATGATGAATTTTGAATATTTTCAATTTGATTATAGCTCCTATAAATACTATTTTAAAGTTAATAAGATCACTTACCCCTCAGTGCAAGAGACTGGCTCCTTTGCCATCTATTCCCATGTATATATGTCCTTGACAAGTCACTTGCACGGGCCTCAATTCGGAGGTTGCATGGAAGAGAGGCAAGATACTTTAGCAGGAGGCAGGAGAGTGGCCATCTATTTTTGGCTCGGTCATGAGTCAGCTTTGTGACTTTGGGTAAGTCCCTCCTGAATATCCCTGAGCCTCAGTTTCTTCATCTGAAGAGGGGAGTTGGAGGTCACAAAAGGTCCTTTAAGTTGCAAAATATATTTGTTCCTAAAGATGGATAATTTCTCCACTATTGTGGAACTGGCTAAGAGGCCTCTTTGGCTTCTTGAGCCTGGCCTCTTTCTTTTCTCTCCCGCTCCCCTGCACTTGGGCTCTGCTGGCTGCAGGCTGATTTCTTTCATTCAGAGTTCAGGGTGAATTGGAGTAGAAGTTGAGTGACAGGGTCTCTGCGCAGGTAGGGTGTAATGACAGCACTGAACCACTAGAGGGAAGCATTGTTTGATTACTTTCCCCTTTCCCATTTTTTAGCGGCTGTGTCTGCAGGTGAAGATCAGTCTTGATTTGCCTGGGGGTTTCAAATTCTAGCATTTTAGAATTAAAAGGACTTCGAAGATCATCCAGTAAAACCCTAGTATGCTGCAGATGTGCGATGATAGAGGCCTGGAAAAGCAAGCGACCTAGTTAAAGTCACACAATGTGCTTTTTCAGGGTCTACACTGTAAAGGAAGGCTGCAGACAGAGCCAAGGGTATGATCAGTTGAGTCCACAAAGAATAGACAGGTCCCATGTTGTGCAGAAACCTAAAGGATCTACTTGTATACTTGCATTCACTGAGCGCCTCTGGCCAGGTGTTAAGAGGCCTGGAGATAGAGAAGAAAAGATATAACCCTGCCCGGAGGAGCTGCTGTCTGGCAGGGGGAAGCTCACACAAACACACAATGCTACCCCAGGTGTCTTCCCCACTATTTGGTGGTCTGCCTAGTCTAGGATCCAGGCTGTGGTGGTGGCTTGGAGCCTGGTTTATGGAAGACCCTGCAGGTGTTCTTATGAATGATCACCTCCAAGATTAGGGAGATACATTGGATACCCCAAGTTTGTATTTCCAGTTAATTTCTGCAAGCAGTGCTCAGCCTGTTCACGTGCCATGCCTTACTATTTCTTGAGGTTTGCGAGGAATCCTGGCAGTTTTTTCCCCACCTTCAAACAGCTTTGTTCCTTGGCTCTAGGCTGACTTTATTTTTGGTTTGCAGGTACCCACCAGCCCTAAGCATTGTGGCAAAGTGAAACCGTGTACTGGCCTGGGAACCAGGCAGCTCTGTGATCTTATGCAGGTTACCTTCTGTCTTTGAGAAGGGAGGTCATGTTCTCAGCTGCAGCTGTGTCATCTCTGCTAGAGAGATGAAGCGTTATCATTATATTTGGATTTTGTGTTTGGCTGTGAATACCCATTGATCTGTGGTCTAGAGAAGTGTAGCATGTGTGCACCTGAAGCAGAAGCAGGAGTCACCCTCTGAAGTGGGTGTATTCGACAAGGGGCTGGGCCTGCAGGGCCACCAGATGGCAGCAGTAGGCAGCCAGCTAGCCTTGGGATGAGGCTGGTAGAGTCATCATTCGGAATTAGTAAGGTCAGAGCTGAAAGGGCCCCTGGAGGTCACCCAGGCCTTCCCTGTTTTTGTATGGATGGGAGAACCTAGGCCCAGAAAGGGAAAGGGTCTTGCATAAGGACACACCCTGAGTTAATAGCTGATAGTCCTTGCTCTTAACAGGAACTGATATGGATCTGACCTCTAGCTGGCTGCCCCATGGAGATCCAGGGGACAAGGGCCAGTGAGCCAGCTGTGGGAGAGGACCTGGCAGTGGCAGTTAACTGTCTGCCTTTTTCCTGATTTCTTCAAGGGCCTGGTCTTAATGATTTTTCACCTTCTCACTCACAGCAAAAGCAATGTGCACATCTTTTCTGCTCGCCTCTGCCCTGTCCAGTTCTCCTCCTCAGTTCTCTGGACCAAGGCTTCCCATCACACTGTGCAATGGATAGAATTAGGGGTCATCTCTTAAGTCCTATACCCCACAGATGGGCAGGCCCAGGGCCTTGCCAGAGACATGCTGAAGACATGAGTTAGCACAATTGGTTGAATAAGAACATTTTTTTTTTTTTAATTTCCAAGGGGATCAGGTTAGGGCAGGGAGCCAGTGTTTGCCAAGTACTTACTATGTACTAGGTGCTCTGCCAGGTACTGCTCTACAGCCTGAGGGTAATACTGCTGTAGCCCCTTAAGGTAGGGTTCATTTCCCTTCATTCTAGGTGAGGATTGAGGCTCAGAGAGGCTAAGTGGCTTGTATAAAGTACCATAGCTAGTTAGAAAGCAAAGCAGACACTTGAATCCTGCTGTGTTTGATATCAAAGCTTATTTTATTTCATCATGCCACTTCCTCTCAAGGTGACCTTATGGGAAATGTAGCAATTGACTATCTTATTCCATTCAGGCTGCTATACCAAGTGATATAGACTGGGTGGCTTATAAACAATAGAAACCTATGTCTTACAGTTCTGGAGGCTGGGAAGTCCTAATCAAAATACCAGAAGATTTGGTGTCTGGTGATGACCTGCCTCCTGGTTCATAGACTCTCACCTTTTTGCTGTGCCTCACATGGCAGAAGAAGTAAAGGAGCTCTCTGGGGTTTCTTTTATAAGGCCAATGATCCCATTCATGAGGGCCCTACCTTCATGACCTCATCACCTCCCACAGGCCTTGTCTCCATAATATTAAGGGTTAGGATTTCAACATATGAATTTGATGGGGACACAACCATTCAGTCTGTAGCAGCCCTTTAGGCTTTAGGGAGGGGGCAACAGATATTTTGTCTCTCCTTCCTGGAGAAAGCTTCTGGGGGAGTTATGGTGGTGAACTGCCAGAGGGAGGAGGCCTTTGAAGCAGGAAAGGGCAGGTATTTATTGGAGCAGGTTAGGGAGTGGTGGCTGGTGGTATAAAGCCCACTGAGAAATGGTTAAATACCTTTCCCCTCTGTGCCTGTGTTCTAGCAGTTCTTTCTTCCAGGAATGCTCGTCTCTGTGATTCCTGCATAGCTACTGCCTCACTTCCATTGGTTCTTGTCCAAATGTCACCTCTTACACTCTATTCCCTTCACTGTGTTATTTTTCATTATAGCAGTTTTCATTGCCTGAAACCATAGTGTCATTATATGTTTACTTATTTGTTGTCATTCTCTCCTAACCGAATGTGAGCCCCACAAGGTTAGGGACTTGGTCTGCTTTATTCATCCCTGGATTTCTCCAACTATAGACGAGAGACTCGAGTGCTGGTGGCATGGGATGGGTAGAACTTTTGGATGTGGAAGTGATGCTATTTCCAATGGCTGTGTTCAGGAGATACAGCCTGTAGCTGGCCCTGCCCTCTTCCTACCTTCTTGGAGAAGCCCAGGCCACAGAGCCTCAGCTCCCTGAGGCTGACAGTGATGCCTGATGCCCCAGCGTTTTAAGACCAGCTTTGCTCCTGCCTATCTGCAAGGCCTTGCCTTGAGACCTTGGCTTCCCCATCTGTCCATAGTGAGTGGGGTGACCAGCCATGCTGCAAGCTCACCAGATGGTTCTGGGAAGGGTGTAGAGGTCCCTGGCAGAGAGCTCAGTTTCCATTCAAAGAATCTTCCTCTTTCCTGATGGAGATTGATTTGTTCCAGGAGCTCTCTAAAAGTAAGCATTTAGTTACTGGCCTGTAATTTTGCCATCATTTTTAGGTTTTTGGCAGATGGCACTCTGCTTGCCCTTTCTCAGGGGACCTTGCCTATCCCATGGGTGCTCTCAATAATCACAGTGACAGCCAGGCACGGTGGCTCACTCATGTAATCCCAGCACTTTGGGAGGCCAAGGCGGGTGGATCACGAGGTCAGGAGTTTGAGACCAGCCTGGCCAATATGGTGAAATCCCATCTCTGCTAAAAAAAAAAAAAAAAAAAAAAAATGAAAATTAGCCGAGGTGGTGGTGCATGCCTGTAGTCCCATCTACTCGGGAGGCTGAGGCAAGAGAATCACTTGAACCCTGGAGGCAGAGGTTGCAGAGAGCCAAGATCACACCACTGCACTCTAGCCTGGGCGACAGAGTGAGTCTCCGTCTCAAAAATAAATAAATAAATAATCATAGACCAGTACCTTAAAGTGCTCTCAATGTGAGCCAAGGTGAAAGCAGCCCATTCTGAGGAATATTGGAGGAATCAACTCTTGCCCAATCAGAGAGTGACTTTTTACCTCAGGAGGAAGCTTAATGTGGCCAAAAGAACCCTGAAGAGCTAGGTGTAAGTTCTGATTTGGCTATTTGTTGGCTGTGTGATCTTGGGCAAGTCATTGGGCCTGAACTTCCTCACCTGTAAAATGAGGGCCTTAATTCCTAATTTGTCTGCTTCACAGGGGTGTCTTATATCCTTTACTCATTCACAATTCCTCCCTTTATTCCTTCACTCATTTGTTCAACAAATATTTGTTGCATAGGCAGAAGTGAGGGGAGGGCATTCCAAACAGAAGGAATACTGCGAAAAAATCTATAGAAGTGGGAAGTGCTCTGTGGTGTAGTTTGCTTGACCTGGGCCAGATGATAAGACATTGGGAACTTTTGGGTACAATGAGAAGGGGTCCTTGTTGAGGCGTTACTCTGTGAGTAGTGGAGGAGCAGCTGGAGGTTTCTGTGAGGAGTGGAGGTGTGTGAGAAACATAAACATTGAAAGGAGAGACCCTGACTCGGGGTGCTCTTGCAGTCTCCTCTGTTGAGGCCTCATGCTTGCTTTCTACTCATCGCTGTGGCTGAATTAGAAGTCCTCTGAATTCTTAGGGGAGCCCCTTTCAGGGGCTCAGGTGATTTTGAGAATCTATGAGATGGGGAGATGGGTGGGACTGGAGTTATCTGGTTCATTGGCCTTTCTTCTGGGAAGCTATTGTGAGCCATATGGAAGGTCATTCAGGAAACCATCATGTTACCTTTCATCTTGAAGCGTTTCTTAAAGGTCTAAAAATGAGCAGCTCTGGGGCTTCTCCTTATACCTCTCTGAGGAGATGGAGGTGTGTGAGGAAGGGGTCACTCACATTTATCAAGGGCACATGTATGCCAGGCATTTTACCAGGGCTTTACAAACATTTGTTTAATCCATATACAAATTTTGCCAAGTGAGGCTCACTCCCATTTTACACATGAGGAAACCGAAGAGACATAAAGAGACATGGGCTCACTCTACTTGGGTACTTAGCCTTGCTTCGCTCAATGTGAATTGCAGGTCAAGATCACCTTGTCAAGTTTGGGGGTGTTGTGAGGCTCAAATAAGATCATGGAAAGCACTTTGTAAACTGGAAAGTTACTGTGTGCATAGGCAGGGAGCCATCAATAGTACTACTGCTTCCCAGCCACATTCCTACATTGAGTTTTGTTTGGGCCACTCATTCCTGAGCTGATAGAAGCTTCTAGCCATTAGTTTCTCTTCTGCGCACTTTCTCCCCCAGCCAGCCCCAGAGTCAGTGGCTCTATTCACCACTTCTCTCCATTAAGCCCACAAATAAGAGCAATGTCCTTTTTTAGAATGCTAAAACTTTAAAACGTTACAGCACCAATTAATATCAGGGTAAACTTTCTTTTCTGTTTGCCATTTTGGTGAAAACAATAGTAAATTGTGGAATTTTAATCCTAGAAGGGACCATTTTATCCTTATTTGAAATTTGAGGAAACAGAAGCCCAGTGAGAGATGATTTGTCCCCATGGTCCCACAGCTAACACGTAGCAGAGCCAGCCAGGATTAGAACCCAATGGGTCCCTTGTCTAGGACCCCTCCACTGCCCCACATGAGCCCTTTTATGAGAGACTTTGGCTTCTTTGTGGAGGAAGAATCCAGTTTAATAAATTTCATTATACCAGCCCCTTTATGTAACAGGGCTGTTTCCAGGTCCTGGCAGATGGTCCATAGTAACAGTGCTTTGCTGATTTGGTTGGAGCTGAGCCTGTGAAATGAAAAATCCTCAGTAGCAGATGCCTCTCCCAGGCCCTGGCCATGGAAAAGTCCTCCTCTCCAAGGAAAGTACTGTAGCTTGGGTGGTAACTGTCTCTGGTGGGACTAAGTGTGAGCACCCTGAAAGATAATCTTAAACTGTGTCAAGTTTTTACAAAAGGTCACATTGGTGACTTGGAGGTTCTTGGCAGTTGAGCTGCTAGTAGAGGGTGTTTGTATTCTGGGGCCTGAGGGACAGATGGGAGCAGGGAGCAGAGCAGGAGGGAGATTAGTAGATGTGGAAGGGAAAGGTGGCCGTCCCATCCTGGGTCTGCCCTGGCAACCCCTCCTTTTCCATACCATGAGGCCATGGACCTCTAGACAAGCCATTTGAATGTGACAAGCATTTGTCACACCATCTACTAGCCTTGACAGTGGACTTTAACCCCAAACCTCTCCCAACCCCCTACTTTGGAATTACTGGGACTCTAAGTCTCCTGATTATCTTCCCTTTCCTGGTGGGTCCTTGAACATTGTATGTTCTCCTCAGTGGCCTCCTTCGGTGATGCTCATTATTGCCACTGCTCAATGCAAGTGCCAAGTCCCCAAACCACTGACAGTGGAGTGGTCATTATCTCCATTGGCATCTTCCTGACCATGTCCACCGCTCAGTTTCACCCTTGTAGAGTTCTCAAATATGGGGTGGGAGAATGTTTTCCCATCTTTGAGTATAGCTCTATTAGGACCCCTGTAGGTCTTTTATACTAATCTCTCTTGAAGAACCTGGGACAGTTTCCCAGGGATGGGGTTAGACTAAATTTGAGAGGCACTGTCTAAAGTCATGTACCAAGATGTTCTCACTGGTTGACCACAAATTGGCATCCTAGGATAGGCTCCTTCCCTTCCCTACTGCTGCCTCTGGGTGAATTGCTTACCCAAAGATTGGGGCCAACCTTTGTCTCCTCTATTGGAGATCTTAATCTGAGCTTCCCATTTCCCCAAAGCCAGTTTCTCTTTGGAAACCAAGGATGCAAATAGTATTTCTAGGGGGTTGTGGGATGTCTTGGGGTTTCAGAGGTGGGGTCCTGGCTTTCTAACATAACAGTGGCAGTGGATACATGGCAGTGGATGGGCTTTGCAGAATTCACTGGCTCCAGTGTATGTTCTGTCTGTCCCTGATCCTGCTCCTGTGGGACCTTAGGGTGGTCTGCAGGGGGAGCTGTGTTCCCATGGCCAAGTGCTGGGATTTTTACCAAGGGAACTCAAGCAGCTCCTCTGCAGGTTTAGGCGTGCTTGGGAACTGCGGCTTTCCTTTGGCTGTGCTGACACTCCCAAGTCGCATTCCCAGCTTTAGCCTTCAGCTTGGGTACTGTGAGTCATCGTCATCAGTGGAAAACACGGCCTCATCAACAGCTGGGTGCAGTGCTTGGCCTTTTTTCTTTCCTTTTTTTTTTTGTAACTTCACAGAGATGGAAACTGCTGATGATTTTGCAACGGACAAAAACTGAAGGTGATGTACAGAATTAGGGATGGCAGTTCCAGATAGGGAGAGGAGGATCTGGAGGAGATGGAGAAAGGGATGTTTCTTTCATTACCCAGCCCTTGGGCCTCCCAAAAGCCATCCCTGGGATGGAGGCAGTGAGGAATCGTGGGGACATCACCTGTCTGCTCTTCCCTGCCAAGGAGCTCAGGAAGCCCATGATAATTAGGTGAGGCAGGTCTCAATGGAAGCTTGGAAAAGTTGACTTGTACAGGCATACCTTGGAGTTATTGCAGGTTTGGTCCCAGACTACAGCAATAAAGCAAATATCCAATAAAGCGAGTCACACAATTTTTTTGTTTTTCCAGTGTATATAAAAGTTGTGTTATACTATACTGTATACTATACCTATTAAATGCACAATAGCATTATCTCTATAAAACAGTGTACATATCTTAATTAAAACATATTTTATGGCTAAAAAATGCAAATCTTCTGAGCCTTCAGTGAGTTGTGATCTTTTTGCTGGTGGCCTTTTAGAAGAAGGTCTTGCCTTGATGTTGATGGCTGCTGACTGATCAGGGATGTGGTTGCTGAAGACTGGAGTGGCTGTGACAATTACATAAAATGAGACAATAGTGAAATTTGCCACATCAGTTGAACTCTTCCTTTCACAAGATTTCTCTGTAGCATGCAATGCTGTTTGATAGCATTTACTCATAGTAGAACTTCTTTCAAATTTGGAGTCAGTCCTCTCAAACCCTGCTGCTGCTTTGTCAATTAAGTTTATAAAATCGCTTTTGTTAGCATTTCAACAGTGTTCACAGAATCTTCACCAGGAGTAGATTCCATCTCAATAAATCACTTTCTTTGCCATCCATAAGAAGCAACTCCTCAACCCTACAAGTTTGATCATGAGATTGCAGCAACTCAGTCACCTCTTTAGGCTCTACGTATAATTCTAGTTGTATTGCTGTTTCTACCACATGTGCAGTTACTTCTTCCACTGAAGCCTTGAATCCCTCAAAGTCATCCATGCGGGTTGGAATCAACTTCTTCCAAACTCCTGTTAATGTTATTTGACCTCTTCCCATGAATCATGAATGTTCTTAATGGCATCTAGAATGATGAATCCTTTCCAGAATATTTTTAATAACTTTGCCCATATCCATCAGAGGAATCACTATCTATGGCAGCTATAGCTTTACAAAATGTATTTCTGAAATAATAAGATTTAGAAGACAAAATGACTCCTTGATCCTTGGACTGCAGGATGGATGTTGTATTAGCAGGCATGAGAACAACATTAATCTCCATGTACACCTCTATCAGTGCTCTTGAGTGACCAGGGTCTTGGTCAATGAGCGGTAACATTTTGAAAAGACTCCTTTCTGAGCAGTAGGTCTCAACAGTGGGCTTAAAATATTCAGTAAACCATGCTATAAACAGATGTGCTATCATCCAGGCTCTGTTGTTCCATTTCTGGAGCACAGGCAGAGTACACTGAGCATAATTCTTAAGTGCCCTAGGATTTTTGGAATGGTGAATGAGAATTGGCTTCACCTTAAAGTCACCAGCTGCATTAGCCCTAGATAGTTATCTTCTTCCCATAGAAGGCTGTTTGGTCTACATTGAAAAGCTGTTGTGTAGTGTAGCCACCTTTATCAATTTTCTTAGCTAGATCTTCTGGATAACTTGCTACAGCTTCTGCATCAGCACTTGCTGCTTCACCTTGCACTTTTTTGGAAACAGCTTCTTTTCTTTTCTTTCTTTTCTTTTTTTTAGATGGAGTCTCGCTGCGTCGCCCAGCCTGGAGTGCAGTGGTGTGATCTTGGCTTACTGCAACCTCCACCTCCTGGGTTCAAGCGATTCTCCTGCCTCAGCTTCCCAAGTAGCTGGGATTACAGGCATGCACCACCACACCTGGCTAAGTTTTTGTATTTTTTGTAGAGACGGGGTTTCACCATGTTAGCCAGGATGGTCTTGATCTCCTGACCTCGTGATCCGCCCACCTCAGCCTCCCAAGGTGCTGGGATTACAGGTGTGAGCCACCATGACCGGTCCTACAGCTTCTTTTTTTAAACCTCATGAACCATCCTCTGCTAGCTTCCATCTTTTTTTCCTCAGTTCCCTCACGTCTCTTAGCCTTCCTACAATGGAAGAGAGTTAAGGCCTTGCTCTGGTTTAGGCTTTGGCTTAAGAGAATGTTGTGGCTGGTTTCACCCTTTATCCAGACCACTAGAACTTTCTCTATATCAGCAAAAAGGCCATTTTGCTTTCTTATCATTAGGGTGTCCACTAGCGAAGCACTTTTAATTTCATTCAAGAACTTTTCCTTTGCATTCACAACTTGCTTAACAGGTGCAAGAGGCCTAGCTTTTTAGCCTATCTTGGCTTTTGACATACCTTCCTCCCTAAGATTAATCATTTATAGCTTTTGATTTAAAGTGAGAGATATGTGACTCTTCCTTTCACTTGAATACTTAGAGGCCATGGTAGGGTTATTAATTGGCCTAATTTCAATATTGTTTTGTCTCCGGAAATAGGGAGGCCTGAGGAGAGGGAGAGAGATGGAAGAAGGGCTGGTCGGTGGAGCAGTCAGAACACAATCGATTAAGTTTGCCATCTTACATGGGCATGGTTCATGATGCCCCAAAATAATTGCAGTAGTAACATCAATGATCATTGATTACAGATCACCATAACAGATGTAATAATAACAATGAAAAGTTTGAAATATTGCAAAAATTACCAAAATGTCACACAGAACACATGCTGTTCGAAAAATGGCGCCAATAGACTTACTGGACTCAGGGTTGCCACAAACCTTCAATTTGTAAAAAACAAAACAAAAACCGCAGTTATCTGTGAAGTGCAATAAAGTGAAGTATGCCTATACTTTTCTAAGAAGCTGTGGACAAGATGTACTAGAAGTCAGGGCGACCTGGGTTCTAGTCTAGTCTTACTTCTAACTCACTATTTGACCTTGAGTAGTTAAGTTGCTTTTGTTTTGGGCCTTGTTTTACCCAGCTAGAAGCAAATGATTGGGTAAGAAGTTCTCTAAGGTTTCTTCTGGCTCAGATAGTGTATGAGGCTGAATTGAATGTAAAGAACTTTGAACCTTATTCCCATAATCCTCTTGAGAATCCAAAACCTGTAGCTCTTTCTCCAGATGAACAGTGTTGTGCTCACTGTGTAAGGAGAATCACATAGATATGGTACTCACCCTCCAAGGACTTACAGCTTGTTGTCCTTCTTTCCTGTCCCCACCAGGCAGCAGACAGAGTCTACTGGGAAGCAGGAAATTAGGATCCTAGTTCTGGTTCTACCAAAACATACTGTGTCCTTGGGCAGATCATTCCCCTCTTTTAGCCTTATTTTCATTTTCTTTAAAATCAAGGGATTAGACTTGCTGCTTGGCTTCAGCTACCCTCCCTCACCCCTCCACCCACACTCCTCACCCCCCAGCCTACTACTAGCTTTTCTGTAGGGTGTGATTCTTAGCTGCAGAAGCCCTGGGGTATAGTTTCCTTTCTTGCCGGGAGGGAGAAAAGCAAGATTATTTTTTAATTATGCAGCTAAGATTAGGCAGCAATCTGCATTTTAAAATGTTATTAATAAGAATCTAAAACTGTGTGAAGAAGCTTTAGAGTTTGAATGTGAAATGAGTTGGGAAACATCTGTAGAGTCACTGGCCTCAATCAGGGATTTTTCTCAGGTTGCCAAGCAGCTTCTAGGTGTAACTAGCAGTGTGATGTGCTGCTGGACCCTGGAGGAACAGGAAAACCAAGACCTCAGCCGGCACATCTCAGAGCAGGGACTCGTGGTCCAGCCTCTCATGTTGGTTCTTTGTAAACTGGCTTTAGAGAGTGATAGTCATAATGTTATTAACACTAGCATTTAAGAGTTTACAAAGTGCATTTATGTTTATTGCCTGCCTTTTCATCATAGGCTTGAGAGGTTGCTTGAGCAAGTTTCATTGCCTCTGCTTGAGTTGGCTGGGACTTGTAAGTTTAAGGTTCTTCCATTAGGAAAGGTGATGTGCTGTAGAGGAGAAGCTCACAAAGGAAGATGGGAGCTGGACACTGGTCCTGGGCCTCCATCTCCCTCCCCAGCACTGCCTGTCTCCTTTCCCTACTTTTTATTTCTCTGTAGCAATTAACGTCATTTGCCATAGGTAATGTTTTGTTGTTGTTGTTGTCTGTCTTTCCCCTCATTAGATTTAAGCTCCATGATGGGAGGGAGTTTTGTCTTTTTTTTTTTTTTAAATTAGAGACAGGTTCTTGTTCTGTCACTCAGGCTGGAGTGCAGTAGCATGGTCATAGCTCCCTGCAACCTTGAATTCCTAGGCTTAAGCAATCTTTCCACCTCAGCCTCTGGAATAGCTAGGACTACAGGTGTGCACTACCTGTTCAACTAGTTTTTTTTAAATTGTTTGTAGAGACAGGATCTTGCTGTGTTGCCCAGGTTGGTCTCAAACTCAAGCGATCAAACTCAAGGCTCAAGTGATCCTCCCACTTTGGCCTACAAAAGTGCTAGGATTAAGTTTTATGTGTTCTGTTCAGTGCAGTAGCCCCTAGCACCTAGGACAGCACCTGGTGTATAGAAAGTGCTCAATAACTATTTGCTCAATATTGTGAATGCCTGGATCTGTTTCTATCTATATAGGCTGTGTGACTTGGAAAATTATTTGTTTTCCTTAGTTTTGTTTTCTCTTTGGAGAGTAGGTTTAGATGGTCTCTGATATCCTTGGTGGTAACAGCAATACCTACAATTCCTACTGTTCAACAAACACTGAACACCACCTCTGGGTCAGGCTCTGTGTTAGGTGCTGTGGGGAATACTGAGAGAATAAGAAAAGATCATTGTTCTTCACCCTTCAGTGGGCAAACTAAGATATGCAGTCAAATAACCCTATGTTTGGAGGGATAGAAAGTTGTTGAAACAGAGGTACAAGCACCATGCCAGTGGCTCCTAAAGGAAGAGGTGGCTTATTCTGACCAGGGGATAATAGGGTGCTTTAGGGAGGCAGCAGCATTTAAGCTAGGCCCTGAAGGGGGAGTAGGATTCCATAAGTGGGACAGACAGGCTGACCAGCATTGCAGGCTGACAGGTGTTGCAGGCTGACCAGCATTGTGAGCTGGGGGCAGAGCATGGCCCTAAGGCCCAGGAAGGAGGAATATGAATATGCTTTTGACAAAGGAGCAGTCATCCAACATTGAGAGAATGTAGGTGCTTTGAGAGAGGCAAGGGAGCTACTGAACAAACTAGGACTGGGGCTTCCTGCCATGCTCTTCCCTAGCCTGGAGGAAGAAACCAGCCTGACTCCTTCTTGCTTTTCTCTGGAAAACCCTAACCACATGTTGTAGATAGTTCTGCACTCAGTCTTGGTGTTCCTCAGGGTGCAGTCTGTCTTCACTTCTATCACTGCTGCCCCCGATTTGGTAGCTAATAAAGTCAGTGGTGAAAATGGAGCAGCTGTGTGGAATACTTCTATGTTTTGGGAATCTGACCTTTGCCATATAGGTCAAGGATGGATGAAGCTCACTCACTCATCAGCTGGGCTCTCTCTGTGCCTCCAGCCCACGTGTGTGTCCCTGTGACTCTGAACAACCTCAGGAAGTCCTTGCGAATGTTCACTTTTGAAGAGCCAGTGTGACCACGTGAAAAGTGGAGCTGAGGTCAGACAGACCTGTGCATCCCCTGCAGGACAATGACTGAGGGCACTGACTCTGGTTGCCAGGCCCCTGGGTCCCATCCTAGCTTTGCCATTGAAAGCTGCTGGCTCTGAGCCAGAGACATAACCTCTCTCTATGCGTTAATATTTTCATCTATAATTTGAGGATTATAATGCCTACTCAGGGTATTTCTGTGGATTAAAAGGGATAATCCATATGAAGAGTTTAGCATGAAATAGCCCTCAAAATATTAGCAATTATTATTGTTATTATTGCAGCTGTGCCACTTACTAGCTATGTGATCTTGGACAAGTCATTTAACCTCTGTGGTCTGTTTCTTAATCTGTAAAATGGGATTCACAATAATCATTCAGGGTTGATTTAATTATGTAACTTAATGATAGTGCCTAAAGCAGTTTTATACAGAGTCAGCTCTCAATAAATAAATTCTCCCCAACCTTTCAACTTTTGTTCATTCTCTTTGCGGGCTTTTTTCTCCCCTTTTTAGTTAGGCAGCCTGTATTTGGAAATCTTATTTCTGTATTAACTTAAAAAAATTCCAAACCTTTTATTATGTGATATTGTTTATGATACGACTTTGGAAACTTGTGACATTTTACTAAAAAATAACAAACTATACAGTCAAGTTTTAATGTTTATTTACGCTAGGAACTATATGAGTAGTCTTTGATATTAGAGTGCATGCTTTATTTTTGGACAGTGGTCAGACTAAATATTCCAAAGGTGACAATAAAATTAAATTGTATACCAGTCATTTTAATACTGAAGATTTTTAGGCATCATAATTAAAATGTAGATCAGGGAGGTATCCAAGAGGTCATCTGTTGCGGTTCTCTCATTTTATAGATGGGAAAACTGGGTGCCTAAAGCAGAAGGGACCTGTTCAAGGCCATGCAGCCTAGAAGAGAAGCCAGGATTAGGCCTGAATCTTAATTCAAGTCTTACGAGTCTTGAGTTGAAGCTTCCTCTCTTCTCTTTTCCAACTGAATCTTGCTTCATCTTTCTTCTCCGTTGTTCCTTTTACTCATTTCTTTTTCCTACCTTTAATTAATTTGTTTTGTCTCGTACATTAGAGGCTTCTGATGTGCAAGCCACTATGCTTGAATCTTAAAAAAAAAATCAAAATTCCATGATAGAGCTTTCAATGTTCTTTCTCTTTTTTGATTATCATTAGAGGCATTGACCCTAACACTTTGGTAGGTGGGAATTGGCTGAGAAGATTTAACAAAGTGGTAGAAATGCTGTGTGGAACCATGGAAATCCTTAATAAGGCTGTGTTGTTCAGTTTGGGAGAATAGTAGTAGTAATGGCCATTCACTAGTTAGTATGTGCCATAGGCTTTATGGAAAAGTATCCTTGCAGCAATGCTGCAAGGGAGATGCTTTTGTTTTCATTCTGCAGATAAGACTTAGAGCTGTTGAGTAGTTTGCTCAAGATTATGGAGCTAGTGAATGGTAGTTTTCAGTAGTGGTGAGTGAGAGGTAGGTAGGTTGATAGGTAGGGAGGTGGTTGGATTCATTTATTCTATTGTTCATTCAGGCAGCAGATATTTATTGAGTGCCTACTTTGTGTTGGGCATTATTCTAGGACACAAGAATGAGTGAAATAGCCAGTCCCCAGTGTCATGGAGCTGGCTCTCTGGAAGAGGAGGCACACATTAATTAAACAGTCCTAATGAGTGTGCATTTATAAACTGAGGTAAATGCTCCCAGGATGAGGAACATGGTCCTCTGAGATTGTTGCACAGAGGAACCTGATCTGAGTTGAGTAGTGGGCAGAGTTGAAGATGAGTAGGAGTTGACTAGGTGAATGGGGTCAGGGTAGTAGAGATAGCTGGGGACAAAGGGAACCAGTATGGAGGCTGTATTAGTCTGTTCTCACGCTGCTGTGAAGAAATGCCTGAAACTGGGTAATTTATAAAGAAAAGAGGTTTAATTGACTCACAGTTCCTGCATGGCTGGGGAGGCCTCAGGAAACTTACAATCATGACAGAAGGCACCCCTTCATAGGGCGGCAGCAGAGAGAATGAGAGCCAGCAGGGGAAATGCCAGACACTTACAAAACTATCAGATCTCATGAGAACTCACTATCATGAGAACAGCATGGGGGAAACTGACCCCATGATTCAATTACCTCCCACCAGGTCCCTCCCACAACATGTGGGGATTATGGGGATTACAGTTCAAGATGAGATTTGGGTGGGGACACAGCCAAACCATATCAGAGGCCTTGTGGAGGAGCAGCATGGCACATGCTATACAGAAAGGAGTGTGGTGTGACTGCTTCCAGCACCTGTGCTCTGAGCTCTCTCCTTGCCTGTTTCCTGCTCCTTGTACAGGAAGATGATGCTAGGTGATTCTTGGTCAGTTAGTTCTGTGTTTGACTAGTCCCTGGGTATTATCATCAAATGTCCTTTTTATAAAGTCTCTGTCCACATGGCAGAATGAAGGATGAGTTACAGAAGTCAGGTTCTTAACCTTCTAAGGACACAGAATGAATAACCCAGAGAGTAACTGGTGCTTGTATTTGTAAACAGGTGAATCATAAATATAACAAACCTATAGGTAGAGAGCTTCCTCCTTTTCATGAGTATATTCTAGAAGACCTTGTAACATCCTGGAATATTAGAGTTGAGAGGGACTGAAGAGGTCATGTGACCTTTTCTCTGTCTTACCCATGGATTTTCTTTTTATAACATCCACCTCAGTTTGCTGACTCCATTTTGCTATCTTCAGTGACATTATATTCCCTTTTTGGACAGATACTGTCAAGAAAATATGGATGATCCTCTAATCTATCTTTCTATCACCTATAGGACTCCCTTCCCTAGAACAGGGTAGAAATTTCTCTTCCCTGAAGAGCTCAGACATCCCTGGAGCTACTTCTCATTGTACCTATAGCTATGGCTGCAGCACCTGCAGCCCTTGATGGATGGTAAAGGAAGTTGGCCTCTTGAATATTCATCATCCACCCACCCTACCCACAGAGTATCCCCTGCTCTCTGTGGTTTGCATCTAGTAGTCTTTCTCCTTACTCTCTCCCCTTTCATTTATATTTGACTATTTGATAACATGTTTGCCAAACGCCCCAGGAGAGTTAAATAATTTGGTAATGAAATAACATTTTATGATTCCCATTAGCGGGACCCTTGATGTAGCATCTCTACACCTTCATCATCTTCCTACTCACCTTGAAATCCTGAAATCTCAGAATGGTGTTTATTTCCTCTCCTTTCCTTTTAAAATCACATCTAATGGGGTGCCAAGCCCTGTAAATTCTTTCTTCTTTGTTTTCCTATGACTTCTATTCTAGTTTAGGCCTTGATGCATCCTAGGCTTGTGTTATTGTTGTTGTTTCTTTCTTTTCTTCTCTTTTCACTTGCTACCTCTGTGACTTTGGGTAAGTACCTTGTTCCCTGTCAGTAACATGGGGATGGTAAAAGTGCCTAACTCACAGGGTTGTTGCAAGAATAAGCAGGATACTGTACAGAGAATGTACTTACTTTAATAAATGTAATTTAATGTACATACTTTAATAAATAAATTAATGTACATATATCGGTGATGTGTTAAAAAATATTTTACTAATAGACGTCAGGCGTGTTGGCTCACACCTGTAATCCCAGCACTTTGGGAGGCTGAGGCAGGCAGATCACTTGAGGTCAGGAGTTCAAGTCCAGCCTGGCCAACATGGCAAAACCCTGTCTCTACTAAAAATACAAAAATTGGCCGGATGGTGGTGCATGACTGTACTCCCAGCTACTCAGGAGGCTGAGGCGGGAGAATTGCTTGAATCCAGGAGGTGGAGGTTACAGTGAGCCAAGATCATGCCACTGCACTCCAGCCTGGATAATGCAGTAAGACTCTGTGTCAAAAAAAAAATTTTTTTTTTTTTTTTTTTTTTTTTTTTTTTACTAATAGTAAGCAACCAAGTTTAGGGATCCCTGGTCTGGAGGGTGAGATCCAGATCCAGCCATGGCACTTCTCTGTGGCTGGCCCCAGCCTGGCAATCTTGACTCCCTTTCTAGTCTCCTTCTCTTGTGACCCTTATTCACTCTCCTGCCTTTTGACTTTTTTTTTTTTTTTTTTTTTTTTTGAAACAGAGTCTCCCTCTGTTGCCCAGGCTGGAGTGCAATGGTGCCATCTCGGCTCACTGCAACCTCTGCCTCCCAGGTTCAAGTGATTCTCCCACCTCAGCCTCCCCAGTAGCTGGGACTACGGTCGTGGGCCACCACACTCAGCTAATTTTTGTATTTTTAGTAGAGACGGGGTTTCACCATGTTGGTCAGGCTGGTCTCAAACTCTTGACCTCAGGTGATCCTCCCACCTTGGCCTCCCAAAGTGCTGGGATTACAGGCGTGAGCCACTGTGCCTGGCCGCCTTTTGATTTTCGTATCTTTGCTCATCCCCTCACGCTGCTCCTGCAATATCCTCCCTTGGTCTCCCATTTTCTTTTCTTATCCAGAAGTTCACCTTAAATGCCTCTTGTTCCCTCAAGCCTGCCAGGACAATTCTAGTTCCAGACCCCTTAGGTGTTCTTTCTCCATACTTCTCATTTGGCCTCTGTCGTTTTCTGTGGTACGTTGATATCTTTTGCAGTCTATACTTCTTGGCTCTGTAGTTATTTCTCTGTGCTAATTCTTACATGGACATGCCTTATAAATTGTGTTGCACTTGCTGACTTCGTTTTGAGCTATTTTGTCATCTCTGTCATTTATCATTTACCTGGAGACACATACCTATACTTTTTGGATGACATTAGTGTATCTATTTTTTTTAATCATAGTAATATATAATCCTTTAAGGAGAAGATACGTTTGTTAAATTTGTGATTTGAATCTCCCTGGATTTGACAGCACGCATCAGCTTGATGCAGACATTCATCTACAGTGTATTAATGAGCATTTTTTATATGTGGATTCATTGTTTTTTTTTTACTCCAGATGACATAAAATCATCATCCATGTGTTTATGCCTTTATTTCAGCACTTACAGTCCTGAGTTCTACATGGGCTCCTGGGAAGAAGATTATTCTAGTGAGGAAAGCTGGATGGTACACAGAGCATATCCATTTAATCTGGGTTTTCGTCTTCCTCAAACATTGTAAAAATGGCTATTTCATCAGCCAAGTTTTGTCAGTTTGGGACAGCAGCTGTGCAATCATTGGAGATACCACTGGCCCTGGAGTCAGAAGACACAGGTTTAAATCTTGATTCGACTATTTGGTTGTTGATTGAACTCAACCAAATCATTTAACTCTCATCATTTAACCTCATCTGTAAAATAAGCTTAATACTCTATATGCCATAGCATTATTGTGAGGATTGAGCCAGCGTCAATGAATGTACTGGGTACCTGGGAAGAGGTCAGTAAATGTCTGTTTAAAAGAAAAGGAAAAATAAAAGGGTCTCTTCTGTCCTGGGTGAGCCTTCTGATGCAGAGTTTATTTTGAGGAGAAATAGACAAGTTCAGAGTGTGTTAAATTTAGGCTTGAGACTAAAGACTGAACGTTAAGTCAGCCTGGTTTCTGGACTTGTCTTAACCAGAATGTCTATGGCCTCCGCAGAGAGTATGAGGATTAATTAGTTAATCTTTGTAAAGTGCTTTGAAGGTGAAAAGTGCTCTGTAAGTGGAATGGCTGAATTGCTATTGGGGATATAATAATGGTGGCACCATATTCTGCCAGTCTTGCCTGTCTTTGACTTCAATAATCAATAACAGGAAAGCTCTAAGATGTTTTACTTCATGTGAAAGAAAGGATTCAATGCGTGATTTCTGGTAAAATTATTTCTGTAGTCTTAGAGATAACAACTTCCTAGTTTTTCCCAGCAGAGGAACGGTCATTTAAGCAGCAACAGTCTCATCCCCTGGTTTCTTGGGAATCTCCTGCTGAGCAATCTGGTTAGAAATCCTAGCCAGCTCAGGTAGAGGGACAATTTGCCAGTTTTGGATGCCCTATGGGTCCTGGGCACATGGGTTTTTAAGAGGCTAATCTTGCAGAAGTGAAGGAAGAGTGTTGAGTGATTATGCAGTGACTAGTGCTTAATAACCAATGCAGAGTAATACCATGGGCTAGTAGAAAGGGATGTGGCTTAGCTGTGTGACCCTGGGCTAGTCACTTCTCTGAACCTTAATTTTTTTCACCTGCCAAATGGCGGCATAGTAGTGGATGAGTACAATGATAAAGGTGGCTCACAGGAGGGTGACTTTCACCCTTTCTGGGGAGAGCTGGGGAGTCAAGAAAGGTTTCATAGAACTAGTGGTACATGTGCTGGACTCCAACGGTGGAGCCATAGTTTACCAGCTAAGGAGAGGTCATTCTTAGCAAAAGGAACAGCACACAAAGAGCCATGAAGGAGTACATTTGAATGGACCTACTCCCAGCTCTCATAATATACGAGGTACCCCAAATACCCTGTGAGCTACGCAGACTTTGTTCCCTCTTTGAGGAAGCCCAAAAGTCAGATTCCTGTAAACTGCTTGGTATCTACCTTAGTGTCTGCTAGCAGGCTGATGCTGAGAACTGTTTCCCTGCAGAGCCTTGTATCACTGCAATATTCTGACATTTCCCCATGAATCTATGGTTATTTTTTTAGCTGACACTATAAACCATATGTTGAATGTGGGGCCAGATGAAGCTTTGATACCAAACACAAAGTATGCAGTAGTAGATTTGTCTAGAATTTAATATGCACTGCTCTGTGTTTTGTCTCTAAAGCAAAGTTTTTCTTTGTTAAAATAAACATGTATAAAGAATTTATACAACGCACATGGTTATGCATATTTATTGCAGAGAATCTGTTAATAATCTATGGCTCATCAGATTTTGCATTTCTGTTGAAATAACAAATGTGGCACTTGGTACAACTGAATGAATTTGGTGAATTTTCTCTTATCTAGGAGAAGAAAGTCCATTTCTCCTTTTGCAAATCTCATTTTCTTTTGTCATTTTTAGCACTGGCCAGCTTCCCATGTGGTGCATCTGGGGGACTAAATGCTTTTCTGGCTCCAAATGGTTTTGCCATTTTTTTTTTCTTCTCTCACTCCCTTCCCTCTAGCACACATAAACACTTGCCTTAGGATTGTTAGAATTGCTCCTTTGGGTAAGAGCATAGATTCTGAAAGGTCCCTTTATGTTACAAGGAGGGGAGAGCAAATGAAGCTGGCCATTCATTGAGCTAGGCCCTAAGAGATTGTGGAGTGGAGAACTTCAAGGTGGCTAAATGGGGCCCTGGGTTGGGTGGGGGAGAGGAGAGCCTGAGAACAGGCATCTGGGCAAAGCACAAGGAGTGTGTGGGGAAGGGAGGGAATGGAAGGCCATAAAGCATGGTTGAAGTATATCCGTAGTCATATTCATATCTATATAACATGCAAGAGCAGAAACTTTAGAATGAATCTCTGCTTGAATCCAGCTCTGGTACTCACAGCTTATTTGATCTTGGGCAAGTCATTTAACCTCTCTGAACCTTAGTTTCCACATCTGTAAAAATATGAGTGCATGTGCCTTCTTTACAGGAAGATAGGAAGGCTCCTGGTAGGTGGTACTAAAATAAATGTCACACTTTCTCTTGTAATTCATTGCCTACCCATGAGAGCACAGCTGTGGAATGTAGTCTTAATTCAAATAATATTTGTTTTTAGAAACTGGCAAGATGTTTACCTGGGGCCGAGCAGACTATGGTCAGCTAGGGAGGAAGTTGGAGACTTATGAAGGCTGGAAACTAGAAAAGCAAGATTCATTTCTCCCCTGTTCAAGACCACCGAACAGCATGCCTTCGTCTCCGCATTGCTTAACTGGAGCAACTGAGGTAGGAAGTGACTTCTCACAGATGTAATCTGTCCCTTTTTCTTGTCTTTCAGTGAATCATTTACTGAGGGCCTACTGTGTGCCAGGCGTTATGGATAGGTACCATGTAGGAATCAGAAGAGGTCCTTGCCCTAAGGAGCTCATGCTTTAATGTGGTCAAAAGTCAGTCACCCAGATAACTGTACTGCAAGGCAGACTTTGTGTAGTTCCTTGGAGGTTCAAAGTACTTTGGATCTACTGTGAAGAGCAAGAAATGAATTCAGGGTACAGAGATTGGCCTAGGCTTAGAAAATGACAAGGCTGGCCAGGCACGGTGGCTCACGCCTGTAATCCCAGCACTTTGGGAGGCCGAGGTGGGCGAACTGCCTGACGTCAGGAGTTCGAGACCAGCCTGGCTAACATGGTGAAACCCCGTCTCTACTAAAAATACAAAAATTAGCTGGGCGTGGTGGCACACACCTGTAGTCCCAGCTACTTGGGAGGCTGAGGCAGGAGAATTGCTTGAACTCAGGAGGCAGAGGTTGCAGTGAGCTGAGATCACACCACTGCACTCCAGCCTGGAGGGGGGTGGGGGCAGAGCAAGACTCTGTCTCAAAAACAAAAACAAAAAAAACAACAAAAAAAGAAAATGACAAGGCTCTGATCTGTGCTTTGGAGGATGGGTCAGACTTGAGCAAGCAGTTGTAAGACAGAAATTTTAAGTGTGCACAACAGCTTGAAAAGAGTCATGGAGGTTGGAAAGTGAAGAAACTATTTTGGGGACTACTTGGTGGTTCAGTTTGGCTGGAGCATTGGGTATCTGGCAGGACAGTTATGAGGTAATATCAGAAAGATGGGCTGGAACCTGATCAAGGGGGCCTTTAATACTGAGCTAAACATTTTATACTCGTGTTTATTTTTCCCAGTCCAGAAAACACTGTAGTTCAGTTGCTTATTCAAACCCCTTTGATTTTCTGAAATGGCTTGAATTTCTACATTTAAGGCAGGAATCTTAATTTCTCCAGGGTGTGCGTTTCTGTTACTAAATTTTACTTTACTGTTACCCTTAAAAAAAAAGAAAAGGCTAGATTTTTTAGAAGAATGAGGATGGCCACACAGGAAATGTGCCTCTGAACCCAAGTTGGCTTACTGAAGGGATTCAGTCTTCATTCAGAGTCAGTCAAAAAAAATTAATAAGCTAGTGAGACTTCTGTAATTAGCATCAGACTAATGACAACCCTCTTCATACCTAGAGGGCTTCCCTTCCCCAGGGCCCTGCCTGGCCTCCTCCTTCCGGGTATGTAGGACGCTTCTCAATTTCTGCTTTAACATCCCAGCCCTGGTCTTCCTGGGCCTTTTCGTAGTGCTGGGTTAAGTGTGTCTATCTTTTTTTCTCTCTCTTTCTCTTGGGTTGAAAAGGAACTAAACAATACCACAAAGACAATTTACATGTAATAATAATGAAACTACTTAATATTATGGAAGATTTCCATAATCTTGCCACCCTAAAACAGCTACATTCCTTTTTGTGTATACACATCTCCATACTTCTACAAGTTGTACCAATAGCATTTATGATGTTTTGTTTTCAATCTTTATTTTATCACAGATGCTTTGTTTTTTTCCCTCTTGGTCTTTAAAATGATCATTTAAAATGGCTATGCAGTAAACATTACATGATTAGAAGGTTCTGGGATTTCTCAAACCATTCTTTGGATATTAGACATTTAGATCATCCTTTTTTTTTTTTTTTCCCACCACTAGTGAATCTCTGTTGAACTGTTTTCCTGAAGATATGATCTTGGGGATGCAATGACAAGGGCAAAGGTCCGGAGCATCTTTATGACTTTTGATATATTTCTTTAGATTGTGTTTGGCAGAAGTTGGCTCTACCAGTAGTGAATAAGGGAATGCAGTATTTAAACTAGTATTGTCTGCTTAGTGAGTTAAGGTGCTGAGAGCCTGTAAATAGTGCTTTACACTCTAGTTTTTCTTTGTCTTTCCAAGATCATTTAAGACTTTGTGGTCAGGTAGTATAGTAGTGGAGGAACAGAGGATTCTTAGATTTTTCCGAGTCTCTAGTTCTATTGGCAAGATAAGTATACCCTTTATAATAATACCTAAGGTATTGGTATTGGTAAGGATAACATGCAAAGTTCTTGACTTAGTAGGCACTCAGAAACTGTTGATTCCATTCTCTTCTTACCGTTTGAAATTTTTTAATGCCATGTGGTAGCCACAGTATGCAGCACTGTGACAGACATGACCAGTGCAAAATTTAGTCTAAGAGCCTGACATTGATGTGAATTTTACGTAGCTTATCAGGAGTGGGCTTGAGCCCTGAGCCCCCTGGCAGCTTCATTTTAGAGCTCCTTCCTTCCTAGCTCCAGTCTCTGGGGTGCTGGAGTGTAGACGCTCTGATCTCATTTCAGGTTCAGACTCCAGGCTATTACTCTCTGGTAAATTGGGTCTGGGAATTGTCTCCAGCTGTGGATATCCAGGTCTGGCCTGCTAGGCATGTATTTGCTCGAGGCCAAGAGAGAGCCAGGCCAGGAGGCAGCTATATGCTACTAAGAGTGGGTTCACCTTGGAGAAGACAAGAGCCACACTAAACTAGGTGCTACCTTGGTCATGGGCTTGGCCAGAGAGGTGCAGAGATACCTGGAGGTGCAGGAACAGTGTTGGACTAGGCTGATGTTTCCTGACCCTTGAGGACCTGAGTGTGGCACATAGCTGACCAACTGCCTTTAATTCTTCTTAGTTGCCTTTAATGTCCAAGGGATAAGCAGGAGGAGGAGTGAATTGTCTGGTGTCTCAGATAGGATGTCTGCAAAGAAGGGTCCAGAAGGATAGCCAAGCAGGAGAGGAAAACACAGGTAGACAGAGCTAGACTGTGGTATAACCATCCCTTCCTGGGAACCAAAGAAAGCAAAGAAACACAAAGTTATTTAGTGCTTATTATAGGCCAATATGCTAAATGCTTTGCAGATATTATTTTGTCTTCATGATAAACCTGTGTGCAGGTGTTACAATTGCTGCTTTATGAATAAGGAGACTAAGGCTAAGAATGGGTAAACTCAACTGGCCTCTACTGATCACACAATAGGTAAACAGTGAGCCTGGGTCTTGAACTTGAAGTGCTTGAAGAAGGTCACATACTCTATAGATAAAGTAAAATTGAGGTCCTTCTTTCTATGTGCCCTTTCCTGGGTGGAACCCTTTGCTGGGTTCTTGAAATCTGGGAATAAGGGTCTCTAATGCCCTAAGTGTTTCAATTCTTTTCTTCTGAGCCATGTCTCCTCTCTAGCCTGAGAAACACTTTATTTGAGATTTTAGACCTTGTAGGCCTTCCTTTAATGTCCTTACAGTGGTAAAAACTTCTGTGTTTCATTCTCTGTCAGTTTTACCTTAGATACTGGGCCTCTCTAGGCACTCCTGGAAAATTCCAGGGTGGGTAGTACAGTGATCTGGATTAATCCCACCAAGCGCATGTCAGGGCAGGATGTATGTGAACAGGTTTGTTTGCTGCTTGACTGCACATGTATACCCCAGCAGCTCTCTACTTTCCAAGTCAGTTTCATAGCTAAGGTCTCTAATCCCTAGCTGCTAACTCAACTTTGGCAGACCTGGGAATGTTAACTAACCTATAAGTTCTAGGCTTCTTCAGGACCACTTCAGCCTTGCTCTGATTCTTTGCCCTGCCTCTATTCTCTGCCCTTGTTTCTTGTCCCCAAGCCCTCCTATTCCAGTTTACGTTGTGGGACTTGGTATGATGCTGCTGTTCCTTATTCCCTGGACCTCAAGAGAGTGCTCCTGCTCCCTGTTCAATTCTTTGTGTTTCCAAGATGAAATCCCTGTCTGGTCTTCCCAGAACTTGCAGTTCAGCTTTGACTGTCATCCCTATGGCTGTGCCCTTATTGCCTAGGACTGACCTCAGTGACACTGCCTTCTTGGATTTCTTGCCCACCATCCCCACCACTGGCTGTTTGTGTGCTGTCCCACCTTTTATGCTCTCCTGGATCTTTCTGACATTTACCTCCTTCTTGACTTTTGAGTTCTTGCCCATTCCATAAACATTGGTTGACACCTGTCATGCACCAGTGTTGGCCATACAGTGGAAGTGGATGGGGAGGTGGATACAAGGATGAAAAATACACAGTCTTTGCCCTCAAAGAACTTCCAGGTATGTAAGTTAATATCTACTGTATAGATGAAAAGTGCTATTAGAGGTATGTACAAAAGGCCAAAGGAGCACTAAAGATGGAATGGTCAATTCTGAAGACACTAACAAAAAAGAAATGTTATTTGAATTGGGTTCTTAAAAATGCATAGGAGTTTAGCAAAGATAGAAGGATATCAGGCCGAGGGACAACATAAACTGAAATTGAGTCTAGATCACTTTTAACTTGTGATGCAATCAGGATGCCTACCCATTCTAGTGGCTGAACCTAGTTTTGTAATCTGGCTGCCTGTCTAGCCTGTCCCATCACTGTCTGAAGGAAAATGACCTTCACATACATTGTCTCATTCGATCCCAGCATGATGCTGTGAAATAGGCCAGAATAGGCATGGTTACTCCCATTTTGTTATTCAGGAAACTGAGGCCAGAGAGGCTAGCTAGGAATTAGGAGAAGATCCAAGGCAAACAGCTTGACTCCCAGTGTTTCTAAGGACTTTCTCTGGGCTCAGTCTGCAGCCACAGTCCTGAGTCATGTTCCTGGTTTAAATTCTGCCCACGTTTGGTTCAGGAGCACCAAATCCCAGCCAGGGAACTCAGTATACACGTGCATGTGTGTGCACATACAGTGCCATTGGAGCAGGAGCAGGAAATGTGGAAATAAAAGTTAAACCAGAGATTGGGTAATTGTCAAGCCCAAATGCCATCAGCTCTCATTTGCAGCAGGACTAAAACTGCTAAAGGATCAACCTGTGCACAGGGTCTAAGTGCAATCTGTCGGAATGAGTGGGAAAGAAGCTATTTTTAGTTTGCAGAGTCACTCACTCAGCTGTGTTAGCTGAGGTTTGAGCCAGGCCCCTACACTTTCCACAGTGTTATTTCTGAAGGAGAAATACCACTTGAATGCTTGTGTAAAACCCATTAATGAACCTGGAAGTTTCCAGGGCGTCTTTGTCCTACAGCTCCCTCGGAAGACTGCCTTTCCTGAATGACCTTCCTCCTTTCCTATATTTAATACATTTCTAATTTTAAGTTTGTGTCAAGACTGTGGGACTTTGGTGCCCTAAATAACACAGAAATCTACCACCAGCAATCAGCTGAGTCCGGAGGGCTCTGACAGAATTGAACACAACCTGAAAAAGCATTCCCAAGTGGCTCTCTGGTAAGTACCCACAGCATCATTGCTGTTCCTAGAGAAGCATGAGGTCTCTGAGACCATGGGCCCAGGCAGGCCAAACCTTTCAGTTGTAGCAGGGTCCAGTGTTTTAAAGCCCTCTGGAAATGGGATAGCAGTGCTTAAAATGGGTAGTAGTGTGCACCCAAAGATGGTTTCACTGGAGATTTAAAAATCTAGCACATCTGTGCTGTAGCTGCTGACATAGCAGGGGGAGAAATAACACAAAACAAACCTCAAAGTGGTGGACCGGATTTGTCCCCATGAACACTCAGAAGAGAGGAAGAGCTGTCATGTTTGAGAGAGATGGTGAAACAAGCACTTACTACCACCCACTATTTTCTTATTTATATTTATCATCTCTCTTTTCTCACTAAAATAGAAAATCCAAGAGAGCAAGGGCCTTCTCTGTCTTGTTCAAAGTTGTGATCCCAGTGTCTAGAATAGTCCCTGGCACCTTGTGGGTACTTAGTGAATGTTTACTGACTGAATAAGTGAAAAATGAATGAAAGTAATGGTTTTGGAGGTATGTACCCATTTTCACTGCTTCTTCTCTTCTTCCCCATAGTCTGTGCTTCTCAATCCCAGGCCAGTTTGGGAATAGGCATTTCCATGTTTTCAGGCATTTGGTCATCAGATGCCCTGCAGAGCCAGCACAGATAGGCTGTGAGCCTATATGGTGCTCAGAACAGCCCTGAAGTTTCTTACAAAGGCTATTGATGATGAGTCTCATAGTCCTTTAGCACTTCACAGTTTACCAAGTACTTTCGTGCCTATTCACCTTTGGCTTTTCTTCTTTAATCCAATAGATGCTTGAGTATGCCTATCTGTCTGAACACAGCATTAGGGTAGGGGAAGCAGAGAAGAGTGGAACAGTTTCTGCCTTAGGAGCTTGTGAGTTAGTAGCAGGGCTAAGTTCCCTGTAGGACAAACAGAATGTGACAAAGGCTTTAAGAGAGTCTGGCAATGAAAATATGTTGATCCTGTCCCTTCCCGTGTCTTGGTGACCCTTTCTTTCTGGCATTTTCAATCCCTGTGGTTTTGCTGGGTTCTGCTGGGTGGGGGTGGGGGCTAGGGTGGGAGGTTGTGACTGGAAAGCCTTCCTGAATTGGAAGGCTTGATGTCAAATTAGTGCTCAAGGGAGCAAAAGTAAAGTAACAGGGGAATCTTGGCAAGAACTTGAGGAGGAAAGCAGAGGAAGAGCAGCCAGATAGAGACTGAGTATTGACAGGAGAGGGAGAAGGGAAGCCAGGTACTGCTGAGTCACAGAAGCCAAGGAAACGCTAACAGGGAGGTCACGGAGGTTGGAGATGGAGTAAAGACTACTGGATTTGGTGACTGGGAGGCTGTGGCACTTGAGAGAGCAGCTTCAGTGGGAAGGTAGAAGCTAAAGCAGGAGCACAGCAAATGAGTGAGCGGGTGATGAGAAATAGAGGCTGTGGGTGTGAGTAGCCCTTCCAGGAGATTCTGGTCAAAGAGCATGAAAACAAGCCCAGTACCTTGAATAGAGAGATTGGTTACTGTTTGTTTTGTAAGCATGGAGAAACCAGAGCACGTCAGAAGGCTGAAAGAGAGATTTAGAGAGAGGAAGAAAACTGAGTGAGTAAAGTTGCAAGAGGAAAGGAGAAGAATTGGAGCAAGGCCCCCAAGAAGATGAGAGAGAGGATTGAGGTCACTGTGAAGGGGCCAGTTCTGACAAGAAGAAAGGAGACCTTTTCTTTCTTTCAGTGCTGGAGTAAAGAAACAAGGGGATATGTGAAGAGAGAAGTTTTGAGGTGGAGAAGAGAGTGCTTTCATTGAACTGTGTACCTCTTTTGTCATCAGGTTTTATGTTAGTTTTATTTATTTATTCAACAGATGTTTACTTTATCCTACTGTGGGCCATGCACAGGCACCAAGAATTCACAAATAAAAGTCAAACTTGCTGCCCAATACTGCAATGTGGTATTTATTAGTAATGTAGTAATTATTAACATGCCTATTTCTAAATCAAACTTGAAGTTCTTTGAGGACAGACATTATTTATCTTTGTATAATTAGGGCAAGGTTTGGTACAAAGTAAGTAATAATAGAATTGTGCTGAAAAAAGTGTGAGAGCTCATGTTGGTTGGCTTAAATCTTCGTGGTTAGATTGGAAGGAAAATTATCTGCTGGAGTGATGAGATTAGGGCAGGGAGGCTACCTGGGAGGGACTAGTTCACTTTACTCTGTAATGGGTTCTTCCAGCACTGTCAGGTGACTGCCTGGAAATGGGAGAAGGAAGACACCATTATTGGCTCTGACCCCTGAGTGGCGGGAAGGGCAGATGCTGCTGTCCTCATTCTGGGGGTGAGGAAACTGAAGTTGAGAAAGAAAGCTGTCACTGCTCAAAGTCACAGTACATGGCAGAACAGGGACTTGAACCCGGCTCTCAGACCCCTCATTTTTCTCATTGCTAGCCCTGAACACCAACAGCTTCTTCTCTGGACAGTTCTCATCAGGGTGTGACCCTGGGCTCTGGCTTTGGGTATCACTGGATGGTAGTCAGGTCTAATGGAGACTTGGTGGCCCTTTACAGGCTCTGCCTCAGTGTCATATCAGGAAAAGCAACAAGGAAAGGAATAGCCTCAGTAAGTATTGGGACAGTAAGTTAATTCATGCTTCTAGTAAACTCGTGCTGGCTGGAGTTGGAGGTCTGATGGACAGAGTCTTAAACGTAGAGCGTGACTTGGGTTGGACTTTCTGTTCTGTTTGTACAATCTGTATGATTTTGGGTCATTCAAAACCTTTCCAAGCCTTAGCTTTCTCATTCACAAAGTGCACATAATAATATCTGCTTTATCTTGCCCATAGAGTTATAGAAAAATGCAGATAGTATATATAAGGGCGTTTGTAGACTGTAATGTGCTGTACATGTACAAAAAAAGTTGTTTTTTAGGTTCATGACATATGAGCTGCTTCGGGTACAGGTTTTGTTAAAAGTATGGGTCAGAGCTGCTGTTTTGTCTTAATCGCTTGAGATCTTAGGAGCTACCTAGAACCACCATGGATCTTGTAAACACTTCTTAGAACTAGAACCAGTGAAGATAGTGGAGCCTAGATGCTTGATAATCCAGCCAATCTCCCTGCAGCATCAGAGTATGAATTCCTGTTGAGGCAGCCATCAGCATTGACAGCAAGGATATCTCTGGCTTGCTTTTTTTTCAGCAGCAGAGGAAATTCATCAGCACTGATTTAAAGTCCTAGTGACCTCATATGTTACTACCATGCTCTGCAGAGGTACAACCGCCCCAGGCTTTGCCCAGGGTCACCCTGGAGCTGACCAGCTGTCTTTTGTTGCATTTGACCTTGAAAACTGGGCTGTCCCAGGGTGAAAGTAAATCATGCAGAGGTTTAGAGTGAAAACAGAAGGCAATGAGGATTTAAAGGAGGCTTCAGTGGTCTGCTGAGAGCAATTCTAGGTCTGTGAAGGCTGAATGAGCTGCACATGAATTGGCTTGTCAGGGGACTAAAACTACCTCCATTTCTACCACTATTCTTCTAGTTTGGACCCTCATTATCTAGTGCCTAATACAGTGACAGCTTCTTAGTTGGTAAGCCCTTGTCTCTAGTTTGGTTTCACCCCAGTTGCCCACAACCAGTTGCCAAAGTGATGTACTGAAATAGAAATCTGATTGCACTATGCTCTTTTTCTTTAGACTCTTAGAAAATACAGAAAACATTTATTCCCATAATACACACTTATTAGATAGCGACTTTCTATGTGAAAGAAACTTAGCCAAGCATTTAAGATATAGTGGAGATTAAGACCCAGCCTCTATTCTCAATGGGTAGGAGAAACACACAACCCATAAACTGCACAGCCAGTGTGCAAAGAATGGAGTCATTAGAGTGTAAGCTCCAGGACTGTTGTTGGCCTTGTTCACCACTGTCTCCTCATCACCTTGCATAGCACCCAGCACACAGCAGGTGCTGAGCAAATGATTGTTATAGGGATGAATGTGTGCCCTTACTTTCTGACGGCTTCCTATCCTGAATGAAGTCTAAAATCTCTGGATTTTCATAAGAAGCTCTTCTTGATCCAGCTTCTGTCAAAATACCCAGCCTCACCTTCTACCAGTCTCTCCCTGTATTCTGCAGTTTATCTATGCCTAACCAATAATGCATCAGGTTTTTTGATACTTCTGGGTCTTTGCATGCTGGTTCTGCTTCCCTTTGCCTTTGGCTCCTTGGACAACTACTACCTATTTCTCAGTAGCTAACAAGGATGATGTCTTATAATCATCTTGGTATTCCTGCCACCTAGTCTTACAAACATGCCTCTTCTTACTTTCTCTGTTGAGTTTTTCTTTGCGTAGTGTCATTATCCACCTTCCTTGGCTCTGTTGAGCAGCTGTCCCTGAAGCACTTTTCCACCCTCCCTTTACCTCCCCTGCCCTTGGGTTTAGGCCTGGAATTTGTTGGGCTGTTGGTGGCCTGGCTCTGGGATGTGATGAGCCCTGACCTCCCTTTTGCCTTTCCTAAACACTTTCTCCCTCCTGCTTTGGCCACATCCAGACAGCTAGATCTCTCTCCCAGTTCTACTTGCACAAAAACCCTATGCTGAGCAGGGTATGGGTTTTGCCAGTCCCATTGCGCAGGGATTGGACTCAGTGTCCTGGATCCTTAGTCACTGTTTGGGACTTTGTTCTGAGTGGCTCATTCCCCTATATAAGGCCATCTGCTTGATTCCAAGGGTTGCTGTTCCTTGGAGCTTCTTGCTTGGAAGCTTTCTGACCAATGGGACCTCCTTGTTGTTTACACTGACCTGAATTAAGCCTCTCTTTGCCAGGCTCCATTGGGTACTTTATATTGGATAGCTGCCTTAGGAGCGAGCCCTGTAGTTCCCCATCTTCCCCAAAGATGACTGCCGTCTGGCTCCAGCCTCTTCTTTGCCTGAAATGTCCTGAACCACTGAGGCCTTGCCTGGTAGGCACCTCTTGAGGTAGATAAAGAGAAAACATTCCTCTTGTCACTTTCAGGGAAGCAAAACCACACCATTCCCTTGGGATGCAGCCTTTAGACCCCCAAGATCCCCAGCCAGTTGTTAGAGGGACTGGTGAATTGTGACTAGAAGGGGGAGGTTAATCTTTGTATGGTTACATAATTCCCTTTGTGATATAGTGGTTCTGTCTGTGGGGACACTGCCAGTGGTGGCCACCACCTCCTGCATCTGAAGATTACTGTTTGGAAGAGAGCTCTTTTTACTGGATGTCTGGTGTCATCCAAGACTCAGGGAGACTGGCTATGGGTAGCAGAAATGGAAGGAATCAGAGATATCTTTGCAAAAGGAGCAACTGCTACAATAATTAATTGTGAGGCCTCTGGCTTTTCAGAGGAACCAGAAGTATAAGTGGAAAGCAAAGTAGGAGGTAGAGTGGGGTCCCACTCACAGGTGCTGGGAGGCTACTGTGGCTCCCACAGGGGCCTCCCCATGTGCCACTTCAGGAGACCCAGCTGGCTAGGGAAGGTTGCTCATGGCTGCTGAACAAAATGTTTATGTCACTGTAAGCAGCACTCCCAAGACTGGCTGAGGAAAGTCCCTCGCTTCAAAAAGGTGATTCAGTAATTTTTTAGTTTCTTCTCTGTGGTTTTATTTCACTGTGGTCCCCACTGATAAGATTTCTTATTAATTACGTGGGGAGCATGCATATCATTTGACGATCGGGTCTGCACGAGGGAGCAACAAATAGGGGAAGGACTTGGAAGAATCAAGAGACTACACTGCGGCTTGATCTTTGGACAGCTGCTTTTACTTCTCTGAGTCTCAGATTTTGCATCTGTCAAATAGATATAATAATTCTTATTGGATTTAGCTTTGTAAGTTGTCAGAATGATGTCAGGGATGTGAAAGCATTTTATCAACTATGAAGCAATAAACAAATGTACGTTTTGTTTATAGATTTCTTACATTGGTTTTTCGGAAACGAATTTCTTGTAGCACTTTGGGAGGCTGAGGCAGGTGGATCACATGAAACCAGCCTGGGCAACATGGCAAAACCCTGTCTCTACAAAAAACACAAACATTAGGCATGGCGATGTGTACCTGTAGTCCTAGCCTCTTGGGAGGCTGAGCTGGGAAATGGAGGTTGCAGTTAGCTGAGATTGTGCTACTGTACTCCAGCCTGGGTGATAGAACAAGACTCCGTCTCAGAAAAAAAAAAAAAAAAAAGAATGGATTAGGAACAATTGGATTTTTTAAAAGAGGTAATAATAATGTTAGTTCCTGTTTGTCGAACATTGACTACATGCCATGTATTATGCTAAGCACTTTATAAGCATCACTTTTAATTCTTAACACATTCCCATGAAGCAGTATAATAATTTATCCTTATTTTGTAGATGAGGGAACCAAAACCTGGGGAGGTAACTTATTTAAGGACAAAGCTGGGAAATACCAGAGCTAACATAGTGGCAGCAGTGTGGACTAGAGGACATACAGGTGACTGGATGGTGGTTTTCCAGGTTGAAGGGCAAAGAGGTGACTGTGGCTTGGTGCTCACCCCAACTCCTAGAAGTCCAGATGTGCCAGTCTTCTGGCAGAGCCTGTAACAGCTCATTCTTCCCTCCCTTGGTGTCTGGGCACAAACTAGTGGAGGTAAACAGAGCCACCCAAGAGGCTTTCCTTCCCTAGAAACCACCACTTTAAAGCTGGTACAGTAAAGCATGCCTTTGAAGACTTGAGAAAAGATGTTTTAATTCCTCATGATTCTTTCTTGGGTTTGTGTTCTGTTTCTGTTTACAGTGGCGGGAAGTATGAGTTTTGGAGTATCTCATTCCTAGCCCCCTTACCTGCACATCCAAAATGTACCACTTTACAAGGCTCAGATTAGAGCTTGCCCAGTGGAATCTTTTCTGGACAACTTCAGTTGCCATTTCAAGTATGAGCTACTTGAGGATAGGCACCATATCTTGATTGTGGCTGTAACTTTAGTGCATGACACAGTGCCTATCAGAAAGCAAATGGTTGGGATTTGTTATTGAATTGAACGGAAATCTTAACTCAGAGTTTGAATCACCTATTAGTATTTGATTGTATTGTAACATCTGATTATCCCATGTGTGGTGGTCTTCCAGAGGAAAGTATATGTTGCTACTGAGTGGGCACTGTATCTTAAGATTTTTTGTGTGTCTTACCCTGTTAGGCAGGGAATGAGGGGCTAAGTCACATAGCAGGCACTTGGAGAAGCCTTGGGGGCTCCATCTCCATCTACTCTGAAGCAGGCTTGGAGAGATCTGTCATGAGATAGCTGTATTGGTTGCTAACAGAGTTATAATGTATTAGTTCTGGAGGGAGAGAAACAAAAACAGAATGCTGACTCCTCCAGTAGTCTCAGCATGAGGGGCATAGAAATATAGGCATCTTTTTCAATCTGCATTGCTCCATTCCTCAGACACCTATTTTAGGGTGAGAACACAGAGGCGTGCAAATGGTGCATTTCCCTTTGCACCCCTCAAGGTGAAATTTCTGCTGTTGCATGGGGACTTTTGGGAGCAGTTCTGTAGTTACTGCTGTATAATGCATTTATCATTCTGCTCCCCTGGCACATTTTGTAAAGCTGCATAATTTCCCCGTGCCTTACAACACTCACTAGCTCCATGATGATGATCTATCTGGTGGCCACAGCCTCCCTCATCAGGGTCTGTGATGCAGTGGAAAGAGCAATGTATTTGCTAATAATGACAGCAGGTAGCATACACCAAGTCCCAGTAGATGCCAGATTCTCTCCTAAGCACTTTCTAGGCACCATCTCTTTAATCCTCATGACAGTCTTGCAGAGTAGGGATTATTATTCTTCCGTTTGCAGTTGAAGAGAGTGAGACTCAGTGGTGGTCGTTAGTCCAAGGTCACGTGATTAGTAAATGACAAAGTTGCTAGTAAAACCCTGATCCTACTGCAAAACCTATGCTACTGCATACCAGGATTCCATTTTCATCTCTGATATTGACTCCCTGTGGGACCTAGGACCAGAGACTTTGCTTTCTCTGAGCCTCACTTTCCTAATCTGTATAATGAGAAGCAGTTCCAAGGGTTCTTCCAAAGTTCTAAGGCCAATACCATTCTAGTTGGCTAGAGCTCTTAATCACCTGGAGACCAATTTCTTTTCACCTTTGAGTTTTTGTTTTTTGTTTTTTGTTTTTTTGAGGTGGAGTTTTACTCTTGTTGCCCAGGCTGGAGTGCAGTGGTGTGATCTCGGCTCACTGCAACCTCTGCCTCCTGGGTTCAAGCAATTCTCCTGCCTCAGCCTCGTGAGTAGCTGGGATTACAGGTGCGTGCCACTGTGCCCAGCTAATTATTTTGTTTGTTTGTTTGTTTTTGCTTTTGTTTTTGTTTTTTAGTAGAGATGGGGTTTCTCCATGTTGGTCAGTCTGGTGTTGAACTCCTGACCCCAGGTAATCCGCCTGCCTTAGCCTCCCAAAGTGCTGGGTTTATTTGTTTTGTTTTATAGTGGCAGGCTAGCTGCTGTGTATTAGTTCCACAACAATAACATTAAAATCAGGCAAGTAAGAGAATGCATAGTATAAAATTGTATGGATCAGTGCTGTCCAGTAGAACTTTCTAGGATAATGGAAAAGGTCTGTATCAGTCTAATACAATAGCTAATAACCACATGTGGCTACTTAGCACTTGAAATATGGTTAAAGTAACCGACTGACTGAATTTTTAATTTTATTTAATTTTAATTCAGATTTCAGTAGCCACATGTGGCTAGTAGCCACCACACTGGACAGTGCAGGTATAGATAGTGTAATAATATAAAACTAAATAGAGCATAGATTCTTCTATGTTCCAACCAAGGCTTCTAATTTCCATTTGATTTTTCCAGAGGTGTAATACCTGATGTATTATTATATTTGTATTGTGCTTTCAGCACACTCAAACATACATTATTAAATCATTGTGTTTCCTACCTAGGCGGCATATAGAAAAGATGGTTTGTGCTATGTATGTTTTTCAGATAAGGAAAGTTAGGCACAGAACAATTCAATATACTCCTAGCAGCTGAGAAAAGTGCTAATTGTGTATCAAATATGAGTAAGTGGCTTATTTAAGGCCATTTTTGGAGCAGTAGAATTAGGACTGGAAACTTATATCTTCTGATTTCCAGCCTAAGTTTCCTCTAGTTTTCTTATCACTGATATGGCAAGCATAGAATAGAGAGACTTTGTTCATGAGATCATTCTTTTAATGTTAGGCAGGAAGGCCTTTTCTTTTCATTTTATACTTTTCTGTACTATTTGATCTTTTAATTCTGTGTCGGTATCATCTTAATTATAATAATGAAGTAGATATTTGGAAAAGTTTTATGAAATGTTATGAGGCTGTATAATATAGCTGTTCCTGTTTTGTAAATGTGAGATCTGCCATGCTAATCAAACAGAGAGAAGCGGGTTTTTCATGCGGGATCTGTGCTCAGAAGAGAATTGAATCTCATCTCAATTCCATTTCTGGTAGTGGTGCAGTAGTTTCTATCAGACCAGTCCTCCTACAGAAATCAACTATAAACTCAGACAAAATGTGAAAAAAACTACCTGAAGGAAATGGAGAGTGACCAAAAGCAGGCACATTCTTCACAAGTGTCAAGGTCCTGGAAGTTAAGACTGAGGAACTGTTCCAGGTTGAAAGATTCTAAAGAGACATAGCAACTAAATGAAATGTACAGTTGTGAACTGGATCCTTTTGTTGTAAAGGACATTACTGGGGCAATTGGTAGAACCTAAATTAGAGTCTGAAGCTTCTTGAAAGTTACATATCAGTGTTTATTTTTTAGTTTTGATGGTTGAATTGTTATGTAGACAGTGATGTCAATTTTGGTGGCAAACACACTGACATATTAGAATAATGGGGCATCAAGTTTGGCAACTTGATCAGAGACAGTTTAGAAAAAAATAAAGGCCGGGCACGGTGGCTGACACCTGTAATCCCAGCACTTTGGGAGGCCGAGGCGGGCGGATCATGAGGTCAGGAGATGGAGACCATCCTGGCTAACACGACGAAACCCCGTCTCTACTAAAAATATAAAAAATTAGCTGGGCATGGTGGCACGTGCCTGTAGTCTCAGCTACTTGGAAGGCTGAGGCAGGAGAACCGCTTGAACCTGGGAGGTGGAGGTTGCAGTGAGCTGAGATCGCACCACTGCACTCTAGCCTGGGCAACAGAGCCAGACTCTGTCTCAAAAAACAAACAAATAAACCAAAAAACAAATAGAGGGAAGGGGATATAGCGAGCAAAGCTAGTGAAACGTTGAGATTTGGGAATATGAGTTAATTGTAAACAGGAGTTCTTTGTGTGGTTCTTTCAACTTTTATCTAGGTTTGAATTTACTTCAAAATAAAAAGATTTGAAAAACTTCGAACAATAATGAAAGTAGAGCACATCAGTGTTTGTGGGATGCAGCTAAAGCAGTACTTTGAGGGAAATTTATATCTTTAAATGAATATATTAGAAAAGAAAAAGGACTAAATTCAACTGCTTAAGGTTCTACCTTTAGAAGTTGGAAAAAGAGTAAAAATAAACCTGAAGTAAATAGAAAGAAGAAAATAATAAAGGAAAGAACAGAAGTTAATGAAATAGAAAGGAGAGAAAAATAAAAGTTCAAAAGCAATTCTTTGAAAATATCAACAGAATTGATAAAGCCCTACCTGGACTATCAGGAAAAACAAGGTCACAAAATGCAAATATTAGAAATGAAAGTAGGTATGTCACTACAGATTATGTAGACATTAAAGGAGACTAAGGAAATATTACAAATAACTTTATGCCTATAAATTCAGCAACTTAGATAAAATGGATTAATTTTTGAAAAACTACAGTGTACAAAAACACAAGAGGAAATTGAAATAGAAAATCAGAATATCTGTATGTCTAGTAAAGAAATCAATTTATTATCAAAAACTTTTCCACAAAGAACTCTTTAGGCCTAGGTGGTTTCTCTAATAAACTTTATCAGATATTTAAGTAAGGAAATAGTACTATTTTTACACAAACTCAGAAAATAAAGGAGGGGACACTTCCAAATTTATGAAGTCAGCATAATTCTGATACCAAAGACATTACAAAAAAGAAAATTATTGATTAGTATCCCTTATGAACATAAACACAAAAATCTGCAACAAAATATTAGCAAATCAAATCCATTAATATTTAAAAAGGATAATATATCATGACCAAACTATGTTATCTCAGGAATGAAAGCTTGCTTTTTCACTTGAAAATCAATTTAATTCATCATGTATTAACAAAATAAAGGAGAAAAACCATAATAATAACTTCAACAGTTGTGGAAAAATCATTGACAAAATTTAACATTTATTTGTGATAAAAACTTAGCAAATTAGAAATGGAAGGGAATTTCTGCAGTTTAATAAGGGGCACTTATAAAGCACTAACATGATAATTGATGGTGAAAAATTTAATGTATTCCTTCTTAGATCAGAATGAGGCAAGTATGTCCTCTCACCATTTTTATTCACTATTATACTGGATGGAGGTTCTAGCCAGTGCCATAAAGCAAGAAAAAGCAATAAAAGGCTTAAAATCAGAAAAGAAGAGGTAAATCTGTTTCTATTCACAGATGATATGATTGTTGAATTATAAAATCTAACAAATCTATAAAATAACTATTAGAACCAAAATGGCAATTTAGCAAGGTACAAAATCAACGTTCAAAAATCAACTTTTTTTTTATATAGCAGCATCAAAGAATTGGAAAATTTTTAAAAAGCAGTTTTTTTACGATTATAATTTTACAGTTATATCAAAAAGTACAAAATATTTAGGTATAAACTTAACAAAAACGTGCAAGACTTGTACATAAAAACTACAAAACACTGCTGGGAGAAGTTAAAGACCCAATTAATTGGAGAGAGATATCACACTCACAGATTGGAAAACTCAATGTTGTTAACTTGTCAGGTCTTCCCAAGTTGACTTGTAGATTTAAAGCAACCCCAATCAAAATCTCAAGAGACTTTTTTGGGGGTTGAAGTTGATAAGCTGATTCTGACATTTATATGGAAACATAAAAGGCTGTGACTATCCAAAGTAATCTTGGAAAAGAAGAATGAAGTTGCAAGATCCACCTAACCCGACTTCAAATTTGCTATAAATCTACAAGGTCTCAGCAACAACAAAAACCAAACAGCCCAATTTTAAAAAAGGGCAAAGGACTTGAATGGACATTTCTCTAAAGATAATATACAAATGACCAAGATTATGTGAAAAGTTGCTCAACATCCCTAATCATTAGAGAAGTACAAATCAAAACCACAATGAGATACCACCCAACACCTATTAGAAGGGCTACTATACCAAACAGAAAATAAGAAGTGATGGCCAGAATGTAGAGAAATTGGAACCCTTGTGCACTATTGGTGGGAACGTAAAATAGTGCAGCTGCTGTGGAAAACAGCATGACAGTTCCTCAGAGCATTAAAAATAGAATTACCATATGATCCAGTAATTCCACTTCTGGATATATATCCAAAAGAGTTGAAAGCAGAATCGTGAAGATATATATGCATACCCATGTACATAGCACCACTATTCACAATACCCAGAAAGTGGAAGCAACCCAAGTGTCCATCAAAGGATAGACGATAAACAAAATGTGATATATACATGCAATGGAATATCATTCCGTCTTAAAAAGGAAGGGAATCCTGACATATACTACAACATAGATGAACCTTGAGGACCTTAAGATAAGCAAAATAAGCTAGTCACAAAAAGACAGATACTGTATGATCCTGGGATGGGTACAGAGTTTTAGTTTTGCAAGATGAAAAGAGTTCTGGAGATGGATGGTGGTGATGGTTGTAGAACAATGCGAATATACTTCACACCACTGAACTGTACACTTAAAAATGGTTAAGATGGTAAATTTTATGTTATGTATATTTGCCACAATTTTAAAAATTGGAGGAAAGACTCATCAGCATATGTGAAGGACACTTGTATCTACAACTTATTTTAAAATACATTTAAAAAGATTGGTGAATAGAGAGAGGGATGGCTAGATTTGTGATTAAAGCAAATACAGAAAAATGTTAACTATAGAATCTAGGTAGTAGGAATATGAGTGTTCATTGTACAATTATTTAAGCTTTTCTGTATGTTTAAGCTTTTCTGTATGTTTAAGCTTTTCTGTGTGTTTAAAAATGTTTATAATAAATATTGGTGGAGAAACCAAATTGTGAGGAAACAGAAAACTTATTTGTAATGCTTTTGGCCACAATTCAGCAGAAGTACAGTGACTCGGAGCCTGCCTTGAGCAGTGGGTGGTCTGACCTTGGGCGGTGGTTCATATCTCAGCCTTTGCACTTACTTTCTCCAGTGTAAGACTGAAGGAACACTAGAAAGGGGCCGTAAGACTGATCATCAAGCCGGTCATGGTGGCGTGTCCCCGTGGTCTCAGCTACTCGGGAAGCTGAGGCAGGAGGATCTCTTGAGCCTGGGAGTTAAAGGCTGCAGTGAGCGATGATCATACCACTGCACTCCAGCCTGGACAACAGAGTGAGAGAGAGAGAAAAAAAGACTGATCACCATTTTTCAAAGAAATGGTTGTGTGTGGGTTTGGGCAGAGCATGGGAAACTGACATTGAGGGCTTCCTTACCTAGCATTCTACATGTACACTGTCTTGTTTATTTCTGCCATTAGTAATAATAAGTTATGTACATGTTATTGTCTCTGTTTTACAGTTGGGTGGGCGGTGGTGGGGGATGCGGTCACTGGAACTCAAAGAGGCTAAGTATGCTGCATAGCTGAGCAGGGCCTTCAACCCAGATAATCTTGACTCACCATGCACCGTCTTTTCCTCTATCCCAGATGGCCTTGTTAGCATCCTGGGATATTGATGTCTTGCCCACAAGGAGAGGAATGTTTAGAGTGCAAGGTGGCTTGGGTTTTCTTTGACCCCTCTTTTTTGGTCTGAAACGTGCTATTCTAACTTCCCTGTTGAACCCACCATACTGGACTCAGTTCATTTGCTAGACCTCTTCCCATTCAGCTTTCTTCTTCTTTGTTAGACTGGAGGTGGAAAGGAGGAACCAGGCTAGATAGTATACTGCCTGTTTTATTAGAAAGGTTTTTCTGGGGCTCTTTCCTCTGTAATAAACATGTTTAATTCCAAATAAAACAAGTAACTAACTGTTCCTTCTGATTTTCAAATATTGCTGAAAATATTGGTGACATTCTTGCTTGCATGTCCTTTTGATGTCTGAGCATTCATTAGACTGAGAAAGGGACTGACAACCCTATTACCAAAGAGGTTTTCTAAGAGGAATGGCCAAGTCTAGAATAGAACAGCCATCTGCTGCCAGTTGGACAGGGTCCCACGGAGCTATGGATTTGACCCAAAGGCTGGCCTTTGCTTTGTGTTTGCACTTTTGGGATATCCCTTGTGTCATTGCTCCCTTCTGGCTCATTGGCTCTCCCTTTCCCCCAAGGGCTGCCCCATCTGTCAGGAGTCATGCTGCCTGTGATGCCTAGGCATACCTGGTGATCCAGAGGAAGCATACTGTATTCATGCAGTGAGGTGGCACCTCAGCTTCTCTGTGCTGAAATGCCCAAATTAATTCACCATTCTTAGCAGTCTTCCCAGCTGAGAAGACTCATGGCATTTCAGAGTGTTCCAGTGCAACAGGTGGGGCTCAGGGGAGTTAGATTTTTCTGTCCACACTCAAATACTCTTGCCTGATTTACCTTGATATTTCATTATCTTGGAAGCCATCAGACCGGGGAGGGAGCTGAAGACAGGTTGGTGAGTGAATAGAAGTCTGAATAATGAAGTCTACTTTCCTTTTTAAATTAGAAAGCAAATAACTTATGTTTCCAGGATTGTCATCTGACTTGTTTACTATTAATGCTTTTCTATTCTTATGTCTTTTCTCTACCCCAACCTTCCCCTCTTGTTCTCCTTGTTCTGCCACTCTTGTCTTCCTACTCCTGCTCCACTTTCTAATCTTTTAACATTTCTTTTCTGATAATATGAAAATGTGGAATGGTAGGAAAAATATAACACACCAGACTTCTTCACCCCTTTCCTAGGTGATAGAGTCACCATCTTAAATAGAGTCCAGAATAAACATTCTTTCATTCAGAATTTATTACATTTATTATGCTCTATCCTATAATAGTTCTCTGATGAGAGGAAATCTGTAGCCAGGCTAAGGAGGACCAAGAAGCCAAGGTAGCAATTGATTTTTTTCTAACACCCATTTGTCCATTGCTCCAGCCTCTTCTGATACCCATGAAGTATCTCTACCTCTCTCCTCTGGTGAGGAATATGGATATTCACTTGTATCATAGATCTACTTAGCATTAGATGCTATTTCACTTCCTGTATAAAATTTTGGGTCTAGAGTACCCAATATACCCATATGTTCCAAGGATGTCCTGTCTTTTTCTGTTTGCTTGCTGTCAGTTACTCCTAACTACAAGTATGAACTTCATATTTCCTCATGTCTCAGTCACTGACAACTTAATAACTAAAGTGTCCTGCAGTCTTGGGCAAAGAGAACCATAGGAGGTAGAAGAGTCTGGGGTCCTTCCTAATATCAGGGGTCTGGGGTCCTCCTAATATCAGGGGTCTAGGGTCCCTGAGGAGCTAGGGATTCTGTAATGTAACACATGGAATTGGAAGCCCGGACACTTGGGTTCTAAACCTAGCTTGCTGATAACTTGCTGTATGGCTTTCAGCAAGTCACTTTGCCTCTCACTTTTCCTGTCTCAACTTTAGGTGCTTGCAGGGATATAGGTATAAGTTAAGATGCTCATATTATATTGTGACCAAGCCAAATCCCTACTATATTGTCTTTTAAAATACTTGGTGGGCCAAACCCAATGGTGGGTCAAGAATAAAATGTCTGATGGTTGTATTTGACAGTCTGACTCCTCCTTTCCTTTCCCATGGTATATATGGGACCACAGCTGCAAAGTGAAGCCTTTGGACCACTTTAGGTCCTCAGAGAAGTCCATGAGCACAGTGTCCTAGAACCAGTAGCAGAGGTCCTAGCAATATGTTTGCTGGACAGAGGGGCTTTTACTACTTGTGGTGTTAGAAGCTGGTAATGGCATAGTGGCCAAGCTGGTGATGGCATAGTGGCCACTGACTGCTAGGGTTGTTCCCCTGGAGGATCTCTATTTCTTGGCCACTGACTACTTGCTTTATCCCCAATAGTATGTACCACTGAGCATCAGGGTACTAGGCAGGAAGGATGGGGTAACATATCCTGTGGGTAGAGATATTTCACAGGGGGCTGTAGAATTCCAGGTCTCTAAAGTCTAACCTAATCAGGGGCCATGTGGTCACATACTGCTAGCTTGAACTCTCTCCCCAAAGATTCCATTTTAGGATAGTTCTTACTGTTAGAAAGTTCATCTTTATATTGTTTTTTTGTCTACCTCTGTGAGGTAGGTAGGACAGGAATTTTTAAAAATAATATTAAATTTCATGTTATAGAAAGTGTGCATGCTTATTGTAGAATTGTGGAACACCAAAATCATCTGTAATTTCACAACTTAGGGAAAACCACTTATACCATTGTAATACATTTTATTTTATTTATTATTATTATTATTTTTGAGGGAAGGTCTTTCTCTGTCACCCAGACTGGAGTCCAGTGGCACGATCTCAGCTCACTGCAACCTCTGCCTCCTGGGTTGAAGCAATTCTCATGCCTCAGCCTCCCAAGTAGCTGGGACTATAGGCACGCACCACCACGCCTGGCTGTTTTTTGTATTTCTTTGTTAGTAGAGATGGAATTTGGTTATGTTGGCCAAGCTAATCTTGAACTCCTGGCTTCTAATGATCCACCCACCTTGGCTTCCCAAAGTGTTGGGATTATAGGCGTGAGCCACCATGCCCGGCCCATTGTAGTACATTTTAAATATTTTTTTCTACACGTATTTTTTAAAAATATGAGACATTATAGATAGTATGTTTGCTTTATATTCATATTTCCACCTACAATTATATTAGGAACATTTATCTATATTATTAAATATTATAAAGTAACTATTTAACATTTAAAAATAATATTGTATTATTTGAATATGCCATAATTTATGTGATTATTTTTGGAAATTTAGGTTGTTCCCAGGTTTTTGCTACCAAAAATTATGCTATGATCAGCATCTTTGTGCTTAAATCTTTGGTCAAATCTCTGATTATTTTCTCAGGAAGGATTTCTAGGATTAGGATTCCTGGATGAAAAGATACAGACTTTTAAAAGGCTCTTGACACATATTTAGGATGGCAAGAATTATTAAAGTTCACATTCTCATCCTTGATCCCTACGCTCATCACCAGTATAGGGGCAGATGCCTGAGTGTCTGAAGTACTTCATTTGAAAACTCCCTGTACCCACGAAATGGTATCTCATGTACTCTTGGCATCCTTAACCCTAATGAATGGAACCCCTAACTGTGAGTCTCTCTGTGAAATGCCTGTTGGTTTCCTTGGCTGGAGCCACGTTTGGATCAGAGTGTACGCCCTAGAGAGCAGGAAGCTTCGTATTACCTTGGATTGACTGAAGGGCCAGCCTTCTTTATTAGAACATGAAAAAAAAATCCTGTTCTGTTACTTGTCAGATGAGAATAATGAATATGAAAACACATTGAAAACTGGAGAACTCTATAAATGTAATGTGTTATTATTAGGGCTACTTTGGATTCAAATCGTAATGCTGATATGACTACTGAGATATTACATAATGCTTTTAGCACATTAGGGGGCTTTGATATTCAAATGATAATGTAGAACCTCAGAGAATATCTTACCCTGCCCTCTTATTTTATAGATAAGGAAACTCAGGCTCAGAGAACTTAATCATCTTATCCAGTATTACCCAGAAGAATAGGGCAACTAGGTCCTCACTTCTAATTCTTTTTGGTCACATTCTTGGCTTGTTGTGGAGCCAAGTGCAGCAATTAATATCATGTTTGTATGTGCTTCTAAGGTGCTGTTTAACATTTTTACCAAATAGTTTTAACATTCTGCTTGTTATACTGATTTACTTTGGATGCTATTAAAAGAATAGATAGAGTCCTGGGAAATTTCAGGCAGATTTACCATTAGATTATTTCCTTTTCTGAATTGGTGAGCCTGAATTAATGAATTATAGCACAAATGCACATATGCACATAAAGACTGAATGGGTAGTGATCTTTGAGGAAATTCATCAATTGTAACCTCTAATCCTGCTCCCTCCACTCTGCTGCCCCATCTCCCCACTTTGCTTTATCACTTGCTAATATACTGTATTCTTTACTCATTTGTTGTATTTATTATTTATCTTCCTTTACTAAACTGTAAGTACCATGGGGGCAGGGTTTTCATTGTTGTGGTTGTTTCTTGATGTCTCAGTTCTTCAGTCACTGCCTGGCATACAGTAGCATTTGATAAATATTTACTGAATGAGTGAATGAATGGTTCCTGAATTAGGAATAAGGCTTTTGTGTTGGGCATAGAGACCTAGGATCCAATTCTCGTTCCTAATTACCTGTATAAACTTGGATAAGTCTTTCTTCTCATTGTGCCTTCTTTTAACATCTGTAAAATAAAATCATTGGTTCTCTAAGGTTCTGTCCAGCTCTAAAATTACATGATTCTATACATTCTTAGTTTTTGGTGTTTTTGTTTTGTTTTGTTTTTGTTTTGTCTCCCTCTGTTTCCCAGGCTGGAATACAGTGGTGCTATCACAGCTCACTGCAGCCTCAAACTCCTGAGCTCAAGCAGATCTTCCCATCTCAGCTTCTTGAGTATCTGGTGGCATATGCCTGGCTAGTTAAAAAAAATTTTTTGTGTGTGGAGACATGGTCCACTATGTCTGAGGTTAGTCTCAAACTACTGGCCTCAAGCAATCCTCCTGCCTTGGCCACCCAAGGTGCTGGGAACATTCTTTTATTTTTAAATGCTTAGTAGTAATACACCATTTTTATTTTATTTTATTTTATTTTAAAATTGTATGCAGAGCATCAAAATCTAAAACAGATAAAAATATAACTGTTCTGGTTGAATTGGGAATAGGGATAGGAAAGTCAGGGATGGGAGAAGGAAGCCTTATCACTTGGCTGCCTACTGGCAGGTTTCCTTTGTGGTGGCTCCTGAGGCACATCCAGGAGCACTAGGGCCCTATAGGACTTAGTTTGAGAAAATCTTTGTCTAAATTAAGTGAGAAATAGGACCTGGGTCATGTCTTTGAGTGAAAATTCTGTTTATGCTTAGATATGGATTTGAAGGGAATGTTGAATAATGAAAAAAAGATGTGACGTGGTATTAGGTGGTGGAATTGTAGATGAAGTTTTCTTTCTTCAAATAATTTCATTTACTTATGCAAAAAGAAAATCAGGATAAAATTTCTGATTATATAGTTCTATTAGAAATTCATTTGGTTGAGGTTAGTCAGTACACTTGGTCTGTAGTTCCTCTTTCTTCCATAGGTACAAATGTCACACAGCCTGAAGCCTAGAGATCTGTTTTGGAATTGCCAGAGGATTAGGGGGTCTTTATAAAGTTTTTACATTAAGTTCTCACAGTCATTGCCCCATTTTATTTAAGTGGACTATTGTTGAAGTTAATAGTGGAAGTAATGTCTAAGCAGTGGTCTGACCTAGAGGAGAGTTGTCAGATATATGTATTCAACAGGACAATGAATTAAAGATAAATGACATAGGCAGTTTCTTTTTTCCTGAATGAATAACTAGATTGAACTCTGTTTGGGTTACCAGCTGGGAAACAAGCTAATATTTGTCTAGCTCTGTGATCTGAATTGTTTGAGGGGTGGTTTAGCTTGTTTGAATTTTAATATCCATTAATAATTGAGAGCGATTGCAAGCTCTTGTTTTGCTGAGTGCATATTTACCATGTATTATATTACATTTTATTAATATAGCAGTTAAAGAAACATTCAGAGTAAATTGTCCCTAGACCCATTTGACTGGTATCCCTTCCTGGATAATGGCAGTGATATCTATACCTGGACAATACCTTTCATTTAAGTATCTCAATATTAAAAAAAAATTCTAGTTTTTTTTATTATTCAATTTATTCTGAGAACCACTTGAGCCTTGTTAATTCCATGAACATTTTGACACTGAACGCTGCAGAGAAGTATGAACATAGAGATACCAGCTTTAGTAGAAACTTTCTTGTGGCTGTCATCATAGGAAAAGCAGAGCCACTTGTTCATGGCCATTATTGATTGACCCAACTGACTGGGCCTCTCTGTTGCTATGGTAACTGCAGCAACATTTGGTGGAAATATGCAAACTCAAATTTTCCAAAGACACTTATTTTGATGATCCAAAATTTAGGGATTCAACAACACTGAGAACTATTTTCCAGTTTTCCTACTTGCCCATCTATATATTTGTAATACTTAAAACAGCATTTTTTTTTTTTTGCCTAATTTAAAAGTATTTTACAAGTAGTTTGTTCTTCAATAGAGGGTTTATTTGTTTTGAACTTAAGGGAATATAGATACTGTCTCATAGTAACAACTTTTTGTTTTCTGATCTGCTTATCACAACAGTTTGTTGAATTATGGCAGATATTATTGTTTAATTTTATATATGAGGAACCTGAAGCCCAGATAGATGGAGTGACTTTCCCAGGGACAGTAGCTAGTAGTGACTGAGCATGTTAGAAGCCAGGTCTCTTGATACCCAGTTTAGTGCTCTTTCCAATAGAAGTCCAACTCAATGCATATCATTTTTCTTCCTCAGTTTGCCATTTGGATGTCACAAGATGACATTAATCAATCAATACAGATTAAAATAAGATCAATGAGGACTAGTAGTGAATTGGAACAACATTATTAAATTTACAACCCTCCAAGCCAAGAGTTGTATAAACCTCCATTTAAAATGAAAGATGATAGAAATGAACTATCTTTAGATGGATTTATGATTAACCATGTGTATCTTTTCCTTAGTGACCTGTAGAACCTCAAATCATCTCTACAGGAAATTTGCTGTTATAGTACAGCTGACTTTTCATTATTATTGTCTTCCTCAGTATTCAACATTTTGTGGTATACTGGAGGAAAATTGCATTTGGATGATAACATTAGACCTAACTTGACATTGAGTTTCATTCCAGGAAAACAGATATTTTAAAATCAAATGTATTATTTTAAAACTTAGTTGGAGTTAAACATTAATGTATAATTCAGTATAGCCTTTATCATCATGAGCACTTTTTATTACATGATTGTCCATGCATTTTAAAATATAATGATGCTCTTTAATTAGGGCCACTGAATTAGTATGCATAAAAACAATCCATTTCTCATTATACTCTCCCTGCTCCCAGCCACCCAGCTTGAAGTTGCTCTGCCTCTCCATTTGTTCCGCATCTCTATTCCCACCCCAATGCAATGACAAACAAGAAAAGATAAATCCAAGCAGTAGCTCTGGGCAGCAACTAAGCTGTGCTGGGTTGATTTCACCACCTGGTGGCAGAGGCTAAGAAATGTTTCAATATTCCTTCATTACCTCCTTTCTCCTTCTATGGCTCCTTTCTCCTCTTAGGGCTGATCCTCCCATCTTTCTTTTTTTATTCAGAGCTCAACAAATTCAACTCTAAGCAGTCTCTTTCTCATATGTGCACACATTTATTTTTCCATCCTTTCAAAAATTCTACCTTCATTTTAAAATTATTGACCCCAGGAACATTTATTGCTCCTTTCCTTCTTACTTGCCATCCTCTTATTTATGAATTTTTTTTAAAAAGTGACCTTAATTATGATTGCTGAGTCTGAGAGATCTGCCAGCGAATGTGTGGGAACACCCTTTGAAGTGATGGGCTCTCAGTTGAAGAAAAGGCCTATATTTGGAAATGAAGCACCACACAGGAAAAGGCCTAGGGCCTTAGGCCGCAGAGGTTTTTGAACACGCGCAGACATTCCCTGTTGCATTAGCAGAGCATTTCTTTCTTTCTTTCTTTTTTATTATACTTAAGTTTTAGGGCACATGTGCACAACGTGCAGGTTTGTTACATATGTATACATGTAGCACAGCATTTCTTTCTCTTCCTTCTCTGACAAAGCTGTTTTTTTTTCCAAAACACCAATATTTAAGATACATTGAAAAACCTGTTCTTACCCAGTTTTATTGCTTTTCTCTTAGGTTTAATTGAAAGCTTAGTTTTCTACTGTTTTTACTGCAAACATGCAGCAGTTTGGATGCTTTAGGGCAGTGACTCTCAAACCTCAGCATGCATCAGAATCACTTGGAGGACTTGTTAAAACACAGATTGCTGGGCGTCACTCCCAGAGTTTCTGATTCAGTAGGTCTGGGAAGGAGCCTGAGAATTTGGTTTCTAACAAGTTCCCAGGTGGTGTTGATACTTAAGGTCTGGGACTATGCTTTGAGAACCACAGCCCCAGTATTAAGTGGTCTTTTATAATGCAGATATTGGGTGATGTTTTGCAGTCCATTCTTTGGCCTAAGTGCTCACAGAAGTCACCTTGTGGCATATGGACTGGGTTCTAGTTTGCCACTTTTTCTTTCACAGCTGGGACCACTTGACCTTTAGGCTGAGACTTTGTCTAAGGACAGTAATTGTGTCTTATTACTGTGGTTCTCCAGCCCTAAGAAGAATGGGTAGGACATATTAAATGGCATTTAGTGAATGTTGGGTATGTGTTTGGATGGAGGTGGTTAGTATTGCAAGGCAGCAGGCCCAGGACATTTGAGTATTATTTGCAGTGTTTCTGTAAGAAAAAGGTTCTGGGTTATGAATGGGCTACCTTACTGTGTGTGGCATTACATGTTTGTGAAGTAGGCATTATATTTTTGCCCCCATGTTCTTTCTGATAGTAGTATGATTTTTATTGCAGGTCAGCAATTCATTATAGATATTGCTGTTATTACAATGGAAACAAAGGAGAAAATTGTTTTCTGGGTAAATTTCATTTGGCAGTTATATTGATTAGTCTTTCTAATACTCTACCTAATCTTATTTAAAATAAGAAAGAATACCTGAAATACAGAAGCAAGTGACAAATAAATGATAGCTGTTTCAGGGAGTGCCTGTGATGATATTATCTAGTAAATTGCAAATGCAGAAGGAACAGGTGCAGTGCTGAATTGGGAGACTAAATAGGCTCAGGAAATACCATATTAGCTCTTCCTTATGACCATTTTTTCTGCAGTGTAATTGAGAGCAGTGTAGCAGACGTCAGCTCAGTGGTGTGCGTGATTGAAGAGTTCTCCTTTTGCCTGCTGATTACAGCTGACTGACATGCAGCTAGCATCTCAGATCTTTCTCACTGTAAGGGCCCTTAGACACTATCCTAGTCTAATCCCTTCGATTTACAGATGGTGAAATGAGACCTGAATAAGGGAAACTCTTGTCCCAAATCACACATCCAGTAGGTGGCAGAGTTTGGACTTGAACCCTGTCATCTGATTCTAGGTGTAGTCCTCCTGTTGTGCTGTGTTGCCTTTAACCTCACTGGTCTAACTAAGCTTACTTGTAGACCTTTGGATTCCATTAAGTTACCTATGGACAGCATAGATGGGGAAGGGAGTTTTGTATGCTTTTGTCTAAATGCTTCAAAAGCCAAAAGGAATGGGCTCAGTCTCTGCCATCTTCTCCCCATGGCTGCAGCCATTGGATCCTCCATCTGTAGGCTTAGTCGTGGGCCTAGTATTGTACCTTGGTCAGACACACTGAAGGAGCTCAAGTTCAAAGCTTGGGAGTCAGTAAGATGTCATCTGGGATGCTATCTTTGACCTTCCCTTATTCCTGTGCCTGAATCCTGTTTTGATAAGTTCTGATAGAATTGGGGCCCTGCCTTGGTGTTGTCAACTCTTTCGTAACTATAGGCAAGTTGGGAAGTGGGTAGGAGGATAACATTTGTTGAGCATCTATTTTGTGCCAGTTACTTTACCCACATCATGTTATTTAATCTTCACTACATCTCTATGAAGTTTTGTCTGTGTTTCACACATGAGGAACTAAGGCTCAGAGAGATTATGGGACTTGCTTAAGGTAACCTAGCTAATGAGTGGTACAGCTGGGGTTCAGATTTGGGTCTGTTGAGCTCCAAATCCTGCACTTATTCCGCTATATCTCTCAGAGCCTGTAGCTTGGCTATAAATCCCAGTTTGTTCATTTGTTCAGTGAATATGTATCGAATCCTACTATATTCTAGCCTCTGTGCTCGTAACTGGAGAGGCAGTCCCCGCTCACATGGAGCTTACCATCTATCTGAGACTATAAAGTAATGATGGATGTGTAGAATGTTAAAAAGGAAATGCTGTAGGAATATAGAGCAGACAAGCCTAATCTAGTCCAGGGTGGGATGGGGGAATAAATCAGGCAAGACCTCTTGGAAGAGGAAACATTTACACAGAGAACTGTGTTGAAGCATGAAACAACCTTGCAAAAGACCTGAAGGAAGGCTAGAGTGGCAGGAACATAGTAAGCAGTAGTAGGCTGATGTTCTGCTGCCTGCCTGCCTAGCACAGCGCCTGGCATATAATGGGAACCCACAAATGTTTGCTGAACAAATGCATGAATGGCTAAAACAATGAATGAATGGCAATGCTGAAAGCTCATTTTGCTTGTTATATAAAAACATAATAAGTTACCTTGGGATGATTCATAGTTCCAAACAGCTTTTTCCTCCAGCTCCTCTTGTCTTTCTGTTGTTTTGGGTTTCCTTGCTATATTTTGAATGTCCACACACGTGTCCTGCCTTTCCTTCACAGCCATGGGGTGTCTTCCTGTCTCAAAGAGAGCAAAAACTGAGCTGCCCTATTATCCTCTTAGTGGCTGCCTTGAGCATGAAGTTTGAAATAGCGTCAGTGATTTGATTTTTTCCTCTGGGGATCTGGCAATTGAAAATAAATGTAGAAAGAGCCCCAAAGGAGTTTTTTCTTGGGGGCATGAGAGATGACAGCACCAGTTATTGGTGCACTTTGACAATGCCGAGTTATGTAAGTGGATGAAAAATAAAGGCTATTCCACCAAAGTCAGCTTGCCTTACTTAAGTGATTTTATATTCACAAAAGTGGGTGGTCCAAAGTGTTCTGTAATTCTGCTATTTGCAAAATTCCTAGTTTATGACATAGAGAAATAGAATTCTATAGATTGAGTTTCAACAAATGTTAATGTAGATGATGATTATGTGTTAGGTACTTTCACATTGCATTTAATAACTAAAATATAAATAGCATCTAGTTTCTAGAAAAGAATTTCTTGCCTGGAAATTCTGGTAAGAGTAGCATAAAACATTACAAAACCTGGAAAAGGTTAGAATAGCCTGTTTGTTAGCATACCTTGGTCCAGAAAAAAATGCCAAGCTAGTTTGAGTCCCTTTTTTTTTCAGGTTTAAATCTCCTAGACCCCTTGGGGTCTTCTGTTCTGGCTTTTGGACTGAGGAGTAAGCTTAGTTCACGAGTTTGAAGGGTAGTCTCGACTGACACTGATGAAACCAAGCGAATGATCTTTGGTCCTTGTTTCTTTATTGTTTTTTTTTCATTGGTTGGTTCGTTCATTCATTCACTCATAAAACATTTGTTGAATGACTTCTATGTGCAGGCCACTATAGCTAGAGACAAGTTTTACAGTCCTGTCCTCACAAAGCTTGCAGTCTGTGGGAGAGACAGATAAGAAGTCAGAAACTGGCTTCTCCCTGGATTTGGAAGCGGGAGTCTTCACCACTAAATATTCAGTCTGTGCTGGTTCCACTCTGCTTCTCCCTTTTTTCCCTTTCTCCTCCATGGACTGACTCTGTGGGTCTGTGACCCCAGAGTTTGTAGCCCTCTCTCACCTTTGCCATACTGTCTAGGCTCAGACAGTGTTCCTTTCAATGTGGTCTTGTCTGTGAGATTCCAACTGAGACTGAAGTTCTGTAGGTGAGGACCAGTCAGGAGACAGGTGAGGCCGGGAGAAATGCTGTGGTTACAGAGGTGACCTCCTTGCTGATTTTAGAGCTTCTGTTCATGCCTGCTGGCAGCATGCCAGTACAGAAGGAGCTTTGGATTCACTAATGCTTGGTTCATGGTTAGACTTCCGTGCATAATTAGTATTTTTAAAGTCATTTTATCTAAAGACTTCAAATTTAGAGACTCTAAGTACTTGAGAGACATTTTATGGATTGCAGCTGAGTTTAAAAGGATCTTGCAGCATTTTCTCCTCAGCCCTTACTACTAGCCAGCTGCTTCTAATCACATTCAGTAAAGTCCTGTGACAGACTCTTTCTTCTTCCAGCTTCTTGCAGAAGATGTCATGCCCCAGGTCGGCCTGGATCTTCCTGAGAAGCTGCACAACAGTGTTTCTCAAATTTCAATGTGTGTGCAATCACTTGGGGATCTTGTTAAAATGTAGAAGATTCTAGCTCTGTAGGTCTGAGTCAGTAGGGCTACTTTCCACTTCTAACAGGTTCCCAGATGATTTCAATTCTGTGTTCTGAGTAGCAAGGAAATTGCTAAATGTCAGGCATAGACGGGGCTTTATAAATGGATCATCACATCTGAGACTGTGACTTTACAAAGGAGGACACAGAAATCCAAAGAAGGAGAGTGACTTGCCTGAGGTCACACAGCAAATTAGTGGAAGAGACCAGGACCAACACTCAGGTCATCATTTTCCTTCTGTGTTGTATGTGTGCTTTTCCTCTGCTGATCTAGCAATGTAAAGAAGCAGAAATAAGGTTTCCTACTTGCATTTTCATGTTTACAGCAGCCTCACAGAACCAAAATCGGGTATGTTGGTAGTCTAGACTTGCCTGAAGCCCTTCTTTCTTAGGTTTTAGTGAGGCATTTACCACGGGATCTTAAGCAGAGCCTCTCTATGACACCAGGCTTTGTGTTCAGTAGTGCTTGTTGAACAGGACTTGAGTCCCTTCCACACTGGACAAGGGGAAGTGGGTGGTGCCAAAAATTGCCAGATGGCCCCAAATGAGTCTCTAGTGTGGGTTAACCCTCATAATCCAGGAGCAAAAGGTGTGTCTGGGACACTGAAGCAGCCTTCAGACTTCAGAATTTGCTTAGCACTCTTTCTTTTAGGATGTGCTAAGTGGCAAAGAGGGCATACCGGGAATAGAGTAGGTATGTTTGACCCAGAGACCCTGTCAGGGGCCTGGAGTTGGAACAACAAAGCAGCCAAAGAACATGGTGACAGGCGATGGTTGGTTTATCCGTCAAAGAGGTCCTGTGAGTTGGGGAGGGGCATAGGAGCAGACAGTCTGCAGTGATCTAGACCAGTGGGTAACCTTTTCATTCTATAAATATTTGTTGTGTGCCCATTACATGCCAGATACTGAACTGCACAGTGGGAGATGTGGAGATGAATTCCTAGAGCTCTGGTCTCAGGAGGCCCTCCAGGTGGATTCTGCATCAAGATAGTCTTTTGGAGTAATAGCAAGGTAGGACTCTGGTCTTGGTGAAACGGTTTATTAGGTGGGGATTCAGATAGAGGAAACAATCAATTCAGGGTCACACTTGCTGAACCTCTGGCATAAAGGAGGGCATGGTTTCTAGAATAAGGCAGATACCCAGTGATGGAAACCAAGGAACAAGATCAGGGCAGGAATGGGCAGCACACTGAGGCTGCTTCTGAGCTGCTAACCTCTGAAACTTGAAATCTTTCCTGATAGAAGACAGGGGTACGCTGGAGTAAAGGTCACCTGGTGTGGACGTGGAGCCAGGCACTCTGATACTGGAAAGACTTAGCCATGCAGGTTTTCCATCTGTTTACCTGTCTCTCCCTGCCTCTGGCCCTGCTTGTGAGAACTGTCTTCTTCTGTGGTTGTGGAGGGTAAGATTCTGGAAGCTTCTTAGGATCAGGCCCTCTAGGGTAGCAGAGGTGGCAGAGGCTCCTCTCCCCATCATCATTTGTACTAACATGTCTCAGGGCCTCTTAGGGCTGAGATGTCGTTAGATATCTCCTGATGGAGGCAAGTGACTAATGCCCCAATTGGGAAAAAAAAACTGGGTGAATGAGAGGTTGGCTTGAGACCATAGACCTGTCTGCATTTGAAACTGACATCTAATGACTGAGCTGGAAGGGGTGGAATATTGGTAATAACATTAACAGTTGAAGGGAAACAATGCCTAATACCTAGTAGGCTCTCAGTGAATATTTATTGACTGAGTAGGTATTAGCAAAGTGCTTTATAGTTTTCAAAATATATTGTTTCCCCCAGACTCTGTGAGACAGGCAGAGCATTATACTCATTTGATAGTAAGGCAGCTGAGGCTCAAGATGTTACATATTTTGCCCAAGATCACACAGCTGGTAAATGGTACAGCTGACACTGGAATTCAGGTCTTTTGAGTCTTATTCTAATGTCCTGTCTTTGAAGACACTTCCAAAAATGCAGACAGATACTGCCAGGGATCTTGCTATTGTACATTTAATTTTTGGTATCTATTAAACAGATATGGTTTTTTTAATGCAAAACATTTTTGTAAGATGGAAATGTGCCTCCCTGTGTGCATTTTTACCAAATTGAGCCCTTGGGTCTCTTTATTTTTAATAAGGAGGAAACACTAGGGTCTGGAACAGCTGAACCAAGCACCATTGCTGCCTACTCATTAGCTCTTTCTGTCTAATTAGATTGAAAGCAAGGAAAGAAGCAGAAAAGGCAACTATTTTGTGTTTAGCAGAAGTGGTCATGTATGGTCTTGAACACTCCCTCCCCCTTTTTCACCCTTCTTTTCTTCTTCTCTTCCTTCCTTTGCCCTCCAGAAGGCTTCTAGAATGCAGTCCCTTTCACCCTGCAGTAGCGTATTTCTTCTGCCATGAGTGGTGTCTTTGTGATGTGTGTGACAGACAGATGGACTTCTGGGACCTTAGAGACTTGGTGGGTTACTGTATCTCTTTCGTGGTGCCCTTGTGATGTGTGTGACAGACAGATGGACTTCTGGGACCTTAGAGACTTGGTGGGTTACTGTATCTCTTTCGTGGTGCCCAGTGGCCTAGTCATGTAGAGCAAAGAGGCTATTGTTTTTTCTTTAAGAACAAATTAAATACAAAGCATTTCTCTGAAGTACAAGGAGGACCTTGGGTTCCTGTAAATGGCTTAAAAAACAAAAGAAAAAAAAGAGTACACCTGAAAGATTTTGTCGGTGGAACTCCATCCCCAAGTTTGCATGTGAATAAAAAATTGCTGGCCGGGATCCCAGGCCTGTTTGTAGATGGTTTCATCTAACCATCAGTGGTGACTGTGACCTCTGGGCCTGTTCATGCGGTCAAAGTTTTCAGCTGGAATTTTCCATATTCATGCTCCTCTATTGCACAAATTGTAAGACAGCAAACATGGAAGGAAGGTGATTTATTACAACTCATAGACCTACACTTTATGTGAAGAAGTCTTGGGGAATGCCAAGGGCCAGTTGCAATTTTTCTGAGACTCAGTTTCTACCTAACTTCTTGAGCTGGCCAGCTTCACTTTCCCCCTCTCTCCACCCCATCTCCATTCTTTTCTTCTCAACCCAAATCACCCCCCGCACCCCCACTGTTCTATGTTTGTCTCCAGTCTTACCCCTTTTTTCTACCCTCCACACTGCCACCACAGTGCTTCTATGTTTCACTCTCTTACTCAAAACCCTGCAGTGGCTTTTCAGTATCTTCCAGGAGAAATCCATTCTCTGTGGCAGAGCTTGCAGGGAATTTTTGGCTCTAAGTCATCTCTTCACCCTGTGTGTCACCACCATTCCTTTGCACAGACCCTTCTTATAGCCAGACTTGCAGTTCCTGAACATACCAGGTTCTCTTTCCTGCCTCTCTGACTTCACACATGGCCTTCCTTTGGCCTGATTTTAGATCTTTAGATTTTAGTTCAAGTGTTACCTCCTCTGTGAAGTTTTCTATATATGCCAAGGCAAAATTTGGTGCTTTCCTTTCTGCTCTCAGAGTAATTCAAATGTATTCCTACTATATTATTTATTACATAATTCCAGAACCATTTGTTTGAATGTTTTTCTCTCCCTCTTACCTCAAATTCATTGCCCCAAATTCATTCACTAGCTAACCCTTTTTGAGTATTGACTCTCAGTCAGGGATTGGGATAAGTAAGGGCTTTAGATAAGTTCACTCATTTCTTCCTCCTTGGGTGTAGAGATTATTATCATCTTCACTCTACAGACTAGGAAATTGAGGCTTAGAGAGTTTAAATGACTTGGCAAAGCTAGTAATTGGTAGGCCTGGGAATTGTACCACGCACTATGCTAGATGGCTGTAGATATAAAGTTCAGTATGACACAGTCTCTTCCATCAAGGAGCTTGTGATGTAGCAGGTGAGACAGGTAAGTCATAGTGTCAGTCCAGGATGCTGAGTGCAATGATGAGGGTGTCCAGGGTGCTATGGCAGCAGAGTGCTGGGAACTAACTTATCCTGGGGGAGGGCTGGAGCTGTGTGTACACCCACCTCTGCATCCCTAGCACTTAGCACTGTGTTAAGTTGTTTTCCCCTGTGACCAGGACTCAAAATCTCAGTCACCTTTTGCTTCACTCTCTGTATTCTCATTAGTCCATCTGCAACACCTCCCTTCCCAGTGAGTCTGGAATCTGTACTGCCTCCACCCTGGTCCAGGCCCCATTCACATAATCTGCAGCAAGCGTGTGAGGAATGTGCATGAGAGTGTGAAGGTTTCTGGAGTACCAGGAGTCTCTGGAGATTGCCTGTGCTCAGCTCATTTGTCATTGCCTAGGTTTCCTGGAGCATTTCCATCCTAGGAAATTTTTTCTTGGCCTCAGGACAGAACTTCTAAGAACATGTCCCAGGATTGGGCCCTCTGGCACCGAGTCCCTCTCACCCCACCACTTCTGGCCAGCCTCTGCTGTGTACTGGATCCTGAGCTGCTTACAGAGCTGAGCGCACTGAGGTATGGCCCCTGCTCTCCAGGGACTAAGGATCCAGTAGGCTAAACTGGATGAGGGCAGAAGCCTGGCTAGACCTGGGCCTATGGCAGGGCTGGACCAATAGACGGGAATCAGCTGATGGCAGGAGAAGAAGGTTGCAGGGACAGGGAAACAGGCAGACCTCATAGATGGGTCAGCTAGAGAGGAATGCAAACTGATGTATATCTAGGTGGGATGGGACTGTCAGAGGTCAGAGGAAGGAGAGAAGTGAAAGGGCTGGCCCCGTGGTCATTACCCAGATTTCTTTCTGTTAGGGTAACCTCCAGGTGGAAGTTAGTTTCAAACCAGCAGAGACTAGGATGGCAGTTTTAATCTGAAATCAAAAGAGGTGAACCCAGTATCCAGATAGGAAACCATTCTAATTTTTCCAGGACACAAAAGGAGTAAAGGGAATAGAGAACAAAATGTAAATAGCTCCCTTATGTGCATTGTGCCAGGTGCATGGTATGTTATTTAGTTTCCACAGAAACCCCATGAATCTACATTTATGAATGGGGAAACTGAGACTGCAAGTCATACAGTGAGGACACAAAAGAACGAGCAGTATTTGAAGCCAGGTATGATTCCAGAGCTTCTCCTCAGTGTTCTGCTTGTTCTCAGGGGACTAAAAAATACCCCCAGTGGAGACAATTGAGTAAACTCCTGAGTACCACATAGTACGCCAAAAACTGACCAGTATGAAACTGCCACCCAAGGAGCAAAAAGTTGTTAATGAAATATTTGCCAGCATAGGCTGTGTTATAATACTTAGAAAAAAACCCCAATGTTTTCTGCAAAGGGTCAGGTTCTTTTTACTTTCTCTTCCTTGTTCTGAGCATGATCATCTTTTCCAAGAGCTATGGGTAACCTCATGACCCTAAGATCTCTGAAAGACCCTTGTCTGTTGGTACCTTGATGAATAATCCTAAAACAATATAGGCTGGCCTGCTAGAGCCCTCTCTGTGAGTGTGTGTGATCTGTCTCACTGCCAGAGCTCATTTGGGCTCGTTTAATAATTGAAGGCCAGTGTTAAGCATTTTGCAGTTTGTCCTTCGTAGACAGGAGTGGTTTTCTGTGTGTAAAGTGATATGCTCTATTCTCCAAGGACACTCTGTTTCCTGAAGTGCAGCTGACTCAGCATGTTCAGACGTTGCCATTGGGTAACTTAGATTTCATCAAGTTCTCTTTTAAAGAGAAATCTCTCCCATCTCATCTTTGAGACAAGTCCATGAGGCTTGGTGGTGGCTGGGGCTTGAGATCACCTTACTGGGAGTTTGCACTAGGGAAAGTGGGCTACAAGGCAAGCTCAGCCACTTCCCATTGTGCTGAGGAGTCAGTGCATTTAGTCACTTTAACAAAAAAAGAGGGGCCATTGCAGGTCTCATGACCATCTGTTCCCCCTGTGTCGGTCATTCTAGGCTGGTTCTAATTACAGTATCCCTAAATCATGTGTTCTTCCTTGCTTCCAGGCCTTTGCATGTGTTGTTCTCTCTGTCTCTTGGTCTCTGTCTCTTTTTCACCTTCCCCCATGCTTTACTGAACTCATCTTTCCCTGTCTAGTTCATTTCAGGTCTTGCTCTCCCCTGGGGTGAGGACTCTTTGTCTGCACCCTCATAGCCCTTTTTGTCTATGTTTCTCTTAGCACTCATTCCCTTTTGTGGGAGTTACATGCTTACTTGCCTTTCCCCAGCAGACTGAGAGCTCTTTGGGAATGAGGGAATCATGGAATGTATGAACAAATGAACAAATTGAGGTGGTTTGTAAATTCTGCTGCTGAGGAATTTTTAAGGAAGAAAATCAGCATTTACTGAGGACCTATTATGTCTTAGGCACTGGACTAGATATTTTACATGGGCAGTCTCATTTAATTTTCACAATGGCCTTGGATTGTGAATATTAGAGGTTATACAAAGAAGCCAATCTTCCTTCAGTCTTTCATTATCATCCTTCTGTTTTTGGACTGACTCATCATAAATGACCTGCTTTATAATTTAATAATGAGTACTTTTAAAACTTAAAAAAATTACTTTCTTTTAATTTTGCAGTTTCACAGTTTAGCATTGAGTACAATAATGTATCAGATGACTGTCAAAATGCAGAACCAACTCTTTTGCTGGAAATAATTACACTTTGCCAAACCCGTTTATTTTGAGCAGCTCCAGTGTGATAATGTACTGAACTGTAAATGTGAGTCTTGTGATGTATGGATTATGTGGGGGGATCAGAATGGCAATTAAACCAAGTGCAGATCCACTGGATGGGTGTTAAAAAGGGAAATAGAACATGTCCCTTTGTTAAATACATTCCCCTGAAGATAAGTTTGTAATTTGACAATCTAGGCAGCTGGAAAAATTAGAAACTGCTTCACTGGAGAAGCTGGCCTGATTCTTCAAACTTGCACTTGGAAAATGAAACCATTCGTTCTCTTGGTGATTCTCTGGTCAGATTGCTTGTTTCTCAGTCTGCAGGCAGTTCAGGATCTCTATGCATACGTAGACCTGCTCCCTTCCAGGCCAAGTCTACTGTCTTGTGGGAATGGTTGCTCTAATCTCACATCACTGGCCTCCCATATAGGCCACTGTAGCCTTAAACTTGGTCTGTCTAAAGGGAGACTTTGCCTGCTAGAGTGAGAGTTGAAGTTGGACAGATGTGTTTGAATTCAGATTACTATCACTGATTGACAACTGTGTTATTTAGGGAAAGTTGCATTCCTCCTCTCAGCCTCAGTTTTCTCATCTATAAAATGGAGATAGTTCATTGAATTTATTGAGCACAGTTATGTGCCAGCCACTTCCAAGGCATTTGGGGAATAGACAGAAATCCTTGTCTTTATGGAGTTTACATTTTAGTGAGGAGAGACAGACATTAAACCTAGACATAAGAAATAAACTCAAATACCATGTTAGAAGATAATAAATATAATCAAAAGAAGAAAAAAGTGAGAGCAGGGTAAGGGATTTTAGGAGTTCTGGGGAAAGTGTGAGTTGCTGTTTTGTTTGTTTGTTTGTTTTTGAGACAGAGTCTCGCTCTATTGCCCAGGCTGGAGTGCAGTGGCGCAATCTCGGTTCACTGCAATCTCTGCTTCATGGGTTCAAGCGATTCTCCTGCCTCAGCCTCCTGAGTAGCTAGGACTACAGGCGCGTGCCACCATGCCCAGCTAATTTTTTATATTTTTAGTAGAGACAGGGTTTCACCGTTTTAGCCAGGATAGTCTCGATTCCCTGACCTTTTGATCCACTCGCCTTGGCCTCCCAAAGTGTTGGGATTACAGGCGTGAGCCACCGTGCCTGGCTGCGGTTTTTTTTTTTTTTTTAGATGGAGTTTTGCTCTTGTTGCCCAGGCTGGAGTGCAATGGCACAATCTCAGCTCACTGCAACCTCCGCTCCCCAGGTTCAAGCGATTCTCCTGCCTCAGCCTCCCGCGTTGCAGTTTTTAATAGGCCTCACTGAAATAATGACATGGAGTTGGTGAGGGACTTAGCCATGCAGATATCTGGGGAAGCATGTCCCAGTGCAAAGGCCCTAAAGTGGGAGCAGGCTTGGCATATTCAGGAAATAGCAAGGAAGCTGGCATGACTCAAGTGGAGTGAGTATGGGGGAGAATAAGAGAGGATGAGTTCAGGGAGATAATACCCTCAAGGGTTGTAAGGATTTAATAAGTGATATCTATAATGCATCTTGCTCTTCCATTTCACTACCCATTTTTCAAATGGTTTGGAGTCTGTTACCCAGACTCCAAACTTCAGTGAGACTTTGATGTCTTCCTTTTCTGCTCACATTGCCAATCACTTACTGTGTTCTGTAACCATCTCTCTCTCTTCTGTCCCTTTTTCCTCATTCCCATTACCCTTAACCTAGTTGTTTCCAAACTCTTGCCTGTCTAATCACAGTGGCCTCCTAGCCATTAGATCTGAGGCTTCCGGTCTCTCCATCTCCATCCCTCCCCTTACCCTTTCCTTTTCAGGCCATGATGCAGTATTGAGCCTTCTCTCTCCTGCTTATAACCTCTCAGCTGCTCATTAGTGTACTCATTTATTCATTCCTTTGTTTATACATTCAGCATCTTTTGAGAATTTACTAATGCTCAAAGTCATTTGAATTCAGTCTAATGGAGGAAGCAGACTTGAAATAATTATAATACCAATTCAGAAATGTTTGTTTTTACCCTAGTTTGTTGCAAAAAGGATTTGGGGTTCAATGATTTGTTATGTAATATGATGAGTAATATGCAGCAGCTCTCTATATATGTACAAAGTTCTGCTCTCTCAACCTAGCATTTAGAGTCTTCCCTACTGAGGCACAGTCCTGCATTTCTAGTTTCATCTCCCAAAGTCACGTTAAGTGAACCTTTTGCTTCACCTAAGGGGATAACTTGCAGTTCTGTAACTTGACTTCTCTTTCACACATTTATACCTTTGCTCACACTCTTCCCTTTGCCAGGAGTGCTTTTTGCCTAATCCATATTCTGCTTTTTTTCCAGACTAGCTTTAGATGGCATCTCCTTGGAAAGTCTTCCCTGATGTCCAGGTCCTAATTGATCACTTCATTCTCTGAACTTCCAGTAGGTAGGGGGAGAGAAAGAGAGAGAGAGAGAGAGTGTGTGTGTATGTGTGTGTGTGTGTGTGTGTGTGTGTCTGTTCCTGCTTTATTTATCTTACTGATTATGAATTCCTTAAGTCATGGGGACATTTTCACCTACAGCACCTGGCACAGCACCTTTTCCATAGGAGGCAGTAAATCTTTGAATGAGGGAATGAATGGATGTTTCCCAGGCCATGACATCTGGGGAGGGATTTGCCTTGGAGGTGCTTTTTCTTATGTTGATATAAATGAAGTGCTGACAAGTTCCTGGAGCCCAGATGTATTGACCCTGCAGGGAGCTGCTACCTTCTGGTGCTGTAATTCAGAATGCATGTTCTTGTAGAAGCCATGATGTAAATAGTTTCTACAAGTAGTTCTCTCACTAGTTCCAAACATCTGACTTAGAAAAACATTTTTGGAGTCTTGCTCATTCATAAGTTGGGGACTGTCTCTGTTTTGAAGTGCTCCACTTGTACCAGCAGGCAGGTGGTATCTGCTTAGCTATACCCACAGGCACCATGGAGTGGAGAAAGGAACACAGACTTCGGGTCATACAGAGATGATCAGCTGTACCACTTCTTAGCTTGTGACCTTCAGCAAGTTACTTTACTGATTTGAGACTCAATTTTCTAATCTGTAAAACAGGAATAAAAATACCTACCACAGGCATAATGAGGATGAACAAGGTAATCTGTGTAAAGGACAGTGCCTAGTAAGTACTTATAAACCCCATTTAAATAATCAAAACAACAGTAAATTTAGTTTCATTTGCATCTCTGAAGTTCCTGTGGACTAGGATAGTGCTTCTCAAATGATACCGTGCATATGAATCACCTGGGGATTTCATTAAAATGCAGAATCTGATTTAGTCAGTCTGGGTTGGGACCTGAGATTCTGCATTTCCAGCATTCCTATGCTGCTGATACGGAGACCATACTTTGAATTGCAAGATGTTTGGGTGATGGTTCTCGAACTATAGCCTGTTTCTGAATCACCTGGAAAGCTTGCTGAAATGAATTTCTGGGCTTCACCTCTGATGATATACTCATGCAGTAAGTCTGGAGTGGAGCTTGAGAATTTGCATTTCTTTCTTATTCATTTATTTATTTATATTTCCATAGATTTTTGGGGAACAGGTGATATTTGGTTACATGAGTAAGTTCTTTAGCGGTGATTGTGTGATTTTTGAGACCCATTACCCAAGCAGTATACATTAAACCCAATTTGCAGTCTTGTATCCATCACCCACTTCCCACCCTTCCCCCCTGAGTCATTGAAGTCTATTGTGTCATTCTTATGCCTTTGCATCCTCATAGTTTAGCTCCCACTTATGAGTGAGAACATACAATGTTTGGTTTTCCATTCCTGAGTTACTTCACTTAGAATAATAGTCTCCAATCCCATTCAGGTTGCTGCAAATGTCATTAATTCATTCCTTTTTATGGCTGAGTAGTATTTCATCATATATATGTACCACAGTTTCTTTATCCACTAGTTGATTGATGGGCATTTGGGTTGGTTCCATAGTTTTGCAATTGCAAATTGTACTGCTATAAACATGCATGTGCAAGTATCTTTTTTGTATAATGACTTCTTTTTCTCTGGGTAGATACCCAGTAGTGGGAATGCTGGATCAAATGGTAGTTCTACTTTTAGTTCTTTAAGGAATCTCCACACTGTTTCCTGTAGTGGCTGTACTAGTTTACATTCCCACCAACAGTGTACAAGTGTTCCCTGTTCACTGCATCCGTATTCAAATAATATTCCCAGATAATGCTGATGCTACTGATTTAGGGACCACACTTTGAGAACCGTTGTGCTAGGGGGATAACAGGGATGAAGTTAATAAGAAAAAACAGATAAATGATAGTGATTGTTCCACTCCAGGATATTTGTATTCTCTGCCTTTTAGCTTGTACATGTCCATAGAGTAACTATTATCAGACCAGGCTTGGAATGTCTTATTAATTATTACACAGCAACAAAAACCAACACTTATTGAGTACTTATTATGTGCCAGGTATTGTGCTAACACCTTTATATAGTTTCACTTAATTCTGATAATAATCCTGTGAAATGGATACTATAGTTTTCTAGCTTGGTGTTTCCTATGCTAACCAATTCATAAGAATCACCTGGTGTGCTTGCTAAAAATACAGATTTCCAGGTCTCTACTTTGATTCTAATCTGGTGGGGCTCAATGCCTCCAGGTAATTTATAAGCTCAGATAAAGCTAGAAATCTCTGCTGCAGTTAATCAGCTACTCTGCTTCTCTTTCATCTATGTCCAACACAAAATGCCAATTTTTAAGAAATAATAATAATGATAATAAATTTGACACTGAAAGCTGCACTCAGCCAAATTTTCCTTTGATGATTCAGAAAGCCCTTTAGGATCTCCAAATGCCTTAGAGTCCTCATTTTGAACATTCTTGGACTGTAGAGGTACAGAAGGGCCAGGTGATAGAGCGATGTATTTACTACAAAGCCAGGGAAGCCCATGCCAACTGTATAACTTTTGGCTCTCTTGAGCATTTTGTTTGGAAAGTTATTCTAGGAAATTGGTCTTCATTGCATCCAGATGGATGCTGTGATTCCACAGACTTTTAAGAAAAATGGAAAAAAAAAGGTTTTACTTGCTTGTCTTCAGGCCAGTTTGTTTGCCCACAGCAAGGCCAGTGTGGCCAACCACTTGTTGCAGCACAACCCATCACTACGTCAACAGTCCCTGCACCTGCTGCTGTCCCTCACCTGGCCAGACTCTTTAGCTCCTCCCTGGTTTTCCAGCCACTGGCTTCTTTGCCTAGCCTTTCCCATGTAGCCTGGCATTGCCTTACCATATCTCATTGGAACTTGGCTAAGGATGGAAAATGGGAAAGGTTCATAGTTTTATTTGTAGTTGGAAATTCACCAATCCCCTGCCTGCTCTAGGAGATCCTGTCTGCATGCCTTGCTGTGGGTGGTGGAGTTGGGCAGTGAGGTGTCGTGAGGGTGAGATTGTCTGTGAAATGTACCACGCTTGAGTCATCAGCAAAGACTGTTATGAGATCAAAGAAAATGGAGGTTTTCTTTAGTTTTACTGATGCCAATCTGAGTTGTTTTTTGGGTCAGCTGAGTTAATGGTCCTCAGAATAGTTTTTTCTTGCTAATGGAAAAAGTGTTTCAGTTTGATGGAATGAGCACTGGACCAAGAGTCAGAAGAACTAGGGACTCAGATCACCTCTCCCTTTGATTTCTTCTGTGACCTTGGGCCAGTTAGGTGATCATCTCTGAAGAATAGTTTTCTCTTTAAAAAGGGGAGGTTGAGCTCAGTAATCTCAGGATGAGCTTGATATTCTGTGATCTTGTGATGACCTAGTCGCAGGAAATATGCCATCAAAATAACTTGTCCCAAAATTCAGTCAAGTTCACCCACTCAGCCAATATGTATTCAGCATCTGGTATATTTCAGGTACTGCCCTGGGCATTATGGGGGATACAGTGATTAATAAGGCACATTGATCCATTTACTCATTCATTCATTCATTCATTCATACAACGAGCATCTACTTATTGAGCACCTATTTATGCAAGCACTATACAAAAAGCTATGAGAGATACAAAAATGAATTAGACACAGGTTTTGTTGTCAGTCAATATGCCATCTAAAAGGGACGTAAGATTGCAATAAGGAAAGCCGTTCCTAACCATATTCTCTAAGAGAGGACCTCTTCTTTTATTCTCCATTCCTTTCCTGCTTTTACTGGCACTTATCATCTGACCTTATTTTATCTGTTTAGTATCTGTTTCCGCATCAGAATTTAAACTCCATGAGAGCAGGGCCCTTTGTGTTGATCACTATTATATTACAGTGCCTAGAACAGTGCCTGACACAAAATAACCCTCAATAAAATACTTTAAAAATAAAATATGTATGAAAGAAGCTAGAAACTATGTGTCATAAAAGATATTTAGATAAAATGTTATGGGAGCTCAGTGAGAGGAGAGATCTCTTTTAACGAGGACAATGGTTTTTAACTATGGTTGCATATTAGAAATACCTTGAGTTTCTCTCACTCTTTCTCCATAAATAAAAATAAAATAAAATAAAATACTTAGCTGAGGGCAGTAGTACATGCCTGTAGTCTCAGCTACTCAGAAGGCTGAGGCTGGAGGATCACTTGAGCCCAGGATTTGGAGGCTGCAGTCAGCCTTGGATTGTGCCACTGCATTCCAGCCTGGGTTCAGAGCAAGACCCCAACTCTAAAAAAATAAAATAAATTAAAAAAATAAAAACATTAAAAATGTTACTTGCCAAGCCCTACCCCAAATTCATTAAATCGTCATCTCTGAGGATAATGCTTAGGCATCAGTATTTTGTAAGAGCTCCTCAGGTACTGATAATATGTAGCTGAAATAATGTGAACTAGTAGAATAGTCAGGAAAACTTCATGGATGAGGTGGGATTTGAGCTGGCTTGAAAATCCGTAAGATTTGGACAAGAAGGAAGCATTCCAGATGGAGTGCACAGCATGAACAAAGTACAGAGGCAGGAATCACAGACTGAGTTCAGGGATCAGCAAGTAGTTCATTTTGGCTGTAGCCTAAAGAACACAAAGGGAAATAATTGAAACAATGTTGTAAAGGTCAACTGGGGCCAATTTGAGAAGACCTTTAATGCCAGGCTATAGGATTTGGGCTTCATTCAGTCATGTAGTCAGTGAGAATTGTGAATGGTTATTAATCAAATGATGTGATCAAAGCCTTCCCTGGCTGCCCTTGGAGGATGGCTTGGAAGTAGGCAGGGAGACCAGTAAGGAAACAGTTGTCAAAGTCTAAGTAAGGTGGGCTCTACTGAGGGCTGCATCACTGGTGTTGGAGAGAAGGGCTGCAGTAGAGCCTGTACAACCAGGCTGTGTGAGGGCTGCCTACACTGCAGCCACAGGTCTCTTTTCTCTTGGTGGAGTCACTGGCATTGCATTTTAATCAAGCCAGGGGAGTCAGTCTGCACTGGCATTCTCTAGCCTAGCTTTTTCCTGTGCATGACTGAGGAGTAGATAGTGCAGCTAAGCCTCCTTCCTGAAATGATAGGCTGTTTTATCCAGAGAAGCATTTCTACAGGCAGAACTCAGTACCCCCCAAAGCTACCTCTGAGATAGGTTTCTATTATCTTACAATAGCAGTATGTGTCTTCTCTAGCTAATTCCAGCACCATGAATGAAGTCAGCTCTACCAGTGTCTGGAGCTGTTAATTTCTTAAGCTCTGGGTGTACTAACAACATCCTGCCTCCAAAAAGACAGCTTTGAGCTAGGGCTGGGGTCAGGGGCCCAAGGGTGTATTTCTAGTAGCTTCATAGCAGGACGCTCATTTATAAACAGCTGAAGTTTTTGGAGGCACAGGACATCTGCACAGGCAAGCATGCCATATGTGTGTGGGGCTGGAAGAAAGTGGGGCTAGTGGAGGCAGGATGGTGATTGGGTCTAGTATTGCTGATACAGGCTTATGCAGAGAGGACTGCCTGCCCTTGGCCAGATGCTGCGGGTAGCCAGTGCATCCCCAGGGTCATATACTACCCAAAAGGACAGGCAAGCAAGAGTTGCTAGTGCAGATATTTTTTCTTTCCCTCTGTCTGTTTAGCCAGGGCTGACCTAACTCACAGTCATTTGTTTCAGAATGTCAGTCCCTGAGATGGGCACAGACTTTACAGTTTGTAAGGATCCTTTGCACCCATTATCTCATTGGAATCTCACAGCAGTCCTATGAATTAAGTAAGATAAGAGTTATTGCTCCATTTTACTAATGAGAAAACTGGGGCTAGGATAGGGTAAAGTAGCTTATTCTACAGTTGTGTGGATGTAAAATATGAAGGCTGTGACTTGTTGAAGCTGGAGCCGAGAGGCCACTTGTCAGGGCTGCCTTAGGTGGAATGTATACACATTGTGGTAGAAGAAGTAGTGAATGCTTTGGCTCCCTCATAATCTAGCTGGGTGATTCTGCGCAAGTCCTTTATTATGCCTCTCACTTTTGTCAGCTATAAAATGGGAATATAGCATCTATTTAATAGGATTATTCGAAGATTAAAATGATCATTCATTATGAAAGTGTTTAGTACAATGCCTGGCATACATTAGATGATGTTCAGTTCGTTCCTTGGTTTTTAAACTTTTTAATTTTGAAATATAGATTCAGAGGGAAATTGATACAGATGATCCTATATACGCTTCACCCAGCTTCCCTCAATGATAGAATCTTATGTAACTGTCGTATCATATCAAAATCAGGAAATGGGCATTGGTACAATACCTCTTGTTAACTAGGCCACAAATGGTATTCAGATTCCCTGTGTTTTTTTAAAGAAAAATTATATCATTTCTGAGTTTGTTTCTGGTTCTGAAATGTTTTTATACAGTGTCATCATTATCCTTGACTTTTCTCTGGCATCTAACTTTTTAGAAGCTTTGTTCTCTGTTGGTTTTCATAACACTGTGTATTTCTCCTTGTCATCCCCCTGTCTCCTTCACCATCTTCTCTTCTTCTCTTCTATACTGTATGTCTCCCAGATTCAGTTCTTAGCCCCTGCTCTTCTCTCTGTTTGTTTTGTTTTGTTTCTCCCTCTTGGATAGGGTCTTACTTTTATCTTTATTCTGGAATCAGTATTCCCACCTCCACTTACCAAGCCCCTCTCTAGTTCCCTGTTTTTGACTATTTGCTGAATATAAGCTCAAACTCATCATATCCAAAGCTAAATTTGTCATTTTTTTAAACTCCAAACTACTACCCAGCTACCTCCACTTGACTTCCCTGCTTCCATTAATGAGTTGTCATTCAAAAACTGCTCAGGGCTGTACGAGGGGACTTTTTGGTGATAGATATGCTCATCATCTTGATTGTGGTAAAGATTTTACTAGTGTAGGATGGGCATGGTAGATAATGCCTATAATCTCAGCACTTTGGGAGGCTGAGATGAGCAGATTGCTGGAGCCCAGAAGTTTGAGAACAGCCTGGGCAACATGATGAAATCCCATCTCTACAAAAAATACAAAAATTAGCTGGGTGTGGTGGTGCGCACCTGTAGTCCCAACTACTTGGGAGGCTGAGCGGGGAGGATCACTTGAGCCTGGGAGGTGGAGATTACAGTGAGCCATCGTGCTGCTGCACTCCAGTCTGGGCAACAGAGAGATCCTGTCTCAAAAAAACCTAGGTGACAAAGAAAGACTGTCTCAAAAAAAAATTTTTACTAGTGTGTACATATGTCAAAACTTATCAAATTACACACATTAAATATATGTGTGTGTGTATATATATGTGTGTATATATATTTTATATATATTTTAATATATAAAATATATATATTATATATAATATATATATAATATATATAAAATACCTCAATAAAACTTAAACAAAAAACTTCCCAGAGCCAGACATGAATCCTGGCCCCATCACTCATACAAGTTACTCACCTTTCCTCTGCCTCATTTTTCTCATTTGTAAAATGAGGGTTATAACAGTAATTTACCATATTGGATTGCAGGGAAGATTGAGTAGGTAAAGTGCTTAAAACATTACCTGATACATATTAAGTTCTTCAAAAGTATTTGTTGATGTTCCTCTCTTATTCATCTCATGTGCCCCATGTCTGGCACAGAATAGGTGTTTAATAAGCGTTTGTTGAATGAATGTTGCCACAGTCTTGAAGTACTATTTTCCCTCCCTGACTTTTATTTAAATATTGCTTCTTCTGTAAGGTCCAGCTTAGGTTCTACTTGATCTGTGAGGTCTTGTCTACCCACCTGAGCCACGAGGCCCTCCTGGCCACCCTCCTCTATCCCCAGCACTGATGCTTTGTATTAGCGTATTTGTTACTGATTCACAGCCAGATTTTTGGTTTTGCCTTTTTTTTTTTAAAGTGGCTTTCAGTATAGATATCTTTCTTCTTCATCTACATTGGACATCTTCTGAGGGCACATGTAATTTCTGATTTTTTTTCTCTATGTCCTCTTCGCCTATGCTGGGCATATAGTTGGTTTTCAGTAAAAGTAGAATGAATGAATGAATGAGTGAATGGTGTATGATTTGCAAAATATTAGGGAGACTTCAGACGACAAATTCCCATGATTTAGCTTATTAAAACAAACCCACAACAGGCCAGACATGATGGCTCATGGCTATAATCCCAGCTCTTTAGGAGACTAAAGCGGGAGAGAATTGCTTGAAGCCAGGAATTTAAGACCAGCCTCGACAACATAACAAGACTCCATCTCTATAAAAAAATTTTTTTTAATTAGCTGGGCGTGGTGGCACATGCCTGTAGTCCTAACTACTCGGGAGGTTGAGGCAGGAGGATTGCTTGAGCCCAAGAGTTTGAGGTTACAGTGAGCTATGAGTTCACCACTGCATTCTAACCTGGGTAGCACAGTGAGACCCTGTCTCTAAGCAAACCAACTAACCAACCCTGAACTTACAAGATTTAGCCTTGGAGGGAAAGAGAGAGAGAGAGAGAGAGTGTGTGTGTGTGTGTGTGTGTGTAGGTGGCAAATGGTTCCAAGTCTGTTCCTCTGAATTCACCTCTTTTGGATCTTAGGGGAACTGTAGGCCTCCTTTAACCCCTTGATCCAAGTTTGGACCCTGACCTTACTGTGAGTCCCCTGAGTGCAGCTGAGGCAGGCTGGCAGTGTTCTGACTTGTCTGAATGATAGTGCATGAGAGATAGGGAACTAGACAAAGAGAGAAGAAATGTGAAGCATCTGGCTCACTTAGTCTAGGACACTCAGTCTCTGGCCCTAAGGGGTGGATGCAACTCCCCTAACTCTAGCCTGGTCCTCTGCTTTCCAGCTGCAGCCCCTTGCCTCTGTGGGAGGTCTAATCAGAAACTTTCCCCCCAGGAGCTCCTTCTTGGATATATGACATTTTAATGTCTAAGATTGGAGGACCTGGTTTCTACTTCTCTGAATACACACTTCCTTTATTCAGTTTGAGAGATATATCCAGGATGATCACTATTCAGGTGACACTTCTGCCACTCCACTCTGCACAAATGTAGTTCTGGTTTGTCCTTTATTTGACTCTAATAGCATGATGATACCTTAGCCATATCATCAAGAAGACATCTATATTCTGATAGTTACACAAAATAACACATTATTCTGTGCCATCCCAGCTGGGCCCTGATCCTGCTTACAAGTTCATCATTATTAATACCATTCCTTTGGATTAAGCATTGACCTTTCCAGCAGAATCTCCCACTGGGAATGGTAACATATCAGGTTCCTCATACCTTGGAGTACATTCCTTTATCAACATGTGTTCTTTCTCGTCACAAGGAATCTGGAACAATTTATAAGCTCTGGATTCCTTCAAACAGAAGAGACAGCTTCTGGCCAAATAATAATTGTCAATTACATTGCTCCTTTCATTTACGAAGTGTTGTATGTCTCATATGTTTCTTTAAATAGTTCTGTGAAATAGGTATCATATGCCCATTTTGCCAATGAAGAATCTAAGATTCCTAGGAAAACAATGGCTTGACTTGCCCAAGGTCACAGAGGTAGTAAGTGGTGGAGCTACCTAACTCCAAAACCGGTCCTCTTTCCATTGTAACTCCTGGCTCCTTCTACCAGCATCTTCCCTTTGATCTGCCTAGGCTTATTCTGGCTTTAGCCCCAGGTTTTTTCTGTGATTCCAGGCTAAACTATTTATTAATTTCTCTGCTGCTTCTATACCTTTTTATTCTTGGGAGAGTTCCATGGATTCCAGCAAGAAGAAGTTTTACCTCTCAGGCCCTGAGATTCTTCTGTGGCTTCTCATGCTGATGACGGAACCCTATCCATTTCCCTTTGCTAGAGCTCTTACTAGTTTCTGCTTTTATTTTTTCTACTGTCAGATTTGTTGTTGGTTCTGCTTTCTCCCTAATCTGTCCCATATTTCTCACCATTTGTCCTGTCAGTATTGCTTTGATTCATTAAGGCTCCCCCATCTATCAGGTAGGCTTGGTTTCCCACGTGCATTTATTTATTTACTCACTCACTCATTCATCAACTGTTTTCTGAATACTGATGTCAAGCACTGTATTTAGAGTTCCAAGATGTTAAAATATGGTTGAGGAGATCAAGGAATCAGGAGCCCTTTACAATTCAATATGGAAATGGTTGTGATGGCATAAACATAAGATGTTTGTGGAGCATAAGAGGAGGGATATGTCATCCAGATTTGAGGGAGCTGGTCAGAACAGTCTTCTCGGAGGGGATCATGTCTGAACTGACTCCTAAGGGATGAGCGGAAATTGCCTTAGAGTGAGTGAGTGATGATGGTGGTGGTTGGGGGAGTTGTGGAGAGGGCAGAGTTTCAGGCAAAAAGAGCTGCTTATATGAAGATCCAAAGCTGCACATTCAGGAAACTGCAAGCACTTCAGCATGACTGGAGCAGAGCCTGTAGGGATGGTGAGGGATGAGACAGGAGAGGTCATCTGGAACCAGATTGTATAGGACTCCTATTTTGTTCTGAAGGTGATGAGGGGCCATTGAAAGATCTGAAGTAGAAGAGTGGCTGTTTAAAATAGTGTTTTAGAAAGATCACTGTGATGGCAGGGTGAAAGATGGATTGGAGAAAGGGAGAGATAAGAGGCAAGTCAGAAAACTGTGACAGTGATTGAGGGCTAAGTTGCGGAGAACTTGAACTAAGGTTATGGCAGCAATAATGGAGAGAAGTAAATAGGTTCAGAATATCAGGGAGGTGGAATTTCTAGGACTAGTAGCTGATTAGCTGCCCATGGAGTTGAGGATGCATGCTATTTTGTCTTACCCTTAGATTTGTCTGCCTTGCTGTCTCCTACAAGCAGTTCCTTTTTGCTGTCTGAAGAGAAACCTGATGTTTGTTTCCTAGTTAACTATCAATTTCCCTTTCCCTACCCCATCTTCCCTCTGAGATCCTTCTCCTTTTGGCTGACTCTACCTTTATCATCTGTCTGACTAATGTCCAGGTTATTTTTTCAATTTGTACTTGGAAACCTGAGTGACAATTTGATATTTCTTTAGGCAACCCTCATTCCCCCTCTGCCTGGATAGTTCTATCCTCCTCCAAGAGTGGTACCTGGGGAGGAGTGAGGAAAAGGGCAACCTTATTTGCGGAGCTATCTCAAAAGAAAGAGGAGGCAAGTATCTGCCTTACATTTTTAGAATAGAAGATCTTTAAACACAGGGAAAGAACATATAACTAATTCTCATTGTGAGAAGAGAAAGCCCATTGTAGGCAGATTGAAATGCAATTGGTGACATTCAGAACTGACCCCTCCATGGTAGTGCTGACCAATTTAATCTTTTATGGAATAGAATAGAGCATTAGCATCAGAAGGCACTGTAGAGTTTATCCAGTTCATCACCCTCATTTTGCAGATGAAGACTCTGAAGTCTCTAGGGATCCTGTGGTTTGCTCAAGGTCTTAATTATTTAGTAGTAGAACTGGGACCAGAATGGGGACCTCTAGTTCAGTTCTTGTTTCACTAGTCTGATGAAAGTACATTTTTTTTTTTTTTTTTTTTGGTCATAAGTTTGACAGTTTGACAGACTAGAGAATAAGAGACTCACAGGATGTTTTAATGATAATCCAGTTTGATATTTTCCTCTTTCCCCAAGACACTGGAAATAGCTTTCCGAGGGTCATGGACTGGGCGAGGAGAAGAAGGGCCTGCAGACTTATAGCCTAGTGCTCTTCCCAGCACAGTCCAAAGTCTCATCTAGGGCCCAAGACTTGGACAACTGTGGCTCCAAGGACACTGAGCAGAATCATTCTTTAAATATATTACAACCACATTCAGTTTCATAAGATCGAAAGACATGATTTCTTTCTTTTTACCCTGAGGTTTTTTTTTTTTTTTTCTTATTTGATAGAAGTGTATGGCTGTGGAAATTACGTCAGTTTAATTAGGCTGCTTGACACAGTACTTTTCCACTGAATTTACTAGGAACTGTGAATTTGTTGTAACAAACTGCACTGCCGGCTGCAGTATCTGATTGGCATGCCAGGAGCATCACTAGCGAACAGCTAAATAGAGATTGGGGAGAAAACTGGGTCAGGAAACAGGCCTCCTGTACCTGCAGAGGCTGCAGAAGGCGGCGCAGAGGCGGCAGGTGGCCACAGCATGGCACTGTCTCCTAGAGCCTGAGCCACCAAGCGCCCCACCCCCACTTAGCTCTGTGCTGCAACCCCCACCCCACCAACCCCCTTTGCAGGTGATTGTTCCTGTGGCCATTTTGCCTTCTGTTTCTCTAAAGACCACAAAGCTTTTATATCTCGCAGCTCAAGAATGGCTTTTTCTCAATAAAAAAGACAGAGACTGGTTTAGACCGAAACTTCGTTAGCCACTGGTATTCTAAACCATGGATCAAGTCTTTTGGCTTTGCAGAGCTGGTTTTGTCAGGAGGCTGAAACTGGGTTTGAGAGTTCTGCACGGTAATGAGGAAAGGGTTGGTAATGTTTCAGTTTGCCTGTCTCCTGTATTCCCTTCCTTATCAGCCCACCCCTCCCCGTGCCCTGCTCCAACTATGTAGCATCCACCTCTGACAGTGTCAGTGCTGAGCACCAACACAAATTAGGAGCTCCTAGAGAAGGAATGAGTGGTTATGCCAGAAGGGTCAGGGGAAGCTTCTTGAAGGCAGTGGCATTCAAACTAGGTTTTGAGTGATGAATTGGGTCAAGACAGGAAGAAATGAAGGGAAGATGCTAGTGGCCTCCCATGCTGGTCTCAGGACTGCCTTGTTAAGGCTGGAGACCTCCTCAGCAATCTGGGGTTGGAATCTATTTCAGAATTTCGAGGCTGACTGAGACCCTAAGGATCTGCTCATCCAAGCTCCTTATTTTATTTATTTATTTATTTATTTTTCAAGCTCCTTATTTTAGAGATGGGCAGACTAAGGGACAGAGAGGAAAGGACCAGAGCATAGGCCAGTCTAGTGCTGTTACAACCACACAGTTCCCATTTGTGCACTTGTCCTCATTTCTAATGGGTCTCTGAAAACATTCACTTCTTCTTTCTGGGTTTCACTCCTGTCACCTCTGACTCCTGTCATGTGAGCTCTGAGAGACCCAATGGTCTCCACTTATAAATTACCCATTAGAGAAGGAGCCCTGGGTCCTGCTGACTTTGGATTCCAAGGTCACTCCAATCTCTGCCAGATAACTGCATCCTTCCTCCTCAGACTAAGCCTGGTTCAGCCAGTGCTGGTTGTTCAGCAAGGCTGGTGCCTCCCCAAGAATGCTTGGTAGGAATGGGTCTTGCCTCAGAGCAAGGGCTCAGATTCTCACAGTCAGAAAAGCTGAGTGTGTCAAGAACCCAGGCCATTGCACTTTTATGCTATTCTGTGAGAAAACTGGGCTCATTGTGACTAAAAATTGTTTCAATAAATTACACTTCAATTTATTGAAATTTGCTTTAAAGACAATGTTTGTTAGAACATTTAAATTCTGTACAGCATCTCTTTCGCTTTTGAAGAGAAACAGAGGGTGGAATAAAAGCAATCTCCCTAATAAATTTTCCTGGATATTTTGGATAGTCTCCAGTATGAGGAATGTTGTCTTTGGACCAAGTATTGATGTTACAACTGAAATGCAGAAATGTGTACCCATATTCTTATAGATGTACTAAAGTTTGCTAATCAAATGAAGTATTTGTGTAGGATCTTTCAGGGCCAATTTCAAGACCAACATGTTTTGGAAGACAGTTGATATTTCAGATGTCAAGTAGTCTCTGGGTTGAGCAAAGTTGGAAAAACAGATGAACCCATTAGGATAGGTGAAACTTCTGCCTGTGAGAATTAGGCTTTGATGACCCAGGGAATCAGGCATCCAGGACTGATCCAGTTCTCAAGCAGAAGTTTCTGTCTTGCACTGCATTGCATTGTGTTTTGGGTCAGAGAAGGTGGTTTTAAATGCCTCTAAATAATTTCCTTGGTCTTGGAAGGTTATATCTGTTTGCAGACTGGTAGGCCTTGCATCTAGTTGGTATTTACTAAAATAAAGAAAGAGGGAGAAGGAAAGAAGAAATGCTTCTTGATACCTAGGGAGGTTTCTACTCAGAGGCTGACATAGTCATATAAATTTCCATTTATTCTTAAACTAGGACTTGTCACTAGAGTCACCTAACAGTTCATAGAAATGGTTTGAATAGACAGAGTAAAGCTGGAGAGAGATTATAATTTGAAGTTTATCAAGAGTCACCTCTCTTCCTAGAACAGTTACATTAAAGGAATTGAAAGGCAGGGCCTGTGGCTATAGTCGAATGCCCCAGCGGGGCTCAGTCTGGCATGGTGGAGGCTGGCTGGGTAGTCTTTCCAGGATCCCAGCCTCTTTGGTCATGGACATTTATCTTAAGAGTAGACTTTAGTCCTCAACCATTCACTTTTAGCTGCTGCAAAGGGTACCTTGGAGAACCCCCACTCTTTTCCTTGAGGACTTCACTTCTGCTTCACTGGTTCAGGCTGTGGCCAATGTTCCTACTTCCAGCCTTGGAAATGCTTTTCTGTTTCTTGGAGCCCTCATTAGCCCTCTGATACAAAATCAACACAGGGTCTAAAGCAGTGGGCTGCATTTTCTCCTCTTCCCTCGGCTTTGCTACTATCCCAATCCCTGAACACTTCCCTGCATATACTCCCCTGGCCCTAGATACCTACTCCTCTGTTCTAGGCACACAGAGCAGTTGTGGGCTAACTGATCTGGCACTTGTGGTGATGCCTGCAAGGCCTACACGGCCAAGGTGAAGGAGGGATTATAGTGTTCATAGTTGATGGCTGTTACCTTGTCACTTAAGATGACCTACGGAAGTGGAGACTCCCCTTTCCCTTTTTCTCCACGGCTGTCCTCTTCCCTACATTAATGACTCCTCAGTTCTGATCATGGTTAGAAAGCTCAGGCAGCTTCAGTGTGCCTCTTCCTTCCTTCCATATTTATCTGTTCAATGATCAAATCCTGTGATTTTTACCTTTGGAATTTCTTTTATATCTCTCCCCGTGTTTTAACTTTTGCTGCCACCTGAACAATTGCAAATAAGCTTCTCTTCCCAAAGCTCTGCTCTGGAAATGTCTGTCCTGGTTGCAGCCTCTACAATGTCAGCTTCCATTGCTTGCTGCCCAGGCCTCTCCTCATTTACTTGTTTGCATCTCAGGCTTTTATACTAAATGTTCATTAAACATTCTACAATCTATCTAGGGTAACCTTGTCAGAACAGGGAGGGAAAAAGGAAATATCTATCTTCTTTCTTGTCATTTCTCTCAGATGAATGAATTAAATATTTTTATTGCCTTGAAGATTAATTATCTTCTGTCCCCAGGCCAGCTTTAGTATTCTAGCTGTATCTTCTTGTGACTGGACCTGCCAGTTGGAGTTTCTGCCCCCACTCTCAACTCTGTGTTTTTGCCAGGTTTTTCTTCATCATCATATCATGTAGGCTTCCGCAGTGAGTCACAGTCCAGGGGTTCAGAGAGACTAGAGTGTGACCTGCAGGGTTTAGAATAAATTTTGAATTATCTATCTTAGAGCTGAGAGACCTCCTGAAATCTTCTGGTCCTTTCTGGCACATGAGATACTGTTATTGTACTTAACAAGTGAAATACCTGAGACCTAGAGAGTTTAAATGACCAAGCTAAAGCTGCCCAGCTAATAAATTATGAGTCCTAATGGCAGATTTTATCCTTCCGAGGAAAGCCAACTCTTAATTTGGAAAAGGCATCAACTCTCTGGATTCTCTTTGCAGATAAAACAGTTTAGGACCTCCTTTTGTAATAACATGCCTTGTTAGTGTAAGGAAGGAAAGACAGCTTAGAAGTCATTTCCTTGGGGCAGGTGATGTCTGGTAGATAGGCAGATATCCCTTGTCCCTTGTCTTCTAGAAAGCTCATGAGCTCAGCATGTTGGCAACTCTAGTCCTGCATGCTTCTTGTTCAGCTAATCCTTGCAGGCGCTCATGTACAAAATGATTTTTTGTTTGTTTGTCTCTGAAGTGGCTTCTCAGTCCTTGAGGGCCACCAGGCACTAATTCCTCGTTTCTGCCCATGTTCCACCTAACTAAAAAAGTAAACTTATGTTCTTTGTACATGTGCTGCTCCCCTGACACCTCCTACCTTCCCCAAATCCCTCCATTCTTCTGGGTGTTCTTCTGTTCTTCTAGTTACCGAGGCTTGGGGTTCTCTGTGATTCAGCTTGATGAGAGTGCTCCAGTCAGTTAGTTCATCTGCACTCACCAACTCTGCCATTTTTTCTCTTGAACATGCTTTGCAAATTCATCCATTCCTGTTTGCTCCCTTGTGGCTTCCACCAGCCATAGCCGGGTGTCTGCGCCCTCTTTCCTGGACCACTGTAGCAGCCTCTTAGTGATCTTCTGGTCCTCTGTCCTTTCATACATCATGCAGAGTGATAGACTCCCAACTTTTGAACTTAAAACTTGGTAAAGCAATCAGGCCAAACGTTATAGCTCTTTCATCAATCAAACCTTCAATTCCCATATAGGTTTGTCAAAGTGGACTACTCCTGTCTGCTGCATGTTTACTCATTTGTTCCCTCCATCCCTCTCTCCCTTCTTCAGTGAAAAAATACAGTAATGTTTCTTTGCAAACTATAAAGCATGCAACCTTTTATCTGTCCAACAAAGTACCCTGCTATGTGAAAGGGAAGAATGGAGTTTTGGATTTGGTAACTACCTACTGTGTGCTGATAATTTGTATTTAGTATCTTATTTAATTCTCTTGTTATTCCTGTGAGTTAGATTGAGTTATGTTCACGTTACAGATATGGAAACTGAAGCTCTAAGAAAAAAGTAACATGTTCTCCTGCTCTGCTGCCATCCTGGTGCTAGACGCAGAGTGGTGGGTGGGAACTAAAGTCTTTAAGAGGGCAGGAGGGATAAAGCACACACATAAAACAGCTGTCATGGAAGAAAATGCTCATTGTCATGAGAACTGTAGTTATGGTGCTGTCAAAATTCTGAGCATGATGAAATTTCTTCTAGCTGGAAGATTAGGAAAGACTTCATGGAGAAGTTGGATTCCGCTGAGTGTGAAGGATGGGCAGTGTTTTGACAGAAGGAGCTGACAGGCAGAGATCAGGAAGGGAGGGACTAGCATAGGCAGAGGTACAGAGAGGAAATGCTGGTAGTGCCATTAGAAATCATTAGTTTACAGTCCACTTTGGTTGGAGCATGGACTTCTTGTGGTGGAAGATGTGGTGGGATGTAGGCTGTAAAAGTGAGCTGTAACCTGTTCATTGATGAACACTTAAACGTCTAGCTAAAGGATTCGTGGTTTGTTCTATAGGCTCAGGGGAGCCATTAGCAGGTTTTGAGCAGAGGAGTTGCTAGTCTGAGCTGAAGTCTAGAAAGGTTACTTTGGGCATCCAATGAATTGGAGAGAAGAAGAAACAGCAGAGAGAGGAAACACTTAAGAAACTATTGCCATTGTCCAGTACAGGTGTTTTGAGGGCCTGAACTAGTAGAGTGGCAGTAGAGATGGAAAAGAGGGGCAACATGAGAGCAGAACCAGGAAGGCAGAATTACAGGATTTGGTGGTTGGCCACACTTGGGGAGTGGGAGGAGGAGGTGATTCTGAGGTAACTACAATGATGGTGATGGCAGCACCTAACAGAAATAGGAGGATCAGTAAGGGAAACAGATTTGGGGGTGGGAAGGGATGAGGTGGGGGTAGACGGTGTGTTCTGTTTTGTGCAGCTTGAATTTTAGGTGCAGGTGAATTGCCTATTTCACATCTATGTTCAGTGTTCTTCACCACGACTGCCACCATTCCTGGTCCCCTTCTCTCCTCCCTCTTTATTAAGCAAACTTTTGGCTCCTTTTACAATGTGGCTGAGTGAAACTCTCAAGTAGTCTTTGTTTATCTTTGAATTTCTGATGTACCATCCATGTCACTTGGTATTTCCTAAGGCCAGTCTCCCCATTGTATGCTTCCACACACATAAATATACTTACAGGTATGAGCACCTGGTGGTTATAACTGGCATAGTAACACCAGTGGTTCATGTTTGTATGAACGTTTATGGTTGGCAAAGCAGTTAGAATTGTCAGAAGTATGTTGTACTTCTCCGCTAATCCCCTAGGTAGGGTCACTGAACCATTGACTCAATAAGCTAAAAAGGTTATTAGAGAATAAACAGTAGATTTTAGTTTAATAATAAATGCAATTGGAGCCATTAGCATATATCAAATAGGAAAGTTAGATGACTTTTAGCTGCTATAAGTACATAGATTTTGTTGGAAGAGATGATCAAATTTTAAAATATATTCAGGATGATAGCAATGCCGAGATTGATGTTTTGTGGGTATTAAGAATAGCTGTCATGTATAGGGTACTTTGTACAATACTGCTCTAAGCATTTTGCATATCATAATTCAAATCTCATGGTAACCTAGCGAAATGGCAACTATGTTATTCTTGTTTTTTAGGTGGGGAAACTGAGACGCTTAGAGTTAAGCAGCTTGCCCAAGGTCACATAGCTCAAATAAGGCAGAGCCAGGATTCAAACTCAGGCCGTCTGTTTCTAGACCCTGCACTATTAGCCACTATGTGTACTGCCCCTTGGTGATATTTCAGTCAGCTTTGAAATATTGTTTAAAGCAAACTCTAGCCCACTACTCTTAACTCCTAGAAGGTAGGGATATTGTCTTCATTCTGTCTGTATCCCTAGTGCCAGCACATTGCCTGACATATAGTACATGTTCATTAATTTTTTATTTAGTTTTTTTTTTTTTTTGGAGGCAAGAGTCTCAAAATTCAGGCTGGAGTGTAGTCATGCCATCATAGCTCTCTGCAGCCTTGAACTCCTGGGCTCAAGCCATCCTCCCACCTCAGCCTCCTGAGTAGCTAGGACTACAGGTGTGTGCTACCATGCCTGGCTAATTTTTTAATTTTTTTTTAGAGATGGGGGGTCTCAGTATGTTGTCCTGGCTGGTCTTGAACCGCTGGCCTCAAGTGATCCTCCTGCCTCAGCCTCCCAAAGTGCTGGGATTACAGGTGTGAGCCACCATACCTGGCCTCATTAAATGTTTGATGAATGAATATCTTTCTAAGTTACTTTCCTAATCTGATATGAAGTGAAGGTGGTCAAGGAAGTTTCTTACATATTCCTGTTGTTGCTGCTAGAGATGCTGTATTTCACAGAAGAGGTATGGTATGGTGATATATTAATAGGTACACCTTTGGTGTAGATTTGGACAAATCACTGAGACTCTCTAAGCCTTAGTTTTATTATCTGTAAAATAGAAACAATGATGGAACCTGCAATGTAGGGCTTTAGTAAGGATTAAATGAAATAATTCTTGTAAAACTCTTAGCATTGTACTTGGCACATAGAACTCAGTAAATTTTGGATTATATTATTACTGATGGAAATTTTGAAACCGTAGAAGGGAAAAAAGTCATTTTTTAGAGTAGGACCAAATTATTAATTAAAATGGAAATATACAGTGATTTTAAAGTGCCCTGGTATTTATCTGTTCTCACACTGCTATAAAGAAATATCTGAGACTTGGTAAATTATAAAGAAAAGAGGTTTCATTGGCTTATGGTTCTGCAGGCTGTACAGGGAGCATAGTGGTTTCTGCTTCTGGGAAGGCCTGAGGAAACTTACAATCATAGTGGAAGGGAAAGAAGAAGCAGGCATGTCTTAGATAGCTGGAGCAGGAGCAGGAGAGAGAAGGAGGAGGTGCTACATACTTTTAAACAACCAGCTCTCACGATCACTCACTCACTATCATGAGAATAGCACCGAGAGGGTGGTGCTAAATCATTCATGAAGGGCCACGCCTATGATCCAGTCACCTCCTACCAGGCCCCACCTCCAACACTGGGGATTACAATTTGACATGAGATTTGGTGGGGACACAGAACCAAACCATATCAGGCCTTTAGAGATCTAAAATAATTGTTGATGGGTGCAAAAATGTTTTGTTTGCTCATAAAATTATAGCTAACACATTTAGAGAGAATTAAACTCAAAGTTTTGGAAGAGTTGTTTTTCTTTTCCATCTAATGTTTCTTAATGAAATATAAAGGAGGTCTGGGGGAAAAACGTTTTCCTACCCCTCAAACAATTTCACACTTCCCCTTTTGTTTCTCTGGGCCATTAGATATTCAGTGGACAAGGGGGCAAGTGAACCATCATGTAAGCATCTACTTTGTCCAAGATGCTAAATAATAGCTAACTGAATTCAACTCTTAGGATAGTCCTGTGAGGTTAGTACTATAATTCCTATTGTGCAGGTGAGAAAACTGAGGCCCAGAAAGTCTTAGTAACTTGGCCAAGTTCACAGAAGATTGTGATAGAACCTGAAGTTCAACCTACTCTTACCTGGACTACTGCAGTAGCTTCCTGACAGTCTGTGATTGCAGAGCTCATGTTCCTTTCTCCCTGCCGTGCACCCTTCCTGCTGTGTGTGGCAGAGGGTGACAGCTTATGTTCACAGCTTCACTTTAGAGCTGCTAGAACAGGAATTCATTCAAAAATATTTGACCTGTATATTGCTTGAAGGCAAGACAGGGCCAGATTCCTGAGTTTCTCAGTCACCATTGCTGCCTACTTATTTAAAATATATTTTTTAATAGTGTTAAATTATCATGAATGCTCAGCCCTGCCAGTGTGGCCCCTCTATAAATGGGACATATTATTAAATGGAACTTGACAAGAGAAATCTATGTAGCATAGCTTTTTGAAAACTTGGTTATTCCCTTCTGGAATGTATTTTAAGGTTTCAAATTGTGCTTTTGATAGACCGTTTACCAACATTAGGGGTTAATGGGGTCCTTAGTCTTCTTAGAGTGGCAGAGAAAGAAATGAATATATAGTGGTGTGTTTTGTGAGTGGACCTCCCCATTCTCCATGCTAGGCTGAAGGTACAAGTGGAGGCAGAAAAGTCAGACAGGAAGGGGATAGGATCAGTCAACCAATCCACCCCAACCACAGCCTTTCTATTGCTATACATTAGATTTGTTTTTCTGCCTGCTTTCTATCACTATAAATTAGATTTGACTTTCCTAGAGTTTCATATTAATGAAATCATGCACTATTTACTTTTTTGTGCCTGGCTTCTTTCACTCGGCACAGTGGTTTTTGAGATTCATCCATGTTGTTATGTGTTTCAGTAGACTGTTGCTTTTGTATTGATTAGTGGTATTCCATTATATGGTTGTACTATGCTTTGTTTATTCACTTATCCATTGTATTAGTTCTCTCTTGCTGCATAACAAATTACCACAAACTTAGTGGCTTAAAACAGCACATAATTAATAGTTCATAGTACTGTAAGCCAGAAGTCTGGGTGGGATTGGCTGGGCTTTCTGTTTAAGATTTCACAGAGCCTAAATCAAGGTGTCAGCTGGACTGGATTCTTACCTGGAGACTCTAGGGAAGAATCAGCTTCTAAGCTTGTTCAGATTGTTGGGAGATGTCAGTTCTTTGAGATTATAGGACTGAGGTCCCTGTATCTTTGCTGGTTGTCAGCCTTGAGTTGTCGTCAGCAATAGATGCTGCTCTCCAGTTCTTTTATGTAGCACCACATCTTCAAACCCAGCAATGGTCCCTTACATCCTTCTTGTGCTCCTAGTCTTTCTGATTTCTCCTTCTGCCATCAGCCAGAGAAAACTCTCAGCTTTTAAAGGGCACGTGTGATTGATTAGGCCCACCTGGAGACAGTCCTTTGATTTTTGGTAGAGCTTTATTTTTAGAATGGCCTTTCTAATATTAAGGTGTACTTTGACTTTTTAAGACTTCCCTTCCCTTCCCTTCCCTTCCCTTCCCTTCCCTTCCCTTCCCTTCCCTTCCCTTCCCTTCCCTTCCCTTCCCTTCCCTTCCCTTACCCTTCCCTTCCCTTACCCTTCCGTTACCCTTCCCTTACCCTTCCCTTACCCTTCCCTTACCCTTCCCTTACCCTTCCCTTACCCTTCCCTTCCCTTACCCTTCCGTTACCCTTCCGTTACCCTTCCGTTACCCTTCCCTTACCCTTCCCTTACCCTTCCCCTTTCCCTTCCCCTTCCCTTCCCGTTACCCTTCCCTTCCCCTTCCCTTCCCCTTCCCTTCCCCTTCCCCTTCCCTTCCCCTTCCCTTCCCCTTCCCTTCCCTTCCCCTTCCCTTCCCTTCCCCTTCCCTTCCCTTCCCCTTCCCTTCCCCTTCCAAGTCTTCTGTTCTCCAGACTGAAAACACTCATTTTTTTCCCTTTATTTTTTATGTGATACGTTGTAGCATAGCATTAAGTGTACTCTCTGGAATTATACCATAATTTGATTTAAATTGCAGCTATGCCACCTATGAACTGTAATATTGAAAAAGTTAACTTCTCTGACCTATGGTTTCCTTATGTACGTATACTTTATAGAATTAAATCACAGATTAAATGAGCTAATGCATGCAAACAAAATTCCTAAGCCCTTTTCCTGTGACATTATATACACCCCATATATGTTAGCCAATATTATCATTTCAATATTGCTACCTTTTCCCCATTTTGTTCTTTTTCTTCTGAATGTGGTTCATTTTGTCAATGATCTTAATAAAATGTACTCCCCAAATTGTATAGTTGTCTTAAAGAGATTCATAGCCCCTTTTTCAATAATTCTATTTTAGAAAACTTATCCCAAGGAAATAATTAGAGATGTTAAGATTTTTTGTTCACCACACACTTTATAATGACAAGTTATTGAAAGTAATGTAGGTACCCCATAGAAGAGAAATAGTGAAATAAGGTATATTCCTATGATGCTATAAAGTCTGGAAAATCACATTTTCAATGAAACAATGATATGGGAAACATAAAATGTTAAAGGCAAAGGTCATGATATAAAACTGAATATATAGTATGACTATAAGCTGTGTTTCTGAAATTATATATATTTTATTCACATGCAGACAAATATCGATAGGAAAGGACTAAAGGGAATATACCACGTGTTAAGTGGACAGTGGGATTATGGGTGTTTTTGTTTTCCTTATTATATTCTTTGCAATAAGTGTATATTACTTTTATAACCTAAAAAAATAAATAAACTTTATTTAAAAATTATTATGTATATGTATATGTATGTCACCCAGAACAGAACCTGAAAATCTACAACTTTATTTTGTACCAGAAAAGTTGCAGTCATGTCAGTAGATCAAGAAGGTCACTGTGATGATCACTCAGCTAGGAACTGGACTTCTGGCAGTGGGATTCTAGCAAGCTGCCCCTGGGGACAGGACAGCAGCACTCCTAAGTCTGCTGACTTGTCGGGCTGTGCCTAGGAAGAGAGTCTGTCAGGCTGGGTTACGTGGCACCAGTCAGCTGCAAAAGATATATTCATCATTCTTGCTGCTGTGTTCAATGTTATATTGTATACACTTGCTATGATAAGCTTTGATCTCTCTGTCACATCTTATCTTCATTATTGACTTTTTAATCCCAGAAAGAGTAAAGCTTTAGGACCTGGCCTCAATACGTTTTGTTTTGTTTTAATCACAAAATCAAAAGTGATCCTTACGGTGAGGGGCTCTGGGGTACCAGAGGGCCTCTTGATTAGGGGCCATGTTCACGTGTTTGTGCCTCATGCCTGGCAGTGGCCCAGCCAAGCTCTGCTGTGCAGCTGCAGCAAAGGCAAAGATTCTTGGGCTCTGTGCACAAATGGCTCAGAGTCAGCCTGTCATCTGGTTGTTGTTGTTGGGGATAGAATGGAGACAGGAAGGGGCTGTGCTGCCTTTCCCCATACACTACAGGCCCACTTTTTAACTGTCTCTGCCCTGTGGCATCACCCAGGGAACTTTTCCCTAGGCCTTGTGGGATCTGCCTGTGATGTTTTGGGAGGCCATTCTGTTTAGCCACTGACTCAAATTCTTAACGTCTGAAGGATCATCAGTCTCTGAATTCAGCCATTACTTACAGAGTTCAATGCATTTACAAGACCCTGGTGAGGAGCTGAGGAAGTTCAGAGATAAATTCAGTGTCATTCATTTAGCATTTCCTGAGTACTAATGTGTCAGCCTCTGAGCCAGGAGCAGTAAGGGGTACCCAGATAAGTGGCTTCAATTCAACAAACATCTCATTAAGACCTACTATGTACACAGCACTGTGCAAGCCACTGGGGATAGAAATGAATGAAATATATCCCGCGTGATTAAGAAAGTTATAATCAATATAATTTGGGAAGAGACAGATTTGAAAACCACTTAATAATAAGTAGAGAAAGTACTATTTCTATAGCAGGACCCAGAGGAGGAAGCAATTACTTATGAAGTGGCCCATCCACTTACTAGCTATGTGCTTTTAGTCAAGGTATTTAACCATCCTATTTCTCAGTTAATCTATAAAATGTGGATATAATGTGTTAATCCACCAAAAGTACCTAGAATAGGTTTAGTAATCACTAAATGTAATTCTTTTCCTTTTCTTCTTCTCCTCTCTCCTTCCTTCTCAAGGATGAGTGGTGAAGGTACACTGAAGTGAGAGCACAGTGTAAGTTGGGCATGATGAGGAGTGGGGTGGTGGGATGCTGTGTGGAGGGGTTTGATGAGGTAGGAGTGCAAGTACTTGTGGGTAATTTTACTGGGGAAAGAGGCTAGAGAACTGCATTGGGTCTAGACCATGGAAGATCTTAAATACCAGACAAAGGAATTTGGACTTCGGCAATGTGGAGCAAAATAATTCACTTGTACTTTAGGAAGACCATTTTGACAGAGTGGGGGAGAGGTCAGAGGGGAGAGGAGCACAAGGAAGCTGCTGCACAATCCCAGGCAAGAGCTAAGGCCAGAATTAAGACTCAGACCATTTCTCTGACACCCTCAGTGTCATGGAGGCTGAGCAAGATATTTAGTTCCACCCTTTCTATGTGCCTGTGGTTTTCTTGCTGGAGGAACACTGGTTTGAGTGATAGTTTATTCCATGTAGCCCATAACTTTTAATATTGTGAAGTTATGTTCAGCCTTCTGATCTCAAGGCTGATCTACCCATGCATCCCTGCCCATTTGGCTGTACTCATCACATCATATGAGAGTTGAGCATATACACAAGATCTTTCTGCACGTGGATACTAGTGGCTTGTATAGAGCTGAGCCACTGTGGAACCAGCTGAACTATGAAATAGCCTCATGTAGGGGAGCCTCTCTGAAAAGAGGCCCAGTATTTATTTACAACAATGAAAATTACCTTGATATAGATTCCATATAAAGATGTTTTCCAGAGGCCCCATGATATGAAAAGAGTGGGGATATCAAGGGAGATGGAAGTAGTAATATTGGTTGAACCACTTCTAGATACTAGGAGATGGGTTGGGTTCTTTAGCATATTTGATCTCATTTAATCTTCACTATCTGGTGGGGCAAATATTACTACACCCATTTTACAATGAAGAAGCAAAGGTTCAAAAAGTACAGGCTTCATGCCCAAGGTCAGACAGCTTACATATGTCAGACCTTGGACCAGGCTTTTAATGTCCATGAGCCTCAATTTTCTCATCTATTTAAAAAAGTCATAATAAAACCTACTTTTAGGGCTATTTTGTGGATCAAATAAGGTTCTGTACAGATAAAGAGAAAATCATTCCCTGGCATCCAGGAACTGGCCTGGTACTATCAGTCACTGGGCCTTGGTGTTGCTGTGAGCTGGCCTGGCACTCAGGTAGGTCTTGATGTTCTCCTGTTGAACATATACTACTTGACAAAACGTCAACATCAGACAAGGCCACTCTGTGACCATGATGGATCAAGACAAAAATAAGACCACTTTGTAATCATGTGTGAACACAGACAAAACATGAACATTGTCCAAGCCATAAATCACCAAACATCCCACTTTTCTGTCTAATAGAGTCCTTTCTAATATGTTCCAGGCTGGAGTGCAGTGGTATGATCTCAACTCACGGCAACCTCCACCTCCCAGAGATGCTCCATGGTTTCCTGTAGTGTGTGTTCTCCTTCACAGCAATAAGTAGTAAACCCGTCTGTTCAACTACACACAAGTTCCTGGTAGTCTTGGGCTGCAGGGCATTAACAGTGAATACACTTGGAAACCGCTCAGTGCTAGACAAATGTTAGTGGATGTTTTAAGTCAGTTATCTATCGCCACAGTAATGTTACGTAATAAATCACTCATAACCTAGTAGTTTAAAAACTTCTAGGTTCTACTACGAGAAACAGTTATTTGTTCATGTGTCTGTGGCTCAGCTAAGTGGTTCTTCTGGTCTTGGCAGGTCTTGCTCCCATGCCTAGGTCTTGGCTGATCTTTGATTAGGACAACTGGGAGTGGCTCAGCACTGTTCCACATATCTCATCATTGAACAGGGTAGCCTGGGTGAGTTCTCATGGCAGTGGCAGAGGGCAGAAGGCAAAAATGAGCATAAATATACAAATGATTTTTCAAATCTCTACTTGTGTCACATTTGCTAACATCTAGTTACCCAAGCAAGTCACATGGCTGAGTCCAAAGCCAAAGGATGACGGGCTGGTAAACTGTCTCTGAATGGGAAGGCAATTCATGGCAAAGGATGTGGATATGAGGAGGAGTAAGAATTGGGGACATTCATCCAATCAGTCTATAATAGTGTTCTTATGTTTTACTATCTTCTAGGCATGCTTCCTTTTTATCCCCAAGTGCTCCTCACATTTTTCCTAACTCTGTAGTGTTTTTCTGGAAAAAGCTGGAAGCTTCCCCTCCCCTTTTTCACCCCCATTTTAGGCATAGTCCTACTCCAGAATTTATCTATATGCAAATACTTATTTTCAGAATTTTTGCCCACTTGGAAAAAAGATCCTAAAAGATAGACAAGGAGACCAAAGAAGGTGGTGGCTTAGGAAAAATGTCTAGCCAATAGTAGGACAGATACAGAAACTCAGAACTCAAAAGGATTTTAATAATTAGCTTTGAGAGGCAGTCTGTACTTAAATGCTTCCCATAGTGGGTAGTAGCTCACCACCTTACAAGATATACCACTCTGTTTTAGAATAGCTCTGTGTTAAAAAGGTTCTTCTGCATATTAGACCACATTCTATGTTAATAACACTGTTTTGCCATCTGGAACCCTGCAGAACAAGTTTTCTATGTGACTGTCTTTCAGTTATTTGAAGAGTCATATGCACCTCCACCTACCACGTCCCTACAAATCTTTTTTTCCAGGCTTAACATGTATTGTTTCTTCAGCAGCTCATTATATGACAATTTCTACATGTTTTAATATTCTGGTTACTTTGATCTTATTATTCCTTAAATTCAGTATCTTAAAATGTGAGAGAGAGTCCCGAACTGACCACAGCTCTCCAAATATGATGTGACCAGCACAGAGGACACTAGGACCAGTTCATTTTTGTGGGCAAAAATGTAATGCAGCCCAGGATCCTATTTTTTGAGAGGCTATGTCACATTGCTGACTCAAATTGCAAGTATGGATCTTTTTTCACAAGAAATGCTTTTTAGTCAGGTCTTGCCAATTCTGCATCTCTACAACTTTTTTTTTGAAACTGAGTTTAGGAATTCACATTTTAAATTATAACCTATGTGTTTCTACTTGTTCATCTCGTTGAGTCCAGAGCATCTCATCCAAGGTACTGGCTGTCTCTCCCAGCATTATAAATTCTGTGTGTTTAGTAAGCAAACCTTCAGTCTTTATCCAATTTGTTGATCAGAAGTTTAGTTAGGCCAAATTGAGGGCCATATTCCTTGGTAAACCACAAGATGCCTCTAGGTAAGAGCTTCACATAGGAAGATTTCTGTTTTAGTCTCTGGCTTATATTCCAATGAGTATCATTATTTATTTTGATGCTCAAATTGTCTTATATTTAGCCAGTGGGAACCCCTTCAAGTTTGCTTCTGTGTCATTTGACATGCCCCCATCATTTTTTGAGCACTTTTTTTTGCTCTCTGACACAAGATGTTACAGGTTCATCTTATACTTTCCCTGCCTCAGTCCTAGAATCAGCCATTTCTCCAAGAATAATTTTTTAGTGGAGAATGATTTTTAGAAATAAAAATCAGCTAGGCGCAGTGGCTCATGCCTGTAATCTCAACACTTTGGGAGCCTGGGAGGTGGGAGTATCGCTTGAGCCCAGGGGTTTGAGACCAGTCTGGGCCACATCATAAGACCCCATCTCTACAAAAAATCAATCAGTCCATCAATCTCAGGTCTGGGTGTGCTTGTATCATTGGAGATTGCTGCTCACAGCCTCCCTCAGTGGACAAAGCTGAGAAAACATGTGAGAGAAAACGTGAGAAAAACATGAGTTTGTGCATATACAGACACACACACACACAGCCCTACTTTTCTATATATATTTCTGTTTCTCTGTCTGCCTTGAAAATAATGAGTTCACGCCAGCGTCTTTAGTTATAATGCAGCACTACAGAGTTCCTTCTATATCTCACTCTTTCAGTTGTAATTCATTTCCCTGACTATGAGAAACCTGGCTCCCATTATCTTCAATACATTTACTTACTTGCTCAGTTCTCCTGTATGAAACCGACCCATTGCATCACAGTCCTGCTGACTACCTTCCTTGCACAGGTTGATTCCCCACCAGGCCACAGCTGTCCAGCCAGGCTCTGAACCTTCACTGGGACCCTGCTGCCCCTTCTTAGCCACTTTTCTCATGTAGGTTCTGATGCTTGGCCACTTTCCTCACTTAGGCTTAAGAAGGAAGCTATCCTGTCTTTTTTTTTTTTTTTTTTTTTTGGTTGAAGTGTAACTTACCTACAGTAAAATGCACAGATCTTAAATATTCAACTCAGTGACCTCTTATATTTGTATGCACCCATGTAATCACCCAAATTAGGCACTTCAGTAAGCTTCCTGGATATACCTATCCCAAAATAACCATTATTCTAAACTTTCACCACAGATTAATTTTGCTTAACTTTTTATTTTGAAATGATTTCAAACTCACGGAAGAGTTGCAAGAATAATATAAAGAATTCCACAAATCCCTTCACCCAGACACAGAATGTATTAACATTTTGCCACATTTGTGTCCTCTCTCTTTTTAAAACAATTTAACGTTGATAGAATACTCTTATCTAATCTACAGAGCTTCTGTATATTTTTCCAGTTGTCTCAATGATGTCTTTTATGACAATTTTTCACTTTGATCTAGCATCCAGTTCAGAATCATATATTGCATTTAGTTGTCATGTCCCCTTGCCTCCTTTATTCTGGAATAGCTTTTCTTTATCTCTTATGACATTGACATTTTTTAAGAGTACAGGACAGTTGTTTTGTATATAATGTCCCTCAATTGGTTTTATCTGATTTTTCCTCATGATTGGATTTCACTTACACACTTTTGGCAGGAATACTAAATAAGTGATGTTGTGTCTGTCTTTAGTGCATCATATGAGGAGGCACCTGATGTCAGTTTGGCACATTATTAGTGATTCTAACCTACATTTCTTGTGTAAGGTGGTGCTTGCCTCCTTTCTCTGCTATAAGGCTACCATTTATCCTTTGTAATTAAGAAGTAATCTGTGAAGAGATACTTTAAGACTATGTGAATACCCTTTTCCTCTTCAGACTTTTGCCCAGTAGTTTTAACATGCATTGATGATTCTTGTCTGAATTAACTAATGATTGCAAAATTATTTTCTAGCCCAATTATTCTTTTACATTTATTATTTTTGGCATCCTACTATAAGAAAGAGCTTTCCCTGCTTCCCTATCTATCTATTGCTCAGTATATACAGTGGATTTTTATTTTATTCAATGGGCTATAATCTACTGTCATTATTCATTTTGGAGCTCAAGTTCTCCCTGATTTAGCTAGTGGGAGCTGTTTCAGGCTGGCTAGTTTCCTTTTGACACGTCTCCTTTACTCTTTTATCACTTTCTTACTTCGTGGTACAAATACATGTTCCAGGCTCAAACTGTTCTTTCCTCATCCCAACCCTAGAATCAGCCTTTTCTCCGAGGAGCTCTGATCCCTCTTAGTTGAATGGTATTTAAAAGCCAGGGTCTGTGCACCAAGTAAACTCATTGCTGCTGGGGTGTCAGTGCTGCTGGGCAATTTCATGTTGGTTTAACTCAATGCGTGTGTGTGTGTGTGTGTGTGTGTGTGTGTGTGTGTGTGTGTGTGTGTGTAAAACTGTGAGTTCATACTGATAACTCTAATTCTAACCTGATATCCACAGGGTTTCTCTTTGCCTTCTCTCATTCTATATTTGTGTTTCCTTCAACTACAGTGAGCATTCTGGCTCCTAGCAACATTCATATATTTCCTCATTTGCATGGTCCCACAATATATACAAAATACTTTCAGAATTGATACACGCATGCAATGAAAGAAAATAACCTACAAAGTAGTTAAATTTTTTTTGCATTGTTTGTTTGTAAACAGAAGTTATTTAGTCAAAGTACTGTGTTCAAGAGTTATTCTGACCCCCTTCAGAGCAGTTATATTATTTATTTGAAATCAGTTTTGCCTACTTTTGAGTTTCATATTATTATTCTTAAAGATTTACTTATGTTGTGAATATCAATATTTCCCCCCACTGCTGTAAAGCAGCAGTCCCCAACCTTTTTGGCACTAGGGGCCGGTTTCCTGGAAGAGGTGGGGATGGGATGGTTTCGGGATGAAACTGTTCCACCTCAGATCACCAGGCATTAGTTAGAGTCTCATAAGGATTGCGCAGCCTAGATCCCTCCCACGCGGAGTTCACAATAGGGTTTGTGCTCATATGAGAATCTAATGCCACCGCTGATCTGACAGGAGGCGGAGCTCAGATGGTAATGTGAGCGATGGGAAGCAGCCGTAAATACAGATGAAGCTTCGCTCCCTTGCCTGCTGCTTACCTCCTGCTGTGTGGCCTGGTTCCTAACAGGCCGTGGAATTTTACCAGTCTGCAGCCTAGGGGTTGGGGACCCCTGCTGTAAAGTATTCTGAATGAACTACACTGTATCCATTATACTGATGATGAATATTTGTGTTATTTCATATTTTTATTATGAATAAAACTGCTATGAACATGCTTGTACATGCCTTTTGATAGAAGTAAGCAATAATTTATTTTGGGTACTTGAGTGTCCACATATGTGTTTAGCTTTAGTAGATACTGCCAGACAGTTTTTCCAAGCAGTTGTTGAATTTACACTCCCGTCAGCAGTGTAAGAGTTCCAGTTATTTCACATCCTCGTTAGTACTTGGTGTTGACAGTCTTTTAATTTTAACCTATCATGGCTACTAGGGAAAGGGTTAAATTGTTTCTGAGAAGCCTGCCATAGGATATTTACCTGGCCTGAATCTATTAATTGCCTGTCTTTTAGTTTGATTGTCCAACTCACATGGTTCCATTTTGTTCTCAGTACAAGTACTGAGTAACTTAAGTAACTTGGTGGCATGCCTTTACTGAAATCCAGATGTATTGTTGTGTTAGGCTTTTTTAGTTGGCAAGGACCAGAGATATTAGCAGATTATTATTGTGAAGACTGTATTGTACTTTAGCATAAGTGAGGAAAACAGGTGAAGCAAATGCCTTATAAAAGAACAATGGGAAAGTCATTTAGAACCCAAGGCAACTCAAAAGCCTAAACCTTCTTGAGCCCTCAGCAGTAGGATCTATTGATTCTTCCTTTAGAACTCACATCCTGGTGACTTAGCTTCACTTTACTGTTCCTTCCTGCTGCTTCTGACTCCTCTGCTTGTACCTCCTCCTCATCTTAACCTTCCTTGTGTCTATTTCTTCCAGCTACTGCTCCAGCTACCAACTGGAGGACTCACTCCCTAGAACTGTTTCAAGGCAGAATTTTCACTAAGCCGTTTCACAGGCTGTGGTCAATCTATGCATTAATCCACATTGAGACAGGTGTCCATCCATAGTCCAATTAGGTTTGGCCCCAGGAAGCAGGACTGCATGGTATCAACACGGCCATTTATGATGAAGACATTCCCTTAGAAGGGCACTATGGGAAAAGCAAGCAGTCTGACTGCCTGGCTAGTTTAATTGTATATATTATAGCCTAATTACTGTGTATATTATATTCTAATTCAGTAGACATTTCTCAAGCCCTCTCCTTATCTGTCAATAAACTATTGGAAAAGGAAATGAACTGTTTATACTGAAGAAGGTTTTTTTGTTTGTTTGTTTTGTTTTGTTTTTAGTCTCGCTTTTAGTACTCGCCCAGGCTGGAGTACAGTGGTATGATCTCGGTTCACTGCAACCTTCGCCTCCCAGGTTAAGTGATCCTACCACACCACTTCAGTCTTCCAACTAGCTGGGACTACAGGCACACTTCACCACGCCGGGCTAATTTTGTTGTATTTTCTGTAGAGACAGGGTTTCGCCATGTTGCCCAGGCTGGTCTTGAACTCATGAGCTCAAGCTATCTGCTTGCCTCAGCCTCCTAAAGTGCCGGGATTACAGATGTGTGCCACCGTGTCCAGCTTGAAGAACTCTTCATAGTGAACCTATGCCAGTTGCTAATGCTTATAGTCTCCTTTCATATGTTCTCAAATAATATATAAGTCCTAAAATGTATCTGTAGAACAGGGTCAAGCCCAAAGTGAATTTTATTCTGTAGATAGCAGAGGTTAGGATGCGTGAGGTATACCTGGTTGTTTGAATTCCGTTTTACAGATGAGGGAACTGAGGGCCAGAGGGAGGCAAAGAGATTTACCCAAAGTCACATGGCTAGGAAGTGGGGGCGGGGGGCATCAGGACTTAAATCCAGGTTTTCTGGTTCCATATCCAGAACTCTCTCCATTACCTCACACTGACATGCCCCATACTCGTGTCCAAGCTGTTAAAAGCACAAAGGAGATTTGATAAAAGCAAACTATAGCCAAGGCAAGTGGTGAGAATTGAGAGGAGGCAGATCTCCTAAAGGCTGAGGTGATCTGGGGGACTGCCTCAGGTTTTGAACTAGGCCTTGTAGAGTTGGTTGGATTTAGAATGGTATGGAGAAGGGAGAATGGTACAAATGAAGATACAAAAGTGGGGGAAATGAGATTTTTCCAGAGACAGAAAAGAGACTCGTGTTGCTGGGTTAGAGGGTTTATTTAGGAAAGGAGTGGTAAAATGTGTGTTAAACAGTAATGAGACTTTGATAACTGTGACAACTTTAATTAAAAAAAAAATCAGATCATGCCCATGCATGTACGGTGGGTCATGCCTGTTATCCCAGAACTTTGAGAGGCCGAGGGAGGAGGGTCGCTTGAAGCCAGGAGTTCAAGCAGTCTGGACAACATGATGAGATCCTGTTCCTACAAGAAGTAAAAAAAAAAATTGGCCAGGCATAGTGGTGTGTACCTGTAGTCCTCGCTACTCAGGAAGCTAAGGCAGAAGGGTCGCTTGAGCCCAGGAATTCGAGGTTATAGTGAGCTAGGTTCACACCACTGCACTCCAGCCTGGGCAATAGAGCAAGACCCTGTCTCTAAAAACAAAAACAGATCAGATCATGATATTATGGTGAGAAGAAAGCTTAAAGTCATTGGTTGCTAAGACTCCAGGCTGAGGCGAAAAGGACTAAACTAAGATGATAGCAGCTGGAAATAAGTCAGACTTGAGAACCATTGAGAAGGCAGGATTAACAGGATCTGGAGACAGCCTAAATATAAGGGTGGGAGAGAGATAAGGAAAAGAGTTAGAACTGTCACTTGAGAGTTTGAGCCTTTGTGACAGGGACACTCTGTATCAAAAGAGGAGAGTATCAGAGGAGGAGGAGGCAGTATGTGTAGTGAGTTAGCTTACAGGCTTTGGACCAAAGCAGACCTGGGACCAGTGACTTAACTGCTCTGAGCGGGTTTGCTGGCCTGCTATGTAGGGAGACAGATTCCCACTTCTCAGAGTGGCTGTGAAGATGGGAGGTATTGCAGGTAAAGTGAAATTCTATAATGTCACATGCTTGACATCCAGGCACTTAACCAAACTTTAGCTCTCTTCTTCTCACCCCAACTTCTCTGGAAGATAGCAGAACCTAGTTCAAGCTCATTTTTTTCACAGGCATACATACAATGTGCTTTTTTTAAAAATGTATATATAACATATACACATATATATGAAATAAAATACAAATTCAAGCCCACAGAGAGAGTTAAAGATATCTTAGTAAGGCTAGGTTCTTCCAGAAGCAAACAGCCGTGCTGCCTCTCTGGTGTCGCCATGGCCTTCCCCAGTTGGGACCATTTCTGAGCTTAGAGGTGGAACTCTGGTGGCTCACTGGATTGCAGTGTGCCTGTAAAACGTGCCCAGCTTCCAAGCACTGCGTTTCTAATAGTTTGGAAATTCTGGTTGTCACCCCAGAGATACACGGATGGAAACCGGGTTTGGGCAGAGCTCTAGCAAAGGCGGCACCGAGACGCCCATTCCCTCGCCCTGTTAACCCAGGCGGCGCAGGCTGCCCAGCCAGCTGGGGCTGCCATTCTGGAGCTGCTTCTGGTACGCTTCTCCCACCCTGGCGGCTGTGCCCGCCAAGGGCTCGCAGTGCGGCACAGAGCATAACCCAGTACCGTACCAACCTAAACCCCGTTACTCCCCTTCCACCCTGGCCATCATGTGTTTCCGCACGTACGCCTCGTTGCCATAGCACCTGAAGGCGCCCGGGCTCATTGGCACCCGGCGAGAACCAATCAGCAGGCCTCGCTGTCCATCTGGCACCCTGGGTGGCCTTTGGGCTGCGGCTGGCTACCCCTCTCTGGTAGAGGAAAGCGGCCCCTGGCTGGTGGCGTGGGGCTGGCCTCGCCTCACTTCCTCTCCTTGGCGTACCTGACCCTGAGTTCTGGTCCGCAACCCGGTGTTCGTTTCCCACCCCACTCTTCCGCGCCCCGATTTCCCCGTTTAGAATGTTCAGATTTGAACAATCTGGCGGCGTTCTGTCGCCATGGGTATCCATGAGGAGGGCAGGCGACAGAACTTTGTTGCCACTTTGCAGCCGTTCCCCTAAGAAATATCCCTGGAAACAGCTCCTTGATCATTCCAGAGGTGGGCACTCCTAGCCCTAGGCAGGATGTTGTTTGGGTCCTATAAATCTAGGGCTCTCCCAGGCTTACGTCCCTGGCACTGGGCTTGCCAGATGTAAGGGAACTGGATGGGTGGTTTATTTCCATCTAATATGAGAAAAAGAAGGGTACATACCGTTTTGAGGAAGAAAGCTTGAACCTGAAGGATCACAGAATCCTGCACCTCCGCTAGCTGTGAAACACTGCACAAGTTACCTTGCTTCCCTGAACCCCAGCAGCTTCATCTGTAAAATGGTTGTAACAAAGGAATCTCTTAGGTTTTGTGTAAGTCTATATGAGATAATATAGGTAAAGCAGTTAGCCAAGTGCCTGGCCTATAAGTATTCTATAAGAGCCAGTCAGCTGTTTTTACAAACAGGTACAACTGTACTGCTAAGAACCAAAGTACTCACATCCAACAGTTGGCAAGCATTTTCACATTCATCCAATTTTTGCTTAAATTATTCGTTTGTTTTAACTCATTAATGCATTCAACATGTATTTACTGAGCATATTATCAGTCAGCTCTTGCCCTGGTCCAGCTGTATTTTCTAAGACCCCACCCCTAGGAGAGTTTTAACTGGCCTTGCAAGAACTGATGAAGTCTAGCCTGGTGGGTGGGTGGGAGATCTTATCCCTCTGGCATTGGGGTTTCGGAATTTGTTTTTTGCAGCTCTGACTTCGCAGGCTGAGGTCCCTGAACAGAGCAGACCTCTCTCATTTCTGGGAAGCACTAAGACAGAGCAGCTTTCCACAGCCACCTTTGCTTCTCACCCCTTACCCTTGGGGAGTTGTGTCCCCCTTCTCCAGAAGGCCCCAATCAGCAAGCTGGAACTTGCTTTTTCTATAGTGGGGTCCTGTTTCCTGTAACTGACTTCTGTTACAGTCTTCTGTGCTTTGCTGTGCTGGAGTTGCCAGAAGAACCCTACTCTGCTTTCAGTGCCCCCAGCATCTTCATGCTGTATCCTTCTAATGCTGTCTCCTTGTCCCCATTGTGCATGTCAGGGTCTGTCTCCAATTGGACTGGATTGGCCACACTGCTGCTTATACTTGCTTTGGGATCATATACCTTCCCTGAGTCCCTTCTCTTTGTACTGCCATCTCCTCACCCCCATGCCCTGTACTTAGATTGTGTGCAGAAAGACTACTGAGCAGGCAGTCTTCTAGATGTCTGAGAGACAGAGGACCTAACACATGCACAGTCTGATCAGACATCATAGTGGGATAAGGGCCATGATACATAGTGCTGTGGGAATAGCCAGGACGGGGCAGCTGGCTCTGCCTGAAGAAGTCAGGGAAGGCTTTACCAGGAGGTGATGTTTGAACAGTCTTTTTTTTTCTTTTTTTTTTTTTTTTTTGAGACTGACTCTTGCTCTGTTGCCCAGGCTCAAGTGCAGTGGCATGATCTCAGCTCACTGCAACCTCCACCTCCCAGGTTAAAGCAATTCTTCTGCCTCAGCCTCCTGAGCAGATGGGATCATAGGCACCCGCCACCACGCCCCACCAATTATTTTTGTATTTTTAGTAGAGACGGGGTTTCACCATGTTGGCCAGGCTGGTCTCGAACTCCTGGCCTCAAACGATCCCCCCGCCTTGGCCTCCCAAAGTGCTGGGATTACACACGTGAGCCACCACACCCGGCTGAGCAGTCTTAAAAGATTTACCTTGGTAGACAGTGGGAGAAAGCAAATTTCAGGCAAGGAGCATAGCATGCATAAAGGCCTGAAATTGCGTGATGTTCTTAGAGAAAAGTAATGTGATGTGAATAGAACAAAAGGATTATATTATTTGGTTTGAAGGTTCATGAGTAGCAGAGGGAGGAAATGAGGCCAGAGAGGTAAACAGGGACCTATTCATGAGGGCCTTGTAAGATGTTTTAGGCTTTATCCTACCAACACTGGGATCCTGTGAAGGTTTTATACATGGGCATGACATGGTCAGATTTGTGCATGAGGAAGGCAGGATGCATGGCTGTAAGGGGATAAATTGTCTCATTTGTCCTCTAGCGAGTCTGTAAGGCAGGCAGGGAAGACACTGTTATCTACTTTTTACACCTCAGAACACTGAGGCCCAAGAGGTCAAATCAAATACCTTGCCCTTTAGGTCTCAGAGCCAGAAAGAGGAGGACCTGGGACTCATCTAGCTTCCTGGTCCTGAATCTCTTTCTCTTGGGCGCATTGCCATTGTTAACAGCATCTTCTAGAAAGCTGCCTGCAGCTGAGCAGTGGGTAGATGCTGACAGGAGCATTATGAAGCAAATGGTCATTGATACAGTTTCACTGAGGGAGTATAACACTGGGATTTTGCAGCCTGTGGTGTTCAGTGTCCTGACCTCTATGCCAGCACACAGACAGCAAGAAGCAGTGGGGAACTTTGAGCTTCAAGCTCTACATTGGTTTGACAAAATCAATTCATCACTGTCTCATTCATTAATGTGCTGTCTGATACTGACATTTGTCAATGGCTTGTTTCTGGAAGCCCCTGGTCCTCAAGGCTGGTCAGCTCTACAGTCACAGCCCCAGGGTGAACCCCAGCAGTCAGAAGCAGGGCTTTTCTCTCTCTGCATTTTGTAAAATAAAATAACTTTAAAACAATAACAAAAGTAACATGATGTAGCAGTAAAGAACACTAGCTTGGAGATCAGGCAGACCTGGGTTTTAGTTCTGCTGCTGCCACTTGTCTAGCTGTGAAGGTTATTTAATATGTATGAGCCTCAGTCTCCTTATGTCTCAAATAAGCAAAGTGGAACTTACCTGAAAAGATTGTTGTGATGACTAAAATGTGATAATGTTTATAAAGTACCTTGGCATGACACCTGGCATGTATGAATCCTCAATATATGCTGGCTTTAATTCCTACAGTTACTGTTGCCCTAGCCACCACTACTACTGCCACCACAGTTAAATAATATTTGGAAAATAGAGAATAGTAGAAAAAATATCTTACAATCTTACCACCATGATGCAGCTACCCTTATAATTTAAATTTCCTTCAAATCCTTTTCCCCCACTACTTCTAAACATTCCTGATTTTATAGCATGTATATTTTATACCCAGGTGGGTTTTTTTCTCTGTGGTGGTAACTGCATTACACTTATTTTTTCTAGTTTTTAATAGATTTTTCCCTAATTATAAAAATTTTGTATAAAATTCGGAGTATAGAAAAAAAGAAAAAGAAAAATCATACTCATTGTTAACATTTTGATGTATCTCCTTCCATTCTTATTCATGCTTTATTATAGAGTTGAGATCATATTACATATACAATTTTTATGTAATTTTTCATATCATGAATATTTTCCTATTATTATAAGCATCATTTTCCGAGGCTGCATATTAGTCCATCAGATGGCTCTACCATAATTTACATAAGCATTTCCCAATTGTTCGACATCTGAGTTTTCTCCAGTTCTTCAATCGAAATATCTTCCTGTAACAGACCTAGAGAACCAGCCTCATTACAGCCAGGAAGCATATAATGAACTTGTGCTGCATATATGGTCCTGAGTGAGGCATAGTGGGAGCCCTCAGGTCAATCAGACACAGAGCCAGCCTTAAAGGAGCTCAGAGACTAAACAACCTGGAAATACTTACTGGTAATTAAGCACTGTCAGGGAGTCCACTTAAGTGTGGGTAACCCTTTTCCCTGTGGAAGCTGGGATCTGGGAAGCACAGCTTCTACACAGGAAAAAGCCTAGGAGGCCTTGCTGCCCCTTCTCACCTATGAATGTGCAGATTGGCTTCTAATGCTGAAATGCCTTTTGAGCTACACTGTCAGGGGCCTGAGCTAAGAACCATTGAATATTACTTCCAAGTGGTTTTCACTAGGAGAGAATGAGAAACACTACCAAAGGAACTTGTGGGAGAATTAAGAGAATCAGAGTGGCTCTAGTCTTAGTTTTTTATTTTATTTTTTTAATTGACAGATAAAATTGTATATGTTTACTGTATACAATATGATGTTTTGAAATATATACGCATGGTGGAATGGCTAAACTGGCTAATTAACATATATTACTTCACATAGTTGTCATTTTTGTGGTGAGAAAACAAAATCTACTTTCAGAATTTTTCAAGAATATAATAGATTAACTGTAGTCATATATAATAACATGGATGAACCTGGAAGACATTATTTTAAGTAAAATAAGTCAAGCACAGACAGACAAATACCACATGATCTCATTCAATAAGGAATCACTCATACATGAATTTAAAAAGTTGATTTCATAGAAGTAGAGGATAGAATGGTGGCTCTAGTCTTAGTTTTGTCACAGACTTGCCCTGGGACCTGAGGTAAGTAAGTTATTTCTCCCTCCCAAGCCTCCATCTTCTCATAACATAGGTGATCTCCAGGGCCCTTCCAGTATTAACATTCCAGAGTACTTGAAACATTCCTCTTGCCAGGAGCTAAAGTGAGTATCCTGATAAAGGTCACAGGATAATTCTCTAAAGCCTAGAGCTCCTCTTAATTAGTCCTGGGGAACCATTTATGCCTTTGTATTCCCAGTCACTTCCTCCTGCTAGCAGTTGGGACATATGGAGACTGAAGGGCAAGAAGTATCTCCCACTGGTTGGAAACTCTGGATTCAGAAAGCCAAAAATTGTCTTTTATGTATTAGGTATTTGTTCTTTTATGTACTTTGTTCTTTCATTCATTCCCTCATTTAGCAGATGTTAACTGAATCCCAGGCCTTGTCCAATCCATCTGTGCAATACAGAGGTGAATGAGACTCAACCATGTTCTCAAAATAGATGTAGTCTCATAAGAGGACAGGAAACAATGATAAAAGGCAACAAGATGGTTGCTACGGTGGGGGTACATTTAAGGGCATAAGGACAGGTGCACCTGAGTCTGCCTAGAAGCAACAGCAAAGAAGTCTTAGTAGATACTTTGAGATTTTAAAGGATAAGTAGAAATTTTTTAGGTATGCAGTAGAGGAGAGGACATTCTGGGTAGAGGAAGAGGCATGTGCAAGGGGCTAGAGGTGTGAGAGAACATGACGTGTTGAAAGAACTGCATATAGTTTGTGTGGCTGGTAGGTGAAAGGGAGAGTGGACAGATGAGAAAAAGTCAAACATTTCTCCACAGACCAGTCTGTTTCCACTGAATTCTTTGCTCATTTTATCAGTCCATACGAGAGGGATGGTCTTTTTAGTTCAGTTTTCAAAAACTGTTATCTTTATTGCCTTATCTTTCCATTTTTACAGTAACATATGCTCATTTTAGAAAGTTTGAAAAATACAAAAAGTAAAAGGAAGAAAGGGTTTAAAAAATTACTCATGGTCTCACTAGCTAAAGACAACTTTAATATCTGATGAATTTCCATTCAATATTTTTTTTATTTTCTTTTTATGTAGCTGTGAATGTGTTGTAATTATAATCTTAACTTTTGTATGTGATGCTTCTTTCTATTTCCTTCCTAAATTTTGCCAAAAATGGATGTTAGTGTCATTAGAAAAGAACTATGATTATAAAATATACTGGCTGAAATATCTATCCATTTTCTTTGTCTTTTTTTTTTTTTACAGGTCTCTTGTGGCTCAGAGCATAATTTGGCAATAATTGGTAAGTAATTTTTATACTGATAACTGTTTCTTCTGAAAATCATGTGGCAGAATTGGAGAAGACTTTTGGTTAACCAAAAGCCATGGTGCGTGCACTCATGCATGTGTGTTAGGGGAGATTGGGGGAAATGGAAGTTTTTGGTTGACCAAGGGTTTACTAGAAGCTCCTTTTCTGAATATTTCGATTCATATCATTGAGCATCTTTTTAAGGTACCTGAGCTGGCCTCCCTGCCCGGGAAGTGGCATTTGAGCATATTAAAGAACTCACAGGCTGAGGGGCACCATGTGTAGAAAGCCAGACATAAAAAGGAAGAATGATTGGACTGCTTCTGGTTTTTCGAATAAATCCCCATTCTAAGTTCTTTCCTATTGGTTTGGCTCTTTCTTTGGAAATATGCGGCTCTGCTCACTGCCCTTGCTGCCTTGTATTTAGTGGCACTCAGGAACTCCCAGTTGGACTCAAACCTCTGGTTAATAGAGGCTTCCTCTTAGTTGGCCCTGGATAATCATAGTTTAGTGTTTTCATAATTAGATCTATGAGTAATTCATTCAAGAAGGCTTCTCATTAACTTCCACAGGTAGACTCAGTTTCCATCTCACAGTACATTAAAGAGACTGCAGTGTAGGGCCAGACTGCCTGAGTTCAGTACAGACTTCTACTTACTAGCCATGTGAACTTGGACAAGGTATTGACTTCTCTATGCTCATCTTTAAAATGGGGAGGGCAATAGTGCCTACCTCATAGTGTTGTTGCAGGGATAAGTTATGTAAAGCACATAGAATGACGCTTAACTCCTAGGAGGGGCTTTGGTAATGTTCGTTATTATTACCTGATATTATATGTTAAAGTAATTGCCCTCCGCTAGGCTTTAGTTTCCCCATCTGTAAAATGGAGAAGTTAAAACAGAAAACCAAGTTTCCCTCCAGCTCTGATATTTTAGGACTCTTGTTACAACCCCACCACTGACTGATTTGTGTCAATAATTTCTGTTCCTGGCCACTCCTGTCTCCTAGCTTCTAACTTTGAACTTCTACCAGGCCAGGCCCTTGTGTTTTCCTCATTTCTTGCCGATTCACAGCACCTAAAGCAGTGTGTGGCTCTTAGCAGAGACTCACACATTCTTTTCTGAATTGAGCTGGACTGGCTCAGCTGCCTGGGGTGGCAGTAGTTTGAAGCACTACTTTGCAGGCCCAAACATGATGTACAAAGAGGCAGAACCAAGGACAGCAGAGGAGGTGGGGAGTAACAGGGACTGGAGTTAGAGAAGGAGCTAGAAAATGTAACAGCAAACCTGCATGCTTTGCAGCAGGACCAGATACTTTATACCGGAACTGCTTCGGCCTGGGTGTAATTAAGACAAGCTAATCAAAAGAGTCAAAGGCGGTGCCTAGGACATTGCTGCTACTGCTATCACTGGACTGGGAGAGGCTGGCTTCCCCTGGGACCAACATAAACAAGAAGATGGCAGGGAATCTAAATTTGTGAAAGCACAAAATCCAGATGAAGGAATGGGTCAGAGCTAGCAAAGCAGCAGGCTGAGCTGACGTAGGCAGCCTGGGGCTGTAGAAGGAGCAAAGACTCTGCAGGCAGACAGCCTTGGTTCAAACTGGCTCCATCTCTGTGTGAGCGTCCATATTCTTCTCATCTTTGTAATGGGGGTAATCATTCCGCCTTTCAGGATTATTGTGATTAGGTGAGATAATTTATGTGAAATGGCTGGCAGATATAAATTCCTTTGGTTTCTCTTTTCTCTTGGTTGGGTAGCGGGAGGGGAGAAATACTTGTTAGTGTAACTGTTCTAGTGAAATATTTCTTTGTTGGAAGAGAAACAATGACATTCTGGAAAGATGTGTCCAGTGTTACCTGTGTGGAGGCCATCAGAGGCAGTGGGAGAATAGGGCATGCTGGCGAGCACTTGAGGACAGACCTGTTATTTTCCATTTTATCCCCAGTGCCTGGGACCTGGCTCACAGACTTCTGAATGAATGGTTTCAGAGTCAGGAAAAGTGAGTGCAGGCACAGGGCTCTGCACATATGTACCTGCCTGGTGGCCAGGAGCAAGAGGCTCTCCATCACTGGAGGAATGAGGCCCTCAGTGGGTGCCCTGCAGGGTGCAGGCTTTGAAACAGGAAGCTACAAGAAGCTGCCTGTTAGTCCTAGCAGGAGGCTAGCAAGAGGGAGACAAGTTGCAGGTGAAGAAGAGTTCCTGCCAGCTTAAAGCCATGTTTCTCATGGGGTTGAGCTCCTCCCCTCAATCCTACTGCCTTTGCCTGCTTTAGAGGGATTTCCCTGCCTTCAGTTTCATTCCCTGAACTCTAGCCCTTCAGTGCCTGGTGCTGTGTCCCACATGTAAAAGGCACAAAATAGTTATAGACTAGACTAGAAGAGAACATAAAGCAGCCAAACTTTGCCCAAGGGTATAAGCAACCTTAATGTCTGATGAATGTGTGACAGATGAATCAACTTGGAAAGGGAGGTGAAACAGAGAATGGTGAAAGGACATGATTGAGAACCTAGTCTGTCTTAGGTTAGTGGACACAACTCCTCAAAGTATATTTGTTGTATCTGCTTTGTAGAGACGAAACAGACTCAGAAGTTAAATGGGTTAAACAGGTTGTAGAGATAAGTAGCAGTGTTACCTGAGCAATGGACTCGCTGCCCAGCGCACATAGAAGCGAATGCTGTGACACTGGCTTTGAGAAAAGAAAGTTTATTGTGAGTCAATTGACAAGGAGACAGGGAGGCAACGCTCAAATCCATCTCCCCGATCTGGGAGTGGGTCAAGCTTTTATGGCATTTTAAACTAATCCCAGGTGATGCCAGTGCAGCTGGTCAGCCAGGCTGGTGATGCTAACAATTAGGCTGCTAAAGCTTTTCTCCTGAGCATGCCAGGTAACTTTGGCTCTGCACTACCTGTAACTTAAGCAGTGATTACTTGGTTTGAATTGGTCCTACGGTTACAGCAATAAATAGTAGAGCTGTCTGCCTGACTTCCAAAACTGCTCCTCTATTCTGTCATTTCCAGTGGCCTGAAGTAGTATGGGTAGTAGTTAAGAAGAGCTCAGGCACTGGGGACAGATTGCCTGGATCCAGATTCTGTCTTCTCCACTTACAAGCTGTGTAACCTGTATAAGTGGCTTACCTTCTCTATGTCTTGATCACCTCATCTGGGATATAATATTATTGACTTCATAGGGTTGTTAGGTAAAGTGCTAAGAACAATGCCTAACACAAAAGTAAAGACTCAATAAATGTTAGCTGCTATTATTATTATTCTATATTAAGACCTCAAGGAAGGAAGTAATTATAAGCCTGAGGCCAGGGTAGGAATCTCAGGAGCTAGAGAAGGAAGTGTCTTTCCCAGCCTGGATATCAGGGTCCATGGCAAGATCTCAGCATAGCTGCAGGATGGATTTGTAAACTGGAGCCTGGGGTTCCCACTGGGGAATCTGCACATCCAAGCAGCCCTGGAAACAGTCCTAGCCCAGATTTGTTCAAGGACAGGATTCTGCTATTCATTGTCCCAGACAGGGACTCAGGCCCTGCATGTTCCAGCCTGAAGCAAGCCCCATGGAAGCCACATTTCAGTTTCTTGAGAAGATGGAAATTTTACTCTGCTGCTTTATGTGCTTCTGGGTTTCTTTGTTCCCCTTCTTTTGAAATTTGGTTTAGTTACTTCCTTAGTTTTCCAATTAAGTTTCTCTTGACATGTTTTGTCTTTGCCACCAGGTGCCCCCATGACTAGACAGAATGGTGAAGTGGTATGAGTTCCTGCTTTAGACTAAGGAAGAACTGTTGGAGCTGAGCATAGAGAGACTCAGGTGACAATCAGAAAAGAGAGAGCTGAGGCCATTGACCATGGCTGGCTTGGGCATTCTCTGCCTATATGCCTTGTACAATCACTCTGCCTCACCAAGCCTGATTCCTCATTTGTAAAATCGACATCATGATACCCACTCCCAGAAGTTGTTCTTCCCAATGGCATAGGTATGTCAAGTACATGCTCAGTACCCGCCATGTCATAGGTGCTCCGCAGGTGTTGTCCACTTGGCTGCTTCACTGATTCACTCTCTTCCTTTCCACCTAGGATTTCTTTCCACATCTGACAAAGCTCACTGGCTAACTCCCATTTGTGGGCATAGACTGAGGTGAACTGAGGGCATGTGGCCATCACTTGCTGAGAAGATCCCTGCCTTTCAGAGGCAGGGTCCCCAGATCCAGCTCTGCTTTCAGGCCCCTCACCTCTGTGTCTGGATGAATTGGCTCCAGCTGTTGTGCTTCCACCAGGAGCAGCTTATTTTGGCTTGAATTGGCAATTTGCTTGCCTTCTTCCTGATGTGCAGTTGTTTTGTCTTCCCTTCCTGCGGAGAAAAAAGAGCTGACTGCGTTTCCTCTCTCCCTGCTCCACACAGACCCTTGGAAGGATTTTATTGGTGGCCCTTTCCTGGAGCACTCAGGCTTGCCAGACAGGCATTGTTAAAGGGTTGGTTATTGGCAGGAAAGTGTGATGCCTCCTCCTCCTCCTCCTCCTCCTCCTCCTCCTCCAAGCAGAGCCAGTTCTTTTACTAAATTGGAGCTATAATATATGCATGGATTTTTTTTTCATTTCACAGATGATTTTCAACTGTTGAACCATTGTACCTTTATAATATGTATGGCAGAACATCTAACCTTGGCATGAAACCATCAAGCAATTTCATGTAAGAATTTAATAGGAAAATAGAGAAATAACTCTTTTTTTGGCACTGGATATTCCTCTGAGTGGTGATATCTCCAAACCCTAGGGCCTTGTAGAGAGCTTAGAGGCAGATACAAATTTGTATGTTTCTGTGCACAATGAGATAGGCAGAATGTAAATGCTTTACCTACCTCATCCCATTTAATCCTCACAGCAAATTGATGAGCTGGTACTCTGGTTAATCCCATCTTCTAGGTACGGGAAAATGAAGCTGAAGGTGAGCAGTTTACTCCACCCAGGTCACACAAGTAGGAAGAATTTGTGTGTTAGGTCTTTTACCCCCACCTCTAATTTCAGAGCCTGTGGACCGATGCTGCCTTCCTGCAGACTGGTGACAGTCTGGCCTGTTTTTAAAGCCACCAGATAGGAGTACTTCATCTTTTTGTTTCAGTATTTAAGATGAAAAACTCCCTTCCATGCTATCCCCCTCTCTCTAGCTCCCCAAAACCCTTCTACCACATGTGCAGGTAATGCCTGTTACTAGTTTCTTCTGTATCCTTCTAGTGTCCTTTTACATATGTAAGTGAATACTAAGATATGTTTTTATCCTTCCTTTTACATAAATGGTAGCATACTATACTCATTTCTCAGTGCCTGATTTTTCTCAACAATTTTTCTGGGAGATCTTTCCATATCAGTATAAAAGCTGTCCTAGTTCTTTTTTTACAGTTACATAATATTCCAAAGTTCCTATGTATCTTGATTTATTTAACTAGTGACCTGTTCATGGACATTTATGTAATTTCTAGTCTTTTGTTATTATAAGCAACGCTATAGTGAATGACCTTCTATGTATGTTATTTCATGTGAGGAGAGTATAGTTATAAGTTCCTAGAAGTGAAATTACTGTGTCAAAGTATAAATGTATTTGTAATTTTGCAATGTACTTCAAAATTGGCCTCCATAGGGGCTATGCCATTTTTCACTTCCACTAGCAAGGTATAAGGGTGCTTGTTTATTGCAGCCTCCTTAATAGGATATATTAAGAAACTCTTGGATTTTTGCCAGTCTGATAGGTAAGCAACTACTCAGGGTAGCTTTTGTTTATCTTTTTAAGTTGAAGTATAACGTATATAATATAGTAAAGTTCACAAATCTTAAGGGTTCAGATGATGAATTTTTACATATGTATGTACTTAAGAAAACACCATCCAGAGCAAGATATAGAAAAGAAAACACCATCCAGAGCAAGATATAGAACATTTCCAGCACCCTGGAAGACTAGTTCATGCTCCATCTCTGTCTATAACCCACCCCCAGAGCTAACCATTCTTCTGACTTCTGTCTCCAAAGATGCCTTTGTTTGAACTTCACGTGGATGGTGTTTGGCTTCTTTTGTTCAACACATTGTGTCTGTAAGAGTCATTCATGTTGTGTGTAGCAGTAATTTTGTAATGCTTGGTAATATTCTACTGTATAAATATACCACAACTTATTTAACCATTTAACTGTTGAACATTTGGGTTGTTTCTAGTTTGGGGATGCTACGTACATTCTTATACACGCCTTTTGATAGATATGTGCATTTATTTCTCTTGGGTGCATGATTAAGACTAGGAATTCTAGTTCATATTTAGTATTAGTAAATACTGCGCAACAGTGTTTAAAGTAGTTGCACCAATTTACACCCCCACCAGCAATATGAGAGTTCCATTTGTGCTATACTCTCGCCAGATATTTTCAATCTTATAGATTTAGGCAATTCTGTTGAGTGTGCAGTGTGGAATCTCACTGATTTTAATTTGCATTTCTCTCATAACTAATGATGTGGAGTACCTTTTTACATGCTTATAGGCCATTTGGGTGGCTTCTTTTGTCAAATTCAAAGACTTAAGTCCGAAGACTTTAAGTCTTTGCCCATTGTTTTAAGTTGGGTTTTGTCTATGTTTCTCTTAGTGATTTGCAGGCATCCCTTATATCTTGTAGATTCCAGTCCGTTGTTGAATATGCATATTGCAAACATCTTCTCCCAGCCAGTGGCTTACTCTTTTTTTTTTTTTTTTTTTTTGAGATGGAGTCTCGCTCTGTCACCCAGGCCGGAGTGCAGTGGCACAATCTCAGTTCACTGCAAGCTCCGCCTCCTGGGTTCACGCTATTCTCCTGCCTCAGCCTCCCGAGTAGCTGGGACTACAGGCGCCTGCCACCACACCCGGCTAATTTTTTGTATTTTTTAGTAGAGACGGGGTTTCACCATGTTAGCCAGGTTGGTCTCTATCTCCTGACCTCGTGTGGCTTACTCTTTTACTCTCTTAATCGTGTCTTTTGATGAATAGTTATTTATTTTAATGAAGTCCAGTTTATTGACCATTCCTTTAATGGTTTGAGGTATTTGTGCCCTACTTAAGACATTTTTACTCATTCCAAGATCATGAAAGTATTCTTATGTCTTCTTTGTGAAGCTTTATTATTTTGCCTTTTATATTTAGGCCTAAAATCCATCTCAAGTTAGTTTTTTTAAACATTTAGAACCATTTATTGAAAAGTTCATTTTTTACCATTGAATTGTGGAGGTACCTTTGTTATAAATCAAGAGACTGCATATATGTGTTGATGTGCTTTTAGATTCTTTTTTATTAGTTTGTTTTTCCGTTTGTATGCTAGTATCACACTAGCTTGATTATTGTAGCTTTATAATAAATCTTGATATCTAGCATTATAAGCCCTCCTACTTTGTTCTTTTTTAAGATTATTGTGGCCTTTTTAATCTGTCTAATTTTAGTTATTATAAATGAAGGTTGAGCTTCTTTTTATATGTTCAAGAACTATTTGTATTTTCTCTTTTATGAGGAGTTTTTCATTCACACCCGTATTAGTTTTGTTCATTGTTGCTATAACAAATTACCATAAAATTAATGGCTTAAAACAAGACAAATGTATTATCTTCAAGTTTGAGGTCAGAAATCTAAGATGGGTCTCACTTGGCTAAAATCAAGCTGTTGGCAGCCTTCATTCCTTCCTGGAAGTTCCAGAGAGAATTCATTTTCTTGCCCTTTCTAGCTACTAAAGGCTACCTATATTCCTTGACTTATGACCTCTTCCATCTTCAAAGCCAGCCATAGCTTTTCAAGTCTTTCTCCTACTGCATCACTCTGACACTGACTCTTCTGCCTCCCTTTTCTACATTTAAGGACCTTTCTGATTACATCATCCCTGCCTGGATAATCCAGCATAATCTCCCTGTATTAGTACATTTTCATACTGCTGTAAATAACTGCCCAAGACTGGATAATTTATAAAGGAAAGAGGTTTAATTGACTCACAGTTCAGTGTGGCTGGGGAGGCGTCAGGAAACTTACAATCATGGTGGAAGGTGAAGGGGAAGCAAGGCACCTTCTTCACAAGGTGGCAGGAAGGAGAAGTGCCAAATGAAGTGGGGAAGAGCCCCTTATAAAACCATCAGATCTCATGAGAATTTACTCACTATCACAAGAACAGCATGGGGGAAACTGCCCCCCTGATTCAATTACCTCCACCTGGTCTCTCCCTTGACATGTGGGGATTATGGGTATTACAATTCAAGATGAGATTTTGGGTGGGAACACAGCTAAACCATATCACTCCCTGTCTTAATATCAGCTAATTAGCAACCTTAATTTTATCTGATAACTCAGTTCCCCTTGCCATGTAACAAAACATATTCATAGGCTCTAGGAATTAGGACATGGACATCTTTAGGAGGCCATTATTTTTTCTACCTCAATATCCTTTGCCTTGCTATAGAGTCTGAATGTTTGTGTCTTTCAAAAAATTTTATGTTGATATTTATTCCCTAACGTGATAGCATTAAGAGGTGGGGTGTTTGGGAGGTGATTAGGTCATGAGGGCTCTACCCTCAAGAATGGTGTTAGTACCCTTATAAAAGAGGTCCAAGGGAGCTTGTTCACCCCTTTTGCCATGTGAGGACATTTAAAAGGTGCCATCTAAAAGGAATAGGCCCTCACTATATACCATCAGATCAGCTGGTACCTTGATCTTGGACTTCCCAGCCTCCAGAACTTGTATTATTTATACATTTTCCGGTCTAAGGTATTTTGTTATAGCAGCCCAGAAGGACTAAGACAGCCTTTTATATTGTCAGTCTTTTTCTAATAAATGTCTAGGTGTTCTTTACATATTAGGGAGATTAGGCATTGTTCTGTGATTTGAATTGCAAATGTATTTTCCCAGCTTTTTATCTTCTGTTTTTGATGTTTTTGTTTATTTTGTCTGTAATATTTTGTCATGCAACCTTTTATTTTACTATAGATTAAATGTATCAGTCTTTTCCTGTATGGCTTTTGGATTTTGAGTCAGGGAATCCTTCTCTCCTCCAGAGTATAATGGTCTTTCTTTATATTTTATTCTAGTATGGTCATGCATTGCCTAAAAATCGGGATACGTGGCCAGGGTCAGTCGCTCACACCTGTAATCCCAGCACTTTGGGAAGTCAAGGCAGGCTGATCACTTAAGGCCAGGAGTTTGAGACCAGCCTGGTCAACATGGCTGATATGGTTTGGCTGTGTCCCTACCCAAATCTCATATTGAATTCCCATGTGTTGTGGGGAGTGACCTTGTGGGAGGTAATTGAATCATGGGAGCAGGTCTTTCTCATGCTGTTCTCATGATAGTGAATAAGTCTCACGAGATCTGATGGTTTTAAAAAGGGGAGTTTCCCTGCACAAGCTCTCTCTTTGCCTGCCACCATCCATGTAAGATGTGACTTTCTCCTCCTTGCTTTCTGCCATGATTGTGAGGCCTCCCCTGCCATGTGGAACTGTAAGTCCATTAAATCTCTTTATTTCGTAAATTGCCCAGTCTCAGGTATGTCTTTATTAGCAGCATGAAAATGGACTAATACAGTAAATTGATACCAGGAGTAGGGTGCTGCTGAAAAGATACCCGAAAATGTGGGTGCGACTTTGGAACTGGGTAACAGACAGAGGTTGGAACAGTCTGGAGGGATCAGAAGAAGACAGGAAAATGTGGGAAAGTTTGGAGCCCCCTAGAGACTTGTTGAGTGACTTTGATCAAAATACTGATAATGATATGGACAATGGAATCCAGACTCAGGTGGTCTAAGATGGAGATGAGGAACTTGTTGGGAACTGGAGTAAAGGTGATCCTTGTTGTGTTTTAACAAAGAGACTGGTGGCATTTTGCCTCTGCCCTAGAGATTTGTGGAACTTTGAACTTGAGAGAAATGATTTAGGGTATGTGGTGGAAGAAATTTCTAAGCAGCAAAGCATTCAACAGGTGACTTGGGCACTGTTAAAGGCGTTCAGTTTTAAAAGGGAAACAGAGCATAAAGTTTCAGAAAATTTACAGCCTGATGATGTGATAGAAAAGAAAATCCCATTTTTCTAAAGAGAAATTCAAGCCAGTTGCAGAAATTTGCATAAGTAACAAGGAGCCAAATGTTAATCCCCAAGACAATAGGGAAAATGTCTCCAGGGCATGTCAGGGGTCTTGATGGCAGCCCCTCTTATCACAGACCCAGAGGCCTAGAAGGAAAAGACGGTTTTCTGGGCTGGGTCCAGGGTGCCCCTACTGTATGCAGCCTAGGGACTTGGTGCCCTGTGTCCCAGCCACTCCAGTTGTGGCTGAAAGGGGCCAATGTAGAGCCCTGGCCGTGGCTTCAGTGGGTACAAGCCTCAAGCCTTGGCAGCTTCCACATGGTGTCGAGCCTGCGAGTGCACCAAAGTCAAGAATTGGGGTTTGGGAACCTCTGCCTAGGTTTCAGAAGATGTATGGAAATTCCTGGATGCCCAGACAAAATTTTGCTACAGTGGTGGGGCCTTCATGGAGAACTTCTGCTAGAGCAGTGTGGAAGGGAAATGTGGGGTCAGAGCCCCGACACAGACTCCCTACTGGGGCACTGCCTAGTGGAGCGGTGAGAAGAGGGCCACTATCCTCCAGGCCCCAGAATGGTAGATCCACTGACAGCTGTGCACCTGCAAAAGCCACAGACACTCAGTGCCAACCCATGAAAGCAGCTAGGAAGGAGGCTGTACCCTGCAAAACCACAGGGGCAGAGCTGCCCAAGACCATGGGAACCCACCTGTTAACATCAGCATGACCTGGCTGTGAGACATGGAGGCAATGGAGATCATTTTGGAACTTTAAGATTTGACTACGCTACTGGATTTTGGACTTGCATGGGGCCTGTGGCCCCTTTGTTTTGGCCAATTTCTCCCATTTTGAATGGCTATATTTACCCAAAGCCTGTACCCCCATTGTATCTAAGAAGCAACTAACTTACTTTTGATTTTACAGGCTCATAGGCAGAAGGGACTTGCCTTGTCTCATATGAGACTTTGGACTGTGGACTTTTGAGTTAATGCTGAAATGAATTAAGACTTTAGGACACTGTTAAGAAAACATGATTGGTTTTGAAATGTGAGGACATGAGATTTAGGAGGGGCCAGGGGCAGAATGATATGGTTTGGCTGTGTCCCAGATCTCATCTTGAATTCCCATGTGTTGTAGGAGAGACACAGTGGGAGGTAATGGAATCACGGAGGCAGGTCTTTCCTGTGCTGCTCTTGTGATAGTGAATAAGTCTCACGAGATCTGATGGTTTTAAAAAGGGGAGTTTCTCTGCACAAGCTCTCTCTTTGCCTGCCACCATCAGTGTAAGATGTGACTTGCTTCTCCTTGTCTTCTGCCACGATTGTGAGGCCTCCCCAACCACATGGAACTGTAAGTCCATTAAATCTCTTTCTTTTATAAATTACCCAGTCTTGGGTTGTCTTTATTAACAGTGTTAAAACAGACTAATAAAATGGTGAAACCGCGTCTCTACTAAAAATACAAAAAAATTAGCTGGGCTTAGTGGCACATGCCTGTAATCCCAGTTACTTGGGAGGCTGAGGCACAAGAATTGTTTGAACCAGGGAGGCGGAGGTTGTAGCGAGCCAAGATCCTGCCACTGGACTCCAGCCTGGGTGACAGAGCAAGACTCCCTCTCTCTCAAAAAGGGGGGATATGTTCTGAGAAATGTGTCATTAGATGATTTTGTCATAAGCAATATAAAGTGTACTTAACAAACCTAGATGGTATAGCCTAGTACACACCTAGGCTATATGGTTTAGCCTGTTGCTCCTGGGCTATAAACCTGGACAGCATGTTACTGTACTGAATACTGTAGGCAATTGTAACACAATGGCTGATCAGTTATCTGAAAACTATTTATGGAGTTCTTTGGCTGCCTTCCTGGGTCCTGTTGCTACCAGAGCAGCCGTAAGGCATTACCCAAAATTGCACAGCTGGTCAGTAGCAGAGCTGGGACTAGCACTCAAGTCTAGCTTGTGCTATTCAGAAGGAGATGGTGCCTGATTCTCAAGGGGCTTTCTCAAGTGGTTGCTTGAGCTGTTTGCCAGACAGGGAGACAGCAGCTAAAGGCAGAGCAACAGTTTTTTAGTTCTATTGGTTACCAGTGCTCTGTCCCAGGTCTTGCCTTTCTCAGGCAAAATATGGTACAAAAGATTAAAGATGATACATCTGTATACGGCATTTACTATGAATGGAGCTTTCAGGACTGGAAGTTGTTCTGGGTGAGTCAGTGAGTGAGTGATGAGTGAATATGAAGGCCCAGGACATTATTATATACTACTGTAGCCTTTATAAACACTATACACTTAGGCTGTAAATACTGTGCACTTAGGCTACACTGAATTACACACAAAAAATCTCTTTCTTCAAACGTAAATTAACCATAGCTTACTATAACATGTTGCTTTATGAACTTTAAAAAACTTTTTTACTCTTGTAATAACACAGCTTAAAACACATTGTACACAGTACAAAAATATTTTTTAATATATTTTATAAGCTATTTTCTATTTCTTAAATTATTATTATTATTATTTTGCTTTTTAAACTTTTTTGTTTAAAACACAAACACACACATTAGCTCAGGCCTGTACGGGGTCAGAATTATCAATATCACTGTCTTTCACCTCCACATCTTGTCTCACTGGAAGGTCTTCAGAGGCATGTATGGAGCCATCATCTCCAATGGTAACAATGCCTTCTTCTGTAATATCTCCTGAAGGACCTGCCTTTTAGGAGGTATTTTTACAGTTAACTTAAAAAAAAGATAAGTAGAAGGAATACACTCCAAAATAACAATAAAAAGTATAGTATAGTAAATACACAAACCAGTAACATAGTCATTTATTTATCAAGTATTATTACATACTGTACATAATTGTATGTGGTAGACTTTTATATGACTAGAAGCACAGTAGGTTTGTTTACACCAGCATCATCACAAACATGTGAGTAATGTGTTGTGTTACAACATTATCACAGCTACTATGGCAGTAGGCAATAGGAATTTTTTCAGCTCCCTTATAATCTTATGGGACTACCATTGTATATATGGTCCAGTTGTTGACCGAAACTTGGTGATGTTTTGGTCAACAAAATAGCATGACTATATTTTTATGGTTTTATTTTTGGCATCTAAATCTTCGATCCATATGGAATTTATCCTGGTATAAGTCAGGTGTGCATTCAGCCTCACAATTTTTTAAATGGCTGATCAGTTATCTCAAAACTGTTTATTGAATTCTTTGGCTGCCTTCCTGGGTCCTGTTGCTACGAGAGCAGTCCTAAGGCATTACCCAAAATTGCACAGCTGGTCAGTAGCAGAGCTGGGACTAGCACTCAAGTTTAGCTTGTGCTATTCAGAAGGAGATGGTGCCTGGTTCTCAAGGGGCTTTCTCAAGTGGTTGCCTGAGCTGTTTGCCAGACAGGGAGACAGCAGCTAAAGGCAGAGCAACAGTTTTTTAGCTCTCTTGGTTACCAGTGCTCTGTCCCAGATCTTGCCTTTCTCAGCCCTGGAACTGATATATTCGTTGCCACTACCACACCTGGCCGCTTGGGGCACCATATTTTCCTCTCCAACAGGCCAGAAACATGATAAACCTTTTACATTTAAGAAAGATGTTTCACAATAAATACAGAGTGTTTTTTTTACAGAATCTTGCTTATTGCTCAAGTCACATTTCTGTTAAGTCATACATTTTCAAGGCATAGCTTCAAATCCCAAGATGTAACTTTTTACCTCTCAATCAAGGTGGATTTTTCACTGTTCCTAAAGAAGCGACATTTATATCACTCCACAGGAGTCATTCTATATGACACCACAGGTGAGGGTGCCAGGCTGTTGAGGAGGCTCCCATACTTGCTAAATTACTCTTTCATGCTGGCCATTTTAGGCACAAGGTTGACCACCTGTTTAGCACAATGCTCTGGTCCTTTTTAGGGTTGCTTACAGTAGTAGAAACTGCATTTGTGACCCACTGCACTTGTTTACAGTTACTCAAGAGGCTTGAGGCCTTGCGAAAGTAAATCTAATGTGAACTCAAAGAGGAAAATACAAAAAATTAGAGCAAGTTAGAGACAGCCTTCCACTGTGCACCATAACTAGAGTTATGGTGATAACTCTCTGTGTTATCCTAGGCAGTTACTCTCCTTCTCTGGGCCTCTAGAATCCCCATCTGGGAAATGTGGGAGCTGGACTAGACAATTTCTAAAGTCTTCTGCAACTCTCAAAGTCTGTCTTCATGTCCACAAACTGTGTTTAACATCTTCATAGACTCAGACCATCTATACTTGCCATGCATGCAATAGGTGCTTCATGTGTTTGTTAAATACTCAATGAACATTATATGCAATATTTTCTCATTCTCTCCTTTCAGCTTACTAGTGTCTGATGATGTGCCATGTAGTGTTATGGATGCTGTGGAGGAATACAACATTCATGGAATTCACATTCATGGAACTCACATTTAGTGGGAAAGAGAGCTATGGGAATTAAATTTGGCCATACTTTGGACTTAAATACTGAATGAATGAATGAATGAATGAATGAATACAAAGCAGACCATGATAAGAACTAGGAGAAAGAATGAAGAGGTAAGAATGATTGATTTTGGAAATCCTTATGGAAGAAGTGGCTCCTCAGTGGAGGAAGGGTAAAGAGCAGCATTCTGTGCTGAGGGATAAGCATGAGCAAAGGGAAAGAAGGCTCTAAAGTGTGAATGGTTGAGGGACAAGTGGTCAGCCAGCAAAACAGCTTAGGACCAGGTCTCCAACAGCATGCTGAAAGGCATTGACTTTATTGTTTAGACAGTGTAGAACTATCGTGGGTTATTTAGGAAGATTCTTCAGAAGTTGACAATTATAGCAGATAAAACTTTTTTTTCGTTAAAGGATAATACCTTTTTACAGAGTAAAACTGAAGTGATGTAGTTAAGTACAAAGTGCTGACACTATTCTGAACATTTTGCATATATCATCTCACTTAGTTATCACCATGCAGGGTAGAAAGTAGATAGAAATTGTCCCCGTTTTTCAGATGAGAACTCAAAGAAGTAGAGCCCAGAATTCAAACTAAGGTCTGCTGACTGCAAGGTCTGCACTTGCCGCTTCTTGTGCTGCTCCCTGCAGAGGTTTGACTTAGGTTAATTAGCATATCAAGCAGCATAAACTGAACTTTTAATATGCATGTGGCTTTGGAAGACAGGAAAAAGCAACAGCAGAGCTAGCATTACTGATGGTACTTGTTTGTAGGGGCAGAGACCAGCCCCCATCCTTTTGTCTTATCTACCATAGCATAGCAACTAGGGGACAACCACATGTGACATTGGGCAGCTTTGACAATGGCCAGGCAGTCCAGCCCATGAGCCTGCTCTGTCCTTCCTTAGACAGGCACTAGCTTCCTGAGCCTGGGCAGCACCATCGTATCTGCAAAACTCAGACTCACAGTATTGCCTCTCCGCATCCACAGGCCTCAGCTTATGCTAGTGCCCCTCTGTATCACCTGTCCTATGACTGCTGTCCCTGCTGCCTCTTGCCTCTGGAATCCTCTGTTCCTCCTTGGTGCACCTAAAGCCCTTAAATGTAGAACAGCTATGACTATTCATTCACCGTGCTGTCCCTGGGCAGTGCTTTAGCAACATTCGGTTTGCCTATTTGTCCATTCATGAATTCATTTATTAAGAAGCTGTACCATGCAATAGGAAGAGTACTGGGACAGAATACCTGAGTACTAGACAAGCTGCTGACACCTTGGGCAGGCCACTTTCCTTCTACAGGCCTCCTTTTCTTTATGGATAAAATAGGAGAATTGAGTAAGATAATCTTTGAGGTCTCTACTAGCTCTCTCACTTTGAGGCTGTTTTGTTTAGCTGTAAATTCACACCTTCATCCTAACATGGGGTTAGGGAATGCTTCTTAGAAGAGATGATCCTTGAAGTGGGTCTTAACGGATGAGTATGAAGAAGAGAAAGGTATTCCAGGGAATATGATCAACATGAACAAAAGTATGGAGAAGGCATGGCAAACTGGGGGAAATGAGGGCCTCTGGAGGGGAGCAGAGCAGTGGGAGACAAGGCTACAGTGATGGCTACGTTCAGATCGTAAAAGCTTTAATGTCAGGCTAAGGAACTAGAACTTCATCCTGTGGGGTAAAGGTGCAGGAAAGGTTTTAAAGCAGAGAAATGACTTGATTTGATCTATTTTTAGAAGCTAGTACTGTTCAACAGAGAAACCTGGGAGGAATGGCAGTGGTTTCAATCTTGTGGCTTTGTAAGATATTAATTTGGTAAGTTTTTGCTTTTTAGCGAGACAAGATGCTACCGACCTATTGGATAGGGGATGTCATGATTTACAGTCTGACTGTGGCTCTAGAATCCCCATCAGACTCCTTTATCCAGATTCTGCCCCATTCTAGTTGGCAACTCCAGGCCTAGGCCAAAGCCAGCCCTTTTCTCTTCCCATGACAACCAAGCCAAACAGCTGACTTAGGAAGCTCCACAGTGTAGCCCTTGCGGCACGCATGCATGTGTCAGTAGGTCCTCATGTGTGCTCACTGCTTCATAGTGTATCAGGCTCTTTGACTCACCAACTCTTTTCATTCTTACAGTAACTCTGAAGTTCTCAGAGAAAGTACAATCCCTACTGTACAGTGGGGAAATGGAATCTCAGAAGGATTGCATGATTTGCCCCAAGCAGCATAATGTAGTGTAAGGGGCATGAGGCCTTGGAGTTGTTAAGTCATGGGTTCCATTTCCAGTTCTGCTGCTTAATATCTTGATATCTGACCACGGGCAAGATTGCCACCCTCTCTAAACTGTGGGTTTCTCATCCTTAAAGACTGAGATAATAATAGCTTCTGTATGTGTGTATCATTGGAGCGAATTATGTGGTTTATGGAAAAGCTCTTGGCACAGAGTAGGTGCTCAGAATGTCTGTTTCTGTTTCCTCTGACTCACTTCAGTGCTCTTTCTGGTGTTTCGCCTTGCTTCCCATATGGCCCTCTTTGTCATCTCTCTTGCTCCTCTATTCTTAAGTCAATGCCACAGACATGCATTACTGGAAATGTTCTTCCTGGGTACACAATATGAAGCTAAGCCTTGTGGATGAAGTGAGAGGACATAGGAAATGGCCCTTTCCCTCACTGCTTGCTACCTGATTATTGTGGGTGTTAGGGTGGAGAGGGTTTAGCCTTCACTCTTGAAACAAAGCTGAGGTGATCTGACCATCTCATGATGATCCCTTCTTGCTCCTCAGGGAACTTACTGTATGCCAAGTGCCGGACTCAACTCTTACACTGTCTCACTAAGCTCTTACACACTGTTACATCCACTGTGTGTGTATCTTACATACGCTTCTGTATTCTTAACATATAACCCTGTTCTACAGATGAGGAAAATGAGGCTCAGAAAAGCTAAACCTATTAAGATCTTAAACTCATATTTGATGAAACCAGGATTTGAGCTAGGTTATCTGATTCTGGAGCATGCACTCTTAAATTAGATTACCTTTTGTTTATTACAAAATAGTGTATGTACATAGTTTAAAAATTTTCTAAATACTAAAAGGCTTAGTAATGGCAATTTCTGCCTCACCTTTTCCCACTCTTTTGTCCAATTTCCGGAGCCAACCATTTTGAATTATTTTGGGGTGTCTATCTCTATATTTCTAAACTAAATGTCTATTTAAGATATCAATTTTAAAATAAATTTTATCTGTTGCTTTCTTATAAATAAAAATTTAATTATCTTATACCACCACCTTCATTTCCCTTCCCTCCATCCTCACGTGTAGTTAAGTCATTAGTCTATTATTATGAGTAGTGTAAATACTGTTCTCACTGCTAAGCCAAGTAATATATCATGATATGGTTCCTATGCTATACTTTTCTTTTCCTGGAGTTAAACTTGCCTGTTTATTTTCCCCTTCCTTTAACTGACTTTCTATATACCAATTACTAATTGTTCCCAAATGCCTCCAAAACATCTATAAAACACCTCTTACACGCTTTGCAACATGGTCAAAGACGTCAACTCTTTCAGCAGTCTCCCCACCCCCACTTTCACCACATGCCACTCTGGGGTTCAGCCTTTCTGTTCCACTCTGAAATGGTTACTCTAGGCCTGCACCGTGGTTACGTGATGACTTCTCTATACCATTTCCCTGTGTTAAATCCCTGTTCCCTATCTTCCTTCTTCTTTAGATTAGTCTCATTTTGGTGGGGCACAGGACTCAGTACCTTTCCCGGAAAAGAGGAGTTGAAGATAAATTTTTTGGTTCTTTGAAATTCTGAAAATATACTTACTCTATTTTCACATTTGATTGACACTTTCACTGTTTGTAGAAATCTAGGTTGGCAATTTTTTTCATTCTGACTTTTGCATGCATTTCCCATTGTCCTCTAGCATCTAATGTTACTATTGAGAAGTCTGCTGCTTTTTCTAATTCCTGTTTCTTTGTACGTTGCCATTTTTTTTTCCTTGAAATTCTTAGGAACTTCTCTTTACTTCAGTGTTTTGAAATTTTATGATGACATGCCTTGATATGTATCTTCTTTATTCATTGTTCTGGTATTTATTGAGCCTTCTCAGTCCAGAGGCTTAGGCCTGCCAGTTCTGGGAAATCTTTCTTGAAATTGTTTTACAATTTTTTCCTTATTTTTCTTTGTTCTGTCTTTCAGGGACTTCTATTGAATGTATATTGAATTTCCTGACTCCTAATTTTCTTATCTTTTCTTTCCTCTTGGGCATGTTTTTACTTTTCTTACCACTTTGTGAGAAAATTTTTTGACTTGATCTTCCAACTTTTCTAATGGAACTTTTATTCAGCTATTATTTTTAATTTCTAAGGTTCTTTCTTATTTTTAATCCTTTAAAATAGTTTTCTGTTCTTGTTTATATTGCCATATCATCTATCATTTTTCTATGGATATTAATTATAGAGTTTAAACAAATGTTTTCTTCTCTGCCTTGACTCTGTTTTTTTCCAATTTTTAATTTTCTATTTCTTTGTTTTGGGTTCTGTCTTTCACACTGGAGACTGTGCTTTATGTTTTTTGTTTGCCCTGTAGATGCATTATCCACCTTTTTTCACACTCCATATATCCCTAGGGAGGATGGCCTCTCTATGGCCTGCATCAACTGGCCCTCTGGCTTCTGGTTGGGTTCAGCTAATGAGAGGAACGGCAGATCTCAGGACTGAAAAACAACGAGGTCAGGGTATTTATTCTCCTAGCTTCTCCCTGCTTACCTGCCATGGCTGCATCCCTCTATCAGGGATTCCAGTCTGGTGTCCCTCTCCTTAACTTCACCCTCTCCAATTCACCCTCTCCAAGGGTAACCACTCCTTTCCCTTACTTCTTCAGGCTTAGAGGTGGTAGAGCTCTAGTTTTATCTAGTAGTCCTGGAATATAAACATTGTCCATACCTCTGTAAATGGTTCCTTTATTAAACTCTCACCTGCTGTCCAGTTTGATGTGGTCTTCTGCTGAGATTCTAACTGATACAGAGGTTTTCCTCTCTAAAGATCTGATGATCTTTAGCTGGCTGTTTATATTGAAAAGAGATACTACATGAGACTCTGTGGGCATGGGGAGGATGCACTGGCTGCTGACTTCCTTGTAAGATGTTTGGACTGATGAGTTGGGGAAGCTTTTCCATTGGTAAACTTCCAGAGATCAATATTTATGAACTTTTCCCCTAATCTTCTGTCTTGGGGTGTATATGCTTAGTTGTTGACTTTCTGGAGCAGGATGCCGGAAGGGGGCTGGGGGGAGTCCCATCATCCTTTACATAGACTGTCACTTACTCACTTAACCCATTTGTTTCATTCTGATCCTCACTCCCACCCTCTGATGACTCTTCTTCCAGGTCCAGGGCTGCCCTGGGTCAGTTTCGCCAGATAATAAATGTGTGGTGTTCGTTAGGTATAGCAAGAGATAGGTTGCCTAGTTATGTGTGTTGGGGAGAATCTGGGCATCTAACTACCCCCCATAAATATACTTTCAGGCAACGCCTCTGATTTCAGCCCTATCCTTACCCGACTTTCAAAGACACTTGGTGCTTCTCAGTCCTGAGGCTTTTCATTGTCTTCCAAGACAAAATTTGTTTCCTTCTCACTGTTCCCTGCAGCAGGCACAGGGTTTCAGCCTCCTCCACTCTGCATAATCAGTTACCTCCTTCATCTGTGGTATTCATCTGAAATGTGTTGAACTATCTTGTTTCTTCTTCTATTCCTCTTTTCTTGGTGGATTCATACTTTCTTTGTTCCTTTACAGTTGGCTTAAGAGGGTTTTGGAAGGAAATAGAGATAAAGGTGTGGGCTCAATCTATCCCGATTAATGGAAGTTCCTACTGCTCTTTGTAGGCCACAGCTGACAAGGATAGAGAAAGTGGTCCCACAGTGGCCCTGAGAATGTGAGGCAGGCTGGAAGTTGTGTGACTGCACAGTATGACAGAAGGGAAGCCACTCAAAGCTGAAGCCTTGGCACCGTGGCCTTTGTATTTGTGAGTTTTGTGAGTCTGTTCATTTTATTCGGGCAGCACCTCTGAGATGAATACTTCTTGTGAAGGAAATTTACTAAGATCAGCTGGGAACTTACTTGAAGAAGTTTTCACCAAATGGCATTACATAGCAAGAAGGGGGAAAAATATGGGGAGCTCTTAGACAGATGCTTTTTAAAATTTTAATTTTGCCAAATGGCGAGGGTAGCCAAAGAAGACGTATATGCTTCTAGTCTGGGAGGGACTGCTTTTCAGAGCGGGGAGAAGCAAAATCTTAGCTGATCTAATGTAAGAAGAACCCTGGGGTCATAGAACCACAGACTTTCATGGTGGAGGGGACTTTAGAAACAGCCTAATCTTTACAGAAGAGGAAATTAAGGCCTAAGTTTGGAAATGATTTGCCCTAAGTCACACAGCAAGTTATGGGCTATGTCCGGAACGGTCACCCACAAGTCCTAACTTCAGCTGGCACATTACACCCCTCTGGAGATAGAACGTCGGCAACTTTAGAGGTGAGCTCCAAAGGTCCCACCTTTGTCACTGTGACCTAGCAGTCCATGGCCTCAGGAGCCCTTGACTTGGCTTGTTTCTGGGTAGTTTCTGCTACTCACCCATACTGGAGATATTATATTCTCCATTTCCCTAGGCTGCATAGGTTTGTACCAAACCAGTGCTATGCCAAATTGTAGACCTGTTTAGACATGTTTCCTTTCGTTTCATTATTTTTGGGGGCTCTGCCAAGGCTCACCATATGAACTCAAATGTGATTTAAGAAACAAAAAAAGATAATGACTTCAATAGCTTGGCTTTTTAGGAAAGTTAAGGGGGAAGAAGAGTCCAGGAAGCCAACACACTGTGTGACCAACTGTCAAATATTTATTGAACCATAATAACAGTAATAGTTGACATTATTGATCTATGTGTGGTTTTACACATTTTACATACATTATTAATTGATTCTTTACATCAACAGTAAGGTAGGTACTATTATTATACCTGTTTCACAGATGGGGAAACTATGGCAGAGAGGGTAACTTGCTCAAGGAGGAGAACCTTGTCCTGGGTACTCTGCAGCTTAAGGACTTGGGTATCTAAAGACACAGGTTCATAATTAGCAATATTCTCTCAAATTATTCAGTAACAGATTGTTAAGAGCTGCAAAGGGGTCTCTTTTGGCTGCCAAAAGGCTCCAGCTGCAGCCTGTCTCCATGAAGGCATAGAAGGGGACCATTTCACTTTTTCTGAAAACTGGGAATTTATTACACAAAGGATGATGAATTCAGGATCTAAAGGGTGGAATATGAAAAGAAGTCAACAAAGTAATGTGTAATTGGGAATCAATATAAGAGAGGGCCTAGTGGTAGAAATGGTAAGTCTTGGGTATTGACTGAGTCAGCTTGCACTAGGGAGGCCAGAGCACAGGGGAGCCAGCCATGGGCAGCAGAGATATTGACAGAGGGTAAAGGATGAGCTTGTTAGTTATATTGCCTTTAAATTGTCAGTGGGATAGGCAGTGGGGTAGTCTGAAGACATTCCTATAAAAGAGGCCTAGAGAGGAAATTTGTGGGTTAGGGGTGGGGATGTGGTTTTCAGTATCTTGCATTACAGGACCACATCTGTGCCCACACTGCAGAATAACCTTTGTCCATTCTAGAGAGAGCCTGCAAAGTACAGATGACCATGGTATACTTGGGAATGTTGGGTTTATAGAATTAAAGTGGGTTGGTGCTGGAAAGGATCTCAGAAGCCAACTGTTCCCAATCTTCATCTGTAAGTGAAATATTCAAGTCTTAGAAGGGGCAGTGATATGTTTCAGTTGTGAGCCAGCCAGAGGACCTGCCCAGGCAGACTAAGAAAGCAGATCTCCCACCACTCAGCCCAGGCCCCTTTGCTTCAAATCGTGTCTCAGAGGGAGAACAGTAGTTCCCCTTATCTGCAGTTGCACTTTCTACAGTTTCTGTTACCTGCAGTCAGCCACAGTCCGAAAATACTCAATGGAAAATTCCAGAAATAATGCAAAAGTTTCACATTTTGAGTAGCGTGATGAAATCTCATGCCATGTCACTCCATCCCACCCAGAACATGAATCATCTCTTTGTCCAGTGTGTCCATGATGTATATACTATCCGCCTGTTACTGTATAGGAAAAAATAGCAAATATATATAGTTTGGTACTATCTGAGATTTCAGGCATCCCTTGGGGGTCTTGGAACATGTCCCCTGAAGATAAGGGGGCACTACTGTATTTAAAACTGTGACAGTTTCCAAATCCAGTACTGACTGTCCCCTAGTGAAGATGTCTTTTTAATCTGGCTCCTTAAACTGTCCAGGTACCTTTGTTAATCTTCAATTTTAAAATGAAATTTAAATTACCTTAAGTAATTTACTCGCCCTCCAAGGGCTCCAATAGCACATCTATAAAATAAAGATAATACTCTGGCTCTCCTACTCCCCCGCTTTACTTTATATAGGCCTTCTGAGGTTGTAACAAGTACAAGTATGGTTGGAAAAGAAAGATAATAATTTTGTATAAAAAGTAAGAATATTATAGTTTTAATAGTTTCATTATAATTTTCAAATGAAGTTGACGTGATTTTGAGAGGGACACTAAGTCCATGAAAGAAACTCAGCTCTGCTCCTTCCTAGCAATGCAACGTTGAGTGAATTATAACCTCCTTGAACCTCAGTTTCCCTATGTAGATAAAGAATGAAAATGCTCAGAGCAACTATGACAGTTAGACGGGATAATATATATAAAGGACTGAGCTTAGTGCCTGATGCTTGACAGAAGCAGTAAATGCAGATTTCTATAGCTCCACATCCTTGCCAGAACTTAGCATGATCCAGTTATCAATTTTTACCTGTCAAAGGTGAGAAACAAAATGTTATTCTACTAAAATAAGAATTTAGTTTTAGTTTCAAAGACAGAGTGTGTCAGTCCAGGTTCAACTAGAGAAACAGACCCAGAAGGAGATGCAAATTAAGATATTTTGGTGAGGAAATGGCTTGTACAACTGTGGAGACTGGCTAGCAAGCTTGAAATCCACAGGGCAAACTGTCAGGAAGGACAGGCAGTGGCAGCAGAAATAGGAAGTACGGAAGAGATTTGAAAGCCATTGCTAGTCAGTAATTAAGTGGCCTAATATGAAAAGGATTGAGAAAGGAAGGGGAAGAATGGGCAGGATCAAGGATGTGGTACCCTTTTCTCCTTGGTAGACTGGGTAGATATGTCATCATTGAGAAGAGAGATGCCTGGAGAGAGGAAAGAATAGGCTTTGGGCAAGGTAATGAATTTATTTTTTAGCATAGCTGAGTGTAAGATGCCTGTGGAACACTAGGCATCTTACCCAAACAGGACTACTTGGTAGAAGGTTGGAATGAAAACTTTCAGCTCTGTAGAGAAGTCGGGGAGTTGGTTCTGTAGAGAAAGCTTAATGAAGCAGAGCTACTTAATTACAGTTTTTTTCTTTATGTATATGTACACAGTGTTTGTGCTAAGTGGCCCTGCTATAGGGTATGGTGTTGTGATAGCTTTAATAATGTTATGTAAGTGTCACTATTCTGTGATTATTTTTGCTGCTGCAATAATTTGGCCCAGGGCAAAGACTGCTTTCCTGGTCCTTTTTTTTTTTTTTTTTTTTTGAGACGGTGTCTCGCTCTGTCCCCCAGGCTGGAGTGCAGTGGTGTGATCTTGGCTCACTGCAACCTCTGCCTCCCGATTTCAAGCGGTTCCCCTGCCTCAGCTTCAGCCTCCCGAGTAGCTGGGACTACAGGTGTGCGCCACTGTGCCTGGCTAAATTGTGTGTGTGTATATATGTTTTTTTTGTTTTTGTTTTAGTAGGGACAGGTTTTGCCATGTTGGCCAGGCTTCTCAAACTCCTGACCTCAGGTGATCCACCCGCCTCGGCCTCACAAAGTGCTGGAATTACAGGCGTGAGCCACCGTGCCCAGCCTCCTGGTCCCTTTTTATAGGGACGAACTCACCTTAGTAGACTTTCCAGATTCCAAGAAGCTATTGCAAAGGTTGAGTCCTCAATAGGAACTCCATACGTGGATACATGGGAAGGCTCTGTCTCCCTGAGGAAAAACCAGATGGAGTTGTCCATTTCTGCAGAGTGACCTGAAAGCACATAGCACCACGTATGATTAATGACTTTGTGTAGCAGCTCACTGCCCCAGTAAACAAGGCCAGCCCAGTCACATTGCCTGGGAAGAAGCACTGTGTGCTCTTCCTCAACCCTAGACCTCGTCTTAACAGGTCTACAGATAACAGATGGGGGTGTGGTGCCTTGGGAAATACAGGAGCAAGGGGAAGGAGAAGAAATGAACATTCACTTAACATTTCTCATGTGCCAAGCAGTGTGTTGGGCACGTTCATGATGATAATGATGAAAACAGTGACAGCTAACACTTACTGATTGTTTGCCTTGGCGCCAAGCACTGTTCATGTATGGTATTTTTTTTTCTATTTAGTCATCACAACCACCATATGAAGTGGGTACTATTGTTTGCTATGTTTTACAAGTGAGGAAATCAGGGCAGAGATTAAATGAGTTGCCTAGGGTCACACAATTATGTAGTAGTATATATCTAAGGTGGGACTTGAAAAATGTTCCTGAGCCCACAGTTCCAGACTCCGTGCTACTACTCTCTGATACTGTCGCAGCCACTTTCCCCTCCCTGGTCCTGTCATGCAGAGGGGCAAGACTACAGAGTTCTTTCTCTGATAGTTCTCATGGATTTCTGTCTTCACTTTATTGGGTGAGTGGCTTATGGGAAGCACTGAGCGAGAATTAGGAGACCTGGGTTCTTATCCTACCCACGGTCTGACCTTGGACCTCAGATCTAACCCTCACATTCTTCATCTGTAAAATGGAGATACTAACATCTACCAGGGTATTATGAGGATCAGATGAATAAATTGCTAGGAAAGTGTTTATGTAAATGCTGAGAGTTACCCTGTTGCATCTGTACCTACTTCTTTGCTTTTCAGAATATCTTCTTTCCTGTTACCTTCCCTGACCCTGATTCCTTTTGTCCTTTATTATGATTTATGACATTTTTATCACTTAAAAGTCTGTGATAATCATGCTTAAGGCAGGAGGCCACTGAAATTCTTACATAAATAATTCCACCTACCTGAGCCAAATGGAGGGGGTGAAGTGGGGTGGTGTGTAGCAGATTTAGCAGCTGCTGAAGCTATAACCAAGAGAAGTCTCCTTGTCAGTCACAGGAATGAATCATTCAAATGGCTGCCTTGCTGGGTCCTTCCCAGAGCCAGAAGGTAAATTAGGGAGCAATGTTGCTTTCATTACTCATTAAGCTTAAAATGAAGCTCTGCCTCTTTGAAATGTAGCAAGGATTTCTGTTTGAAAGAGCATGGGTTCGGGAGTCAGACTGACCTGAGTTCATTCAATTCCCAGTATTGCCACTTAGTAGCTGAATGACCTTGGGCAAGTCATCTTACCTAACTGGGCCTCAGTTTCCTCCTCTGTACATGCATCCCAAGGTTATTGTGCAGCACAGATGAGATCATGGGTATAAAGGGCCCGGCATGGTACCACACACTCATTAGACTCTCAGCAGTTTTTACTTTGCTGTGTCTCCAAGCTGTGGGAATGAACACCTTAGGGAGGTAGATTTGATGGGGAGTGAAACAACCTGGTTTCCAGAGTGCAAAAGCAGAGAACTCAGTAATAGACATTTGAATCACAGGTCTATTTTTAGTTCAATCCAGCCTAAGATTTCAAAATGTGGGTTCTTCCTTGTGTCCCTTCATCCTTTCTGTGTAAGCAGTGGGGGTGGGGTTGTCCAGCTTCTCTGAAGGCACGTACTCCTGCCATTTCAGTCATATCTTTTTCCTCATTAGTGTCCAGCACAGTCACCTTGGATACATCAGCTTAAAAATCTGCAATAATGCATGAATGCAAGTGTTTTACTCTAGTCTTCAGCAAGATTCTGTCACTGCCACGCCAGCCTTTAACTCTCCAACTTTTAAAACTTCGGAGAAATTTCATCCATAACCCTCATCCATGTTTCTAGTATGGCTGACTTCATGACTTTGGGGAGCACAGCAGTAAATACTTTTCTACCAGGTCCTGTCTGTCCCTTGCCTTCTCAAAATGCACATATCCCCACACAGGGCCCCACAGTCACAGAGCAGCCTCATGTGCGGGGGCTCTATAGAGCATCCTTGTACTCATGTGTCTTACAGAAGAGGGATGCAAACTACTAGATACACAGGAGACACATAATAATTAATGTTTCTTCATTTCTTCCTTGCAACAGCTCTCTGGTAAGTAGGAATGTGGTTTCAAGGTTAAGGGCACTGCATTTCAAATCAAGGGGACCAAGGTTTGAATCCTAACTCTGTAACTTAACAGTTATATGACCTGGTACAAATTATTGAACTCCTCTGAGCATAGGTTTCCTCTTCTGTCAGCTGGAGATAATAGCACCCGTCTCACAGGACTGTAAGGAGGAGTGAAAGAATACATGCAAAGCCCTCAGCACAGGGCCAGCACACGGTACAGATATATACATAGTAATTGTGACAGTTTCACAGCAGAGGAAATACTGCCCTAGGGAGGTTAGCTAATTTATCTAAGGTAGGTATCATCCCTATTTTATGTAAAAGGACATCGAGGCTGAGTCAAGCATGTTGTCCAATGTTATATAGTGAATAAGCAGCAGAATGTGAACTACAACCCAGGTCTCCTGACACCTCAGCCAGGTCTCCTAACATTTCACCAGAAACCTCTGGAAAACTGAAATAAATGTCCCCCAGCCCATTTACAATTGCCCCCCTGGTGGTGGAATCCAAGCCCAGCTTCCCTTTTGCTGAATCCTGCTTTCTAGAAATAGGCTGCCAGTGAAAGATGTGTGCAAGTGTATATAGAAATGCATACATATATGTGATAGAGTGGGAAAATATCCCAGGGAGCCATGATTACCAGAGTACTCCAAGAATGCAGTATTTTGGTTAATGGATTTTTCTCAGAGTATTAACCTCTTGGTTTCAGGCCTTATTGAAAGTCATTATGAAATGCATTGCAAACATTCACTCTCTGATGCTAGAAGGAGCTGTCTAGTGAGCGTAATTAAATTCTCTTTAAGTGACAGAGGATCTTGGCAGGATGTCCATTTATCACCAGAATGATCAGTTGTGCTGTTCAGGACTCTAATAACAACCCATATGTCTGTCTGGGTCTTTTACACTCATTATAACATTTAATCATTGCAACAGCCCTGTATGTGTACGTGTGTGTTGGGAGTAAAGGGCAGGATGGGAAGATGATTATCCCCATGTTGTTACTGAGGAGGCTAGGATTTGGAGAGCATGAATGTCCTGTTAGGCATCTGCTATGGTTTGAATATGCTCCTCAAAAATTCCTGTGTTAGAAACTTGGTCCCCAGTGTAACAGTGCTGGGAGTGGGGCCTTTGGAAGCTGATTGGGTCATGGGGGATCAACCCTTATGAATGGATTTATGTCATTATTGTGGGAGTAGGTTAGTTATTGCTGGAGTGGCTTTGTTAAAAATATAAGCTCTCTCTCGCATGTGTTCTCTTCTCCTTCCACCTGTCCACCCTAGCATGACCCTCACTAGATACCAGCACCATGCTCTTGGACTTTCCAGCCTCCAGAACTGTGAGCCAAATCAACTTCTTTATAAATTATCCAGCCTGTGGTATTCGGTTATAGCAACAGAAAAAAAGACCAGGAGAAGATCATGTATCTTGAAAGTAACAGAGATAGAACTGAAATGACATTTGCTGAGACATAATATAGTAAAGCAGAAAAAAACATAGATTTTTGAGTAAGACATACTTGAGTTTAAATCCTGATTTTGCCACTTACTGATGGTATTGACCGTGAATAAATTAATCTCTCAGGTCCTAAGATTCCTCATCTGTAAAATGGGTCAAATAATATTTCCCTTGCTGGGGGTAATTTTAAGGATTCTAAATAATGTATATAAAGCAACCAGCATTGTGCCTGGTCAGAGTAGGTCCTCAGCACATGGAAGCTATTATTATTCTGTCTCCTGGTCCTGTGCTCTTTCCAGTCTACCAAGATGTCTACTACTGTAGATATAGAAGGTACAAGGGATTGGCCTTACCTGTCTTCAGCCCATCAAATGCTAGAAGTCTTTTCATTAGCCTCAAGGGTGGGGTTGGGGGGGTTGTTTTATCCCTTTCTAATAACAGAAGCTGGAGGCAGCTTTTATTGTATAGGTAAAACTTAAATAATTTTATATCAATACCAGAGCTGCTGCAAAGCAATAAAGTAAGTATCACGTATGACTCTTGTTGATAGTAAGTGCCCAGAGTCAGGAAATGCTTTTTGGATTTTAAAAATATGCATAGAATTTGACTAGGAGAACAAGAGATACTTCATGTAGGATCAACGGTGTGGAGGTAAGACAATGTAAGATTTGCTCAGCTTGGCTAGAACAAAAATTGTCATTGGTAGGGGAGCATACATGATAAGGATGGAAAAATAGACTCGTATATAGAGCTTCACATGTGCATGTAAACACACACATGTTACTCACATCTCCTATGCATGTACATTGCCAACCTAAAATACTTAGAATTGATTGGAAGCATTGGGTGAATAGATATTATTTCATCTCTCTATGATTTGTAGAAAAGCAATGTGGTCAGAAGAAAGAGAGCTAGAGTGGGGGTTGGGAGACCCAGATGTTGCTCTTGGTACCGCCCCATTCGACTGTATAATCTGGACAAGACATGGAACCTCTTTGGGCCTTATCTCCTCATTTATAAAAACATCTGTGCCACTTTTGGAAAATCCTTTGGAGCTATTATCAAGAGCCTTGAAGATGTCCATTCACTTTCATTTATTAATTCATATCCTAGCATTCTTCTCTAAGGAAAGATCTTAAATATGGAAAAAAACTTTATGGTTAAAGATGTTCATCATAGTCTTTTTATAATTTAGTAAAATTAGGAGCTACCTAATTTTACTAACATTTGGTAATGGATAAAAGATGACCTATCTGCTTCACTAATTTGTAGTGTTTATTAAGTAAGAATTGCAGCATTGGTCATGTAAAAATGAAAACAAAAAGGCACATATGAAAAATATACTGGGAAATATACTTTCCAGTGTAGGAAGCATTGTTGATGTTATCCACACCCTTCATGATCCAGACCCAGATGTTCACACCAGCTGTCTTTGTGCCACCACTATTTACTGTATATGGTGACCTCACTATGGTGACCTTAGGACATTTTCCTAACAAATACCTTTCATCCCTGTATGCTTTTGTATGTCTGGTTCATTCCTCCTGAAATTCCCTTTACTCCCTTGTCTCGCCATGAATATCTGCTCTTCTTCTAGTCCAGCTCTGCAAATTTCCCTGACTTCCTAGGTGGAATCAGTTGCTCCTTCATCCTTCTTTCTATAAAATTTGTAACTTGGCTCTAACACATATGTCCTCTGTTACAGTCTTCTTGTTTGTTTCCATCTCTGCACATAGACTGGGCCTTCCTTAGGGTCAGAATTGTGTTATCAACAAATCCCTAGGATTCAGCAAAGGGCCTGGCATTTAATAATCACTCAATATATGATTGAATTTTTACTTTTTTATTTTGATTTTTTGCTTTTCCATGTTTTCTGCATATTTTATAATGACTATGCATTGTGCTTATAATGGAAGAAAAATAGTAGTAATTCATTTACTCATTTACTTTAACAAGGTGACTGACCTAGTTCAGAGGTTCTCAAACTTGGCAGTTCATCAGAATCACCTGGAGAGCTTATTAAATTGCAGATACCCTGGCCCCTAGACAGACTTCTTGAGTCCCAGTCTCCCGGATAAGGACCTGGAATCAGTATTATTAACAGGCTACCAGTTATTGGGATGCTCAGCCATGTCTGAGAACCTTTGACCTCAGTACTGCTAAAGCCCTTTCAGCTTAAAATCTTCCTAATTCTTTGATTGGCCTTCTGTCCCTTGCTCCCCCTGCTATGAGAGGCTTTAGCTGGAGGGCATGTGGAGCAACAGGCCATACAATGGAGAATACCTGTACTAGCTTCATTATTGGGCTCCTCTTCTGTGCCAAAGACTGCTTTGTAAATAGCGTTTTAAAATATCTATACAATCATACTTTAAGGTCAGTTTTATTTTCTCCATTTTACAGATGAGAAAACTGAGGCAAAGAGAAGTTGTGACTTTCCCAAGGTCAAATAAGAAAGCATTGGATGCTGTGTTTCAATTCAGTTCTGTCAGACTTCAAAACTGGATCTAGAATTTCCCTCACTGCCCCTCCCTGTCCCCCTTCCCCCCAAATAAAGGAACCCCAGCAGGGTCACGTACAGCCCTGCTGAGTGCAGACACGTTCTGCCGTCTGCTCAGGCATGTGGAATTAGCATCCTTGGGCAGCAATGCACCACATAAGCAGAGGCTTGCAGCTCACCAAATGTGCTCTGGCGCCCACCCACCTGCTTACAGGGTGCAGTGAAGCAGTGGAATTCAATTTGCGGCAGTGACCTAAGAAGAGCTATTTTTAGTAAGAAAGTAGGTCAGGGGCTGCAGCGGTGCTGCCTGATAAAGGAACAGCCTCCCCTGTCACCAGGAGGCTTGCTCACTTCTCGCACAGCCAGTGTGGAGGTGAGGTGCAGATCTGACATCCTCACATGACTGCAGTTGTAATCATTACTGTGGAGCCACTAGGGGGTAATACACACACACATCTAAGACACAGAGGCTCTTGCCTGGGTTTGCTTAAGGTCTTGGGCCCTAGTCTTCCTCAGGAGATTAGAATCCCTTCAGGAAACACCTCTAACATACTAGGAGGCTCATCTATTATATACCTGCTACATGTCAGCCACCATTCTGGGTTCAATATGCATTCTCTCATTTAATCTTTGCAGTATCTCTGCAAGGTAAGTATTATTATCCCAGTTTTGCTGATGTGGAAATGGAGTTGCAGAGAAATTAAGAGATATACTCAAGATCACAGTGTTCATGTGTCATGGAGCCATTTTTGAATCCTGTGAGAGACTTCAGTGCTGATGATCGGATGACCAGACCATCAAACCATGCTGGAGGTGATTTTTTAATTACCATTCTGCCTCTGCCCCGTTTTGTTCAATACTTCAGAGAAAAAAAAATACAAAGATGGTGTTCTCCATCTGAACTTATCTGAATCAGGACAGGAAAGACCCAGGACACAGACCCTTTCCCCAGAGAGGAGAGAATACATCTCTACATACTGCTGCCCAATCATCAAGCCCAGTAGTTGCCAAAAACAAACCAACCACCTGATTTCCCTGGGCCTGGAGTGTTTCAGAATCCTCTGCCCCACTTGTTCTGCCGTGTATTAACTGCAGAGCTGTGGCAAATTGCAAGGCACTCATTGGCGATACACAGGTGGACATGAGCTTGTTAACAGAATGCAGTAATTGACATACCGTGATTCATTATGCACAGCACGAAGGACTCTAGTAGAAGCCCACTTTATGGCCAAGAGCTGCTGGCACCACCAACCTTGAGAATTTGTTCCTGGCTCTGTTCTGTCTCCCCAGCTAGAGAGCACCATCCCTTTAGGGGCCAGAAGCAGTCTGTGGCTTCAGTCTTATCTGCCCCTACCTCCAGGCAAGGAGTAAGGATACTTCCCTGGTCCCAGGCTGCATGACGTTGGAGGGAGATTATTTGTTCATTCATTCACTCAACAAGCATTTAAAAAAATCTGGCCAGTAATGCAGTGGAGAACAAGACAGATAGTTCCTGCCCTTCCAGAACTTAATCACCTGGTGACTATCAGAACTGCAAATTTCTAAGCACCCAATTCCCAGTTCTATAGACCTGGAAGTGGGCCCTCTCTGGACCTTAGTTTCTTTATCATCAAATGAGTAGAAAAGAGAGAATTGTATTGGTCAATCTCTTTTAGCTCTAAGATTTCAGACTCTGTGGTTATGGATTATAAACATGAGTCACAGTATCAGTCTTAGTCATTTGTATCCAATGCCAAAGGAAAAAAAATGAAAATCTCAAATTTCAGAATCTGGATGGGAAACATGGACACAAGCTAATTCAATTTCTTCACTTACAAATGGGAAAAATGAGGCTAAAAGAAGGGTGTGTCTTGCCTAGTATATCAGTGAACAGAGCCAGGATGGAGAGGCCAGTCAGCTGAGCCCAAGTCTTGAGACACCCCATTCCTACTGAGGCTGCCTCTTCACTCAGCACTGCTGCTGTGCCCCTGTTTGGAACCCTTTCTGCACTTGGCTTTTCTAACAGTGAGCTCTACTGAGTCTTCTACTTACGCCTCTAACCACTGCTTCTGTGTTTCCTTATCAGCCCCAGGGCCGATGGCCTGAGAGTAGAAGAAGGAGTAGGCTTTGATAGCTGAGCCCCCAAAGGTAAATCAAATTTAACTTTGTTATGCTAAGGCTATAAAAAAAAATGGACATGAAGAAGTTGAAGCAGAGCATGTAGAGTTTGCTGACAGAGTTCTCGAACAAGCAGTTACAGAGGCAAACCACAGTGAAACAACAGAAGAAGGGAACCTGGTGGAGATGGCTGCTGAGAAGTTGCTCCATGAACTCAGAGGACCTATAGAAGGGCCTACCTACACTCATTGTCTTAGAGCAGCCTTGCTAACCCACGGGCAGCGAGCTGCATGTGGCCCAGGACAGCTTTGAATGCAGCCCAACACAAATTTGTAAACTTTCTTAAAACAGGGGTTTTTTGTTCTGTTTTTTTTGTTTGTTTGTTTTGTTTTGTTTTTTTTTAAGCTCATTAGCTGTTGTTAGTGTACTTTTTGTGTGGCCCAATTCTTCTTCCAGTGTGGCCCAGGGACGCCAAAAGATTGGACACCTCTGGCGTAGAGCCTCTCTATACCCCTGGCCCATGTCTGTCTTCTACATGTAGCCAATGAAAGGAATCTAAAGCTGGAAGGGCAGGGGACCTTTCTGATGCTCTTGTGAGGCAAAGGGATTGAGATCACTGCAGAGAAGCTGGCAACAGGAGGCCCATCATTTTTTCAGTGGGCAGGACATCTCCATTCTGGGTGGAGGAAGACGCAAGGCTTTGGCAAATACTAAAATGCTTGTTTGTCTATTGCTCTTTCTTTATGTCCATCACAGTCTGGGAACCAGTACCTTGAAGCACTATCCTTGATTAATTTATAATTTTCTGCCCTATACTGACTGCCTAGGAAAGAGGTGGTCAGAGGTACGAGAGGGTGAAAATACTGTTCTTAATTATGAAAACCTATATCTGTTCTGTGTATCCATGGATAATTTTAGTCTTCTAAATTGATTTGTTATTTTCCAAGCTTTATTTTTATAAAAAGTCATTTTTCAGTAAACATATAACATTGTCAAGAACTACCTAATCCATGTACATAAAATGTCATGTGAATGTATAAATATGTATATAATGTATAAAAATAAAATTATTCTAATTTTTAAAAAATGACTAAAGGTCATTTGACTGTGAATTGGATACCTGAGTCTGAAGTATTGATTCCTGTGTGTCCTTGAGCTAGTCACTTGCCCTTTCTGCCCCTCTGTTCTCATATCTATAAAGTGAAAGGTCTGGATCAGTGGTTTTAGTCACCTGGACTATTCTATCAAATCACTTGGGATAATTATTAAACATATACATTCCTGGGCCCACTTCCAGATCAATAGATTTGGGAATTGGGTGCTTAGAAATTTTTAGTTCTGATAGTCCTCCAGGTAATTAATTCCAGGTGATGTAGCCAGGTTTTGAGTAGTTGTCTTCCCTGAACCCCTCTGGTTCTGATGTTTTAGGATCCTTTGCCTTCTTTCTCTCTTGCTCAGTTTCCCATTGTTCTCTTTTCCTTTTTTCCCTAGAGTGCTCCTCTCACTAGACTGTGAACCTCTGAGGAGGAGGGGCTGTATCTTACCCATCTCTTTATCCCCGTCCTCCAGTGCAATGTCTGACACACTGGTAGTGCTCAGTGAACAGTGGGTGCAATGAAGGGAAGGAGGGAATGAATGGGCTCTCATGGCTTTATACCACCTATACACATCCAAGTAATGTCCTTAATGTTTCCTGCATCCTCAGTCATTATAGATTTCTTCAGAACAGTAAGTGGAAAGACCACAGACTTTGGAATCTAAGAAAACTGGATTTGAATCTCAACTCTTTCTCTTACTGTGTAGTGATTTCTCCTAAGTCATTTAATCTCTTTAAACTACAGTTTCCTTGATTGTAAAATAAGGAGAATGGCACCTGTTGCTTGAGATTGTTGTTAGGATTGACTTACTACATGAAAATATGGATGCAGAGTGCTTGACATATAGTAGGAACTCAAGTATCTCAGCTTCTTTTCTTCCTTTACATGCCCAGTGATGAGTGACAGTAAAAGGAGGGAGGAAGACTCAGAAGAATAGATCAACCCCAAGCCAGGCCGCAGAGGATGACAATATAGTTCATTGTCATCTCCTGGCTTCCTGTGACACTGAGGTTCTCACTGAGGCCCAGGCATCTTGGTGGATCCCCACTTGCTCAACCCTGGGCATATCAGAATTCAGACTTAGAATCTCCTGACTTTAAGTGTGGCCTGTTCTCTCTGTTTCTGTGAGCTACAGGAGATAGACAAGTAACAAAAGAAATTCAAGGAACTATTATAGGTTGGGGATCCTTATGCAGGCTTGATGTCTGGGCTTGCTGTGAGAAACTCAAGTTCATTTCATATGGTTGGTTCTCAGGGCTAAAAATCTGTGCGTTGGTTTCGTTAGCATATCAGCTCCTCTCTTCACACACTCTGTGTTGGAACTGCCACAGCATGCTGCTTTTCATAAAAGTCTCTCTTTCAAACCAAGTCCAGCTGTTTCAGTCCTAGAAGGCAGCCAGATTAGTTCTCTTCTGGGCAAAATGGTAAGTGCTTATCACTCCCCACAATGCCTCCAGCACCACAGAAATAACAGCCACCCTTTACTGAGTGCCTACTGTGCTTCAGTCCTTTGACATCACTATGAGTGGTTATTATTAGCTCATTTTATAGGGCAGTAGGTTATGATTAAGACTGTAGACTTTCAAGTTTGACCAAGGTTCAAATCCTGGCCCCACCATATTTTAGCAAATCCTCTCTGAGTTTCTGTTTCTTATTAGCAAAAAAGGGCTAGTAATGTATACCTCATAGTACTGAAAGGATTAACTGAATACCGGATGCATGGTCTTGGTACCACGCCTAATGCATGGTAAGTAAATCCTCAATAAATGTAACTGTGGTAATGATGGCAATGCTGTGGTGTCTTCATCTATAGAAGGTGTTTCACTGTAGTGGATACCAGAGAGATAAGGAGAGGTGGCAAAAATATCAACAGTTTCTGTTAGTCTAATCCAGACTCAAGAGAACCTCAGAAATACTATTAGAAAGGGACCTGTTATGATTGCTTGGAATAAACTCAGTGAATAGCTGCGGTGTATTATTCATTCAGCAGATTTTTATTGACTATCTACTATGTTTCAGGCCTTATGCTAAAAGCTGGAGATACTATGATGATAAAACAGACATGATCCCTCACCCTCAAGGAGCTTAAGTCTTATGGAAGGACTCAGACACTGTTAAAAAAAAAAAATTGCACCAGTCATGCAAAATTACAGACTAGGATAAATGCTACGAAAGAAAGGGACAAGGTACTATGAGAATGTATGATAGGGGTCCTCACTTACTTCACATGATCAAGGATAGCTTTGCTGAGGAATTGACATCTGAGCTGAGATCTGAAGGATCACTAGGAGTTATAATTAGATGAAAGGAGTGGGTAGGGTGGAGAGAAAGCTTTCTAGGCATATGGACAAATATGGCCCCCATGGTGAGAGGCAGCTTAGCGCTTTCAAAGAAGTGAGAAGGTCAATATGATTTGAGTACAGAGAAAAGGCTGGAGGGGGAGATTAGGTTCTTGCAGGCCATGTGAAGAGTTTCTTTTCTTTTTATTCTAAGCTCATAGTAATCATAGAAGGATTTGAAGCAGAGGTGGTTATGTGTATGTTACTCATGGGGAGGGCATTATGCTCAATTTGACATTTACAAGAGATCTTTCCAACAATGGCCTTGAGAATTGATGGAGGGTGCAAAAGTGGATGTGGCAAAACCAGTTAAGGAGCTTTTGCAATGGTCCCAGTAAGAAATCATGCTGGATAGAGTGAGAGAAGTAACAGTGGAGATAAGAAGGACAACATGGTTTGAGATATTTAGCAGGTAAAATTAGCAGGACTTGATGATGGATTGAATGTAGCTGTGAGGAAAAGAAAGATGTGAAGCATAAGCCCCAGGTTTCTGGGTGCATAAGTGGGAATGGCCCTGCCATTCGCTAAGCTAAAAATAAACAGTAGAAGGTGAACAGGTTTGGAGAGGAAGATCTGATCTGAATTTGAACACACTGCACTAGAGGTGCCTTTTAGACATCTGGGTATGGATATTCCATGCCCATGGCCACCAAGGGTAGGCCACAATGGCCTTAGGATGCCCCGAGAAATGTGACCCAGATCCAGCCTCTCTGGGGGTCAGCCTTGTTTGGTAGCTGGCCTGAGGACTCATGGTTTGCTTCCCACCCTTGTGGTTCTATTTCCTTACCAGAGTATCCTGAAAAGGGAGAATTCAGCCTAAGAAGGAACAGGAACAGTCTGGGGAGAGACTCTGCTGCTTTAGGGGAAACAATTTAGATATTGATGCATGTTGTTTGAGATGTTTTTCCAAATCTGTGATTGAGATATTTGTGTTTGACATGTGTGCTTTTATTTATTAAGATATTTGCTATTAATATATATCTACTATATGGTAGACACAATGTCAAGTCAGAAAGGACCCGTGGTACTTCAGAAGCGACAGCCCCAGAACCCATCTGGCTTTGCTGTTCTTGTGATTTTAGAGAATACTAAATCTCTAGGATGCTGAGCTGCTGACTTTTCATCAAGGGAACCTGTCCTTGAGTTCAGGGGGTTGGCTTGTCAGGGGCTTCTTCTGCAGCTGCAACTCTTCAATCTGTCTTTGGGGGCCTCTCTTCTGCAGTCTCCCTAGACAGTAACTACATCAGTTCTCCACTTTGAACAGGGCTCAGCTGGGCACTCTGAGCCACCCCACCTTACCACTGCTATGTGTTCTGGTTTGTTGCCTGAAAGCAACTCTTTGTGTCCAGGTTAGCAGGTGAGGGTGAGAGAAGTGTCAGAGGAGGTTTCGTGTCCTTCTGTAGAACAGCAGAGGAGAGCTGGACTGGCGGGCAGGAAGGGGGTGGTGGGCAGAGGTGTGACTCATCCAGCCCTGGCACCATGTGATAGGATCTGTGAATACCCATGTGAAATAGATACATGCTTTAAGAACATTTGCCTTGTGAAAATCTAAACTCACAAGCCACATGAATTTGGAACCGCGATTACCATCACAAAAGGGAGCTGGTATCCTTTAAAATATCCTGTAGTGTATCTAAAATACAGTGCAGTGAGTGATGAAATATTTATGCCAGTTTAGGCACTCAGGGGAAGCTGGCATTCTCTATGTCAGTGGAACAAAGAACTTCTTATAACTGGAGCAGATGGTGAGCCCCTGTCAGGGCAGATGTTCCTGCAGAGGCCAGGTGACCACATGTCAGGTGGGACAGAGGGACTGCTTCCCATGGTGGACTGAGAATCGCAGCTTTAAGATTCTCTGATTCTTGGCTTTGCTTTCTGTCTTGAAAAGTAAGTCTGCCTTAGGCAAATCTGCCAAGGACAGATGTGTCCTTGAAGTCAGAAGGACCTAGGCTAAATCTCAGCTCCACCTCTTCTAGCTATGTAAATTAGGCAGGTGGCTCTCTGAACCTCCCTCTTCTAGTCTATAAAATTAGGTTTATAATACCTTGCAGAGTTTTGTGTGTGAGGGTCAAATGAGTTAAGTCCAGGAGCCAACACCTCAGGATGTGAGGTGGGGAGAAGGCTTCGGAGCCTCTGATCAGCTGGCAGCCCTGTGGCATGTGCGCGTGGATGGTGTGCACATGGCTTGAGTTTGCATGCTCTGCACAGGGAGAACATTCATTGCTCCACAGAACACAAATTCAGGGCATGTGTCAGCTCACTGGCAGCCTGGGGTAGGCTGGGACACGCTGTCCTTTTTCTGCCTGAGGACTGACACCAGCTCAGCAAACAGCCCACCCATCTTAAGTTTCCCCAAAGAACTCAGTCTTCGTTACAGAGAAATCCTTTCAGGTGCTGAGAGTGGCATGTTTCTTGCAATCTGACCCCTGGAAGAATTCTGACTGTGTCCCTTTCCCATGCCAACTCTTTACTAAAGCCGATTTTATGAGGAATTATTTTTCTAATGTGTTGGATAAAATCCTAAAGTGTGTCTCTGATGGTGTCTTAGGAGGTTCACAATGTTTTTATTTTCATGGGGAGCATTAAGAGGATACAGACTAGGTTTTTGTTGGGGCAAGCATAGTCATTGTAAACTAGAGGCTGCTTGCTGCCTGCAAAATCCTTGACACCCAAGGCAAAATTCTGGCTTCATATGTCACCATCTAGCATACCTGAACCACTCCAACTTGAAGACATTTGTCCCTGTTCAGGGTATCCATCATAGTCATCACGGTTCCATCTGTGTACACAATAAAGCTCTGTATTTACCAGTTATTTTATCTGCCTAGCCTCCCTGTGGGCTCTGTAGGGCAGGGTTCTTGGCCCTTTTATTCAGATTAAGAGAACATGGCTCTGCAAGGTGCAATAGTTTGTCTTAGGTCACCCAACTAATTATTGGCAGGGCTGTTTTTCAAATCCTGGTCTTCTAAGGGGCAGCCTGACATAATGTAAACACCATCCAGCATTTACATCCCACCAATGGCACTCATGAGCTGTATGACCTTGTGCAAGCTAGTTATTATAAGTAGTTATTGATATTAATAATTAGAGTAGAATTTACAAAGCACCTGGCATGGTAGTAGGTGCTCTACACCGTATCTCGTTTTCATTCTCACACTAGACCTGTGAGAGGGGTTTTATTATTATCGGTTTTACAGATAAGCATCCTGAAATTCAGAGTGCTAAAGTAGCTTTCCCTGTCTGAGCCCCAGTTTCTCTATAAAATAAGAATATTAATATCTCCCTGGGAGGGTGATGATAAGGGCTGAATGAGATAATGTGTGTAAACTGCCCAGCACAGAGCCTGGAATAGAGGAGGTGCTCAGTCAATACTTGTTTCCTTTCCCTAGTTCCTCCTCTGACTTCTAATCTAGTGGTCTTTCTACTGCACCCCACTAAATACATTTGGAAGCTAAGGTCATGCTTAAGTCCTCTCCATAGCTCTCTCTATCACACTCTTCCCTACTGCCCAGAGGCCACTTCAAGTCTCTCTGTCAGATACCGCCTGTTTAGTTTTATGCCAGTTCAGGAAACATCATCCTTCCCTGGCATGCTGCACCCCTGACATTTGCCCCAGGGCTGTGTTCTGGACCGCTAAAGCCTACCCTGGCCTCTCTAGCCACAGGGCTTTCTTCTTTCCTAGCTTTCTCTAAGGCAAAAACAGGTTGCTTCCCTTACTTTGACATTTTACCTGGACTCTTTCGTGTTGTTATGTTGTGCTTCATGAGAGGCCACATATGGCACCCAGGTCTTCTGACTTCTAGTGTTGTGCATGCCCTGAAGGTTACTATCTTCGTCTATTTGGTGATTGTATCAAGGAATACCTAAGACTGGGTAATTTATAAAGAAAAGAGGTTTATTGGCCAGGCACGGTGGCTCACGCCTGTAATCCCAGCACTTTGGGAGGCCGAGGCGGGTGAATCACAAGGTCACGAGTTCAAGACCAGCCTGACCAACATAGTGAAACCCCCCCATCTCTATTAAAAATACAAAAATTAGCCGGGCGTGGTGGCAGCACACACCTGTGATCCCAGATACTCAGGAGGCTGAGGCAGGAGAACCGCTTGAACCCGGGAAGCAGAGGTTGCTGTGAGCCAAGACAGTGCCACACTGTACTCCAGCTTGGGCGACAGAGCAAGACTCTGTCTCAAAAAAAAAAAAAAAAAGAAAGAGGTTTACTTGGCTTATAGTTCTGCAGGCTGTATAAGAAGCATGGCGCCGGCTTCTGCTTGGTTTATGGTGAGGGCCTCAGGCTGCTTCCACTCATGACAGAAGACAAAGGGGAGCCAACATATGCAGAGATCACATGGTGAGACAGGAAGCAAGAGAGAGGGGAGGTGCCAGGCTCTTTTTAACAAGTAGCTCTCCCAGGAACTAATAGAGTGACAACTCACTCCCCACAGAGGGCATCCAACTATTCGTTAGGGATCTGTCCCCCTTTACCCAAACATCACACTTCAGGCCTGTACCTCCAATATTGGGATCAAATTTCAACATGAGGTTTAGGGGAACTCATTCATTTGGCTTTCAATAAATATTCATTTATTTATCACTTACTCAGCCAGACCCTGTGTTAGACAAAATAGTAAGTGCTGTAGTACTCAATTAGTATAGATCAAATTAATAGCTAGTTTCAGCTCCTAAACTTGGGGATGGGGGTGTGGGGTGTGGTAAGGAAGAAGAGAAGGGTATTACCTGGCAGTGGGTGGACGTCAGAGGTAATAGACCTGACTGCCAGGATGTACCTCCATAAATTTGAGGGACTATAGATAGCGGCTAGTTCTTATACCTCTAAAAGATAGCTTGGAGAAGTGAAAAGGGGAGCTATTTCTGAATGATTCATTCATTCAGCAGTCTTTTAGCAAGTACTTTATCTGTGGCTGGTGTTCTGCTGGTGGTGAATAAGATAGGGCTCTGTTCTTTTGGACTCCCCTTGTCTCTGGAGAGGTAAACTTGTAGATAGGTGAATCTCAGTGAGTGGTATAATGGCAAAGAAGAGTCCAGGGAAGGTGGGAACTTCGAAGGACGGGACTTACTTTTCATAGGGGAAGTAAGGGAAAGTTTCATAGAGAAACTGCACCTCAGAAGGGGATTAGGCAAGAGAGCATTCCAGAAAAGGGAATAACACTTGAAAAGGCCCAGAATCCTTAAGGAAAGGAGTATATTCAAGAAACAGAAAACAAGACAGTGTGTTTAGGAGATATGCACTGATGTGTTACATTATTGGTTGTACCATGAAGGTCTTTGTGTGGCATGTTGAGGGTACTGGACTTAATCCTTTAGGCATCAGGAACCAATAGAGGTCTTAAAGCTATAGTCTAGTTGATGGAAAGAAAATAGCTGTTCTATTGAATACTAACCAATCAAATCCCCATTTTCTACTGAGTCTGGATGCAGCCTCAGAAATATTCTCATGAAGGAGGCATGAAAGTATGAGGCTTTCAAGTAAGCCCAGTCCAGTAGACCTTGAGTGGATGCCCTTGGCCCATATACCTGTAGTGATCCAGTAAATGCAAGGCCTTCTTGCCCAATGGACATTGGTCCTTTTCTCCAGGAAGCTCTTCTGAACAGAAAGTCTAGCTCTTTTGAAGAGGATAAAATGTGCTGGGCTAAGGAATCAGGAAGTAGCTATTAGTCTGTAACCTCACTGGTGGCTGTGATTGTCTTTGCCAGCTCTGTATCCCTAGAATCCAGCACAAAACTTGGCACATGGTATGTGCTCAGTGATGTTTGCTGAATAAATAACAAGGAAAAGAAACTAATCAACTCTCTACCTAACCAGTCAACCATCCAACCTGGGTTCTAATTCCAGCTCTTAAATTTTCATTCTCTCAGCTATACAACCACCTGGTTGTTCTCTAAGGCCTTTCACACCCTAGGATTGTAGGATGATGAATAGTTCAGAGCAAGCCCAGTTATCATTTATAATTCTAATATGCCTCAAATTTAATCAGAATAAAATATCAAAACCAGCACTACTTTACAACATTTCAGATATGCCGTCTAAAAACAGAACCTGCATCTGTCTCAGAGTTGTGAAGAAAATGTATTAAGTTATATTAAACAGCAAGATTGTCCTTTTTGTAGGAAAAAAATAAATTAAATCTTGTCTTCCTGACTGGGGATTTTAATTGGGATTTGAGTCAATTTGATCCAAATTTGAGCATCCATCCAGAGAACATTTATTGACATCTGCTATGAGCAAGGTTTTGTGCTAGGCATGAGGGAGATAGGAAAATGAATAAGATACAGGTCCTTCCAGGCAGGAATTGATGGTGTAGTTAGGGAGATATAACATATACATGCTTGACTCTGACCCAGATGGACAGAGAATAAGCAGAGACAGTCCAGATCCAGGGGTAGGAGTGTCGGAGGAGGAAATCCCTTCCAAGTACACCATATATGTAGGAAGTCTGCCTCTTACCACCACCCTAGGGCTCAGAATTTAGACGGAGCTATTGTGGCTATGAGGATGTGCTCTGTGGATTGTGCTCTGTGCCATGCAACTGCCTGGAGCTTACAGTCATCCTCAGCCATCAAGTTGAGCACCTCAGCCCAAACCGGTATTGGCAACGAAAATCATCTTAGGCCTTAATGAACAGTGTGCACATACTACACTGCCAAGCTTGGTAGCATCTTTTTGTGGCTTGTATCCTTGGAGTTGATTTCCAGAAAAAGTTGTTCACTGTAACAGGAATTTGTATTTCTTGTTTTATAAGACTGGAAACTATTAATAATATTTGTCCAATGTGTGCTCTTCTCTGCCTTGGCTGCCACTGAAATTCAGGACCTAGCTAAAATGGGATCATCCACTTTCCCAACATTTATCCAACAATTATTTGTTAAGTGATTCTCTGTGCAAGGCCCTGTGCTAAGTGGGTAGGAGACACACACAGGCTATGCTCTCAAGGAGCTGACAAAAGATGTGTGAACCAGGCCGAGGGGAACCGAAATACCAGCTGAGAGAAGTACTAGAGGGATCAGAGCAGAAAAAGTTTGATTTTAGCCTATGGGCACAAAGAGAAAAACGTAAAAGAGATCCATGTGATTTGGACCTCAAAAAGGTAGGAATAGTACACATTGAAATAGGTGTAGTAGGATTTCTAAAATAAAATAATGACCAAAGTATTGAGGAAGCAAAAAACTTCAGGCTTGTTTAGGAAAGTAGGAATACTTCAGTTTGGCTAAGGGGAACAGGCTTAGAAAAGGTTAGGATCAGATCATCACAGAGGGCCTCCTCCTCAGATGTTCCAGGGTAAAGCATTTATATATTTAATTCTATGGGCAAAAAGATGCCTGCTTAAAAACTTAATAAGTTTAATAAGTTTTTAAGCAGGTGTGAGTTGGAAAAATCCTAGAGTTGGAAAGGATTTTGGATATAACCTAGTTCAGCCTCCATCTGTATTAGTACGTTTTCATGCTGCTGATAAAGATATACCCGAGACTGAGCAATTTACACAAGAAGGAGGTTTAGTTGGACTTAACAGTTTCATGTGACTGAGGAAGCCTCACAATCATGATGGAAGGCAAGGAGGAGCACCTCACATCTTACGTGGGTGGTAGACAGGCAAAAAAATGAGAGAGCTTGTGCAGGGGAACACCTCTTTTTAAAACCATCAGATCTTATGGGACTTATTCACTATCATGAGAACAGCATGGGAAAGACTTGCCCCCCTGATTCAATTACCTCCCACCAGGTCCTTGTCACAACACGTGGGAATTCAAGATGAGATTTGGATGGGGACACGGAGCTAAACCATATCATTTCACCCTGGCCCCTCCCAAATCTCATGTGTCCTCACATTTCAAAACCAATCATGCCTTCCCAACAGTCCCCCAAAGTCTTAACTCATTTTAGCATTAACTCAGAAGTCCACAGTCCAGAGTCTCATCCGAGACCAGGCAAGTCCCTTCTGCCTATGAGTCTGTAAAATCTAAAGCAAATTAGTTACTTCCTGGATACCATGGGGTTACAGGCATTGGGTAAATACAGTCATTCCAAATGGGAGAAATTGGCCAAAACAAAGGGCTACAGGCCCCATGCAAGTCCAGAATCCAGCGGGGCAGTCAAATCTTAAAGCTCCAAAATGATCTCCTTTGACACTGTGTCTCACATCCAGGTCACTTGATGCAAGAGGTAGGTTCCCATAGTCCTGAGCAGCTCCACCCCTGTGGATTTGCAGGGTACCGCCTCCCTCTTGGTTATTTTCACGGGCTGGGGTTGAGTGTCTGCAGCTTTTCCAAGCACACAGTGCAAGCTGTCATTGGATCCACCATTCTGGGTTCTGGAGGATGGTGGCCGTCTTCTCACAGCTCTACTAGGCAGTGCCCCAGTAGGGACTCTGTGTGGGGAATCCCACCCCACATTTTCCTTCTGCACTGCCCTAGCAGAGGTGCTCTATGAGGACCCCACCCCTACAGCAAACTTCTGCCTGGGCATCCAGGCTTTTCTATACACTTCTGAAATCTAGACGAAGGTTCCCAAACCCCAGTTCTTGACTTCTGTGCACTTGCAAGCTCAACACCATGTGGAAGCTGCCAAGGTTTGAGGTTCGCACCCTCTGAAGCCACGGCCCAAGCTCTACGTTGGCCCCTTTCAGCCAGTGCTGACAAAGAGCACCAAGTCCCTAGGCTGCACACAGCACAGGGACCCTGCTCCCAGCCCACAAAATAATATTTTCCTCCTAGACCTTCTGGCCTATGATGGAAGGGGCTGCTCTGACATGCCCTGGAGACATTTTTCCCCCTTGTCTTGGGGATTAACATTTGGCTCCTCGTTACTTATGCAAATTTCTGCAGCTGGCTTGAATTTCTCCTCAGAAAATGAGATTTTCTTTTGTAGTGCATTGTCAGGCTGGAAAATGTCAGGTGTTTTCCAAACTTTTGTGCTTGGCTTCCCTTATAAAGCTGAATGATTTTAACAACACCCAAGTCACCTCTTGAATGTTTGCTGCTTAGAAATTTCTTCCGCCAGATACCCTAAATCATCTCTTTCCAAAGTTTCACAAATCTCTAGGGCAGGGACAAAATACCGCCAATCTCTTTGTTAAAACATAACAAGAGTCACTTTTGCTCCAGTTCCCAACAAATTCTTCATCTCCATCTGAGACCACCTCAGCCTGGATTTCATGTCCATATCATTATCAGCATTTTGATCATAGCCATCCAGCAAGTCTCCAAGAAGTCTCTAGGGAGTTCCAAACTTTCCCCACATTTTCCTGTCTTCTTCTGAGCCCTCCAAACTGTTCCAACCTCTGCCTGATACCCAGTTCCAAAGTCACTTCCACTTTTTCGGGTATCTTCAGCAGCAGCCCACTCTACTGGTACCAGTTTACTGTATTAGTCCATTTTCACACTGCTAATAAACACATACCTGAAACTGAGCAGTTTACCAAAGAAAGAGGTTAAATTGGACTTACAGTTCCACGTGGCTGGGGAGGCCTCACAATCATGGCGGAAGGCAAGGATGAGCAACTCACATGTTATGTGCATGGTTGCAGGCAAAAAATGAGAGAGCTTGTGCAGGGGAATGCCTCTTTTTAAAACCATCAGATCTCATGAGACTTATTGACTATCATGACAACAGCACGAGAATGATTTGCCCCCATGATTCAGTTACCTCCCACCAGGTCCCTCCCACAACGTATGGGAATTCAAGATGAGAGTTGGATGGGGACACAGCCAAACCATATCGCCATCTCACACATAATGACAGAATCCCAAAAGGGGAAGTTGCTAACCCAAGGTCAGACAACTAGTTAATGATGGTGCTGGAGCTGGGGCCAGAACCAGATCTTCTAGCTTCAGATATAGTGGACTTTTTACACTCTGTGATGAAACCTATGCTCTGGGGAGATTAATGAGGCTTTCTAGGGGAGGTAGTTTGAAGGAGAGGCAAGAGTCAGGGAGAGCCTTGAGATGTTTTTACAGTTCAGATGAAAGGTAATGCACAAGGTCTTTAATTAGGGCTTTGGAAGTGGGCTGATGAAGAAGGGGCTGATGGGAGAGAACATAGAGGTCCAGTCAGCAGGACTTGGATGTGGAAGACAGACAAGAGGGAAACTTACCCTGTCTTCAGTTATTGTTCTTTACTGAATTGTCCATTTGGTAGGCTATCTCAAAGTGGAAAAGAAAGGGTATAGAGCCAAGATAAATACATCAAACACTTCCAGTATTTCCCCAAATGAGCCTCTTTGCAATTGTTGTTGTTGTTCCTCTTCCCTAGAAGGCCTAATTCTTTTCCAGAACCTGGCCTTCCAGCTCTTAAGTCCTCAGAAATGGGATCCATTTGCCAGCTACTATTCTGGCTTCATGATTTTACTCATGGGCTCTTGGAACTGCCCTCATTGTCTGAGTGTGTCCCTGGTTTTGGCTTTGCCACCAGGCCCCATGAAAGTGCCATACATGTGACTTGCCTCCCATCCTGTGACTCTAGGTTTGAAACCAAAGCCCTGAGACAACCTGCAACCCGTGCTGACCTCCAGAATAGGCCAGGCACCCAGCCTGAAGGAGAGTGCTGGACTGGACTTTAATTGTGTAGGGGTCTTGCCCCAGGTCTGTAGACCACTTGCATCAGAATCACCTGGGGAATATTAAAATGTGGGTTTCTGGGCTCTATCTCATCCTGCTGAATCAGAATCTCTGGAGGTAGGTGACAGGAACTTGTAGTTTTGACAAGTGCACCAAGTGATTTTTATTTACCTAAAGTTTGATTCTGCCTTAGATAGTTTTTTTTCCTGGACCTCAGTTTCCTTGTTTTAAAATAGGAAAATTATATATTCAGTTTACCGTGAAAATAGAAAAGTACTTTGGGAAGATGCTAAAAGTTTATACATATTTACTTATCACATATTATTAAGTTTACAGTCTTGAGATAAAGAAAATTTGAAATATTTCTTAGACTGAAATACACTGAAAACCAGTAAATGGTCTGAGTACTCACACTTAGAAAATGTATGCTTACTAAGTGATACGGTTTGAATGTTTGTCCCCTCCAAAATTCATGTTAAAACTTGGTCATTATAACAGCATTAAGAGGTGGGACGTGTAAGAGGTGTTTAGGTCTGCCCTTATGAATGGACTAATGCTGTTATGGAGGGAGTCGGTTCATCCTGACTTACTCTTGCATGTACATGTGCTCTCTCTCTCTCTCTCTCTCTCTCTCTCTCTCTCTCTCCCTCCCTCTCCCTCCCCCTTTCCCTCTCTCTCTCTCTCTCTCTCTCTCCACCTCTCTCCCTCTCCCCATCTCTCTCCCTCTCTTCCTCTCTCTCTCCCTCTCTCTTCCTCTCTCTCACTCTCTTGCCATCTACCATGTTACGATGCATCAGGAAGGCCCTCACCAGATGCTGGCACTTTGATATTAGACATCTCAGCCTCCAGAACTATAAACCAATAAACGTCTATTATTTATAAATTATCCAGTCTGTGCTATTCTGTTATAGCAGCACAAAATGTACTAAGACACCAAGTGAGTGAATATATGAATGAATAGCTCCAGGAAAGGCAAACCCTGAAGAAAGGTCATTAACTTTTTCTTCAACATCCCCTACTTCATGCATTCAATCAGCATTATTCACTGAGTGCCTAATATGTGCCAGGGCACTATGCCAGGCTGAGAATATAAATAGGATGTGGTCCTTGACCTTAAGGGATTGGAGATCAATGTGAGTGTTCAATACAGTGTGATAAGCACTGGCCCCAGGATGGGTAGAGAGGTGGGTATTAGTGCTTTGGCAACCAGAGCAGAAATCACCTCTATCTGAGCCTGTCAGGAAAGGTGTCACCAAGGAGTTGGCCTTGGAGTATAGGATTGTTCCAAGAAGGAGGAAAGCCCTTTTTACAGTCCTTGTCACTGGCTTCCTTCTTCCATTCCATTAAATTCTGTCATCAATTTCCTCTCCTCCTCCATCAAACTAATCTCAGGAACTCAATGTTTATGTGTTTTTTGTTTTCTTTTTCAACCTACCCAAATCTGCTTTTATACTCAAAACCAACACTTAGGTTTAGTCATAAACACTTGGTCTTAAAACAATGCTTTTTTGAGGATCAGGGTAGTTTACATTGTCACCCCTAAAAGTTTTCATCTGAAATAGTTTTAAGCTCTATTAGGGATTTTGTTTGTAGGTTTACTTTTTCACAGCTGATAGGAGGAGTGTTGCAGTTTGTTGGTTAGTAGTTGTTGGATTTTTTTTTGGGTGGTGTGGGGAGAGGATTGGTGACAACTGGTTTACCCCAGCTCCTGTTATTTTACTAGATAAATAATCACTATTTTGCTTACCCATAAAGAATCAAGGGTTAATTCATGGTCTTCTTTGTGTTTTAAGGTAAAACGATAATGGTTAATGAATCAGACTTTAAAGTGGCATAGCCCTTTACAACTTACAACATGTCTTGACTGTTCATGTTCTTCTTTTCTGGTCAAAAGGTGGTCCACAAACCAGAGGCAGGGAGGGAGACGCTAATTAGAAATGGAGAACCTCAGGTACTACCTAAGACCTGCTGAATCGGAATCTGCACTTTAGCAGTATTCCCTGGTAATTTTTATGCACAATAAAGTTTGCAAGAGACTATAAAGTTAGTGGTTTGTCCGATTTATTGATTAGGACATTGAAGTCTGGAGAGATTAGGGAACTTACCCAAGGTCACGTAACAAGTAGCAGAGCCAGGCCTCAAGCCCTGGTCTATCTGATTCCAGTTCAGCACTTTGTCACTGTCCTACTAGGTTTCTTTGTGCCATATTAACTGGAAAACACTTCCTCTGTGATTGATTCATGGTTGTGAAGAAGGAAGAAAGTAACAATTTTTCAAAGTATAAATGTATCTTCTTGGGAGTTGCAAGGGACTAGAAGAGTTAACGGGGAGCTCACAGGCTGAACCCTGACTTTATGCCAGACACTTGGACAATTATACACAGGAAGCCTTGTTCCCATTTTACGGATGGTAAGAACCCTCAGTATTTTCCTGACCTTGATGAGCCTGTAGGGACTCTCGGGGAAGCAGGGGTTGAATGTCGTATTTAAAGCTCAGGCACTAGGACTTTCTGGGTTGGAGGTGAAGGAATCAGATGTTGGACATTTCTTTTCATCCTTAAAATAAGATTCTCTTCTGGTATGAGGCTTTGACTAATCAGGTTGGGTGGCTGCCCACTTCTTCTGGAGTCAGGAACTTAGGCTTTGGCCACCAGGAACTCCTCTTGATTTATGAACAACTCTGTCTTGTAGAGTAAAAGCGGTTTTCCCAAAGAGGAAAAAATAGCTTAAAAGAAGGCCTTGAAGAATCAAGATGACAAAATGTATTATTTATAAGGACCTAAAATAAGTGCCAGATCCTCCACTTGAAGTGAGCAGGCGACAGCCGTGCGCTGTGTGGAGTAGAGCCCAGCTGACTCCAGCTGGATCCACACGGCAGGGCTGGTCAGCCACAGCTCTGCTCACTATTCCAAGGCTCTTCTCGGAAAGACTCCTGCTGCCGGTGCAGGCCATCTGTGGAGCTCACATGAATGCGTACCGGCTTACAAGCTTAAAGAGAAAATTCTTGAAGGAAGCTGGAGGAAATGCAGTGAGAATCTGTGGATTGGTAGAAAGAGGCCACAAACACACACTCATACCTGTAACACACACGCATGTAAGATTACATCAACTTCCCGACTTACTCACTCAAGGATACAGACACGTTTTGAGAGTGAGGAGTCCAGGCAGCACACAGTAGATACGGGGTATCTCAACTCCGCCTTCACTAGCCCCTAGCTCCCTAGTGGAACTTGCAGCTGCAGGTAACACCATCCATGCAGAATAGAGTTCTGTTGCATCCAGGAATCAGCCCCTTCTTGCTGCATCACAGGCCTTTTTCACTCAAGGCTTGTCTCATCATTCTTGAAGAACTTAGTGCTGCTATGTTTTCCTTTAAGAGAATGTTCACAAACATTTCTTATACAAAAAGCTCTTCCACTTTTTGAAGCAAACTAATGGTCAGCAAGTCTACATCTTTATCCAGTGGGGAAAAATACAGATTCAGTGTCTAGGAGTCTCTGATCAATAGCCAGCATTGCAGAAAACCCATTTCCTTGCCACTCATCCTTTCACTCTGGCCTAATACCTTTGTTATCTGGAAGTTCGTGATACTGAGTTAGACCTGAGGATCATTTCCCAAATCTGTTTTTCTGGAGGGCAAGATTCAGTGATGCGGCGAGAGGTAACTGAAGAGTAGGAGGTGATGCCGAGGGATTTCTGAGGGCACCCAAGGCAAGTAGGAGATTGTGCTGCAGCTCCAGAACTGTTACAAGTCTTACCAACAGAACAATAGGCTAGGATTTGAACATACACTGCAGATTTCAGAGCCTTCTCACCGAACTCTAATTATTCCTGTGTCATTGTCTTTCTCTTCCTCTTCAAAATTTCTCTTCTGGGATATGGTGACTACACTGTGGGGAGAAATGCTTTTAGTAGCTCTTTCTGTATTTGGAGCTTACTTTGTGTTCTCTGTTGGCTGATGGCTCCCTCCCCAGCCATAGGAGCTGATTATGATCCAGCGGCCCTGATGCAGTCCCCTGGCAGCATCAACCTGGTTTTGCCTCTGGTTCTGATCTCAAGGACCCTCCAGTTTCCTCTTATCATAATGGTTGCCCCTAGAGGGCAGGATTCAATAGGCTGAGAGGTTTACCTACATGCCCTGGCAGTACAGGGAGCCTTCAAGAAGATGGATATCTGACCTTTCTACCCCCTACATCCCAATTCAGAATAATAAAATCTCAGGCTTGAGATAAATTTTCGGCATTTTAAAATCCAGGCATCTATTTAATATTTGAACGAGAGGCGGCGTGGTATAGAAGAAAGAACACTGGCTGAATTCAAATCCCATCTTCACCACTTTCTAGCTGTGTGATCCTTATAAGCAAGGAATGCCTTGCAGGGCCCTGCTGGAGAATAAAGATAATCTAGGTAAAGTCCTGACATATATGATATGCTTCATAAGTAGTAAGTACCATTGTCCTGTAAACCAGAGCTTTCAAACTTTTTCCTTCAGAACACTTAAATTCTTTCACATATTCTCTATCATATATGATGTTTAGATTCCTCACAGCCCTGGTTACTTTATTTGTTATTATTATTACTATTGTTACTTTTATTGTAAAATATATATGACATAAATTTATTATTTTAACCATTTTAAGCATGCAGTCTAGTGGCATTAAATACATTCACATTGTTGTGAAACCATTATTACCATCCATCTCCAGAACATTTTTATTCTCCCATACTGAAATGTTGTACCTATTAAACAGTAACTCCCACTCCCCATCCGTGCAGCCTGGGCACTCTATTTTGAATAGCATGCTCCAAATTCCTCAGTGTCTTTCTTCCCATTGCAAATGGAGGTTAAAAAGAGCCTCTTGGAAGGGTTTGAGTTCTTCAAACTCCCACTGGGGAGCCCGAGAATTAAAAGTCTATACCAGTTGCGGCAAACTTTTGGGATTGCAGATGGTTACAAAATTAGTGTCAATATAGCTGCTTTGCATGGAGTGGATCTGGCAAAGAGGCTTCTAAGCACTGATACATTCCTTTCAGAAATATCAAAGGATATGGCTTGGCATAGCTTTGGGGAGAAACCAACAGTTTTCGAATTCTTGAATAGCATCTACCTTATGGTGAAGATTAAATGATATAATTCATGTCAAGTGTATAATACAGTGCTTGGCACAGATCAGGCCCTTATATGTAGGCTTTTGTTACCATAATTGCACTATGGCAGAGATTACATATATGTTTTGGTAGTTAATTCCCATGATAGGTAGACACCATTTTCATCTTATCTGAGGAAACTGAGTCTCTGGGCTGCTAAAGCCCCCAAAATTACAGAGCTAGTAAGTTATAGAGTAGCAGAGCTGGGATTCAAACCCATACTCTTTCTCTTATAAGATGCTGCCTGTTGTGATACACCAAGAAAGGAACCCTGTGAGTGAGGTGTACTGACTTCATCTTGATGTTTCATCTTTCTGTATACCCTGGCCCTTTTCTAGGGTCATACCATCTTGCTGTTTCTTATTCTTAAAATCATACACCTAATGTCCAAGCTTCAGAGCTTTCTGTATTTACCAGTCCCCATTCTCTCTGTGAGTGAAGTGATCTCTCACAGTCTTCCATAAGCTCTAAAGTAGGAAACCAAAAGCATGTGTGCAAACCATGGAACTCTCTGGCTTTATTCAATGAGTATCTAAGAGCTAATGAACTGCACATAGAATTTAGAGGAACGTTGACTAGGATTTGATCAGAAAATGGTACTTTCCAGGACATTCAGGGCACCCACAAACACTAGGTAGAGTTTGTTCAGAAAAGAAAATGCTTACATTTGACTTCTGTGAGTGATTGGGATTCATTTTCCTTTCAGAAAACAAGAACCAAGTCACGCTCTCTTGCTCTTTCATGGTTGCTAGGAAGCTAAAGCCAACCTGGATGCTCAATTTCGGCATGTATATAAGCTCCTAGGGCTGGCATTTGGATACGCCTCCTTTCCATGGTTTTGAATTTCCGCTTGTATTTTATTTACTGTATTATAGGAATACCCTTTCAAAGGAGATGAGCTTAGAGTAAGTAAATCAATAAAAACTATAAGCCCCTAGAGGTCAAGGACCATTTTCATTTACTTTAGTGTCCCCAGCACATAACTCAGTATCTGGCGTATAGTAGATGCTCAGTAAATGTTTGTCAGTTGAATGGATGAAAGTGATTAATGAATCAGCATTCAAAATGACTTAAGAATGCCATCTCTGGTACCTTCCTTTGGACTTTCAGATAACAAGGCCATCAAGGTGGAAGCTTTAGAAGGTGTTCCTTGGATTTTGGAGGTCTATCATTAAGAAAGTGTGTGCACATTGCTAGACATCGGAAATAATATTGGCTTAGACAAGACAGAAGCATTTTCTCTCACTGTTATGGACTGAATTGTTTCTCCCCAAAATTCGTAGATTAAATCCCTAACCCCCAATGTGACTGTATTTGGAGATAAGGTATTTAAGGAGGTAATGAAGGTTAAGTGAGGTCTTAAGGATGGAGCCCTAATCTAATATGACATATCATTATGAGATGCAGAAGAGACACTAGGAATTGCTCTCCCTTTACATGCAGAGGAAAGGCCATGTGAGGACACAGCAAGAAGGCAGCCATCTGCAGGCCAGGGAGAGACTTGCTAGAAACCAACTCTGATGGCACCTTGATTGTAGACGTCTAGCTTCTAGAACTGTGAGAAAATTAATTTCTGTTGTTTCAGCTACCCAGTCTGTGGTATTTTTTGTTATGGCAGCCCAAGCAGACTAATACATTCACGCATGACAGGTCTGATGATATCCCCCCACAAGATTGCTATAATAGTTCTACAGATATCAAGGGCCCTAATTATTTCTATCTCTCTGTTTCACTATCCTTAACATAGGCCTTTGTCTTCAAGATTTTCTCAAGGTCCAAGATGGCTGCTAGCAATATTCAGCCAGATAGAAGGGAGAAAGGACAAAGAGAGGCCTTTTTTTTTTTTTTGAGACGGTGTCTCGCTCTGTCACCCAGGCTGGAGTGCAGTGGTGCGATCTTGGCTCACTGCAAGCTCCGCCTCCTGGGTTCACGCCATTCTCCTGCCTCAGCCTCCTGAGTAGCTAGGACTACAGGCGCCCGCCACCACGCCCGGCTAATTTTTTGTATTTTTAGTAGAGACGGGGTTTCACCGTGTTAGCCAGGATGGTCTCAATCTCCTGATGTCGTGATCCGCCCGCCTCGGCCTCCCAAAGTGCTGGGATTACAGGCATGAGCCACCGCGCCCGGCCAAAAAGAGGCCCTTTTAAGGCACTTTCCCTGAAGTGGTACCAAGCAATGTCAACTAAAAACTGGCCAGAGCCTAGTTACATAGCCAAACCTGTCATGAGGGCTGGGAAGTGAGACTTTTAGCTGGGCATATGTTTATCCTGAATAAAATTTGAAGTCTGTTACCAGGAAAGAAGAGGAGAATGGATAATAAGTAGGTAACCAGCAATCTATGCCTCAAAGAGCAGGAGAATTGTGGGGAATAAAGGAAGCTGGAAGTCAGCATCTCACTCATAAAACAGTCCCACTTCTCAGCACCTGAGCAGTACCCTGAGTGCCCTAAGCAAGGTGATGAGAGGAGATGGCTCTCACCTACAGATTAGTCCAAGCCCCGTGCTTGACTGTAGGGCACTACTCAGTTTGGGCCTAGCCACCCTCCCCGCCTTCTCTTCCCCCGTTTGCCAATACCTTGCCCCCAGCCCTGTTCCCCAGATATGCCTGCACTTACCTACATTGCAGTTCCCTCTACTTGGGATGTCCTTTGACACTTTAATATCTTATTATTCTTTCAGGCTCCATCCAAACTGTTCCTCCTGGGAGCACCTAACTTGCTTTCAAAGAGTAGAGCATGGAAAGGGGTTGGGGGAGGGGGATGAGTGAGGAATAGCCTTACAGTGGAGAAACCTGGCAAACACTACCTTGCCCAGGTGACCAAGGTTAACATCATCAGTGATAAATCATGTTGATAGTATATAACTTTTATATAGTGTGATGATAAGGACACTTCACCTCTGTGGTCTTCCTCCTCCAAGCCCATAATCCCAGTCTAACTATGAGTAAAACATCAGAAAAACTCAATTGAGGGACATCCTACAAAATACCTGCTAGTACTCAAAACTGTCAAGATCATCAAAAACAAAGTTGGAGAAACCGTAGCAGACCAGAGGAGACTAAGGAGACATGATGGCTAAATGTAATACGGTATCCTGGAGCAGAGAAAGGACATTAGGGAGAAACTAGCAAAATCTAAATACAATATGACGTTTGGCTAATAGTAATGTACCAGTGCTGGTCCCTTAGTTGTAACAGATGTACCACAGTAATATAAGATGTTGACAATGGGGGAAACTGGGGGAGGGATATTTGGGAACTTAGTACTATCTTTAAAACTTTTCTGTAAACCTAAAGCTATTCTAAAATTAAGAGTTTATTAAATGAAATCTCTGTGCTCCTCCTCACTGATGGTATGACTTGGGCAAGTCACTTGACCCCTCTAGGCTCGGTTCTTCGATGTAAAATGGGGGTGACGTACCTTCACTGCAGGATAGGAAAAAAACTTCAGTGAGACAGTGTGCCTGATGGCACTTTGGAATCAGTGAGCCTTGGCCCTTGGGATGGCTTTGGGTGCTTCACACGTTATTGTTCAAATGCAGATTCCACTCCTGCCTCTCTGAAACTCCACACAGGGAGCCGCTCCAGAGGTTTCCCCAAAGGCTGCAGTTGCTGGTACCTAGCAAAACCCTGCCCTGTCCCCATTTGGAGTTCTTTTTCAGCCAGAATTTCTGTGTGGGTAACTTCCCCTTCACCTCTCTTGATAGCTTGCTCTTATAGACTAAGATTGCATTTTTATTTTCATATTTCACTTCATTTTTCCCCCTTGAATTTAGTTTTTCTCTTTAGGAATCAGCATATGACTCAAACTGCCAGTTCTAAATTTAGTATCGCCTGTGATACGGAGAATGCATTTAGTGCTGCCTGGGATATGTATTTGGAAATAATGGTTTTATTTATCCACATCCAGTAATTCTGCTGCCTGCCTGCTGGGTTCTTTCAGGAAAGAGTTTGTCATCTCCTTTCCTCCTAATGATGAAATGTTGCTTGCTCAAGTCCCAGAGGCCCAGCCTGAGCCAGATGCTGGTGACTTGAGTCTCTGTTTAATTAAACAATACCATTCCCAGGATTCTGCAGTCATAAGGTTCTGTCTATGGCTTCTGTTTAGAGGGAGTTTGGAAATAGGTCTAGAAGGGGCTCATGGACTCTTTGGATCCTGTAGGCTTATTTCTGGGCCTCAGGCTGGTAAGATTTACCCCTTTTTTGGGGAGAATTGCCCTTTCAGTGCTGAAATATGTGGAAGGAGGGGGAAGCTCTACGTGTATGTAGCTGTGTCCTATGTTGTGGATGCTGAGGACTTAGAAGCAGTAAATCACATTACTCTCTTGCCCTCTGAGAAGCTCTTCTCTTTTGAGTGAGATGGACACATATACACATGATTAGAGTGCAATGTAAGAACTGCTGTATTACAGCAATGTACTTGGCACGGAATTAATATAGAGAGATTAATCTATGTGATAAGGAAAGGCATGCAGAGAAGAGGTGATATCTCAGTAGAGTTTTGAAGGATAATTTTATAGGTGTTTGTAAGGGAATGAGGAGGGCATTCTAGGCAGAGGGAATAGCATATGCAAAGACATGGAGGCATGACATAGCATATTATGTTTGAGGAACTGCAATTAATTCATTTATTTAAAAAAATGTATGGAGCACCTACCGTCTACCTGGTGCCATGCTAATCATTAGGGTTTTGATAATGACCAAGTTAGATAAGGTTCCATTCTCCCAAAGCTTGCATTCTTGTAACGTAGTTTGTATGAGGGAGATGAGGGGTGATACATGATAAGTTAAGGAGATAGGCAGTGTGTATTAGCATAATAATATGAATAATTATTAGTATTCGTAACCTAAAAATTATTAGTCTCCCATAATAAAGTACCACAATCTGTGTGGTTTATGATAGGAATTTATTCTCTCATATTTATGCTCTCACTTCTGGAGGCCAGATGTCCAAAATCAAGGTGTCAGCAGGGCCATGCTCCCTCTGGAGGCTCTAGGAGAGACAGTTCTCTTGACTCTTCCATCTTCTGGTGTTTCCAGGCATTCCTTGGCTTGTGGCTGCAAAAACCCTGACCCTGCCTCTGTCTTCACGTGGCCTTCTCTGTGTGATGCATCTTTTCTTCTTTCTCTTATAAAGAAGAGAGATTGCACTCATTCCAAGGTCTTTAACTTGGTTACATCTGCAGAGAGTCTGTGGGCTCTAGGGGAGAATCTGTTCTTTGACCCTTCCAGCTTCTGGTGGCTGCTGCCATTCCTTGACTTGTGGCCACATCACTCCAGTCCCTGCCTCCATGGTCACACTGCCTCCTCCTCTTTTGTCTGTGTGTCAGATTTCCCTCTGCTTTTCTCTTGTGATGACATTTAGGCTCACTCAGATAATCTAGGACAAGCTTCTTATTTCAAAATCCTTAACTTAATTATATGTGCAAAGACCCTTTTTCCATAAAAGGTCACATTCACAAGTTCTGGGGGTTAAGGCATTGACTAACATCTTTTGGAGGACCATTGTTCAACCCACTATACAGTCCAAGATTGTAAGGTCTTTGTATATTCACCTTATGAGGTAGGTTTTATCATCCTCATTTTTCAGATGAAGACACTGAGACTCAGAGAAATTAAGTGATTTGCCCAAGGTAATTCAAAAAGGAAGTAGCAGAACCAGTGATTGCAACCTGGCTTTGTCCGACTTTGAAGCCCATTCTCTTCCTCCCATGGCACACTGACCAGAATTGTTTAGAAGTCTGTCCTTTGGCTTAATACACAAGTGTCCAGTTGAGGGGGTTGCAGGGAGCCACACCTAGCTATTACCAGGCAGTATGACCTTAGTGGGAGCTAGTTTGAGAGAACTGTTAGAGGATCGAGAGCAGGCTGCAGTGGATATGGGCAGGAAGTTTGGGGGAGGGAGGGCAGTGGGGATGGGGGTGACAATGAAGAGAAGGGGCTTGGAGTTCAGGACAAGGGCAGGAATACCCACCAAATGAGGGAAATAGCACTTAAAGGAAAAGTAGGGCCAGGTGCAGTGGCTCATGCCTATAATCCCAGCACTTTGGGAGGCTGAGGCAGGAGGATCATTTGAGCCCAGGAGCTCGAGAGCAGCCAGGACAACATAGTGAAACCCCGCCTCTACAAAAAAAAATTTTTTTTTAATTAGCCAAGTGTGGTGGTGTGCACTTTTAGTCCCAGCTCCCCTGGAGGCTGTCGGGGAGGATCGCTTGAGCCTGGGAGGTTGAGGCTGCATTGAGCTTTGATAGTGCCACTGCACTCCAGCCTGGGCAATAGAGTGAGACCCTATCTCAACAACAACAACAACAAAAAAGCAAAAGTGGGCCATGCTTTACCATCGTAGAGTTTTGCCCAGCACCTCTGGTTCTTTGATGTGTGAGGGGCTCCTATGCTTGCCTACAACTGGGAAGGTCTCTGACTGGGGTGGATATAAGCTGGAGGGCCTGAGATGTGTAGAGAAGGACTCTCTGGGTTTGTATTATTCATTCCTCCTGAGCATTGCCATGAGTGAGCACTGGAAATTCAGAGATGAACATGTTTTGGTCCTGCACCGGAGGCAGAGTGGCAGAGTAGAAAAAGATCAAGAACCAAATCCCTGCTCTGCCTCTCATTCACCGTGTGACCTCAGATGAGGCACTTTAGCTTTCCAAGCCTCTGTTTTGTTATCTGAAGAATACAGATTTTTTTGAGCTTTGAAGGAGATAAAAATGAAAAGTGAGTGGCACACCCCTGGAATATAATAGGGTCAATGAATGTTACTTTCATTTAATCAAAAAACTCTCTTGCTGAGCAGAGCAATTGTTTCCAAACTGGAGGTTCTGCAGCCTTGGAGTCCTCAGAGTCTATAACACATACACCTACATGCACCATTGTTTTCAAATATTGTAGATGGCATGGTGTTGACTAAAATACAGTTGCATTTATAGGCTTTACTGAATTAATGGTGACTCTTGGTTATTAAGTATTGCTTTGATTGGTGTATATGAAGATCCTGAAATTCTTTGATATTAAAAAGGAGTCTTCAGACTCAAATATGTTGGCAACCACTGGCGTACCATGGAAGATAGAGATATAAACTGACAAATAAGATTATGGGTGAATAGTGTTATTACAGAGCTATTGCAGAAGCATAGAGGAAAGCTAGACAGCTGCCTGAAGAAATCTGGGAAGGAGGAGGTGATACTTAGGCTAGGCTTTCAAAGATGAGTAGGAGTTTCCCTCCTTTGGAGAGAGGGCCTTGCAAGTATAGGGAACAGCAGGTTCAAAGTCTAGGTGGCAAGGACTTCAGTTTTGGTGGGAGGTGGAGTGGGAGACAGGCCAGAAAAGGAGCTAGGAGCAGGGTCAGGACCAGGCCTTGAATGCCATGCTATAGAGTTTAAGATCACCTTAGGCAGGGGAAATCAGGGGCGGAGTTTAGATAGAGGAGTAATAGTGTTTGACCTTTTAGAAAGATCATTGCCTTTGCAGCTTGGAGAGTAGAGCTGGAGAGACCTGTGAAAAGGAGGCAGTTGTGGAGGAGCAGAGTGGGACTCACAGCAGAGCACTAAAGCACAAAGTCTCAGGCAGTATATACCCTGGGCCTAAATCCTAGCTGTACTCCTTAACAGCTAAGTGATCCAATTACTCAGTCTCTCAGTTCCTCAATTTTCTTATCTGTGTGATGGATATAATAATGTATCTATCTCATGGGATTTTTGTGGAATATAAATAAGGTACATATGTATGGAGCCCGGCACACTGTAGGTACTTAGTAGATATTTTCTGTAAAATTTCCTACTTCATTTTTTTCTTATAATCACCCTAAAAAGGAAAATATATTTGCTTGTTTTCTTGTTTTACAGACAAGCAAATTGAAACTCTTAGAGATTAAGAAACTTGCCTAAATCCCCCCAGGTAGTGTGGCTCAGAGGTCTGAGTTCCTCTGAGCCTTTGCCCTTTCCACTGGGAGATGCTGTTTCCCGTGTCTCACTCAATCCTGATTACAAGTAAGTTCACTTATGCCTGGGGCAGAGCGGACACCCAGAAAACCGTAACTGTATAGTGTCCATGAACTCTAACAAAGAAGTGTACACGTGGTCATAGCAGGCTGGCTCTCCCAATCCTCAAGTCTGTCCGTCTTAGGGAAAGATGGGATATGCATAGAGTGGTTTGGAAACCTCGCTCATCCAAAGTCACCTGCTGGAAGAGCCTTCCTGATGGCTGAGGGCATCCATTTCTGGTTCTGTGGCCTTTCAACCCAGAGGACAAATGAAGTCAACTGGCCTCCCTGAGTTTAGGTTGGAGTGGTTATAACATCATCCTTACCAAGGAGAGCTTGAGAAAGGGTGCAGCCTTTGGGTTGAATACTTAAATTGCCCCTTATTAGCTATGTGATCTTAGCAGAGTGCTCAAACCTCAGTTTCCTCAACCAAACCAGCATTAATAACACTAACCTTGCAGAGTTGTTATTTGGATTAAATGATACAGAGCCAGGCTGTCTGGGTTTGAATCCCAGCTCTACCACTTACTAGCTTTGTTATATTGATCAAATAATTTAATCTTTGTGTGTCTTGGCATTCTTGTCTGTAAAATGGGTGTAATGATAGATCCTAATTCAAAGAGTTGTGGTGAATATTAATGAGTTAATACATGGAGGCCAGGCGTGGTGGCTCATGCCTGTAATCCCAGCACTTTGGGAGGCTGAGGCAGGCAGATCACGAGGTCAGGGGATCGACACCATCCTGGCTAACATGGTGAAACCCCGTCTCTACTAAAAATACAAAAAAAATTAGCCAGGCATGGTGGTGGGTGCCTGTAATCTCAGCTATTTGGGAGGCTGAGGCAGGAGAATGGCATGAACCCGGGAGGCGGAACTTGCAGTGAGCCAAGATCGCGCCACTGCATTCTCCAGCCTGGGCGACAGAGCGAGACTCCATCTCAAAAAAAAAAAAAAAAATACATGGAAAGTGCTTAGAGTAATAGTATCTAATAGTAATACATTGTAAGTTCTCAGTAAATGTTAGTTATTGTTATTATTATCATGAGCTTTTTCCTCTCATAGACCCTAGCAGCTGTGTAAACATGCAGGCAACTCTTTTTGACAGAGCAACACCAGCAGCAGAGGAGAGGAGAGATCTCTGGTCTTTAGGCAGATACAGAGACAATGTGCCTGTCTGGACAGGCTTCTAGGGCAAGTAGCACTCTTCCATGTCCTTGAAGGACCATTTGGTATATCACATATAAGGCTGCTTCCCTATGGAGAGGGTTGAGATCTGATCTGAAGGTGAAGTCATTTGTCTGTCACCACATTCCAGCCCCATTACCTGAAGAGGAAGCAGCACTCTCAGACCAGAACCCAGAAATGAAGGGGGTTGGCTCAGGCCAGAGCCAGAGCTGATTCTGGATCTTGTCTCAGGCCACAAGAGACAAGACTCTGCAGGACAGATTTCCCAACCAGGATACCAAGACAAGGATCGCCTCAGCACTTTGGGGTGGCTGGCCAGGACTGAGCTAGCAGGAGCAAGTGGTGTCAGACTGCACGCTTACCTTTCCATTTACCTATGTGCCAAACTTCAGTATTTTTTATGTGACCTTAAACACGTTGGGGAGTACTGTTCTGGGAGGCCATGCCTTTGAGGCAATAAGCAAGATAGTGACCAAGTGGAAACTGCTGAAAGTTCAAATGGCAGGAAGCTTAGCAAAAGCTGCTGCAGATGTTATGTTCCAGCCCTTTGGAGAGAGAAGAGTTATTAAAGAGTCACAAACCTCATCTTGGCAGCCCTGCTTGCTTATAGATATGTTTGGATTCCTGTGATTATTTCCTTTTCATTCCCCCTAGCATTTAGTAAACTTCCTCTTGCAAATACCGCCCTGTCTCAGCTGCACTAATGGGAACTGAGGAAAGAGGGTTTCATCCATCCTTAGACTAGAGTTATTATTCAGAAAAACAATACTCCCCCTTTCTCAGGAGACACCATGGTGCTGAGAGACTTCTGGATCAGGAAAGGGGAGCTGGAAGAGGCAGAATGAGGGCTGCTTGTTCATTTGCTCTACCTGAGCACAGCCCCTTTTAGGGCTCATTATTCAAGCAGAGTGCAGTCTTCCCACTTTCCAACAGTAGCCCAATGGAAACAATCTATAGCCTGGATTTGCCTTCAGGAGGAAGACCACTCATTAACTAGCAAAAACATTATCTTCCCCTTAGTATTTGAGGGTCAGTGTTTTTTGTTTGTTTGTTTGTTGTTGTTATTTGAGATGGAGTCTCACTGTCGCCAGGCTGGAGTGCAGTGGCGCAATCTGGGATCACTGCAACCTCTGCCTCCTGGGTTCAAGCGATTCTCCTGCCTCAGCCTCCCGAGTAGCTGAGACTACAGGCACCTGCCACCACGCCCAGCTAATTTTTGTATTTTTAGTAGGGACGAGGTTTCACCATGTTGGCCAGGATGGTCTCGATCTCTTGACCTCGTGATCCACCCACCTCGGCCTCCCAAAGTGCTGGGATTACAGGTGTGAGCTACCAAGCCCGGCCGGTTTTTGTTTTGTTTTGTTTTGTTTTGAGATGGAGTCTCGCTCTGTCACCCAGGCTGGAGTGCAGTGGCACAATCTTGGCTCACTGCAACTTCCGCCTCCTGAGTTCAAGCGATTCTTCTGCCTCAGCCTCTGGAGTAGCTGGGACTACAGGCATGTGCCACCACGCCCGGCTAATCTTTGTATTTTTTTTTTTTTTTTTTTTTAGTAGAGATGGGGTTTCACGATGTTTACCAGGCTGGTCTGGAACTCCTGACCTCAGGTGATCTGCCTGCCTCGGCCTCCGAAAGTGCTAGGATTACAGGCGTGAGCCACCATGCCCGGCCAGGTCAGTTTTTAAAAGTGATGAAACCCCGAAGTATTTATATAGATCAAAACCCTAAATCCAGAAACAGATCCCAGGTAAGAATGTAGATCATAACCTAAAGACTGTAATTTTTGTTTTTTGTTTTCTTAAGAGATGGATCTCATTCTGTCACCCAGGCTGGACTGTGGTGGCCCGATGGTAGCTCACTGCAGCCTTGCACTCTTGGGCTCAAAGGATCCTACTGCCTCAGCTTCCCAAGTAGCTAGAACTACAGGCTCATGCCACCACACCTGGCTAATTTTTTAATTTTTTATCTTTGTAGAGACAAGGTCTTGCTGCGTAGTCCAGGCTGGTCTCAAACTCCTGGGCTCAAGCGATCCTCCCACCTCAGCCTCCCAAAGCACTAGGATTATAGGCCTGAGCGCACCTAGCCATCCTGAAGACTATGTTTTGTAAAAGCAGGTCATCCTGCTTGAATGAGCAAAATTGTTCATACTCCTAGTTCCCTTTGGTGTTAACTGCATCCCCAAGGAGAAGGAGAACTCAGAGGAATCAGCAACATTATTTGCTTTGGCCAGGAATTCTGTCCCAGAGTTCTTAAGAGAAATTCCACTTCCTCACAGACCTAGGGTGATACATGGGCTTTGGAATCATAGTTAGCAAGCTTTGGTTTCCTCATGTGCAAACAAGCATCAAAATAGCAAAACCTACCTCCAAGGGTCATTTGGAGGATGAAATTAGGTAAATTAGATGAAAGCATCCCATCCCATGTGTATTCATCAGGGTTCCCCAGAGAAGCAGACCCAATAAGTTAAATCTCTACCTCTACCTCCATCTCAGAGAAAGAGAGGGAGAAAGATAAAGAGAGAGTGCCATTGATTTGAAGGAATTGGCTCACACAGTAGTGGGGGCTAGTAAGTCTAAAATCCATAGTAGAGATTCAGGTAAGAATTGAGTCCAAAGGCTGGAAACTCAGGCAAAATTTCTCTGTTGCAGTCTGGAGATAGAATTACTTCTCCAATAAACCTCAGTCTTTGCTTTTAGAGCCTTTAACTGGATGAGGCCCACCCACATTATGGAAGGTAATCTGCTTTACTTAAAATCAATTCACTGTAATATGTTAGTCACATCTAAAAAATACCTTTACAGAAACATCTACACTAGTGTTTGATCAAACAACTGGTTTCCATAATTGACACAAAATTAACCATCATACCATGTAAGGGTTAGAGTTCTCAACAAAGACATTTCCTTCCAACTTCCCTTCCTCCCTCCTTTTTAAAGTCATTGCTGAGGTTTGAAGAGGTTTCACTTAATGCTGTCTCTGGCATGTAGGCCCACAAGCTGTTAGAACCTAAGCAGTGGGGTCTGTGTGTCCCTTCTGTCTCTCTCAGATCTGCTTCTGCTGAGTTTACATCTCAGGGAAGCAGTGTCCCCACTTCCTGAGTCAAGCCCTGGGATAGCTTTAGTGGTTTTCCATTGAACCTGTGCTCCAGGCACAGATATACAGATAACGAGTTTTCCTCCATATCCTGTACACATTGTTTTCAATCTGCTTCTCTAATGTTTGCGGTGTTGCATTCCTTATTTTTGTTTCTGAGGTTTGATCAGAAGATGTGGGCTCTGCCACAGTGAGAATATTTCAGCTACCAGGATGACCTTTCTGGCACAGGTTAGTTAGCAGTGACTGAGAGACTGTAAGGAAAGATTTTTGTGGGGGAGTAAGAGTTAACTCCCTGCCTAGAATGTTTCAGGTGGCATTCTGCCTGGAAGTAGAGAGCTGGACTCCATTCCATGACAGAGATTTATACTCTGCAGGTGATCCAAAATGCTTCTCATTTTAATGGAATGTGGAATTGCTTTTGCCAAAGTTGAAGAATGTTTTAGATGGGATCTCTAAGGTAGCAAAAGGTTGTGAAAAGAGCTCTGGACCAAGAATTAGAAGACTGGAACCCTGCTTTGCCACTGTCTCCCCACATGATCATGAGCAAGTCACCTCATGAGCTTAGGCCTCAGCTACCTTTTTATAAGATTCTGGAAACAAAACTCCACCTCATCTTTGCACAGACACCACTTGGCTGCTTTCAGAGCACTTTTACCATTCATCATCTCTGGTCCTCACACCAGCTTCGTGAGGTAGACAGGATACTGGTATGGAAATTGGTACTTCTGTTTTTCAAGCAAGGCCACTAAGGTTCAAAGAGATTAAATGACTTGCCTAAATTTACACAGATGGAAGTGATAAGGCTGGGACTGAATCCAGGATCCTTAGTCTAGCTTGTTTTAGGGTACCCTTCTGAATACGGTGATGTCCATGGAACAGTAGGGAAGAGCACACAGTCCTGTTGGCAGAAAAGTAGTGAGCAGATCTGATGTCGGAGAGGAGGTGACATTGCCTTCACGCTCTCCAAGCACCCGAGGCTTTGGAGGGAAATGATAGTCTGAGTGGACTCCCATAAACCAGAAGGAGGTTGGTCTCCAGCTACTCAGATTAACATGTTTTCTCATGCTGTTGATTCAATTCAGAAAACATTTATTGAGGCTTTATCATATGCCAGGCTCTCTACTGGGGGCAGAGTAAGTAAGCAGTATAATGAAAAGTAGACTGGTAAGTTTTGTATTTGAAATGTAAACAGAGGGCTTTGGGTTTACAGTCAAAGGTACAATTAAGTCATCCTGGAGAGATGAAGGCAAACACAGCTGAGCCCTGAAGGATGAAGCAGGATTGAACAGGAGGAGAATGGAGAAAAGTGATCCCTGCCCTACTCTTCCTGCTTGGCCCCTGTGCCACAGCCACCCCTGCTATGAACTGCCATTCTACATGAAGCCAGCAGCAGACAGCCTGTTTGCTGCAGAACCTGCCAGATCTAACCCTGGTGGAGCTTTACCATTGCTTGTCAGATTTGATGCAATGCCCTGAAGCATATACTGCAAAGCAAGAGGAATTCTGCCTGGCAGCTCTTAGAGGAGTATACAGCAGGAGGGGAGGCCCATGGGCCCCTGGCAGAGAAATGGGCAGGTTGGAAGGAGGTACTTTTCTTAGTGATTGTGCCTACCCCTCTTAAGGGGCTGAGAGGCAGGAGCTGTTGCTTTGCATGTGTGATTTTAGACTGAGAGTGTTTTGTGTCTTTATTTTAAAACTGGTTTCTCAGTCTCCCGTGCAGTTTTCTGTCAGCTCGTTGCCATGGAGAAGTGGGTTGGGGCTGGAAGCTCTGTCCTTCTCTGTCAGCATTTCTGGACCCACCAGCTGCCTCCTGCCCCTTCTGCAGATGGAGGGGGGCAGGACCACATTTGGTGGGCAGACCTTTTCTCTGCAAGCACTGGAACTGCACCTCAGTTCCCTTTGGGATGCTAGTTTCATTCACCCATGCATTGACTCAGCAACTCTACATTGAGTGTCTTTTATGTGCCAGGCATTGTGCTGTGCTCTGCAAGTACAGAAATGACTTTGGCTGGTGGCACGTACATCTGTGGTGGACCCTGCCAGCCTGTTCTGTTACAACATCCCTGTCTGTTACTGTTCCTCAACCTCATTCTTTTCAGAATTTGAAGGACTGAATTTGTTTCTCTTCCAATCTTTATAACTGCTCATTTAGGAGCTCCCTGGAAGTTACCTACTTAGTCTCTCCACTCCTGGATCGTATTCTTCGCCTCCGGAGCGCCCAGCACAGTGCCTGGGGCAAAGGAGGGACTTGGCCAGGAAGTGTATATCTGATGGAATTCTTTGTCAAACCTCTCAGAATGTCTGTCTGTCCTGTCTTTCTTCCTCCACGCTGAGCCTAGATGCAGCATGTCTGGAAGCATGAGCTAATGGGAAACGACGGGTTTTTGAACTAGATAAATCTGTGCTTGATATGATCTGACAAGCAAGTGGCTTCTTAGCTTGGAGCCTTAGTCAAACCCATTATTTTCTCTAAACCTGCATCACAAGTCTATCAGCAATTGAGTTTTGACAATTTAAAAAGCAGTGTAGAAATTCTTGGTGGCCATTTAATCCTACCAGCTGCTCTCCTGGCTACGTCCATGTGGGACCCAGATGAGAAAAGTTGTCCTGCAGAGAACCCTGGGTTGGGATCAAGAGACATGGAACTGTGTCCTGGCTGTAACCCTAATGTACTGTGTGACTTTGATCAAGTCTCTTTCCTTACCAAGACCTCAAGTTCCCTATCTGAAACATTTAGGAATTGGGTTAGGTGATCTTGGAGGGTTCTTTTAGTTCCCCAGATCTGAAGATTCAGCTTTGAAAGAAAAATCTTCTCTCAGCTGCTTCCACCACCATTACCAGTGTCCCTAGGCTGGAGGCTGACCTCAGCATGACCCCTTCTGCCAGCCTCTGGAAGCTGCTCTCCCAAGAGGCTCCGGGCTAGAACACTGATACTGGATGCAGAAATCTCTTTCGGATGTAAAAGTCTCCTTTGAATGTATCATCTCTGTTCTCACCCCCAGTCCGGTGGCTAGGCTTGGCTTGCATCCCAGAACAGAGAAGAATTGCTGGAAGGAGGTTTTTGGTGGTGGTTTTTTTTTTTTTTCTTCACCTGTATCCTGCTTTTCCTCAGGACCTGTTACCTTCCTGAGTCTTTGGCTATTAAGGATTCTATTTCCTGAGCCACCTGTGACCCAGGGCTCTGTGCTAAGCACAGTGGAGGATAAAGAGATACAAAAGTCATCGTCCTCACAGACAGTCTCACAATCTGTGACATGGACAGGTGAAATAAAGAACTACAAAGTTCATGGGAAGCTCATCAAGGGAATGCTATGGACTTGGGTTCTAGGCATAGCCCTTATTCTGTCTTCTCCAGGCCCCAGTTTTCTGTTCGGTAGAATTTTGAGGGTTGGGCCAATGATCTGTAGATGCCCTTGCTGCTCTGAAATTTAACTATAGCTCAGTGTAGGCATGATTGTTGTAGACATTTTAGAGGAAGGAGGACTTGAGCTGAGCCTTGAAGGCTAGGCTAGGATTTGGATTAGCCCAGGATAAGGGCATTCCTGATTGCGGGATGGGGAGGTGTGAGGATAGACAGATCCCAGGCTGAGGGCAGAGTGTGGGAAGCCCTTCTGACCAGAGCACAGGGTTTGTGTGGGATACAAGAAGTGAGAGAAATATCAGAGCAGGCAGCTGTTGCCTTCCATCTGAGGGCCCTAATCCTCAGGGGCTTGGGGCCACCCCAGTGATACCTAAGGACAGAGAAATAAGGCAGGTTAGAACCAGGGCATTCTCCCTAAATGGGGACCCTAGTCTGATGCATATCATGACAGAAGACCTCCACCAAGAATACACTAGGGTCAAAGAAAGAGAGGCCACTTCTCTCCAGGTCCTTTCCTTCTCACTCCAACCAGCAGGTACTAGGTTGGTAGGAGCAGGGCACAGTGTGGGAGAATAAATCTTCCTGGGACAGCTGCCCTTGTTTCATGGTCTGTTCCTCCCCAAATGTTTTCCTGAACTCAGGGTGACAAGGGATATTTTGGCCATATCCTTGGGGTTGGATTCTAGATTCATCTACCAGGACTGTGAATCAAGGAATCACATATCCTAGACCTGGTTGCGACTTCCATCCTCCTAGTCTCCTGGCTAAGGCTATCTGACTCCTCTCACCCCTCTGTACCCACAGCTTCACAGATGCCAAGTCCTCTTGGTCCCACCTCTTTGCTTTCTCTCCGTCCTGCCCTCTTCTGCGTCCCACTGCCACTGAGACAGCTCAGGCTTTGTTTGTCCTCCTCCTCTTAGACTTTGCCTCCACCTCCAAATGATCTCCCTTAGACCCTCCTTCCCACTCAGTCTAAGTGTTTAGAAAAGTGCCTGGCATCGTGTGAGTGCATCCTAAATGTGATCTGTCATGATGGCAAGAACAATATTGATGATTGTTATTATGCCAGATTTTGCCTCTGAGGCACAGATCTGATTCTGCTACTCTGTTGTCCAAAAGCCTTAGTGGCTTCCAATTGGCTATGAAATAAAGTCCAAAATCTTTAGTCAGGCTTTTTGAGGATTATATTTCTTGAGCCATCTGCCATATGCCCCGTACTTATCATCCCAAATTTCTTTCCTTCTGCTATGTTTTGCACCACGTCTTCTTCCACCAAGTGGAACTACCACCATTATCTTTGCAATCCCCTCCTTCCCCCAGCTAGGTCTTTGTTCCCACTGTTCTATCTACTTAGAATGCTCTTTCTTCCCTCTCCCCTAACTTTTCTTCTTCCTCCAGGAAGTCTCTTCTGATCCCTCAGATTATTTATTCCTTGCTAGCAGGTGCCATGAATGGTTCATTTTATATCCCTTATGATATCTACCAAGTAAGACAAAATAGACATTTTATGAATGACTGGAAAGACCGGGTTTAGCCCCCTATTTTCAAGGAACCTAGAGTTTGAATTAGGGAGTTGTCAGGACTTGTCCAGCCAAACCCCAATACCTATATATTCCTTTGGAGAGATCCAGAAGTTCTCTAATGGACAAGTATTCAGTTAGCTGGCTCCACATGGTCATGACCCTATAAAGTGTATACAAGCCAATTGGCTCCTCTTACAGCAAACTGGCAGGAAAGGGTAGAAATATGGGGAATACTAGCTACGAAGTTGGCCCCTGCTGGGTTGAGATAGGGATCAGTCATACAAGGTGTAGGGGCCTATATTATCCTGGAAATGTCACTATCCTGGAGGGCCCATTTGTGACCAGGGGTCTGACAGCAAGCGTCTTAAGGTAATTATCATTGGGTGACATGGCTTGGATGTTTGTCCCCTCCAAATCTCGTGTTGAAATGTGATTTCCAATGTTGGAGGTGGGGCCTGTTGGCAAGTGATTGGATCATGAGGGCAGATCCCTCTTGAGTGGTTTTGTATCATCTCCTTGGTTATAAGTGAGTTCTCTTTCTGAGTTCATGTGTGATTTGGTTGTTTAAAAGCGCATGGCACTTCCCCCTGCTCGCTCTTTTGCTCCTGCTTTCACCATGCAATGTGCCTGCTCCCCCTTTGCCTTCCACCATGATTGGAAGCTTCCTGAGGCCCTCACCAGAAACAGATGCTGGCACCACGCTTCCTGTAGAGCCTGCAGAACTGTGAGCCAATTAAACCTCTTTTCTTTATAAATTATCCAGCCTCAGGCATTTCTTTGTAGCGACACAAGCACGGACTAATACATTGCACATTCACATTCCAAGGGGCCCAAGCCAGGCAGCAACTTGGAGGACAGATAAGAAGTTCAGGCCCTTGGTAGTGGGATGTCAGGAGAGCCTAGGCAGAGTGTGAGGGTCCTGCTCAGCCAGTAAGAGTTTGACTCAGGCCTTTAGCCCCAAGAAACTCTCAGATTAGGGGACACTAATCTTGTGGCTGCACATTCTAGGGGGTCAGCAGGGCTATCAAAGGGAAATGGGCTCTCTTCCTGGGTCAGGACTGACTTAGAAATTGGCATGTTCTCAATTTGGAAACACCTTGTTCTGGTCTTCATTTCCCTTAAGTGGGCAGGACTGGGGGAGGCAATGGCTGCCATATAGCTAGGCTCAGATATGAGTCCTGCCTCCCCTCCTGGTTCACAGCCTGGCTTACCAGGCCCTTGCTTCCATTTCAAAGTCAAGTCATGATCATGCCACCCTGTAGGCCACCATTTGGAAAGGCCAATCCCAGGCTGACACTCATTGCCTGTAAATGACGTGGAATTAGGGTAATCAGTGGCTCCTAATTCCCCAACAAATGCAAGTGCTGTGCTAATTGCCAGGGTCCACGCCGGCAGATCCCTGGTTGGCGGCATCAAACAAGAGAAGTGGTAATTTGGGGGCTGGAGTTGGGGACAGCCTGCTTCGTTGGCTGAGCCAGCTAAAAACCGCATTACCCCCTGGGTGAGCCACAGTGCAGACAGCCAGGGCCTGGCTTCCTTATCAGTAAAGGGACCAGGTGAGTGGCCCAAAGTATGTTTATAGGAGCTGAACCTTGGCACCAGTGCTCAGCAGTTGCTTGTCCATTAATGGGTTGTGTTGTTGTTGCATGGGTTTTGGTGAATTTTTTTTGTGGGGGGGGAGTTCTTTGAGGAAGATTCCACAAGCAGCCTGGCATGGCACTGCCGGGGCAGCTCATCAGGGATAAAGCATTCCGAACCTTGGTCTGCTGTTACCATGGCAGCATCACATGTCCGGACATTCCAGGCAACCCTTACTGGCATCTGCTACTGTGACAGATTCAGATGGAGAAGGAACACTGCTCTTCTCCATTATAAACAGAGCAAGTTGTGGAGACAGGGGAGCCATTCACCAAGGACCAGGGTCTTAAAGAAAATGCTATTCCATCGAGTTGGGGGCTTCTTGATGAAATAGTATTTGAGTGGTTGTTAAAGCTTTTCTGTTGGGGGAGAGATGCGGCATCAGAAGAGACCTCCTGGAGGAGAGAAGTAAGGGGAGGTGGGGGCAGCATGAACAAAGTCCTGGCTCAGGGGTGGGGTGGTAAATAGAGTGTGTAGATGGGGTACACAATTGAGTTTGGTGGGAGAACAGACCTTGTTGGAGGTAGGCAGATGTTAGCCATACCTCTCTGAATCCTGCTGGTTTGAGCCCTGTCTGGCAAAAGTCATCACGCCACCCAGATTCTACCTGATGCTTTCCTCTCCTGAGGAACGGGAAGTGACGGCCTCACCTCACTTCAAGTGGGCACTTCTCCCTTTCTCTTTTGGGTCACAGTTGTTTGTGATATTTCTCGTGCCCATTAGAATAATTGAATCTCTACATTTCAGATGGGAAGATGCTTGCCTAAGGTCACCCAGCAATACAGAGGCTGTGGAACTAGGAGTTACAAATTTAGGATCTGGACAGGCTGACGTTGGTTTGAGTCCTGGCTCCACCACTTAGTTTTCAGCTGAGCCTGAGCCTCAGCTAAGCCTCAGCTTCTTCAAGGGTAAAATAGTGATCCAGAACATTCCTGCCCTCTTGGCTTATTGTGGGTGTGAAATGAGATAACAGAAATAGTACAGCATAGTTCTTGATATATGGTAAGAGCTCAGGAAATGTTCATTATTAAATGTTAGTTATTTTCCACATAAATGGACCATCGTATTCATCTTTGCTCCTTCCTCCTTCTCTTTCCTTGCATACATAAGGTACCCAAATATCACTTTATCTAGAATTGATATTAGAGGAATGTTTGTTGACTAGTTGAATGTGCGAATGATGGGAACAAGGAACCATCCATGTTGCTGGGCTCTATACTTCTGTCTAGTGTTTTCAGCTTTGGTGCAGTTTAGTCTCCATAGGGTGGGAGCCAGGCCAAGCTTACAGTCTGTCCTGTGTAGCTCAGCTTGCAAGTCAAGTGACTTGCTCATTCAGGTTTCATATCCAGCTGCCCTGTGGCCCAGGACTTAAACTTCCCAGGGCTTTGGGTTTCTTGAAGGACAAATGGGATGGATTCCTCCCTACCTTTGGGCCCAATAAATGGTATTCATGGTAACTGACATCTAACTTTATAACATACAAAAGGTTTCCATTCACTCTTCCATGAGCCTCACCACAGCACTGGAATTGTCAGAACAATAGCCCCATGTTATGGATAAAGACACTGAGTCTCAGTAATAGGGAGTGGCTGGTCCAGAAGCACACACAGGAGAGCAGGAAGAGGGGATCGCACCCATCTTTTGACTCTAACACTGGTGGTCTTTCCACTGCATGAAGCTTTTAGGGTCTGTAGTTCTTTTAGGATATGATCCCAATGAGGTAAAGAATACTAGGCTTGGAGTTGAAATACCTTGATTTTGGTCATGACCCTGTCACTTACAAGTTTGCAGCTCTGAAATGAGCCACCTCTCTTCCCAAGGTGCTTATTCTCTGACCTTCTTGCTTCAGGGTTGTGGTGGGGCTGATGGAGCTTTGGAAGGTCTAAAACTCCACATGAGTGACTGAGGAGAAGAGCACTGTATCCATGAGCCACCGTGAGCTCAGCAAGGCTGTACGCCCAGCACAGCCAGATAGGCTGTAGAATTACAGCCTGGGTATATTGGGAAAGTTACACTTCATTGTCTGGAACATCAACCATCAGATCCGGGAGGGCCCTTGCAGATCACCATAGCTGGTGCTTTCAGTTTATAGGTGCAGAAACTGAGACCCTGTGAGAGGTAGTGACTCACCCAAGACCACGTGTTGAGTTAATGGCAGAGCTGAGACTTAGAGCCCAGGTCTGACACTCAGCCCCACACTGCCATGGAGCCATGTGGCTGTTAGGAAGGGAAAATTTTGCATTTTCTCTTGCCTGAGTATCTCATTTGAATTCATTTTAAACTGTTAGATAAAGAGTTTCTCAGAGAACTGTGTGCATCAGACAGTATTTTCAACAGTCTTTGTTTTCCAAACTTTTTTTGTTATGAAAGTAATATATGATCATGGAAGTAAATTGGGATAATAGAGAAATGTTCTATTTAGAAGACATCAAATTGAGGGATATTCTTAGCCCTCAGAAAAGATATTTTTTAGATGGAGGCTTTTAGACCAATGGTTCTCCAAACCCTGCAACACCTTCTGGAAGTTTAGTTACAGACAGTAGGAGAGTAACAGTCCATTGAGGCCTCTGAGGACTTAACTTAGTTCTATAGACTTGAGATAGTTAGATATACCACTAATGGTAGTAATAATAATAGTTGTTGGCATTTATTTGCAGAGTCTCTTCCAGGTAACAAACAACTTTTTCATAGGTGGTCTCATGATTATTTGATTGTTAGAAGAATCCAGTAAAGTAGGGAAAACAAATACTATGCTTCCATTTTACAAAGGAGAAATCTGAGCCCAAGAGAGATTAAGTAATAGTGGAGCTACTGACTTCAAACAAATACTTGGCGTAAAGAAGGAAGGCACCTAACAAATATTTGTGAATAAATGAATGATTGAATGAATGCTGACTTCTCTTCTAGGGAAGCCTCTAGAAATCATTTTGTCCAGTGGTTCCCAAACTATGGTCTGGGAAGCTGTAGGATTCCATGGAGCCAGTTGGGAGTAGTGGGAGGCTGAGTGGATAGGGCTCTGAGCCTTTCATCCCTGCTCCAGTCAGAATAACTTCAGTGCTGCCTGTTTCATGCACTGGGAGATTGAAAACAATTTAGCGAGTCTAACTCCTACAGCAGTGGTTCTCAAACTCTGTTGTGCGTCACAGCTCTGAGGGAGATTCTGACAGTTGGTATAGGATGGGCATCAGGACTCTGATTGTTTACCAGCACAGATGGTCATCGGGCCACTGTTTGAAAAATAGTGTCCTACTTCTGAGAGTTGGAGATTGCAAGACCCAGGGAGAAGCAGGAATTAGCCTTGGTCATACAATCCTGTAGGAACATAGGCCCCACTAGGTGTCTGATCCTTGGGTACCTCTTCCACTGCCCTTCCCCCGGTACCACAACTGCAACCGTGCCAGAAAACAAATGACACAGCAGAGAAGAACAAAATGGTTTCCATAGCAATGCTTAGTGGCTTGTGCCTGTCAGAATGCCTCAGACAAACAGTAATCTGAACCCTCGGCTAGAACTTGTGTCAAATGTTACCTACTTGTTCCATGCAAGGGGTCCATGGAGATGGGAAGAAGGAGAAGGGATGACACAATTTTGCCATGTGCCCCTGTATTGGACGGTTTTCCCAGATTCACTAATAGCTGGCCTCAAGATACACCAGATCGAGGAAGGCTGAGAAGTAGATCCTGGGCAGGAGATGTGGGCAATCCCAACAGCAGAGGGGAAGATGGGGAAGGGAACAAGTGTCCAGTGAGCGTGTGTCACGTGATGGAGTCTGTGCTGGGCACTTTACATATTCGTTTAGAAAAAGGCAAGGAAAAGACGATTGTTCTTATTTACAGATGAAGAAACCAAGAATTAGGTATATACAGTAGGTGACAGAGGCAAGATCAAATCCAAGCCTGTCTGGCTCCAAAACTACTGAGCAGCAACAACTCTCTCCCAGTTCTCTGACCCACTGGGTGAGGACTTGAGATATATACTGCCCAGCTGGCTTTCCTTCATCTCAGAAAGCAGAGGGTCAGCCTACATGCAGATGGATGGGTGCTCATTTGAAGGGCTGGGATGGACTAGGCTAGGCTAGGCCTGCCAGGACAGGGTTGATCCTAGAGTTGGAGGTGGTCTGTTCAACCTCTAGCTCTGATAACTCCCTTCCTCCATAACTGAGGCTGCAGCCACCCTACAGAATGCCTTTAGCATGGGCTACCCTGACTGCCCTGCCACATGTGTGGGTGTGCACACACAATATAGCAGTTGCTTCAGATTGGTGATCCCAGTAGATGGTCTGCCCAGCACTTTGATTTGGGTTCCCCTCAAGGGAATGAGCCCCTCCTGGGGCAAGTGACAACTCTTCATTGCTAAAACAAATATTTATTGAGCACCTTTTATATACTCATACCTTTTCTAAGTGCTGGAGATACAGCAGTTGAATAAAATGAAATGTTTGCTCTCATAGAGCTTTTCATTCTGGTGGGGAAACAGACAAACAAAAGTATATGATAGGGTATTACGTGCTGGGAAGGAAAATTAAGCAGTATAAAGAGAATGAAAGGATGAAATTGGGTGATCAGGGAAGGCCCTCTGAGAAAGTGCCATTTGAATGATGCCCTGATTGAAGGGAGGGAGGGAGGGAGCCATATGGTTATCTGGGGAGGAAGGTTCCGGGCAGAGGGAACAGCTGGTGCAAAGGCTAAAGCTGGAAGCATGACTGGCCAGTTGGAGGAAGAGCAAGGAGACCAGTGTGGCTGAAGAGGAGTGGATTAGGAAAGGTGAGGACGCGAGTGGCAGCAGTGGGTATCAGAGAGGTAGCTGGGATCAGATGGTATAGGACCTTATAGGCTAAGGTCCAGACTTGGTATTTTCTTCTGAGCTAGAATGCCATTTGAAAGATTCACACTCTGAGACAAATGTGCCTCGCCTCAGCCTCAAAGTCTCTAGCCCCCTTGTCTGGGAGGGGAATCTGCCACTAGGGGCTGAGCCCACAGGAGGCTGAGTAGTCCCAGGTGGAGACATGTATAGTCATGCAGGGAGGGAGCCCAGTGGAACTCACTGGGCTTCCTTATCTTCATTTGTGTATTTATTCTTAGAACCAATGTTTAAGGGTCTTTCAGGGCTGCCTCATTTTTGGGTGGCCTCATACTACCTGGAAATTAGATGTCCCAAAGAGAGTCTGGCTGCAGGGTCTCATGCAAACACTGCATCCTCTGGGAATGCCACTGCTCCTGCTGACACCCTGCTTCAGGAGAGGAGCTCTGTGCCTGGGTTTCCCAGCGCAGCAGTCCTGGCAGCTCAGCAGGGTTAGAGAAGAATGCTACTTCCAATGGGACCAGTAGGAGAACTTGGGTCGGTGGTTATAATGATCTGAAATGGTAATTTTCCTTTCAAATATTATGTGTTTTTTTATGAAACAGGGACATTCACAAAGGTAATTTATATTATTAGCCCATGTAGTATGTATGCATCCCAGTCAAGCACTTCATTCAAGAAAAAACAAAAACAGGAGCTATAATTTAGAGTGATGAAGGCACCAAATTAGGCCCCATCGAACCATAAGCACAGTGTTACCTCTTGAGCTGCCCGCTGCTCACCTGGTAGCTCCTACAATTTGTTATTCACACGGTTTCCCAGGTCTCAGGTTTATCATCTCTTAGGCTCACCAGAGGTCTGTATTTGGGGAATACATTCATTCATTCATGTCTAATAGGCACTTACATCTTAAAATGTCCAAAACAGAACTCTTGATTTTCTCCCCCAAGCCTATCTCTCCTCCAGGCCTCCTCAACTTCATAAATAGCACTACCATCCACTCATTGCTCAAGGAATCAGTTTTAATTCCTATCTCTCTGTATATATAATGTATCAGCAGGTCCTAGAAATCCTATATCCAAAACAGTTTATAAATCCATTTATCTCCGTCCCCACTGCTACCAGCCTACTTTGAGCCACCTTCCTGCACTGCCTGGTTCTCTGCAATGCAGTAGCCTCCTAAATCTGCTCCCTGCATTTTGCCTTTGTAATCCAGCCTTCAGAGAGCAGCCTTTTCAAATGTAAATCAGAATTTGTCATTCCCTGCTTAAAACCCTCTCTAGCTTCTCAGCATTCTCAAACTTCTAACTCCTCACCTGGCATCCCAAGGCCCTGCTTCCCCTTGAATTTTTTTTTCTTTCTTTTTTTTTTTTTTGAGACGGAGTCTCGCTCTTTCGCCCAGGCCGGAGTGCAGTGGCGCTATCTCGGCTCACTGCAAGCTCCGCCTCCCAGGTTCACGCCGTTCTCCTGCCTCAGCCTCCCGAGTAGCTGGGACTACAGGCGCCCACCACCACGCCCGGCTAATTTTTTGTATTTTTAGTAGAGACAGGCTTTCACCGTGTTAGCCAGGATGGTCTTGATCTCCTGACCTCGTGATCCACCCGCCTCGGCCTCCCAAAGTGCTGGGATTACAGGTGTGAGCCACCGTGCCCGGCCTTCCCCTTCAATTTTAAGGCCTGCCTCTCCCTTGGCTCACTTGGCCCCAGACACACGTGGTCACCCTCCTTGCTATATCTGGAACTGGCAAAATGCCTTCCTCCTTCCAGCCTTTGTATTGTCATTTCTTCTGCCTGCCAAGTTCTTCCCACAGATATGGCTGGCTCCTTCTTGTCCTACAGGTCGCAACTCAGGGGCCACATTATTGGGGAGGACTTCCCAACTACCTGCCCTTCTAAATCATATACTGTTTTTTTATAACTCATATTACTAGCTGCATTCTGTTGAATTGTATGACTACTTGCTTGTTGTTTCTCCCATTAGAGTATAAGCCCCTTGAGGACAGGGACCTTGTGTGTTGTTTGGTGCTATATTCTCTGCAACTGCTTGAATATTATTGGCACTCTATAACTATTCTTCCACTCATTTATTCTGCAACTCTGGCAGATGAAAAGATAAATAAGTATGCAAAACACAGAGGATTTTTAGGGCAGCAAAACTATTCAGTATGACCTTATAATTAGGTGGATCCATGTCATTATACATTTGTCAAACCCGTATAATGTACAACACCAAGATCATCCATAATGTAAACCACCCACTTTGAGCGCCAATGGTGTGTCAGTGGTGCGGGATGTTGGTGGGGAAGGCTATGAAGTAAGTAGAGGCAGGAAGTATTATGGGAACTGTCCATACTTTCTGCTTAATTTTACTATGAACCTACATTTTCTCTTAAAAAATAGTCTATTTAAAAGGAAAAAAATTCATTAATATATATTAAAAGTATTAACCCATTAGTTTTCTCCTATTTTGTATTGTAATAATTTTTATTGACAAGAAGTTTAATAAAATTTTACTGTTTAGAAAAAAAAAGATAAATAAGAGAAAGACTCTCTTCCCTTCGGGGTTTGATCCATCTCAGGAATTAGCCACTGCCTGGTCTTCCTGAGCAAATCTTTCCAGGACCTCATCTCCCTGTGCTGTCACTGTGGGATGGACGCTCAGCTCTCTAACCCAGCACTTGGGCTTTGTGGGAGCCTAGTTGATGTGTACAAAATGAATTGAACTGAATTGGGCATAGCACCAGACACGGACCAGATACTAAGTAGGTACAATATTTATTCAGTGATTGGAACTTCTAGGGAGAATTCTGTCTCAGATTTGTGTCATCCGTCCCCATGTGAACTCTAGTACCCTAATCTTCCTGCATGTGGATTCTTCTGGACCTGCCACTGGATTCCAGAGCAGACCTTCTTACTACCACCTCCACTATTGCCCCAATTCCCTAGCTTCCTCTTCTGCACACTGGTGATTCCCAAACAGGCTTGAGGAGAGCAAGGTAAGGAGGCTCTGGTGGTGACCAGGCTTCAGGAATGGCAACAGTGCAGCTGCTCCTGGTCCCAGAATGGCATCCATTCCTCCACCCCTCTGCTAGTGCCCCTCGGAGATTGGCATGTTCATTTAATAAGATGACTTTTAATGGAAACAACCTGAAAGTCCCAGCCAGGTCTAAACCACCAGCATACGGGCCAGGCCAGGTAAGAGATAGGAGAACAAGTCCTCCAGAAACTGTTTAAGAGTTTTTGCAGGCCGCGGGTTCAGCAAGGGGAAGTGGACTTGGCCTCCAAAGCAGCGAATGTGGCCTCAGGCTAAGCTAACAGAGGTGGAACCTTGGGGACTATGTGTGCATCTTGGTGGGCCCTTCATCTCTGGACCTCAGCCAGCTCTGGGTACCATACTTCTAGAGGGATGATGATGACTGAGAATCTGCTGAGGGGGCCCTGGTAGGCAATGGGGACAAGCTACCAGGTCATACAGAGGGAGGAGGTATCACCAGGATTGAAGAAATCTTGGAGGACAGGAGAGCAACACCTGAAGGGATTCAGATCCGAAGGTGCTGTGTGCATGCCCTTGCTGCTCCATCTGCCAGGGCCACCTTTCTTTTGGCAGCACCAGGCTCCACAGCAGACCTGCTGGTCCACAGCCTCACTCTTGTACCACATCACAGGGTGTGCTTGCTTCTGGACCTCTCCCAGCCTGTTTCCTCATCCACAGAGTGTGACCAAAATATCTTCTTCCCAGAGCTGTTAAATGAGATGGGTGATACAAAAGCCCATAACGCCATATGTGATCATAGTAGGCCCTCAAGAGGGTTAGTTTCTCTTTCTGCCCCCTCTCGCAAGGCAGCCAATAAGCCCAGAAAGCCAGCAGTTCTGAGAGAACACAGAATTCAGAAAGACAGTCTGTAGGGAGGATTTCAGTTGTTTATAAAACAGGCCAACATGTTTCCACCTTGTAAGTTCTAAATCCGTCATCATAGCTCCCTAGATCTAAGAATAGTCACCCACTGGAGCCAACGTGCCACAGCACGCTCTCACTGCAGGTGACTGAGGAAATGTGTCCACAGCAGCCTCAGCAGCCTCCTACTCCTGGGGCTGGGGGTGGGGAGGGCTGGCCTCTGCCTGTCCCAGCTTGGCTGTTTCTGAACCGCACCCAAATGCAGTTTTCTCTTCCATGCAGTGTTGATCCAATACGTGCCTCACTGGGCTGCTGTCAGATGAGGTGCCTGCAGTGATGCCAGGGGGTGGTTGAGAGGAGCGGGGAGGTAGGCCAGTGGGGACCTTTGCATGGCATTGCCCCACTGTGGGCCTCAGTTTCCTCCTATGTAGAGGGAAAGTGATTGACAGAGAGAACTGGGCAACCTTTTGAGCAAGGGGGTTCTAGAAGAGGTTCCAGAGCAGTCCTAGCCTTGCAGCTTAGAACCCATCAATTCAACACACTTATTTATCACTTGAGCCAAGGCCTTTCTTTTGTCTGGTTTGAAGGAGCCAGCCTGGGGAGCGTGTATCTGCCCACTCTCCTCTTCTGTGTCCACCTTCCTTCTCTTTCTTACACACTTCCATATCCACACACACCACCACACAAATTCTCCAGGATTGGAAGGACTTTTGGTTTGTCTCAGCCCAGCCTCTGCCCACTGTGGGACTGTCCTGGGGGCTCAGGACCTGTGGCAGAGCACCAGCTATGTTCCAGAGCAGTCTTCCAGTCATTGCAGCGTTCTTCCTGATAGCGAGCTACAATTGCCGTGCCCATGGCTGCTGCTTTCCACATCCATGGGTTCCCTTTTGGCCCTCTAAGAGAGAAGAAGCAGCTCCATTCTCTCACTGCCATTCATTCATTTGTCCTTTCATTCACACAACAGCATTGAGCGCTAACCTATGCCAAGCACTGTTTCAGGTACTGGGATATAGCAGCAAACAAAACAGAGTACCTAACTCTCAAAGAGCTTGTGTTTTGTTAGGAGAGAGAGATCATAAAATAAATAAACTGTAAAAAAAAAATGAAGAAAAATAGAGCAGGTGAAGAGATAAGACGGGAGTAGGGGTAGACTGCTATTTCATATAAAGTTGTCAGGGAAGGCCTCTCAAATAAGGTGGGACTCTCACAAATACCTGAACAACATGAAGGAATGAACCTGTGGCTGTCAGGGCCAAGAGCATTCCAGATAGCAGGAACAATAAGTGCAAAGGTCCTGAGGCAAGTACTGTTTGAGGAACAGTAAGAAAGTCAGTGTCACTATGGTGATGTTAGCAGAGTGGATCATGATAGAACATGATGTTAGAGAAGGAGCTGGAGACCCGCTGTTGTTTATTCTGAGTAACAGGAGAAGCCACTGAAGGATTCTAAACAGTGCAGTGCCTTGTCTGACATAGGTTTTAACACAATCACTCAAGTTGCTGTGTGGAGAATAGAACATACAGGGAAACAGAGGCAGCAGAGAGACCAGTTGGGCAGCCCTTGAGGGGTGATGGCACTGGTGAGAAGTGGCCAGATCCTGGCTGTATTTTGCACATTACCTTCCCCAAACCCTTTTTCCACAGGCCCTGCCCTTTTCTTACCTGGTGGACAGCCACAGCCTCCTTGCTGGCCTCCTTGCCTCCAACCCTCACCCCCCATCTACTCCTCTCACCTCATTCTCAGGGCTGCTGTGGATCTTGGTGTGAAGGGGACCCTAGGCCTGTCTGTTTTCCCACATACAGCCTTCTCTGAAGCAATGTGGGCCACAAACCTGAAACATCCCCAGAGTAATCCTGTGGGTGAACAGCCCCACTTTTGATTCTGGAGTAGCTTCTTTCTGCTGCCTCAGCTCCTGCCTCGAGGGTATCCTTGGCCCTGGAGAGTGATGGATGGACTAATTCCTGAAAGGGCCTGTTTTAGTCCATGTTTTGCTGCTATAACAGAATACCACAGACTGGGTAATTTATAAAGAAAAGAGATTTATTTAGCTCAATAAATGGTTCTGGAGACTGGGAAGTCCAAGATCACAGGGCCACATCTGGGGAAGACCTTCTTGCTGCATCATAACATGGCAAAAGGGCAAGCAAACATTCAAGAAAGAGAGAAAAAGAGACCAAACTCCCACGATAATTAACCCATTCCCACAGTGACAGCATTCATCCATTCATGAGGGCAGAGCCCTCATGACCTGATTGCCTCTTAAAGGTCCCGCTTCTCAACACTGTTGCATTGGGGATTAAGTTTCCAACACCTGTACTTTTGGGAACACATTCAAACCATAGCAGGGCCCAACACTGACAGTGCCTGTGTCCTCTGCCAGGCCCAATAGGACCATCATCCTCATAGCCATTCTCATGGCCATTCTCTGCATGGCCTCCTGGGTCAGTGTCTCCTAGGTCATCCTCTCCTCTTTGCTACCTCTGTCCCTGGAAATACTATTATTTTTAAAATCATCTCTGTGTTACTGCTTTTTAAAATATTTGAACGAAATGAAAATGAGGGTCACCCTTCCCCCATTTCTCCCTGTCTTTGTCAGAGACTGTTCTCAATTTGGGATGTATTCTTTTCCATTTGTACATATAAAAATATATAGGGGCTTTGCATAACTTTATGTTAAAAAAAAGTTTTAATATGTAAGGATCCTAGTCTGAAGGGGGCCGTGGCTTTTTGAAATCATCTTCTACTGGTGAATGTTCTTGAAGCCCCCCAGTCTTTTGCAGTTGCAAACAGTGCTACAGTAAACACCACTGTCCATGCCCCTTGTGTACACATGCCATCATTTCCCATAACTGTCTTTTCCCATGGCTGTCTTCCTCAGTGGATGGGGACCCTGAGGGCACAAAATGAATTTTCCTCTTCTCTGGGTCTTGTGTGCAGCACAAGTCCTAAACCAGAAAAGGCACCCACATGATGAAATAAATGGACTCAAGGTTGGGCAAGAGCATGGCAATGTGAACAGCCTGGGTGAATTCGGGGAGCCGACAGCAAGCCTGTGGGGCTGGAACACTGAGTTGGGGAACAGGGGTGATGAGAGACAGACTACTCAGGGCCTTGGGAGCCAGCTAAGGGGCCTGGACTTGGTCTCATAGGTGCTGTGGAGACAGGAAATTTTCCATGGGAGGACCTAGACCAGGCTGTGTTTCTGCCTGATTTCTCCCACCCAGGCCAGCAGCCTCAGCATAAAGGATAGGGCAAGGGACGTGAGGACCTGATCCCCTTTTTCCATCCTGCTGTTGCCATCTAGACCCAAAGCACTTTAGGAGGCCCACTTCAGGGATTCCTCACTCCCCATTCCTTGCTCACAGCAGGACCCTAGGGACAGTTCTACCAGTTGCTGCCAAAAGGATGGGATCCCTATGAGCTTGGGTGGCTAAACACTCAGAAGTGTCTCCCAAACTTACCCTGCTCCAAGGCCCGCCCCATCCTTCCTGACATGTACCAGAATCCAGAGCCCTCCTCTCTATGAGGGCGCTCAAACCTCACCCCTCCTCTCCGTCAGCCTGGTAGTGCAGAAGAGCAGTCCTGACTGTTGGTCTAGGCCTATGCGTGCTCTTAGACAGGAGGAGACAACATGGACCATTCGCTACCTAATTTCTTGTGCCTATCTCTCCCTCCTCTTCCCACTGCCCAGCAGATGCAGAAGGGGGCAGGGCCTCAGCCCCAGCGCTCACAGGGCTCAGGGAGATTTCTGCTCCTCTGCACAGTATCTTTCTCTCGCCAGCTGGAGTTCTTGCCTTCCATTACTTCCTGCGTTCCCATAGGTGGACTGTTACTCTGTACCTTTTCTTAATTACCTGGGAAGCAACGTTTTTGCTAGAGAGAACAGTATAATATTAAATAGAAGAGGGCCTGGAGCCAGACTGTCTGGGTTCGAATCCAGCTCTGCCTCTTGTTTCCTTGCACAGTTCACGTCATCTCTCTGCAAAATGGGGATAATATTAGATTGCACTTCACAAGTTTGTTGTGAGGATTCGGTGAATGAATATTTGCAAAGTGCTTATCACAGGGCCTGGCATATACCAAGTATTCAATGATTCTGTTACCATTTTCACATGGTTTGGAACTAGTGAAGGCGCCTGAGATTTGGGAGTCCTGGATTCTAGTCCTGACTAGAATAGCTGTGTGGCTATAGACAAATTACTTTACCTCTCTGAGCCTGGTTCTTCATCTGTAAAATGGACGTAGTAGTACCTCCGAGGGTTGCCGTGGAAATTAAGGTGACATTTTTATGAAACTGAGAAGCACCATCCCTAGGTCGCAGCCCTCATGCTCATGGTCAGAGGTAGTGGCTACAACTCCAGCTATCGCATCCACATTCCCAGTGACAGGATGCAAGAGGGACAAAGAAGAAGGAGCAAAGAGTGTATGCCATCTGTCTTTTAAGGAAAAGTCCCATAAGCAATTACAGAACATTTCAGCTTGACCCTCACTGATCACACCTAGCTAGCTGCAAGAAAGGTTGGGAAATGTCTTTATTCTGTGGTTCAAGAGACAACCAGGAGGCTCTGCACACATGCTCAGGTGTTTATTCCTCCTTGGCAACGTCCTCCAGCAGAAATGCTGCCCCCTCCCTAGCACTGGGCTGCAGTCCCAGCACCATAAGGCCCTATGAGGACTTAGTTGCCAAGAAGCTCGGGCAGGTGCCACAGACCTGAACAGATTTGGGTATTGTGTCCAGCTTGTGCCAGGGACCCTGCCAGTCCTGAGGTTCCGTTGCCTGCAGGGCTCTTAGGCTGACGCAAGTGTGGTGGGCTGTGAGCTCCATCACTCGTCACAGCCTAGATTGAGCCCTGTGAGCAGGAGGCCTGAACTCCAAGGGCCTAGGGAATCCCTCTGTAAATATGGGGCTCTCCACCCAAGTCTCAGCCATGTGCCCCAGGACCAGCAAAGCAGATCTCCGTCAACCAGGTGGGATTCTGGTGTCTTCGAAGACCTGACAAGTGCCAAGCACACTGCAGAGAGCCCTCTGTAAAGCCAGGGATCGTCCTCTAACTTACCTGTTTTGAAAACTGGACGTTCCATGTTCCATGTCGCTTAGGGAGAGGCTTTCTGTAGGCCACTCTCCTTCCTCTTACTTCTGTGTGAGAACAGCCTGCATAGTAGCATCTTGCTGAGTCTGGAGGGCCTTGCCAGCTTCATTGTGCCCCTGAAAAGGTGGCCCTAAGTGAGGTTAGGGGGTGAATGAAACCTATTCTAAAATGCTGGAGGAGCTTATTACTGAAAGATGTCCTGCTGCAAGTCCTTCTGTTAAGGGGATAACCAATCCTTTGCTTTTCTGAGTTCAGCATCCTGGCTTTTTTTTTCCTATAGGCTTGTTTAAAGTGTTTGGAAACCCCAAACTTCCTATCATTCTACTTTAGACCTTCTCATCTGCTGCTGCCCCTCCATCTCCTCTTTGCTGTTTGCCACTGGTGTGGCTTTCCTTGCCTTTTCCTCCTATTCCCATGATCTGCTTTCCACATGGGTTTGAGCTGTCACTGTGTCAGGCATGGTGCTGGGGCATTGCTCCTCCTCATGGCAACCCTATGAAGTCAGTGGGGACCTACGTACCATTATCACACAGTTGTGTGGTAAGGTGGGACCAGGACAGCATAGCGTAGTCCATAGGCCATAGTCTATAATATGTGTGGAGCAGGGGATGGCAAACTATGACCAAATTTGACTTGTAGCCTCTTTGTGTGTGATGCTGCAAGCTAAGAATGGTTTTTAAAGGGTTATCAAAAAGAATACATGACAGAGACCTAACATGGCCCTCAAACCTAAAGTATTTCCTATCTGCCCCTTATAGAATAAGCTTGACAAGCCCTGGGATGTAACATGCAGACTTCAGCACAGATTCTGGAGCCATCCTGCCTGGATTCTAGAGCCTCTGTTTTATTCTCTCTAAAATGAGAATAATCTGTAAATTGTGGCTGCCTCACATGGTTCTTAGAATTAAATGAGATAAAGTACACAGAGCACCTAACCCAAAGTCCAGCTTTCTTTGGAAGTACTGCGGGGGGATATTACTGGGCCTTTACCAGGCTTCTCGACCCAGTGGGCATGAAAATCCTGGCTCTAGTCCTTTGGCTACCCCGGTCCCAGGCGTAGCTTCCTCAGAGTGTGTTCCCTTTGGCTGGAGGAGAGGCACCTGCCAGCTTCCCACTGTGCTGTGTCCTGCTGGTAGGTCAGCTCTGCCTTCCTCCCACCCCCATCCCTGCTGACGGTCAGCTGGTGCCACTCACCAGGGCCGGGCACAAAGCCCATACCAGGTGCCGAACTAGGCGCAAAGGTACCAAGCCTCTTCCACTCTCCCTACCTCGTGCCTCAGCTCAACCTGGCTGGAACTCCTGCTTAACTGTAGGAGATGTGGCCTGGGGTTCATCCTCTCTGTATGCGCTTCCGCATTTGTGGGCCAAACAGGCAGACATCTGTGTTTCCCTAAACCCAAGCTTTTGGCCAGTGATTGCCTTCCTACTAAGGGAAAGGGAAGGGAAGGGTAATCCCGGGGCCCAGCCAGCTACCCTCTTGATAGAGTGGTCTGCAAAACAAGTTTTCAGTGGATAATGAGTTAAATGTAAAGAAGATTTAAAAATTCAAATCCTTGAACTATCAAAAAGAAGTTTTTACTGCGTAGAACCATACACTTATCAAAAGACTGAAAACAAAATTTTAAGTCAAACTGAGGAAAAAAAAGTAATGCTAAATATAGCAGAGAAAGAACTAATATTCTTAAAATCAAAGTCTTTCAAACAACAAAGCTCTTAATAGGTGACAACAACAATAACAAACATTTATGTAGTACTATGTGCCAGGCGCCATTCTGAGTCTTTTGCATATACTATACTTACTCATTTAACCCTTGTAAACAACTCTAATAAGGTATTACTGTCCCCATTGAACAGATGAGAGAACTGAGATATAGAAATGCTAAGTAACTTGCTTGAAGCGGCACAACTAGTAAGTGGCGAAGCTGGGATTTGAACCCAGTTCATCTGGCTCTTGGGCCTGAGTTCTAAACTCTTCTGTACTAACCAGGAAAAAGATATAAGCAGATAGTACACAAAGGAGGAAATATAAATATCTGATAAACATTGTAATTATTTTTCTGTTTCAATGGTAGTCCAAAAAGTACATATTAAAACAAGAGATACCATTTTTGTCTTCAAATTAGGAAGATCTTTCAACATTATAATACTATTAAAAACTTGCAGTCCTAGAGTAAGACAGAGATTCTCACAGATTGCTGAAGTTATATGCAAGTAGCCTTTCTGAAAAGTATTCTGGCAGTACTCAAAACAGTACTCAGGCATTTCAAAAATGCCTATACTCTTTGACCAGGAATTCCCATTCTAAGAATCTAATTTGAGAAAATAATTAGAGAGACAGACAAAGACTCATGCATAAAGATGTTCATAGCAATGCTATATAAAATAATGACAAATTGGAAACAACCTATGGATCTGATAATAGAATGCAGGTTAAGTAAATTGTTTAATCTTCATAATAGGTAATTAGGCAGCCATTATAAGTAAATGTGTATAACAAAAGACACCATAAACCAAGTGAAGAGACACACCACAGACTTCTGGAAGAAGATACTTCCAAATGCACATAACAACAAAGAATCATAGAAACAAAATAATACACAAAGAATACTTGCAAATCAATAAGGAAAAGGCAAACAACCAAAGAACAAAACAGAGAATGTATATAGACAATTCACAGAAGAGGCAACTTAAACGGGTAATCAACAGAAAGCGCTACTGCTCCATCTCACTAGTAGTCAGGGAAATGCAAACTAATTGAACGTACTCATGAGAATGGCAAGAGTCTAAAGGTAAGATCTAAGGAAACAAATTCATATCTATTGTTGATGAGAATATAAATGTCTAGTCATTGGAGAGATATTTGGCCACACTTACTAAACATAAACATGCTTACATATACATGCATGACTCATATACTCCCAGGGATCACCCTGTACAAATACCAGTTTGTACAAGGAGATATGTTCAAAGACTTTCATTGCAATACTGTCTATAATAGCAACCATATTAGTATTGTTGTTGCATAATACTATATATTTTCCATTGTTATATAATAAAACAGCAACAATGATATTATTAAATAACTAGCCATCAGAAGGGACATGGGTAAGTGAAATATGATTTATACATAATGGGATACTATGCACAGTTAAAATTAAAATAACTGAACTAGATCTGTAACTACCAGCTCAGATAAATTTCGAAAACAATGATGAGTGTAAAGAGCAACTTGCAGAAAAAAAAAAAAATATGTGAATGATTCTATTTGTGTAAGTCTTTAAAACAAACTAAACAGATCACAATATTTAAGGACACATCTATGTAGAAAAATATGAAACCATGCAAATGATGTGCACCAACTTCAAATAGTGGTTACTTGTGGGAAGGAGGGTTGGATAGAGGGACAAGAATGGGAGGTGGGGCATAAACTGTATCTTTAAGATTTTTTTTAAGAGAAGGGTTGAAGCAAATATGGCAAAATGCTAGCTAATGTTCTTAATCTGGGTGGAGATCTGCGTCTTTCTATTAAATTATTTTCTGTTCTTTAATGCATCTTGAGAAGAAAATTATTTTTAATTTACTTTTTTGTTTGTTTGTTTTTGAGACAAAGTCTCGCTCTGTCACCCGGGGTGGAGTGCAATGGCACAATCTCAGCTCACTGCAACCTCTGCCTCCTAGGTTCAGGTGGTTCTCCTGTCTCAGCCTCCTGAGTAGCTGGGATTACAGGCATGCACCACCATGTCTGGCTAATTTTAATTTACTTTTTGAATACTTTACAATCCATGGAGAAATATTTGTGCTACAATGTTAAAAAGCAGGACAAACATATATACAAATATTTATAAATTTCACAAATTAAAGGGTTGAAAGAGATATCCAAAATATTCCTAGTAGTGGCAAGGGCAAGATTCTGCAAGTTTGCTTTTCCTTACACATCCATATTGTCCATTGTTTCTTTTCTTTTCTTTTGTCATGAAGATGTATTATTTTTATGTCCAGAAGATTTTTTTTAAACGACCACAGAAAAACATGAATGAGTTTAGACCTAGGACAGTGTCTAAAACCTAGGAAGACGTGTTATGATGGGTGGACTGTTGGAGTTACCTGGGCATGAATGTTGGCTTGGCCACTTTCTGGCTGTATGAATTTGTTCATTTTTGTATCTATTCAGTAAACACCTGTTGAGCACCAACTGTGTACCAGGCACTGTCCTAGAGATACAGCAGTGAAGAAAGTATACACGCTTCTTCCCTCACCACAGAGTGCAGTCTAGTGAAGAGGGGACAGTAAACACATCACCACACAAATCATCCCTCACTACAGAGTGCCAGATCCTCATGAGGGAAGAATACAAGGGCAGTCATGAGAATCTGATTTGGATTGGGTGGTCAGGGACCCTGGCCTCTGAGCGACAACTGGAATGGAAAACATGAAGAGGTCTGGAAGCCCAGTAAACTGAGGGCTTTGAGAGATAGGAAGGCCCTACTGGACATACTTAAGGAACAGAAAACAAGCCAGGGTTCTGCATGCAAAGAGGGAGGGCAAGAGTTGTGCAGGGTGAGGACACCAAGATAGTTAGGAGCCAGATCACTCAGGCCTCACAGGCCAAGGGAAGGCCTCCTTAAGGACCATGGAAAGGCACTGAAGGGTTTTAAGCAGCAGAGTGACACGTGATTAGATTTGCAGTTGTCGAAGATTGTCTTGATGCTCTTTGAAGATCAGGGTGGATGGAGTGAGCAGCTGGGTTAGTTAGTTGGCTATTGGCATGGCCCAGGTAAGAGAAATGGTGGCCTGGATGAGGCTGGAGCTGGCTGAGGAGATGGAAAAATATGGGGAAAGATTTGAGATGTTTTTGGAGGCAGAGTCAGTAGGTCTGGTGATGGATTATATGTGGTGGTGACAGTAGGGAAGGGCCGAGGAGGAAAGCCACGCTTGGAACATGAGCAGTCATGAGTTTTGTGGGAATGGGAAGCATGCCTCAGGGGCAGGAGGGCAGCTGCCCTCAGGGGAAGGGAAGGAAGTAGGGATGGGGAGGATGCCGCCATGTGTCCTTAAGCTTTGGCGTCTTCCTGAGTGAACTGGGGTTTATGATGATACCTGTACCCTCAGGGTGAATGTTTCAGCCCTATTATCCAAAACCTCTTCTACAGCAGTCTTCCCTCTCCTTCACAGGTGGAGTGTGTTACTCTTGGGGCTGGAATGAGCATGGCATGTGCGGAGATGGCACTGAAGCCAACGTCTGGGCCCCAAAGCCGGTGCAGGCTCTGCTGTCATCGTCAGGACTCCTTGTGGGCTGTGGGGCTGGCCACTCCTTGGCCCTCTGCCAGCTGCCAGCTCACCCTGCATTGGTCCAGGACCCCAAGGTCACCTACCTTTCCCCAGATGCCATCGAGGACACTGAATCTCAGAAAGCCATGGACAAAGAGAGAAACTGGAAGGAAAGACAATCAGAAACTTCAACCCAAAGCCAATCTGACTGGTCCAGAAATGGGGGACTGTGATAGAGAATCTTTAATAAAGTGGCTTTTCCCACCAAAAGCCTTCCCAGAGAATTGTTTTGTTGGGCTGTGGGGTTGGCCGAAGAAGGGCTCAGGAGGCAGTGATGGTTAGGCTGACCACAAACCAGAATGATGGCAGGCTGCTTGCCTAGTGCCTGGGGCTCAAGGAGACAGACATGCTTTCTACTCAGCAGAGGAGAATGAGGGGTTAGGTCTTCACTAAAGATATGGAAAGCTAACACACCAGTAGGAAGTCTCCAGCCTGTCGCTGCCTGGTGGAGATAGAAAACCCAGTTCTAGGTCCTTCATTATTTTGGCCCAGCAGCCTTCAATTCAGCAAAACAAAGGGTTCCTGGGCCATGCCTAGAGCAGCCCCTCCTGGGGTTTTATTTTTAAGGCCCAGAGCACATGGTTTTCTAGTTCAAGGATATCGAGGTACCCTGATCAGATGACTGGATACTTAAACAGGAAAGAGCTCTTATCTTGGTGACTGCGGGTGAGGGAGAAGGTTCTGGAGTAGGGGTGGAGGGGAATAGAGAGGCGTATGTGGAGGAAGAGTCAAGACTTCCGGGAAGACCCAGTAGAGGAAAACCCTAGGACAGCAAGAGAGGCTAGAACCGACGAAACTCTCAGATTTTTCTTCATCTGAGTCAGCCAAGGCGCTGGAGCTTGTTTGTGTGACTATACTTGCTAAAATATACTGTTTCAGATGAGGGACAGGCCACAGCATGTGAAGGGGAGTCTGTAGGGATAGCAACGTCAAAGACTCTGACCCCTGACCGTCTGCCCCTCAAGCCTTAGCCTGTACAGGAAGAGGGCCCTCGGGTAAGATGGAGACCAGGCCAGATCCCCATTCCCTGACTTCCCTGTGGCTCTGGGGGACATAGGACCTTTCTCTCTGCTGTGACTCGCAGCAAGCCTTTTGCCGGAGGACCTCAGAGAATGGACTTTTTCTGGAGAACCATGTGGCAGTATCACCAGCTAGGCAGCCCAGGTCTGTGACCCATCCCACGCTGCCTCCTTGTGACTCAGAATGAGTCTGTGAGGGCTGGGCTGCAGTGGCTTCAAGTTACAAAATCCCAGGATACCAAAGCTAGAGGCCCTTGAAAGACCATCCAGCCTAGTGGCCGTCACGCTGCATCCTTTAGAGCCCTGGGAGTCTCCTGAGAACTCAGTGGCCACCTTGTGGGTCAAGGAGGCCAGGTAGATAGAGGTCCAGGTTCCCCCGACCCCCGCCCCCCAACACATCTTATTCCAAGCAGCTTTAGTTTTTCTCTATATTGGGCTTCACATAACATTTCGTTTGACAAGAGGTCCTTGAGAAAGTTTAAAAACCACTGATTTTATTCAACATTTTCATTTGTTCATGTGGGAAAATGGAGGCCAAAAGGGGGGAAGGGACCATCTCAAGGTCATAAACCTCACTACCAGGCCAGGGTCCTGATTGGGAAGTGACCCAGCTAAGTCCTTGAGTGAGACAAGGGTTTGATGGAGAGTAGCCCTGGGACCAGGAGTGAGTTCAGCTCAGGAGAGGAGGATGAGGACAATCTTGAGCTTCCCAGGCCTGAACATAGAGACCACTGACAGCCACAGGCTGACCTTGAACATCGTGCATGGAGTCCTCTCAATATTGTACCCTAGAAACATGGCTGCCCTGGCCAGCAAATCCCTTGGTTCCCCACCTCTCAGGACCAATAGAGGCCAGTACAGTCTCCAAGAACTTGAGGAATGGGAAGAAGGATATCTCCATGCACTCGGAGCTTGACTTGCCAAGGTGACCAAACAAACCACAGAGATGGAGCAGTCAGATGGCCCAGAGGTGATCCATATGGGAGCAAGCCCAAGGACACTGGCCCACCACCCACTGTCCTAAAGGCCTGTATCAGACACACAGGCCAGAAAGCAATCCCACACCGGATAGCACTCAGGCCCGTACTGCCTGAACAGTTACTACTCACAAAGAACCAACGCACTCTCTCTCACAAGGTTCCAGTTCAGAGCTCCCTCCTACCTCTTTCAGCACCTGCTGGAAGAAACCAAAATCCCAAGGCCTCTGCTGCTGAGTCCTAATGCCTCTCCCATGACCTCCTTGTGAGCACCAAAAAGAAGTGTCTCAGAGTTCCTTCCCAGCCTGAAACAGGATCAGGTGGTGCATTAGCCCGAGCCCTTTGATGCAGAACCTCAGACTCTCAGAACTGAGTCAAACCCTTCTTAGAAGCAGACAGGTGCAGATAATCCACATGTGGAAGGATGAATGGCTGTTGGCACTAGAAGACATCATAGACCATCCCATCACCTTGAGTTCCTCCATTTTTGCCTTTCCCGACAGCAGTGTTGGGCAGATGGGCGCTCTCCATGCTCCTTCACTGGCTGAATCTGATGAGTGTCTGAAAGCACTCATCAGATAATGAGTGAGGAGGTGTTGACAATGTCTCCCAGATTTTTTTTCTGCACCCTTTGATTGCTATTGGTTATTCTCAGACTTTGTAGATGTCCAAGCCCCTCATTCCTAATAGCCTGTGAGCTCTTTGAGAGCAAGAGACCAGGTCTTGGTCAATTTTGGAACCCCTTTGCCAAGGAGGGGTCCTGGAATGGAGGAAGTGCCCAATAAATGCCCATGAATTAATTCATCAGTACACCCCACCCACCGTAGGGGGGAGGTTAAATGAGTGGGCTCTCTGATCCTCTCGTCACTATTCATCCTTTACTTTTAGCCCTTTTACAAATATCATAACCATTTGACAGTCAATTTACGACAACATCATTCACCTGGTAAGCTAATGTGCTGTAAGAACTGTGGCTATTTGAGAAAATACTCATTTTTAAAAACTACTTTTCTTCAGTGAACTAAGTGAATCAGTCTTCATATTCCTCCTGTGTGAGAAGGAAGGGAAAGAGGGGAGCAGGCCCCATTCTGTGCTCCCTGGTCGTTGGCCTGGCCCCTGGAGTGATGGTTGAAGGTCAAGCACAGACCAGATGTTGGTGGGACGTCTCCCTCCCTAACTACCATACTCACCCTCCCCTCCTGAACACAAGTACCCCATCATCCCTTGACACCCCCACCACCCTTGGCCCTGGTGGGTTGTGAGGGCCATGAGATCAGCCTTGGGTGAGATTGTGCTTAGGAATGGTGAATCCAGGCCTAGGGCTCAGGCTTAAAGCCTTCTCATCAGCCCCAGGCATCCACCACTTCTGGGTGAAGTGACTTCGTGATCAATTGAAACTGGGAGTTAGGGAGTTAGTTAGGGGTGGGGGTGATAGAGGGAGGGCGCGGGTCCGTGCAACTGCTACAAGTTCAGAATTTCAGAGTGACTGCAGTGCGGAGGGAGGAGGGAGGAGCGGCTGGTGAGGCAGTGGGCTTTGCCAGCTAGTTGAAGGAGCTGAAACTCCAATCTTAGGGCAACGAGGTGTTTAAGCAGGAGAGTGAGGTTGGCCAGCTGTGTGTCGGGGAGGCTTGGGGCACGATCAGAAGTGGCTCCCTCCTGTCACATTCATGGCACTTCATGAAGTAGGGCAGGAGGCCAGGTCCTGAGGTCCTGGGATTTAGGACCAGCCACTCTAGTGTTCCTATCATTTCCACCCCTAATGGCCAGCCCCTGAAGGCCTCAAGTAGCTTGAGACAGTTGTAACTTGAGCTCTGGATTCCGACCACCTGGGTTAAAACCCTGGCTTTGTCACACATTGGCTCTGTGGCTTTGGGCCATTATTTTACCTCTCTGCACCTTGTTTCACCTGTAAAATGGGACTGTTAGGTGATTGTGAGCTGTCATTAGATAACGTGTGTAAGATGCCCGCATGTAGTAGATACTCAGTTCATGTTAATTCCCTTTCCCCATTAGCTGCTGTGTCCCTGGAAACCCATATTCCTAACGGCTTTTTGCTGAGTCCCACTTTGAGTCCACCAGGGCACTTCTTTGCTTGTGGATCCCTAAGTAGAGTGGATATTACCCTCCCTGCAGCAGCGGAGGCTACTTGGCTTGTGCATCCTGATGCTTATGAATGGTGGTGGCAGCCCTGGTAGGGGCCCCGGGCAGAGGCCTGACAGTACTCACTACTCCACGGACCCCAACCCCTTGTTTCCTGGACTGCATGGGGCATCAGGAAGTTGAGGCCAATGCTTGGAGATGATGAAAAACTGTTAGATGAGAATTTCATACACACTTGAAGCTTCCCACCCACCCATCTGATCATGGACTCATGCCATGCTGGGAGGCATCAAGGGAAAAAAAATCAGGGGAAGACTGACACCTACTTGTCTGTGGCCCTGGGCAGATCCCTCTCTTCTCTGGGCCTCATTTCCTCATCTGGAAAATGCTCATAGATTGACTCTCATGACCATTATGGACGCTTTCCACCTGAACATTCCTGAAGTCTCTAATGGATAGAAAAGAATTGGAACCCCAAACCTCCACTTTGCCACCAAAACCAAGTGAACAACCCAAGACAGTCACGATCCCTAGGAGAGGGCTTTACCCCTCCCAAGATGCCTCCAGGCCGAGAGAGGGGTATGTGATGAGGGCATCCCTCAGACTTGTCCTGGCAAGGGTTCTGCTGGGTAGGGCACCCAGATCTGACAGTCAAACCCTACCTCTGGCTTCATCAGAGTCAAGAATGGCCCTAGAAGTGAGGTGACCACGGTCTGCATAAGGGGCTGGGAGCTCTAACATGGCCCGATTCAAGGACCCATCAGTATGGCATGATTCATGGAGAAGTTTCCTGGTCAGGTGAACCCCCTAGAGGAATTGCTGGTCTTAGGTCCTTATAAGCCCTGTGCCTTTGAAAGCTGCCTCCCTCCCCTGACCCAACAGGATCTGCAGCCCAAGGGGCCACCCTGCCCAACCAATCTGCAGAGGACAACTTTTTCCTTAGGGCCTGACTTTCCCCCAGCAAGAGGACAAGCACCTTAAGGGTGGATCCTTGAGACCAGAGCAGCCAGGGCCCAGGTTTACCCCCAGCCCAGCCACAGGGGACCAGAGGCCCAGACCAGAATCACGACACTGCCTGAAGGCAATAAAAACCCAAATTCATGCTTCATCTCAAAAGTCAGTTTTTTATTATTGGGGGCCAGGGCCCAGGGAGGGGAGGTTGTTGAGCTAAAGCATCATTGCTCTCTTTCCAGGAAATGTTGTGAGCTGCAGTGAAAGCTTGAGATGTTGCATTTTTTTCAACTCAAGCATGTGTTTTTCAAAAATATCATCCTTCCCCCCCACCCCACTAATTTTAGAATCAGACCAAAGCCAAGCTACTGTCCTCTGTTTCTGTTGGGAAAATACTATATTTATTCGAGATGCAGAAGTGTGTCTCTGCAAACCTCCGACTGCTTCAGGAAAACAAATCTGCTTTAGACTATACAGAAACCATGATACAAAATTTATTTCATGCTAGAATCGCTTTGCATAACATTGGGCATGCAGGTTTTTACTCTGAAGTACTAAATTGCATACAATGCCAGGTTGTGCCTTAGTAAAGGTGGAGGAGGCTGCTCCTCCCGTGGTCCTGATCTTTTGGTGCTCTACATCCTGGTTTTAATGGAACACTTGGAAAATCCATACGGTGGTGATTATTTACTATGAACAATTTGTTATGAAAGTTGGTCACACTGGATCTACACACCGATAAGATGAGAGAATCAACCTAGACTAGCTGCTGTCAGGGGTCTTGGGGAGACATCCGCTGGGTCACAAGCATGCCAAACGGGGAAGAAGGCAGCCGTGCGAGTTTCCACAATTCTATTTGGAGCAAAGTTCTCAGTTTCCACGTGAGAGATGAACTATGAAGGTGAGGTCAATATGACCGATGACTGACCGACTGCCCTTTTTGGAAGCTTTCCTCTTGATCTTGTGTACAAAAAGGAAGCAATCCATTCCCCATCTCTGTCCCTCCTCCCCTCGCCCCTCACCCCCAGAAATGTACAGGTTTCTACTGAACGCCGTTACAGTTTGGCTCCAACAACGTGTGTGAAAGTCAAGAGCTTTGAAAGAAAATAGAGGGCTTTGATGTTTTTCTTTTCATTATTGTTGTTCAGGGTAATCATACAGTTGCAGGGGGTTGGTGGGTTTGGTTTGCTGGGTTTTCTGTTTAACTTCATGCAAGTCATGCTAAGGAGCCCCTCCACCCCCCCTCCCCAAATAAAATAAAATTTTAAAAAATGAAAAGAAGGAAAAGAAATCCTCTACGGTCAGTTACCATTTGGCCGTAGAAAAAGCTACGTCCGTCCTAGTACAATGCCTGGGCCACTCGGACTCGTCCGGCAAACCTGCATGGCGTGAATTTACTCTGTCCGAGGGTGAGGAGGGGCTGCAGGTCCACCCAGATGCTTAATAGCCACCAGTGTCCTCGGCCAAGCCGCCTGGTCAAGTCACTCTCACAGCCTCTGTCGGCATATACTTAGCAATGACAGGGCTTTCTTTGCAAAGATCTGTATGTAAAGAATACAATTAACACTTGAGCTTCTCTTCTTGGCTCTCCCATCCCGCTTGGTACTTAGTTTTTAAGAAGGAGGAGGAAAGACAGAACAGCCGCATGCAGAGGCAGGCAGATTCTTCTCCAGCTGGCTTGGTTTGCCCATGCACTGAGCCAGCCTAGCACGCCTCTTTCTCTCCCTCCTGGGGGAATGGGATGAGTCCCTACTTCTGCTCTGCACATTGACTCACACACCTGCATGCCTTCTGGCTCAGAATTAGCCTGAGAAAAACAAGTCCTCGGCGGCTGTCGTGGCTCCATGAGAGCGCGGGCCGAATGGATGTAGGTGGGGACACTTCACCCTTAGCGCCTCCCAAAGACTCTGGCACCTAAGCCTCGGTGGGACTGAGGAATGGGTATCTCCTGTGGACAGTGCTTACCGCTGGACTCCCAGCCACTGCAGGGAGCAGCGCTGTTCCTGTCCCACACTCCCTTCTGTGCTTCTGGCACCACAGTAAAGAGACTGTCTTGTCTGCTCTTTGGGGCCACACCAATCAGTCTAACATTCAAGATGATGGAGACAGAAAGCCCACGAGAGCTTACTGGGCAGGGCACAGACACTGGGAACCGTCTACCTGCTTTTCCCCTCACTCCTCGGGCATTCTGCTTCTGGGCATTCTAGCACCTCCAACTGGGAAAAAGCCAGTCGCAAAGGGGAACATCAGGCCCATCCATGGCCGGTGCCAAGGATGGGACCCTCCCGAAGGCTGGCAGCCCTCCGCCATGCAGCACCATGCGGGGAGTTGCGCACCGTGCCCCGGCTCAAAGGACCTCTGGGCAGGGCAGAGAAGCAGAGACCAGCCTAGACCAGGTGGGCACAACTAAGCACCAGTGACCAGAACCACGTTCCCTCGTCTCCGTGCGGGCTGCCTCTCCTCTTCTAGGTTTGCCTTTGCTTTTGCATTCTGTTTTCTCCTGCGTGTGGTTTAATCACTTCAAATACTGGAGCAGTTGTGAATGACCATAGGCTGCACCAACTGTTGCTTTCAAAAACCCAGCTCCTCTTCTGACCCAGCCTGCTCACCCCGTTCAGCATGCATCCGTGTGCACGTGTGAGGCACTCCAAGACATGCACGAGCTGCCCAGCCAGTCTGCTGCACCAAGAAAGGTGCCCTCTGCCTTCTAGGTCCGGGCCAGTGCCTGGAGCCTTGAGCTCGGGCGCCCTGGGCCCCCACCCCAAGCCTCTCCCCGGCCGGTGCTGAAGCTCTAGGAGAAGCCTCTCTCTCCAGTGGGGACAGCCTAGCGTGCTGACTACAAAGAGACCTGGAGCAGGGGCCACCAGCAGCCTCAGCCTTCGCCAACCACAAGAGGGTGCTGACCACACCCTGGGCAGAGGCCTGTGGGTGCTGCGGATGGAAGGGGCAGGACCGTCCTGCTCAACCACCTTCTCTTGGCAAGTTCTCGATCTGCCACTAGCAATATTCTGACTGCAAGGACAATGGCCTTACCCCCAAGCCCTGAAGACATCTCTCTCTTCTTGCCTCTCCTCCCTCTGGCTTGTGGATTGATTATCTTTCAAGGATGCCTCTTCCATGCCAAGAACACGGATCTTGTGTAGCTAAGTTCACAGGGTCCTGGCCCACTCCACTGCCCTCCTCAATCAGGGGAGAGGAGAGATCACTTTGCCTTTGGGACTTGACCTGCCATCTGCAAGAGCAGCCTGGGGGAGTCAAGGCTCCTCCTGCATTCCTGGGTACCCCTGCCTTGGGGTCATGGCCTAAAGTCAACCTGTCCAATCCCCTCTCAACTCCCAGCAACCCACAGCTGCCAGGGCCTCAAGTTCTCTCTGCCAGCCTGACATCTCACTTGGGGGGAAGGGCCTCAGCCCTCCAGGGGCCGACCCTGGGAGATTCCCTCCATCCTTGCCCCCCTCGGTGTGCCTGCCTGCCCCTCAGCGCCCTTGCCCGCCGCCCTGCCCACCCATCTGCAGGAGCGCGAGGCGGCCCGGACGATGCACGGTGCTCCAGCTTCCTCTACATACCCTTTCTCATTCCTCCACCAGGTGGGCACGCGTACTCCCCGGTTGATAAGAGGAAGCAGGGTCCGTATCTCTCGCGGGTGCCCGAGCGCGTAAAGGGCAGGCCCTCATCGGGAGTGAGGGCCTGGTCTATGTGGGGGCAGTCTTCGTTCGCCAGCGCGGCCTTCGCCACCTCCCCATTCAGTTTGGAATCTTCAAACATATAAGCAGAAGCTATTGAGACACTGAAAACTGTTTAGTGGGGGGCAGGGGGGGACAGGCCAGAAGCGGGGTATTGGCAGAGGGCAGCTTGAGCGTCCCTGAGGACGGAAAAGCGGGCAGGCTGTGGAGCGAGGAGGGCACAAGGCAGGGGGCTTGGTGGGGGGTTCAGCTCATTCAGGCAGCCTTCGGGCTGCCCACAGTGCTGGGAGTGGGGACTCCTGGGTTTGCTCAAAGTTTGCAAAAAGATGAGTTGGTGATGGATCCAGCAGGTGTGGTGCTGGGGGCCGGCCCCGGGCCCCAAGCAGGGCCGATGAAACAGGATGGTGTGGATGCAGTCATGGGGGAGAGCCAGACACAGAGCTCAGGGAGAAGACAGACAGACACGCAGAAACACTCCAGTCCAGAGAGGGGCCTTTCCGGACCCCTCTGCTGCTGACCAGAGCCCGGCTGCCTCCCGTCCACAGCCAGCCAGTTGCTCGGGCTTCCCTAGCTCCATACAGACCATCTCATCTACTCTACCCCATCTCCCATTTGGATCTCATCTGATCACCTGGTTCACACCACCCCCACCCCCCATCTAATCACTCAGCCTGCGCCCGTACCCCCCCGACCCCAACCTCATAAAGACCCAAGCGGGTCACTCTGTATGCCCTGTTCCCCATACAGGCTAGGCCCGGTCACACAGTCTACTCTGTTCCCACACAGACCTGGTCCAGTCACTCTATGCCCCGACCCCCCATACAGACCAGTCCTGGTCACACAGTCTCCTCTTTGCCCATGCAGACCCAATTTGACCACTCCATCTGCTCCGTCCCCCACATGGACGGACCCAAGCTGATCACTCAGTCTGCTCTGGTCCCCACACATATCAAGCCAGTGTCTTCCACTCCATGCTGTCCCCAGCAGGCCTGGTCAGCTTGCACAGGCACAACAAGGATGTATGCATGAGGCTGTGGCAGCAGGACATGGATTTGGGAGGGGCTCCCATTCCTCTGTCCCCTCTGGTCAGTGTCCCCGGCAAAGCAAGGCAGATGAATGTGTAGAAGACAACAGCGGCTGATGGACTTGGGTGGGGGAAACTGGAGTTCTGGCCTCTGTGGCAGCCTGAGAAGAAGCCTGGGAGGAGGTCTGGGAGCACATTTGGTGGGGGGCAAACTTTGGCCAGAGCAAGGAGCTCTGTCTCTCTGCGATCTCGGAGCAGAGCCGTGGAAGCCTCTGGAGCTGACAGAGGTAGCCCTGACTGGCCTTTGCCCCCATCCCATCACTCTTGAGGACCGAACCTGCCCCAAACTCTCTGCCCTCAAAGCAGAATCTTCCTGGCCAGGGTGGAGCCAACTCCAATACTTCATCTAGGGTGACAGCCTCAAGCACAAGCCCTTTTGTGGAAGAGGGAAACCAACTTGGGCACGACCACGTCAGGGGAGGCTCTCTGAAAGAGTAGAGTGGGGGGAAAAGGCTGGAGACAATGTCCACCCGATTGAACACTCTCCCGTGATCCTGTTCACATCATGTAACTACACGCAGAAGTGATCCTTCCCCACGTGCACACGCTGGGCGTGCACGTGGGTGGGATTACCGCCCGTGTACACATCATGTCACTACAAAGAGGCAGTCAGTCAAAAGAGAAATGGACCAATCAGATTTATTCGTAAAGCAAATCCAAAAAAATCCCATCATAATTTTGGAACTTAAAAAAAAAGTCTTTCGTACAAGATGGCAAAGCATTTCACGTACAGTGCGTTTCTCGACAAATCCCAGGGGCTTCACTTCCCAATTTACTCTGAACCAAAAAGGCCAGTTGCCAAGGTAACTCTGACACCATGTGACTGGGGCCGGGGCGTCTCTGGGGTCTTGGGGCATGTCTGCAGGCACACACGTGTGCTCGCAGACACGCTGGTCCTGCCTCCCACTCTGGCTGGCCCAGTCTTCCATCCAAGGGTCTCCGGGCTGAGGGAGGAGGGTGTTGGGAGAGGGGAGGGAAACAGTATGGAGAGGACGCGGATGACGATGTGGGGGTTGAGGCCCATAGCACCCTGCATGGATTTTCCTCAAGGGGAGAACAGTGGGTCCTCCCAGGCAGCGTCTCCTTCTGGGAGGGGAGTGAGGACTTGCTGAGTCTCTGTTGGCCATCCTCTGCCAGGGGAGGTGTCCACAGCCTGCAGTTCTTGCCTGGGGAGGGGTGGGTCAGAGGGGGGTGCCTTCTCTCTGCCTCTGCCTCTGTGGAGATGGTGCCGCCTGAGACCCTTCTCTGGCTCTGAATGCTGGGCCCCCGCCCACTGGTTCTGTCCACAAGCCCCCAGGCCCTGGGGGCTCCCAGCTCTCACAATCACTAAAGGGCCCAAAGTTCGGGATGGTTTTGGGCAGGGGACAAGGAACATCCATCAGGGATCCCTGGAGGGATGATAGCCTGGCACCTTTCCCTCCTGGGGGATTCCCGGGACACCCCTAGGGCCTACTGCTTCTCTCAACCCTAACCTTTGAGGAGGGACTAATGATTGGGTGGGGAAGCTTAAGTCTTGCTCTGTGAAGGGGCCCAGGCCCCTGGGCTGTTCGTCTATCTATGGTTTAAGATGCTTTCAGAAACTGGGGCATTCTCCCTCCCCAACTCCAGAGGGGTGGCTTGAAGAAAGAGAAACCAACGAGGGGCCAACTGTATAAATCTGGGGAACCCATGAATAGGGTCAAAGGTGTGAGCCCCCGCCCCTGCCCCATCCTTTGGATGAGATAGTGGCTAGGAGCCTCCATTCCCACCTGCTTTCCAGAGGCTGGGGGCCCTGCCTCCCCCAGCCCAGGGCCCCCAGGCCCCCACTAGACCCACAGGCCTGCAGTGATGAAATGGCAGCATGGGCAGCGTCTCAGAGATGGTTTCCAGGCTTGAAATGGGCTGAGATGAGCATCTGCGAGAGGGTCATTTTTTTTTAAACTTTGGAGCAAGGAGAACCCGAGGCTGGGCCCTCAGTCAGCACAGCTGGCTTTTCTGCCCTGGTCTCCAGGCACCGCCAAAGTACTTACTGTTCACACCAGCTGCGGGCACCGGAGGGGCGCACGCGGGGCTGGGGTGGGTTGGGGGTTGCTGGGCATTTCCTTGGGTTTAGCCCTGAGGGATCTGCCCAGCTGGGGACTCAGGAAAAAAGTCTCAGGCTAAATGGGGACAGTCTGTGAGACACGAGCAGGGAACAATCACGAGAACCGGCACAAGTCATGCAACAAAACGAGGAGAGAGAGAGAAACATGATTAGTGGAGAGAGAGAGAAAGAGAGAAAATGTGAACAACACGGAAAAGAACACCCATGCCTGGCCCCTGGCGTCACTTCATTTCTCCGCTACTTCCCCCACAGCCCACCTGAGGACAACAAAGACCCCACTCAGGGCCCACAGGCTGCTGACCCTGCAGCTGGGTCCCTGCAGAAACTCTCTTAGCCCCACCCGCCGCCTAGTCAGCGCTGCCCAGCTCCCTCCCCCCTCCATGGATAGCACCACTCACTGGGCAGCCACTGCTGCCCAGCAGGGGAAGTAGAGGGGCTGGGGATAGGGGACTTTAGACCCCTTTGCCAAAGATAACCCAGAGGCTGCAAGGTTAGCTCCCAGGGAGCCCAGGCGGGGGCTTCTCTGAGACCTCACTGCTGTTCTAGGTGCCATGGGCAGGAAGGGAGCCCGGCCACCACCACCCCCTCCACCGGCCACCCACTGCTCACTGACGTGGGACCCTGCAGCCCTGGACGCGGCACCACAAAGGACTGACCCACATCACAGGAGCGGAGATGGACAAGACACATGCGAATGGGCATGGCAGGACGGAGGAGGCATTGTGGGCTGTCCAGAGTGGGCGGTCTGGGCATCCGACTGCAGATGCAGGAGGGAGCCCCTTTCTGGGAGAGAAGTAGCTTCTCCTGGGCCCCTCAGCCCTAGGCAATCCCTGGCTGTGCCAGGGCGCCCTCCTAGCATCCCCCAAGAGGTCCTACAACCAGGTGAGAATTGGATTCTTGATACCCCTCCCAGGACAAGCCCTCAGACACTGAGGCCATGCCAGCCACAGCACACAGGAGGAGACCAGATTGTCCCTGGGACAGACACACAGACTGAGGCTTCAGACGAGACCAAGAGGTGGAGGTGAGGGGCAGGTGCTGCTGGCACCACTGGGGGCTGGCCTGGGGGGGCGGGAGGGATGCCCTCAGAACCCAGCGTGCCACACACAGCCCCTAACTCTGGTTTTAAAAGTGGAATTGGAGAAGCTCAGGTTTTGGCGAGGCCACTAGACTGCCTTGGGGGTACAGTGAGACTGGAAAGGCCTTGGGGGGCTGCATCTCATCTCTCACAATTCCTGTGGGGCCACCACATTTACCTTCCTTGCCCCTGGCCTCCCCCTCACTCTCCCACAAACTCACCCCAACCCTATGCCCATCTAGGTGCATGGCTGCAAGCAGGAAAAAAGGTGAATGGGAAGAACTCTGGGGTGCAGAGGTGGGGACAACGCCCCTAAAGACCGCAACTCCTCTTGGTGGCGGATAGCCGGGGTCTCACACGCCAGCTTTTGGAGGGAGAAGTGTTCTGGTGAGGGATGAGGCTGGAGCCTCGGGGGTCAGGATATCAGGACAGCACCAACACCACCGGGAAGTGAGTGCTTGGGAAGGGCTTGGGAGCACAGTTGGTGACGGGGGAGGCAGGAGGGATCCAGGCATCCAAGCTCCAGAGGGCAAGCTTGTGAGGGCCCCAAATACTTCCTCAGCCACAGAGACTGTCCAAGCCAGAACTGTCTGGGCCCCTGAAACCTGGGACCAGGGCAAAGTGGCTCTCAAAAGCAGGGCTGGGGAGAGACTGTGGAGCTCAGGGGCAATCCCACAGGAGTGCATGGGTTTTACAGGTTTTGTGTCCTGGGATTAGCTGGTGTGCATGTCTGAACAAACACATCTGCACTCCCTGGGGGGCAGGGGGACTCCGCACAGGATAATACTGTCATTGTCCAAGAGTACAGAGGAATCTGGGCCTGCCTGGAGAGCACTGGGGATTCTTGACTGGCTGGCCCAGGGCACCTGTGCTTGGGGCAACACTCCTGAAAGATCCAGTGTCGGGGAGGATGCAGGGGAAGGGCCAGGTAGTGCCACAGTGATGCCACTCAGGCTGAGCTCTTCTTGCCAGGCCCACATGGAAGCTGGGGCCTGGGCCAGCCCACGCGTTCCTCCTAGAGGCCCAGAGCCCTGTTGGTAGCTCCTGAAATCAAGTAACTAGCTAATCCAAAGCAGAGAGCTCGGAGCTGTTTCAGCCTCGGAGACCCCTGGCCATGTTCCTCTCAGGCACCTACAGAAATCCCAGGAAGGGAAGGGTATGCGGCAGGGTGAAAGGACCGGGAAACCCCCATGGGCAAAGAAATGGGCCTTGAGGGTAGTGCTCGGGCCAGCATAGCTGTGGGGTAAAGCCAGAAGAGGATTGGGATGGGGTGGTGGGTCAGAGAGCGCGATAGCAGGGAAGAAAATCAATCATCCACTGGGGGAGGCCACCCAAACCAGGGGGAAACTTCCCCACCTGGGGCTGAGCTAGCCAGCAGCCTCCTGCCAGACCTGGGCATGGGGAGGTCCTTCATAGACTAAATGCCACCTGTCACGTCAACCTCCTGCTCACCTGGCACTCCTTCTTACTCAGTGCTGTCATTCTTCTCTGGGTCATCTGTTCCTTTGAAATCCCTGTGTCCACAGAATAAGTCGATGGTATTCCATGGGTAGAGGTAGACTATGGGCTTTATATCTTCGGACCAGAGCCCCATGATCAACTTTATGTGCTATGTGCAGGTTCTCATAAAACTGAGATAGTCCCATAACAAACCACTAGCCATGGAATATTAGAATATATCCCACGGTGACTAGTATTGTTTCATGCCCCCCTCCCCCCTCCCGGCCCCCAGTGAATTCACGGGAAAGTGGTTGTACACTGGTTGGGATGTCTATATTGCTGCTGCAGTCCCTACCGCTGGAAACGGGGAGAACCCTCGGTGGGAGGCTGTTGCTGGTCTGTAGCGCTTTCATCTAAGCTGCCCAGGGTGGTGGCCCCCTCTAGTCTTTTGCTCGGCAGCCGCTTCCATCGGGTCACCGGAAACTCCCACTCGACCATCAACCCAAACAGACAACGTGAAAGCTAGAGTCACTTCAACAGGTTCCTAAAGATAAAGGCTAAACTCTAGAGTGGTGGTAGAAGATGAGTTGGTTCAGCATGCTATGGGGTAAGTAAGCTTGTCACGGAGGGCTACAGGCGTCTCCTGGGAAGGACCTCGAGCTGGGCAGCCCGAAATCAGGGCAGGAATTCTACTCAGCTATGGAGACAGGCTCTGCCGGGGGTGAGAACCCTTGCACCTGCCTTTGCAAGGGACCCTCCTGCCCAGATCCCATGCACCATCTCTGCCATCTACACAGCCTGAAGGGAGCCATGGTAAGGACCAGATCAAAGGCTGTCTAGCGTTTCCAAATCACACCCGCCCCCACTCTGTCCCAACACCGGGTCAGTAGCCTGAGTCAGAGACTCACACCGGACTCCTGCCCCACCAAGCAGAGCCCCCCTGGCTCCTGCTAAGTTAGTCCTCAGCAACCTGGCGGGCCGCGTTGTCTCTTCAGAACATCACGAGACCAACCGCGTCAACCTCCTTACCCAGGGGCACCAGTGAGGTTCCTCTAGCAGGCTCTTGCCTGCTGAATTTGGCCGCCCAGCATCTCCCTGGGCCCCCAGGCTCCACACCTCCAGACTGAGTGCGGGGTCCGGGGTCACCCACGGAACTAAGGAAGCAGTCTGACTGGATCTGGAATCATCGCTACAGGGGGCAGAGGTGAAAGGTCAGATCGACATGCCTCTAAGAGGTTTCCTACCTGCTCTGTTAATTTCTAAAATTTCTTCCTGGGCCAGCGGACATGTGTCACTCTGAGTACTGTGGTGTGGAGAGTTTACGACAGATTTACAATAATTGGGAGATCCCAGCTGCGGTGGCCGCGGAATATGCTTCTTTTTTTTCTTTGGTAGTTTCTGCTTAGCCATGGCTAAGGAGTAATACATCCCGAAATTGTTCACGATGACGGGCACGGGCATGGCGATGGTGAGCACGCCCGCCAGCGCACACAGAGCCCCCACCAGCATGCCGGACCACGTCTGCGGGTACATGTCTCCATAGCCCAGGGTCGTCATGGTGACCACGGCCCACCAGAAGCCGATGGGGATGTTCTTAAAGTGCGTGTGCTCACTGGCGCTGGGGTCATTGGGCTGTGCCCCTATCCTCTCGGCGTAGTAGATCATGGTGGCGAAGATCAGCACGCCCAAGGCCAGGAAGATGATGAGCAGCAGGAACTCGTTGGTGCTGGCTCGGAGCGTGTGGCCCAGGACCCGCAGGCCCACAAAGTGGCGGGTCAGCTTAAAGATGCGCAAGATGCGCACGAAGCGGACGACGCGCAGGAAGCCCAGCACGTCCTTGGCTGCCTTGGAGGACAGGCCGCTCAGCCCCACCTCCAGGTAGAAGGGCAGGATGGCCACAAAGTCAATGATGTTGAGCGAGTTCTTGATGAACTCTACCTTGTTGGGGCAGAAGATGACACGCATGAGGAACTCGAAGGTGAACCAGACCACACAGACGCCCTCGATGTAGGTAAGGAAGGCCTCCGTCTCGGCCTCCCGGTAGTAGCGCACTTGCGTGCCATTGCGAACGTTCTCGATCTCCGTCTTGTTCACGATGGGGTTGAAGCGCTCGTGGGTCTCCAGGCAGAAGGTGGTGATGGAGACCAGGATGAAGAAGAGGGAAGCGAAGGCCACATACTGTGGGGATAAAGACACAGTGTCAGAGGGAGGCCCACCCAGAGTGGAGAAGCCTGGGTTGCCTCTGTCCAGTCCCAGGGCCAGGCGGGGGGAGATGCCAGCACCAGGCCCCCTGCAGCACGTGCTACATTTCCCTCCTCAGGGCACAGGGGGCCTGCACGACCGTCAGGGCAGGCTCTAAAACCCTCCTACTCCGCCTTCCATGCTGTCTTCTTCCCCCTATTGCCAGCTAGATGTGGAAGCCCCAATAACTAGTATAACTACAGAGGGAAGGAGCCTGGGTCCCTGAAAAGAAAGACATCAGCCACATACCCACATTGAACTGTTACCTGAGTGGGAAATAAATTTCCATTGTGTTCAGTCACTGTGATTTGGAGCTGATTTGTTAAGGCATTTAGCTACCCTGCCCATTTAGCTAGCCTGCTGGGGCTGAAGTTTGCAAAGAAATAAGAGGGGGCAGCTAGAGTGGAATGAAGCCCCTCAGAGGCCAGATCTCCATTTGTTCTCCCAACTCCAGGCTCTTTGCTCTTTTCCATGGGTCTGTACCTCCCTCATGTGGTCTCTTTCAGGTTCTATCCTGCCTAGAGCTGAAAAAAATGTATGTCTTCCCCATGGTCATAGACAGCTTTTTAAAATGTACCCCCTCTCTCTGTCTTCCTAGGAACTTGCACCACAACATGGTAATGAGTTCCCTGTCCTTGGAGGTACTCAAATAGAGGCTGAATGATCTTTTGTGAGAGAGACTGTTTGAGGATTCAGGCATCAGGAGGAGAATTGCACCAGGGATCCCCAAAGGCACCATAATCCATAGGCTCTGCTTGACTCCTTTCCAGCCCTAGGGTAGGGGTGTGAGTGGGAGGGAGGAAGAAGCTGCTGGAGGCCTGGGGCTTCCCAAACATGTGTGGGCACCTACTCTCTCAGACAGCACCAATGAGAAGGAAATGGCCAGGATCACCCTGCCTGTCCAGAACCACCTGCTCTGGCCCTGAGCCCCCAGCAAAAAGGTTTGGGAGACCCTTTGGTTTGGTTTGGAGGCCTCATCTAATGACCCCCTAGGCTTCTCTAGCCTGCAGCAGGCATGGGTACCGAGGAGACAGAATCAAGCAGCTTTCTGAGTTTCAAACCCTCCTGCTCAGACTGGATTCTGGGGCAAGGTCTCTTCTCACAGTCTCCTGCCAGCCCCGCCGGGACTCTAACACACTGTGGCCTCCCTTGGCCCTGCCCTGGGTGGATGGGCCCCTGCCAGTCAGCCCTCTCTCAGGGGCCCAGATAGTCACTCCCGCCTGCATGTCCTCACTGCACCCCACCCTTTTGGGTCCCCCTTCTCCCTGCCTAGCCATGGCCAAAGCAGTGCCTTCTCCACAAGGCAGCTCCGGGCTACAGTCTGCAAGGCGTGACACCTTTGTTCTCTGACCTGCCCTCATAGATCATTTGGAGGAGGGCCAAGGTCGCGCCCTGTGTCAACAGCAGGAGGCAGCCATGCTGCCCCTAGAGGCCGCCTTGTTTGCAGTGATGCCCCTCCCCCACCCAGGGGGTGCCCTGGAAGTCCCAGAACAGTCTTGTTTGGATTAACCATGGTCACAGGGCCTGACACTCAACCTGGCAGGGATCTGGGAACCAAGAATTATGTGGACCTTCCAAACCACATTCTGTGTTGAGGGAAGCTGGGAGCAAAGGGAAGTGACAAAGTTGGCATCTCAGAATGACAGAGTGAGAGTAGCCTGTAGATATGATCTGTTCTGAGACACCACATGCTACGAACGGGGAGCTGAGGCCCAGAAACGGGAAGAGATCTGCCTAAGCTATGCCAACGGGACACTACTAGTCCTGTTGGTTCCAGAGCATTGTGCGATTTTCAGAAAACTGTCTCCTGAGCCACTATCAAGTGTGGTCCATATGCAGCCTTCCTTCCTTCCATCCATCTGTCCCTCCTTCCTGTTTTTAAATTTTTATTAATTAATTAATTTATTTATTTATTTTTATTTTGCAGAGATGGGGTCTCTCTATGTTGTCCAGGCTGGTTTTGAACTCCTGGCCTCAGGTAAGCCTCCTGCCTTGACCTCCCAAAGTGCTGGGATTACAGGCGAAAGCCACCCCACCTGGCCTATCCCTCCTTTCTTTCACCAGCACATCATCCTCCCTTCCTCCTTTCCTTTCTCCTTCCCTGCCATCCATTCATCCTTTTTAATTCATTCATACACCCATCCATCCACTCATCCTCCCTCCCTTCTTTTCTCTCTCCCTCCCTTCCTTCTTTCCATCCATACATCCATTCATCTTCCCTTCCCTCCTTTTTTCTTTATCTCCCTCCCTCTTTCCTGTGTCCCTCCCTCCATCCCTCCCTTCCAACCACCCATGCACCCATCCATCCATTCCTCACAAGGCACCAAGTTCTGCCTGGCACAGAGTTGAATAAGGCCTCATTCCAGCCTCAGGGAGCTCCCTGCCTAGCTCAGGTGAAGGATACATTCAGAGACAAGTACAATGCAGTGGACTGAAAAGCTGAACCCTCAGCCCTATGAACTAGAAGAGGCTGGAAAAAGGTCAGAGTAATGTGGGCGCACTTGAGAGAGGCAGGGTAGAGGCTCAAAGCCATGGCTCCCAGATCCAGAAAGACCAGACCTGGAGCACAACAGAGGTAGACCAGGAAAACAATGTAGAAGCAACGGGAAGAGGCTGCCATGCTGGCTGCAAGTTTAATGAGCTCCAGAGCTCTCTCCATCACCAGAGTTGCCAAGGCTCTTGGAGCTAAAACACACATCCTGGTCTGCTGGGTATCTGGCTTCAGATCCCCCCTAGAAGGCCGCATTCTGGAGCTTGGCGTTCACAGCCCAGAGACTCCCTAAGGGCAGGGCAGGCCCCCCAGCTGCACCCCCTGCCCTGGCCTTTGTATGGGACGAGAGGAACAAGCACACTGTGGATGACCGAACGGTGCCAAGAGGCAGGGCCCACTGCACACTTGGCTCTCAATCCTGGCTGAAGGCTGGAGGCACCTCCCCTCCTCACTGCCCCATCAGCCAGGACATCCCATTCCCAAACCGCCCCCCCCCCCACCAACATCCATTCTCCACTGTACTCCCTGTTCATATGGGACTCTCTCCGGGCAGGGTCACTGCCATCAAAGCAGGTTTAGACTTCAGTCTTGGCTACCAGAGGGTGCTTTCAACTGGAATCCCAGCTCTGCCCATGCAGCCCACAGAGAAAGTCCAAATTCCCCAGCCTGGCACACGAGGCTCTCCACGTCCTGGCCTCATTTGATTTCCCAGGGTCCTCTCCCTGCATGCACCCAACATTCTTGCCATGTGCAGCTCTCTGCCATTTCTGACCACAGAGTGTCTCCCCACCTCCGTGGTTTTGTACCTGCTATTCCTTCTGCTGGAGAGTGCTCCTGCCAGTCTCTGTCTGGAAAAATCCCATTCATCCTTCAGGGCCCTACTAAGTGACCCGTCCCCTGAGGTGAGGTTCCCCTTCACAGCCCTGGCCCACAGGAGACAGCAACTGAAGGGAGTTCCCCAGGAGTCTCTAAATGCACCCCAGGGAGGCAGCAAGCCCATCTCCGACTCCAGCTCTTTAGTGCATGGGGAGGCTCACAGGAACAGCCCAGACAGGGCACTGATGTCCCAGGAGCCTGGTAACTCCCAGGCAACCCCACAGCCCTCAGAGCTCTCATCTCAAGTGCTCCTCTCAGTTCAGATCCTGATTGGAAAACTCAGGCCTTATAAGATTATGGTAAAAAGTCTTTGTTTCTCAGGGACCAATGGACTGCCTGTCTAGATTCTTTCCTCTCTGGGCCCCAGTGCCCAAGGAGTGGAGGATGGGGAGCAGGCAGCAGAAGCCAGGTCCAGGTGCAAAGACACCTTCCCCAGGGAGAGTCAGGAGAGGTGGAGGCCAGGCCTCTCACACTGCTCAGGCTCCCTGGGCGCCTGCCTTCCTGTCCTCTGCTACTGTGAGGCCTGATCTTCCTCTGTTACAGGCAGAGCCCCAGCAACATCAAATCCCAAGGGACGCTTAGAGTGCTGTGGAGGAAGATGCCTCAGCCTGCTCAGATCCCAGTGTCCTCCTAAGTCTAGACCAGTGGGAGGTCAGCCACAGGCACAGCCGGAGCAAGAGCAACGAAGCCCCAGGTCCCTTGTGTCCATTCTCCAGGGCTGGCTGGAGAAAGGAAAGAGCTCCCAAAACTTGAGGACCTACTATGTGCCTTCAGTCCTCACACCAGCTTGGTGAGACGGGGCCATATCCCCATTGCTTCAAGGAGGAAATGCAGGTACAGAAAGGTTCGGGGACTAAGCCAAGGTTTTAAAGCTCGTGATGAGGCTGAGACTTGGATCCAAGTGTTTTTCTTTCTTTTCTTTTCTTTTCTTTTCTTTTTTTTTTTTTTTTGAGACGGAGTCTTGCTCTGTCACACAGGCTGCAGTGCAGTGGCGTGATCTTGGCTCACTGCAACCTCCGCCTCCCGGGTTCCCACCTCAGCCTCCCAAGTAGCTGGGATTATAAGTGTGCACCACCACAGCCGGCTAATTTTTTTTTTTTTTTAAGACAGAGTCTCGTTCTGTTGCTCAGGCTGGAGTGCAATGGCGCAATCTCAGCTCACTGCAACCTCCGCCTCCTGGGTTCAAGCGATTCTCTGCCTCAGCCTCCTGAGTAGCTGGGACTACAGGTGCCACCACCACGCCCGGCTAATTTTTTTTTTTTTTTTTGGTATTTTTTAGTAGAGATGGGGTTTCGCCATGTTGGTCAGGCTGGTCTTGAACTCCTGACCTCAGGTGATCTGCCAGACTCGGCCTCCCAAGTGTATTGAGCTCTAGAACCTAAGCTCTTGCCTCCAGAGTCGCCAAAGCTCCTGGAGTTAAAAACCCAGCCCCACCCACTGCAGAGCGCCCCCTGATTGTGTCTAAATGGCTCTGTCTAGGAGCCTAACAGGCACAGCTCAGAATCCGTAAGAGCAGGTTGTGCCTATCCCCAGTGATAGAGCAAGGCTACCTGGATCCAAATGCTGGAGCCAGCCACATCTGAATGCTTCTTAGGCCTCATTGCCCAGAATCTGCTAGCAACTGGAATAAGAGCAGCCCCATGGGTGGGGACACTGCCCCTGTCTAGCAAGGTATAATGTCAACAGCAGAGGGACCCTCTGCCTGGTAAGCCTCAGAAAAGCCTATGTGACAACCCTGGGCTGTCATCCCCGGGGCTGTAGGGTCACAGGCAAGATTAGGGGACTGCTTCCCACATGAGTGATCTGCTTCCCAATCCAAGCCACCTAGAGACATGGAAGAGTCACCCACAGACCACAAACACACACAGTGACGCAGAGCACATGTCTCATCCATTACCTAAGCACAGACACTGTGCACATGGCACACAAACTACAACAGTGTCCCCACCACACAGTAAACACAGGAGCCCATGGAGCACATGCGGAGACACATCGCCACACACCACCAGAAACACTTGGGTGCTGCACTGCAAGGCGCACACACGCACCACTCGTGCATACACACTCGGCACACACAGATAATGCAGCAGAGGTAACAGCACAGCATACGCACTGTGAGCACATGGAGGCCCTGGCTGTGCCCCGGCAGCTCCCTGCAGACTTCTCTCTCCCGACCCCAGGTGTAACTGACTCAGTGTCTGTCCCCCTCCTGCAGGACAGGCAGCTCCAGCCCACCTTGCCTCTGCCTCCTCCGCCCTCTCTGCTCAGGCTGCCATCTCCCGGATTACCCGACCCTAGGCTGTGCCCATCACCCATGGGCTTCCTGATTTTGTGTGACCTGTCAGACTTTATCTCCCTTCTACACGCCATGCCTGCAGCAGCTGAGTCCCACCACACCCAGGATCCAGGCCTGCTGGGAGGCCAGTCCCTCCTGGGCTGCCGGCCTGACAGGGGGCACAAAGGGAGCTCTGCTGGGCAGCCCTCAGGCAACTGTCACCCAGGCTGGCCATGGCAGTTGCCACCCTGTAGAATTTCGAGACAACACAGGCGAGATCGTCTGACAATGCGGCATAAACCCAAACTGGTAGTTTCTGGCCTTTTTCTCCCCCCAAACCAAATCACAAACCGTGAGAGACCCACCAATTGTGTTCTAGAAAGTGGTCGCCATGGCAACAGAGCAAGGCATCCCATTTCTATGGTAACCAGGGTGGTGAAGCTGTTGGCTGTAAAGTCAGACAAACCTACTAACGATCTGTTGACTTAAGAAAATGTTTTATAAATCACCAAGTTATTTTTACCATAACCCCACCCCTGAAACCACAAATCAGAAAGGCAATTTACTATCTATTAAAATGACCAATATGTGCTATGACTTTCATTTATGAATTATTTATGCCACAGTCATCTTTAGAAAATTGTGCTTGCCTTTCGGATCGGAGCTGTTCGGGGGTTCGCCTTGGGGAGCTGTGTTCATGCAGTCTGGCGTTTCAGGAACAAGGCGATGACTGTAACGTGGTGCAGGGACCAACATTCCAGTGTGGCTGCTCACTTGCTGTGTGACCTTGGCGAGTTGCTTCCCCTCTCTGGGCCTCAGTTTCATCCTGGGTGCAGTGAGGGTTGGATTGGTCCTTTCTGAGGATTCTGAGGCAGGGCAGGGCTGCGGGCAGTGGGGGCATGTGATAGCTAATCAGGGGAGCCCTGGCTGACATCCAGGCCCCAGGCCCCCAGAGGCTTCAGGTCAGTTTTTCCGCCTAATTAAATCTGCCCAGCGGGGGTGTGCAGCCTTTGAGTTAATCCATGCGGAGTCAGTGATGCAGAGCAGGCGGGATGGCCAATTGTCCTAAATAAATTGTCAGTTGAGTTGGGTTTAGAAACTGAATTAGCCTCATCTGGACTTCCGCGGGCCGGGAATGCTCACAGTGTGCTGGGCCGGCTGGGGGATGGGAGGGAGGGCAGGGAGGAAATGGGATGGTTAGGGGTCCAGTCCCTTTTTTGTTCTGTCAATAAATGCCTGCACCATCAGGCAAAGGAGGCCTGGCCCCCGAGCGCAGCGTCTGGGTGCCAGATGCTGCACCGGCGCAAGGGGCAGTGGGCGGGAGGAGCTCCCCAAGGTGCTCCGTGGAGGGTGTGAGCAGAGTGTGTGTGAGCATGTTCCAGGAACACGGCTGTGTGGCAGCCTGCTTGGGGAAGTCTGCACTGGGGGGAGTGTTAGCGGGGTAGGTAGTGTCAGTGTGGGGTAGGTGTGTCATGTCTACATAACCTGACTCTAGGCCTGTGCACAAGTTTTGTGTAAATGGTCGCTACGTGTGCTGTATGTGATTCATGTGTGTGCATGGACAGATATGGGATGTGTTTGTGTGTGTGTGGACATGTATGGGGTGTGTGGGGAACACATATGGAGTGTTTGCATGTGTGTATGGAGACAGGTATGAAGTGGTGTGTGTGAGTGTGTGTATGGAACTTTGTGTGCGGTGGTGTGTGTGTGTGTATGGGACTATGTGTGGTGTGTGATGTGTGGTGTGTATGTGTGTGTCTATGGGGCTATGTGTGGTTTGTGTTGTGTGTGTGTATATAGGGCTATATGTGGTTTGTGGGGGGGTGTGTGTGTGTCTATGGAGACGTGTGGTGGTGTGTGGGGGGCTATGCAAGTGTAGGTGTGTGCATGTGTGGGGTGATGTGTGGGGGTATGTGTGTGTGTGGGCGTGTATATGTGCACGTGTGGGGTGCTGTGTGGGGGTCTGTGTGTGGGTGTGTATATGTGCATGTGTGGGCTGCTGTGTGTGGGTGTGTGTGTGTGTGGGCGTGTATATGTGCATGTGTGGTGTGTGGGGTTTGTGTGTGGGTGTGGGTGTGTACATGTGCATGTGTGGTGGGGTGTGTGTGGAGGTGGATGTGTATATAAGCATGTGTGAGGTGGTGTGTGGGGGTCTGTGTGTGTGTGTATTGTGTGTGTGGGGTGGTGTGGGGGTTTGTGTGTGGGTGTGGGTGTGTATATGAACATGTGTGGGGAGGTGTGTGGGGGTGTGTGTGGGTGAGGGTGTGTATTTGTGCATGTGTGGGGGTCTGTGTGTTATTGCGTGTGGTGTGGTGTGGGGGTGTGTGTGTGTGGGTGTGTATATGTGCATGTGGGGTGGTGTGTGGGGGTCTGTGTGTGTGTGTGTGTATTGCATGTGTGGGGTGGTGTGGGGGTCTGTGTGTGGGTGTGGGTGTGTGCATTGCGTGCGTGGGGAGTGTGTGTGGGGGGCAGTGCATGGGTGTGAGTGTGCATGTGCGTGTCCGGGCCATCTCCCAGGGAACCAGGGTCTGGCTGGGCACTCTGGGCACGTGTTCTCTGAGCCGAGACTCAACCCAGGGCCCTGACCATTTTCTATGCCAGAGATGGTCACTCCTTCATTAGCCCAGGGGTGTGCCCCTTTCCCTGGGACTGTCCTGGACTTGGAGGAAGGTGATAGGCAGGGTGGGGGGCTGAGCCGGCCCAGCTCAGGAGCCCCCTGCATCTCCACAGTGACACTTTCCATCCCAGGATTCAATCTGAGAAGGGGGAGAGCCAGAGCCAGAAAAGGCAGCGTCCCGGCGCAGACGTCCAAAGAGACAACGGCTCACCTCACTGAATTCATTCTCTGGACCCTACACCTGGGTCATATCCAGAAAGAGCCCCCACAACAGCTGGGCTGGCCCATCCCGAGGTGGCAGGGGTTCCTATGGTACTTTCATCCCAAGATGCGTATCTTTTTTTTGGAAGTTGAAACATATAAAATGCACACATCCCGGAATGGTATTTCTTCCTGGATCCGCACATGTCTTACATCGGTGGCACCTTGGGCTTGTGGAAACCTGGTCATTAGAAGACCAGAGCACTGATGGAGGAGGTCCTCGGGGGAGGTTGCAAAAGCTGCCTGGCGGGTGGGAATGGAGAGACGAAGGCGCAGCACGGTGAGGGAGTGGCCCAGGGGTGCAGAGCACTCAGCAGGACCAGAGAGGGGAACCACGTTCTCCAGGAGCATCAGCACTGGGCTCCAGTGTGGCGATTTTCTTATCAAGTCTTGGCTCAGGCAGTATCCCTCCAGCCCTCCAGGCCCCTCTCATCCCTCAGGCCCACCTGCCTTCAAGATCCAGTCAAAGCAGCTGGAGTCTCATCAGAGGAGGTAGTGGCTGGAGCAGAAACGGCAGGACCGTGACGTCACACCCGCCTGCTTTTCAGGCCTGACTCAACCAGGTGACTGTGGTCAAGTCACTGTCCCTTTCTGAGCCTTCATTGTCTGCCTCCCAGTGGTTGTAACAGTGAGTTGAAATAATACACAGAGAGCAAGAAGGAAGTGTTCAGACACACCGCTGAGCCTCCACACAGAGCCTCTCACCTTGAAGCTCCGGTGGACCCTCCCGCCCTGGTCCTCTCCAAAGGTTTAGGATCATGTAGAAAAGCCTAGAATCTTCTAGTCATGGAACGGGAACTGCTGAGCTGGGAGGTGCCTGGGAGTTTGAGGCACAAAACACCACCATTGTCCTTCAGAGACCCGTCTCTTCCCACACTCAGCCCATGCAGTGTGAGTGAGGCTGAGCCTGGCCCAGCAGCAGGTGACCAATATCCAGTGATGGCCAGCCCTTGTCCTGCAGTAAAAGGGGAGAGGGTGTCCCTGAGGAGACGGCCTCAGAGGGATCCCGTGGGATGGGGCCGGAGGAGCTGTCTCTGGATTTAGCAACAAGGAGGCCCTGGTGGGGGCTAAACCCATGCCCCTGGAAGGGTAGAAAGGAGAGCTGGGAGTAAGAACCTTTCCCTGGAGGTGGTTGGTGGGGAACGAAGGAGGCAGGAGTGGGCAGATGCTGGTGTGATGGGCAGGATGGCAGGGGAGGGAGAGTGCTGGGGAGAGTGACTGAAGGGAGATCCAAGCGCAGAGCCCAGAGACTCTGGCTTAGTAGTTACGGGTGGGAACAGAAATTCACCTTTAATTTGTGCCCCAGGAGGCTCTGATGCCACCAGCCAATCCTGGCATTTGGGATCCATGGGGCCAGATAAGACCCACATGCTAGGCAGGTCTGATGCTTAACGGACCACGGTAGGTGCTGGCAAGTAGGCCACATGGTGGAAGGAAAGGAGGCCTGGACTTGGCTCCAGAGACCTGAGTTTGAATCCCAGCTCGGCCACGAACCATATGCCTATGGCCTAGTAACCTCTTGGAGATGCAGTTCCATCATTCTTAAAATAACACACTCCAGGAAGTAAGACAACATTGAGGGGTGTGGAAGAAAAGGCCAGGTGCCTAGGACTTCCCCAGATCCAGGGCAAAACCCCAAGACTGCTGGCTCCCTTGCACACTGGCATTCCGGGAGCTGGCCGAGGCGGCCCTGCACAAACAACAAACATCCAAACACAGAATTTTGTTTTTCACAAATTACCAAGAGGTGAGGGAGGTGGGAAGGTGAGCAGAGCAATAGTTAAAGGGAGAAATGTGTTAAGTTTTAGGCCTTTCTCTCTAATTCTTTCTGCTTCTGCTACCACTTGCCTGTTAAGGGACCAGGAGCCAAGGACAGCCTGGTGGGAACCGCCAGTGCAGCACACAGCCAGCTTCCTGTGGACGAGTCCAGGTGTGTCCAAGATCCAGCCCTGTGGCCTCCAGTCAGTGAGAGACATGGTCCTCGAGGTGAGGGGGACTTCCTGTCCCCATGCTTGCAGGGTTTTCCACGTGGACCCCTGCCTGTCTTGGGTGTCGGGAGGGAAAGGACACCCAAGGTCGCACGATGAGTGGGGCTCAAGCCAGAGCTGCCGACTTTCCCGCCTAACTCTGGTAACAAGAAAAGAGATGACAACAGCTTCCTGAGTCTTGGGCAGGCCCTGCTTCCGGGGCTTCCCATGCACTGTCCCGTTTAAACCTCGTGCCAGCCCAGTGCGGTGTTATCATGTCACTCTCTAGATGAGGAGCTGCCATTCAGAGGGAAAGAATCTTGCCTGAGGTCTCAGCACTGGATCAGTCTCACTGTCCTCGGGAACAACGGACTTCATTGCCTTCCATAAGCCCCCTAAGCAGCAGGCAGCGCGTGCAGAGGTCCCACCATGCGAGGTGGCATGGAGGTGCCCTTGTAGCCGGATCTGGCGACTCTGACCTTTCTTGGCCACCAGCAGGTACAGAGGGCCCTAGGGGAGGCCTTAGGGAGTGTGGTGTGCTGTCCCACAGTGCCCCCTGCAGTCCCACAGGCCAGGAAACCTGAATGTTAGTCCCCAGAAGGACCAATCAGGAGCCCATATCGCACCTGCTCCTGTGGACTGAGCCTTCCTCCTGGAGAGCAGATGGTAAATAAATACGGAGGCTAACGGGGGTCTCCTCTCACCCTCTCCCATTAGCATCTTAGACTTGGAGCAATACCAGGATCCCACGTGGGAAATTCCTCTTGTGTTTCAGGGCTTAGAACAAGCAGGTGTCTCCTAGTACGCCTGTCTACATTTCTGTTAGTAAATGATGAGTCATAAAACCCTTCACATTTTCTCTTTTGCTCTGACTGCCAGGGAGCTCGGCTAAATTTAGTGCTCAATTCTAGGCGAATCCTTTACCTGGGTTTGGGGTATAGCTATTTCTTTTCTTCATTATACTACATGTATTTTTTCTTCTTTATTTTTAAGGGTTCTGTGGTAGGTGTGTCTTAGGTGCCTCAAACATTTTTTTGGGAAAGCCACAGATTGGAATAAGAAATACGTGAATAAGATTCCCAGATTAGGCAGTGAGTAGGAAGGCGCTCCATATAGGATATGCAGACATGCCTCGTTCGACTGCGTTTTGCTTTATTGCATTTCACAGATATTGCAATTTTTTTTCCAATTCAAGTTTGTGGCAACCCGTGCTATTTTTCCAACAGCATATGCTCACTTTTTGTCTCTGTGTCATATTTTGGTTATTCTAGCAATATTTCAAATTGTCATTATTATTATATCTGTTATGGTGACCTGTGATCATTGATCTCTGATGCTACTATTGTAATTGTTTTGGGGAACCACAAATCACACCCGTATAAGATGGCAAACTTAATTGATAAATGTTATCTGAGTTCTGACTGGCTGTTCTCCCATCTCTCTCTCTCCTCAGGCATCTCTATTCCCTGAGACACAACAATATTGAAATTAGGCAAATTAATAACCCTACAATGGTCTCTAGGTGGTCTAGTGAAAGGAAGAGTTTCATGCCTCTCACTTTAAATCAAAAGCTAGAAATGATTACGCTTAGTGAGGAAGGCATGTCGAAAGCTGAGATAGGCCAAAAGCTAGGCCTCTTGCACCAAACAGTCAGCCAAGTCTGAATAATGCAAAGGAAAAGTTCTAAAAGGAAATTGAAAGTGCTACTCCAGTAGACACATGAGTGATAAGAAAGCAAAACAGCCTTACTACTGATAGAAAGTTTGAGTGTTCTGGATAGAAGATGAAACACAGCCACAACATTCCCTTAAGCCAAAGCCTAATCTAGAGCAAGGCTCTAACTCTCTTGAATTCTAGGAAGGCTAAGAAAGGTGAGAAAGCTGCAGAAGAAAAGTTTAAAGCTAGCAGAAGTTGGTTCATCAGGTTTAAGGAAAGTAGCTCTCTCCATAACATAAAAGTGCAAGGAGAAGCAGCAAATGCTGATAGAGAAGGAAAAGCTGTAGCAAGTTATCCAGAAGATCTAGCTAAGATCACTGATGAAAGTGGCTACACCAAACAAAAGATTTTTCAATGCAGATTAAACGGCCTTCTATTGGAATAAGATGCCATTGAGGGTTTTCATAGCTAGAGAGAAGAAGTCAATGCCTGGCTTCAAAGCTTCAAAGGACAGGCTGACTCTCTGGTTAAGGGCTAATGCAGCTGGTGACTTTAAGTTGAAGCCAATACTCACTTACCACTCTGTGAGTCCCAGTGCCCTTAAGAATCAGACTAAATCTACTCTGCCTGTGCTCTAGAAATGGAACAACAAAGCCTGGATGATAGCACATCTATTTATAGCATGGTTTACTGAATATTTTAAACCCACTGTTGAGACCTACTGCTCAGAAAAAATGATTCCTTTCAAAATATTATTGCTCATTGACAATGCACCTGGTCACCCAAGAGCTCTGATAGAGATGTACAAGGAGATGAATGTTGTTCTCCTGCCAGCTAACTCAGCACCCATTCTGAAGCCCATGGACCAAGGAGTCATTTTTACTTTCAAGTCATATTCTTTAAGAAATACATTTCATAAGGCTGTAGCTTCCATAGATACTGATTCCTCTGATCAATCTGTGCAAAGTCAATTGAAACCTTCTGGAAAGAATTTACCATTCTAGATGTCACTAAGAACACTTGTGATTCATCGGAGGAGGTCAAAACAGCAACATTAACAGGAGTTCAAAAGGAGTTGATTCCAATTCTCGTGAATGACTTTAATGGGTTCAAGACTCCAGTGGAGGAAGTCACTGCAGATGTGATGAAAATAGCAAGAGAGCTAGAATTAGAAGTAGAGCCTGAAGATGTGACTGAATTGCTGCAATCTCATGATCAAACTTGAACAGATGAGGAGTTGCTTCTTATGGATAAGCAAAGAAAGTGGTTTCTTGAGATGGAATCTATTCCTGGTGAAGATGCTATAAACATTGTTGAAATGACAACAAAGGATTTAGAATATTCCATAAACTCAGCTGATAAAGCAGCAGCAGGGTTTGAGAGGATTGACTTCAGTTTTGAAAGAAGTTCTACTGTGGATGGAATGCTGTCAAACAGCATCACATGCTACAGAGAAATCTTTTGTGAAAGGGAGAGTCAATTGATGCAGCAAACTTCTTTGTTGTCTTACTTTACAAAATTGCTATGTCCACCCCAACCTTCAGCAATCACCACGCTGATCAATCGGCAGCCATCAACACTGAGGCAAGACCCTCTATCAGCAAAAAGATTATGACTCACTGAAGGCTCATATGATTGTTAGCATTTTGAAGCAATAACGTATTTAAAAATTAAGATATGTACATTTTTAGACATAATGCTATTGCACAATTAATAATGTACAGTATAGTATAAATATAACTTTTATATGCTCTGAGAAACCAAAAAATATGTGACTTGCTTTATTGTGATATTCACTTTATTGCTGTGGTCTGGAACCAAGCCCACAATATCACCGAGGTATGCCTGTATAGGCCTCTCAAGGGGGCAGTTCAATGATCTCATCTGCAGTGACCCTGAGACAGATGTCTGTGTTGGTCACCACCAGTGATGGGAAGTTCACGAGGCCATTCATTCCGTCTTTGAACCAGTCTAAGAGACATGCATTTATTTCTCATGTAAGTCAACCTCCTGTCTCATTTTCCCAGCAATCACAGGTCTGCCCTCTGGGGTCATCAGAAGACACCTGCTCCTCTTCCTCCCTGTGATGGTCCTGCCTATACCTGCAGATAAGACTCAGGACATGCCCCTGAGACATCCCTCCTGCAGGCCAGGCTTCCTCGGGCTTCCTTCATGCTCTCTTCCTTGCACCATCTCCCCTGACCTGCTTCAGAGTCTGCTTTTGTTCATCACTCACTGTGTGTGGCTAAATGGATGGCACATTTTACCCTTTTTAATCCTCATAACCACCTTGGCCATAGGAATATTTACCTTTGTTGAGCTTCTCTGTCCTCTGCTATACAGTAATAATAGCATGCTCACCAGAGGTCAAGCACTTTACAAACATTATCTCATTTATCTTTAAAAGCCTCTCCGAAGGAGGCATCATTACCTCCATTTTGCAGATTAAAAAACTGAGGTTCAGAGTGGTTAAGACGTGCAAAAATCCCCCACATAGCTGGAAAGTGTTAGGTGGGCTTTGAAACCAGGTCTCTCTGACTCCAAAACCACTATGCTCTATTACTTCCACTTATAAATCTTTCTCACATCACCCCCAGGTAGTCCTGGGAGAAAGCTGTTTATCTTCCCATTATGATGACAATAGGCACAGCCTTCTTCAGTATATAGCACATCTTCATGTTTTGGATCTTATATGTACAACACACACACCCCCGCCCCCCAACTGGGCCATCAGCAGGACAGTCTTGATGGCTTCCATTTGGTAGATGAGAAAACTGAGGCTCCAACCTCCATGGAGGAGCTAGGAATGGAGTCCACTTGGAATTCACTAGGAAATTTCCCTCCTGTGCCCACTTGTGTGTTTGTATCGAGTCAGGGGTCCTGACTCCCAATGTACATGCGTGTGTGTGTGTGTGTGTGTGTGTGTGTGTGTGTGTGTTTGGAGGGAAGGGAATAAAAATGGCTCAGGGAGGGTAATGGACAAAACCCAGGTGGGACCACAGTTGACTGCCCACCTGTGTCCCTCTAACAAATATTTACATCTTATTCCAGGCCTATACAGGGTACTGGGTATAGGGTGAGCAAAAACAGCCACAGCTTCTTGGGGGAGGAGTAGGAGAGGGGGACATTGACATTTATCAATTAACCATACAAGCAAATATGTACCTATGTGAGCTGACAGGGGCATCAAGGGGAATGCACAGGCATTTGGTAAGCCTTTAACAACAAGTCTTGAGGTTAGAGTGGCTTCCAGGAGAAAGTGACAACTGTGCAGAGGTTGGAAGGATGGATAAGAATCAACTAGGGAAATGCAAGGTGCAAGGAAGCACATTCTAGGCAGAGAGAAGGGGAGCGCTGCTCAGGCCTCATGTTCCTGACTCACCAGCAGCATCTGATGCCACTGATCCCTCCCTCCTTCTTCTTGCACTTCCTGGGACCGCATAGCCTCTGGATTTTCTTCCTACCTCTCTGGCTGCTCCTTCTTGGAGTCCTTTGCCAACTCTTCTCCCCAGTCTCTATCGGGGCACCCTGGAGCTCAGTCCTTGCTCCTCTTCTTCATCTACACTCACATCCTTAGTGGTTAACCCAGTTTTATGACTTAAAGGCCACCATCATTCAAATACCCATAAACAGCACACTCTCAAAGGCTTATCTCCAGCCCAGCCCTTCCCCTGAACTCAGGACTCCAGCATCCAACTCCCTGGCATCTCCAGATGGAATTCTACCAGCTCTTTCAAACTCAACACGTCAACTGAACTCCTGTGCCACCCCCACCCCCTGCAGCCTCTCCATCTCATGAGAGAGTGTCTCCATCCTTCCAGGACATTCTTGCCAAAAACCTTGGAGTCATCCTTGACACATCTCTTTCTGTCACATCTCACATTTAATCTGTAAGGAAATCCTCGTGGCTCTGCTTGAAAAATAGACCCAGCATCTGAGCCCTTCCCATCACTGCTGTGACCACCCATGTCCCAGCCATCATCCTTTCCCCCCGGGTCATGGTAATAGACCAGTCTCTTAACTGGTCTCCCAGGTTCCAACATTCCTGGTGCGCTAGGACTGTTTTCAACACAGCTTTTAAAACATGAATCGAACTGTGTCATTTCTCTGCTCAGAATCCTGCACTGGCGCCCTATTTCTCTCAGAGGAGGAGCAAAGGTCTTCTCAATGGCTTGCAGATCCGACTTGATCTGGTCATCCATTATCTCCCCAAACTCCTCCCTGCTACCATCATCTTCACATCTGCCTCCTCAAACATGTTCCTCAAATATGCCAGACACACGCCTGCCTCCATGCTCTTGCACTGGCTGTTCCTTCTGCCTAGAACGCCTTTCCCCAGGTACGCCTATGGCTTACCCCTTCACTGCCTCATGGCACCCCAAGAGGGTGCTTCTGACCACCCTATTTCAAGTCTCAACCAACACCTCCAGTAAGGAAAATCTGGTTTTCCTTACTCTGCTGTTCCCCCCAGCACAGATCATCTAAGATGCCAACTTTCCTCAGCTTTATCAAGGTATAATTTACCTATAAGAAAATAAGAAAATTGAGGTTTAGAGTGGTTAAGATGTGCGAGAAAATCCCACGTAACTCAGAAGTGGCAGCAGGATTTGAAATCAGGTCTCTGTTGTAAGTATCCAGTTGGCTGCGTGTTGGCATTGACACTGTCTAATTTACTTAGTGTTCATGTTTGTTGTTTGACTCTCTTCCCCCTCTAGAATGTAAGGTCCATGAGGTGGCTGAATCTGAGGGTCAGGGTGGCCCTGCCTCAAAGACCCAGCCAAACACTCCAACTAGTAGGGGAAAGGAGGCTCCTTCCTCCAGGAAATGGGGAGCACAAGCATAGGTTTCCTCTGTGGAAAGAAGGTCGTGGACATGGGTCCTATGTCCACTTGCCTCACTCCCTCTAGTTGCATAATGGGCACAATGGTTTACTCCCTGCAGCCTCCTTCAGAAGTGAGCCCCCGGCGGCTGGTGCTTGCTGCCCCTTGTCAATATGGGCAGTCACTGATTCAATGATACCACATCTGCGTCTACCCTGGCAATGTACACAATCGTTGATTTCAGAGTTGCATTTACATGGGCACTGACCACAGTAACGGAAGCGCTACACTGGTAAAAAGATAATCTCCATACACCAATCTGTGACTCAACCAGCCATAGACATGATCACTGATCTTTCAGCTATGCTCTCATTGGCAATGGGCATCCTTGATCTTTGCACAGAGTGTTTATTACACTGGCAGTGGGCACAGTGATTGAGAGCAGAGCCGTATCTACACTGGCAATGAGTGCATTCATTGAAAGCAGACTCATGTCTACACTGGCAGCAGGCACAATCACTTTCATCTCCTTGACAATGGGCACAATCAGTGAACAAAGGCCTGAATCCCCACCAGCCATGAACATGAGTGATGCATGTCATTCATGGAGAGTGCGCACAAGGTCACAGAGTTCCTTTCCAGAGAGAGGGCAGATACATCCTTCCCTCCCAGCAGACAGGCCAGCTGAAGGCGCTCATGATGTAGTCCAACAGCCTGAGTCCTGTCTACGGGGCAGAACTGGCACTGGATTGTGGAATTCAAAACCTGGATGCGGGCACTGGAGTGGCGAATCTGGAATCTGGGCATCGGAATTGGAATCTGGGACACATGGTGAGGAGATGAGACCATGTCTATTCCCAGCGTCTTGAGATCACTCAAGGTGAGGAGAGACTCAGGCTGTGTGACTCCCATTGCCACCCGCCCCCTCCCCACCCCCCACGCCGGGGCCTGGCCCAGCCAGCCTGGGCTTAAAAAAGCACCAGGAAATGTCAATTTCTTTTTGAAGAGGCGCAATGGGAGGAGATGGCCCAGGCAGTTTAGCGGCTGGTTTATTCAAAGGTCGGGAACGATGACAGGACCTTCAAATCCTGAAGATTGTTTTGTACCCAGGCTAGACCCAAGTCCCTTCCCTGGCAGATGGAACCCTGCCTAGTGCCGGCCAGAGGCCCCAGCCTGACTGACAGCCCAGCCAGGGATCTGACTGATGTGTGACTGCATGATTCCTGTGGCTGTCCAAGCCGGGACCAGGACTGTAGCCTGAGCATTCTCCAGGCTCCAGACTCCAGCTGCCTGGGGCTCAGGGGCTGCAGCTTGACCAGGCACCACCTGCTATGCTAGGCCACTGTGCTAGGATGGCTCAAGGTGGCAGCCTTGGGCTCCGGCCACTGACTACTGACTGGCATGGGACAATGCCTGCTCCTTGCTGCCTCTCTGCACTGCCGTTTCCCCATCTGCAAAATGAGGGGTGGCCCAGACACCTTCGGGTTCCTGTTCTATCTCTGGAATCCCTGTGTTACCCACAAGAACATCTAGATCTTATCGGAGACACAGCCTGCATGCAAGTCAACGGAGGGTGAATTCCTCCTGAAAGAAGAAAGCTCTGAGGACCTTCAGCCACCCATCTATGCAGCTTTCATTCATTTGTTCATTCATTCCATCATCAAACATTTACTGAATGCCTATTATGCACCAGGCACTACTTTTCACAACCATCTCCAGAAATAAGAGTGCAGAACTGGGCACACAGTAGGTACTCAACAGTAATGATGAAGGCAGCTACCACGTACTGACACATTCTGAGCCAGGCCTATTCTAAGCGCTCTGACATGCCCCCATCTCATTTACCTTTACACCACTGGTCCACAAGGTGGCCACCACCCCAATTTTATAAAGAAGGAAACTGAGGCTCAGAGAGGTTAAGTTGTCCATGGTCATACAACCGGGAAGTGAGGGAGGTAGAATTTGAAACCCAATTTTGTCTGACTCCAGAACACATGCACTTAACCACTCTACTGGCCCCCTGACAAACATTTATTGAATGACTGAGTAAATAAATGATAAAGCTTTGCATTGGTGCAAGTATGCATTCATGTGTGTGCAAGGCCATGAGTTTGCACGAGGGTGGGGAGCCTGTGTGTGCAGATGTCTGCATGTTTGCATGTGGAGCTTTTTTATGGGAAGACGTTCCCTTGTTGTCTTAGTCTTGTGTGTGCTGGAGCTATACTTAGCTGCAGCCGTGACTGTAATGAGCAGTTAGCGGCACACCAGCCACTCTCATCGGGACCTGGTTTCCCAGGGAGATCGCCGGGCCAGTGTATATGTGTGGGGGGTGCAGCTTGGTGCTGGGGAATGCTAGATCAGGGCTTTGGAGGGAGCCTGGAGCTCACAGTGCTGTGCCTTGTGCAAATGGAGAGACTTAGCTCCAGCTGGAAGAATCTGCTCCAGGCCAGAAGCATCTAAGCATCCAGGCTCCACCAAGCTCAACATTGGCCACCTATGCCTGTGGTCCCTTCACTGGTCCACAAGCAATTAGAACTAAAGCCTTGGAGTTCATGGCTAACACCTGGGGGTTGATAGCAAAAAGCGGTGGGAAGATGGTCGATCCTGGTATACCTGAGCCAGGGTCTTCTGCGGCCTCAGGAGGGCCCCCTCCTCAGCACCTTCTCTGCAGCTGGTGAAGCTGCACTGCCTCCTTGAACACATCCTGCCTGAGCTATCAGAGGTTCTCACTCACCAAGGCTGGGGACCTGAGGAGGAAGAGAGACCTCCCTACTCCGGAGCAGACTGAAACCACAGACTCTCTCACACAGCCTAGGGTTCAAAGGGCAATCCCCCACTCACTGACTGCCCTTCAGGCTTTGGCCAGAGGCAGGTCTGGAAAACCACAGGTCCTGAGGGCTTGCCGGCCACATGACTCTGCCTGGAACTTCTTTCCAGCCTGGTCCTGGTTCTCTGCCATCAGGGACTCTCACCTTTGAGAGTGGGCCAGTCCCTCAGCCCAGTCTCTGTCCCCAGCTCCCAGCTCTCTCACTCCACAAACCATCCCACCTCCTGCATCTGGCAGTCCCACTTTCTGCACACATGTACTGGGCCACTCCACTCTGCCTACTGCCCTGAAGTCCATGCTTCCAAGTCCCATCGTCCAGGATGTGTTCATCCTGTGAGAGGTGGGACTTCCGCTTTGAAGGCACGCAAGGAGAAGCACATCCATGGTCCTCCATCCATCCTTCTCAGCCATTTGTTTACCCATCCACTGAGTCACCCAGCTGTGTCTCCTTCAATCCATATGTCCCTCCTTCCATCCATTCACTTGTATCCATCCACATATCCGTCTTTTTATCCATTCTTTCATCTATTCGTCCATTACTCGTCGGTCTCTCCCACTACCTCATTTTTAACCATAGAACCACAGCATCCCAGAGCCAGAAGGAACACTGGCATGGCTCTAGCTGACCTTCTTGATTTATTTTCAAAAGAAGACCTGGGATCTAATCCTTCTACCACTTGCTCTCTTCTGGATGGTCTTGGACAAATAAATGATTCTCTCTGGGAGCCATTTTTCCCTCATCAATAAGAGGGGTATACTACCTAACCCTTCCACCTCACAGGGGCACATAGCTTTAGCAAAGATCGATTGATTCCCTATTATGTAACAGGCACTACTATTGCCTAACCTGACCCTTGTCCTCCAAGAGGTTGTGGTTGAGTCTGAGAGTCACAGAATGATAGTCAGTGGATCAAAGGCCTCAAGTCAGACAGGAAAGGTTTTCTGGAAGCATGAAGGGCAGAGCAGGCTCTTCCAGGAGGTAGAGGGTGTCGGGAAAGGCTCCCTAAAGGAAGAGCCATGAGAGCCGGCCTAGCAGGAAGCATCCATTTCAGAAATGCAGAGGAGGAGGAGTGGGCATTCTCAGTGGAGGCAACGGAATAAGCAAAGGCAGAAGGGCAGGGAGCCGGAGCACGTTGGGAATGGATGATGCACATTGGGGCCCAGGGTGATCTGGAATAGCAGGGCAGGTGGGGCTCCCAAGGATCACACCACAGGCTTTGGAAAGGGCTGGGGACATGGAAAGTGTCAGTAAGCCAGCACAAACCACTGTGATTCCTACATTCCAGGCTTTTACTCCAATCCTCAGACTGCCAGACAGGAAAAAATATCTGCTTGGTGACAGCCAGGCCTCGGGAGACACGATTCCTGCCGCCTAGAAGGGAAGCCAGCGCCTGGTATTTCTGACCTTTGTGACTCTAAATATATCATTGGTGATGGTGGCTCCTGGCCCTGAGGTTGTGGGCAACCGGCTGAGGCTTCTACAGCCTCCCTCCCTGCCTCTGTGGCTCAGCCAGGGCCTCCTTATACCCAGGAAAATCCAAACCCAGGACCTGCTGACAATGGCACCCCAGGTCACCAGATCCAGCCCTTGGCGAGTGTCTCCCATGTGCCAGCCACGGTGCTGGGGGCTTTGCCCCTCTGAGACCCACCACAGCCTGTGAAATACAAACTATCATCCAATCTTACACACGAGGAAACTGAGGCTCAGCCAGACACCACCTGCCCGAGTCCACACTGAGGCAGAGGAAGGATCAGAACCCAGGCCTGGCCAGGCCCAAAGGCCTGTGCACCCTCCTTTAGCCTGTCCCCTCCCTACACTCCCCTTGCACTTGAGATGGTGGCCTCTTCCTGCACATGGCACTCAGAACTGTGTTTTCTCCCTAATGCTCTTTCTGCCTCTGGTCTGACGGATTCTCCTAACACCGCTGAGAAGCTGGTGATGCCATTATGCACACTTTATAGATGAAGAAGCTGAGCCCGAAAAGGCAAGACCATACTCCAGGTGTTGGGGCTGAACAGGGGTCAGGGCAGAAGCACCCACGGCAGCTTGCAGGGAGCTCACTGCATAGGACTGACCCTCAGCAGATGACAGCCACACACGTGGGTTTACAGGGCCCAGCCCTCTCCCCTTAGCCCAGGGCTCCAGCTCACTCCAGGTGGCCCAGCAGGTGGCCGTGTTCCTCACTGCTGCTCAGAGAGCCCCTGAGGCTGAGCATCAAACATTCATCTCTAAGTGGCGAGACACTGGCCCTGGTGGGTGGCTGTGGCCTGAGGTGTGTTCACTGCCCTGCTCTGGTGATGAGGCCCACGGAAGTCATGTTCTTCTGCCCCACCACCTATGTGGGCAGAGAAGGTCCCCAGGGAGCCACCTGGCAAGGCTGGGTCCCCATCGAAGCCTCCCCAGGTATGGTAGCCCGCTTGTCAGGTATTAGATTCATATTCTCCTCTCAGGTGGGGTGAGGCGAGTGTCTGCAGAGCATCCCACAAAGATGCCTTATCTGCAAGAGGTGTGAGTGATCGTGGGCATCACGTGCGCACCAGTGCTCGCAGTGCAGTGAGCCAGAGGGCCTTCTGTGACTTATTGCCTTCTCACAGCAGCCCTTTGAAGTAGGGACTCTCGTTATCCCCTCTTGACAGCTGAGGTGACTGAGACTTACTAAGATCACACAGCTAAGAACTAGCAGACCCAGAATTGGGCCCTGGCAGTCTGGCTCCAGTGTGGCCTGTGCCCATGCCACTAGCCATCTTCTCCCGGCACACCTGCAGTGAGAACCCTGTGAGCACCACGGAGGCCTGTGTGACTGGAAAGAGCTCACATGATCTCTCCCCGGCAAGGCCCCCGACCCTCTGTCTCCCTCACCAACTTCTCTCCAGCCCCACACCCAGCTCAGAGAACCGTGTATGGGACCCACCATCTCCTGCTGGGCACCACAGACCTTCAGGAAGAGGCCAGAGGCCCCTCATTACGGCCCTCCATGCAGAAGCAGGAGCCCCCTCCACGCAGGCCCACCCTGTGCAGGCCCCTGTGGCTGCAGGAGGGGAGCAGAGGGCAATGAGAACTGAGCCCTGGGCTGGAACACTCAGGGAACCCATGGGGCAGGCCCCGTCAAGAGCAGACCCCACTGTCAGGAGCCAGTGGGGTTCTGGGTAGCTCGACTCTTTCTTTGCATGATTTAGGGGTGGATTTTTCTTTCTTTTAAAAATTATTTTATTTTAGATTTAAGGGGTACATGTGCTTGTTTGTTAAATGGGCATTACATGCATAATGGTGGGTATGGGGGCCCCTAGCGTGCCCATCTCTCAAATATTGGACATTGCACCCAGTAGGTAATTTTTCAACTGTCATCCCCCTCCTAGCCTCCCTTCTTTGGAGTCCCCAGAGTACATTCCTCCATCTTTCTGTCTGTGTGGAAGGAGCACCACCCCTTCTGATATACCACTGTCCTTTGACTCCGAGCCCAGCCCCAGATATGCCTCCTCGCTGCGCCTTGAACCCTGGGCACACAGCTGCTCAGGGCTTTTGCACATCTCACTTCCTCTGCTGCCCAGGTGTCCTGTGGCCTCCTTCCTCACCTCCTTCAATCTTTGCTGAAATATGACCTGCGCTCACAGTGACGCTTCCCTGCCGCACGAGTTAAAACTGCCCACTCCAGTGCGCCCTGGGCTCCTGCCTCTGTCATATCTTGCCCAGCTAGAATATAAGAACTTGAGGGCAGGGATTTTTGGTGGTTTTGTTCTTTGCCCTATTCTCAGCTTCTTGAGCAGCACCTGTCACATAGTAGATGCTCAATAAATATTTGTTGGCTGGATGGATGAATTGGTGCTGACAGCAGCCCCTGGCAGGGAAATGGCTCATGGACTGTGTTTATGTGCAAAGCGGGAGTGTGGGGAGAGGAGTTGTGAGCTTTCTGTGTTGCACTGGGGAAGGAAGAGGTGAGGTGAGTGGCATTGTGGGCAGGGGTGCCAGAGCCAGGCTGCCAGGCCAACAGGGAAGGGCTGGGGCTGGCCAGGGTGGAAGGGGCATCCGACGCCCTGCAGAGGCTTGAGAGAAAGCTTCATTTTGCTGCCATGGCTCACACTGAGGCAGCATCTGAGCCTGACCCAGCGAGGCTGGTTCCTGAGCCCCCCTGAGCTCAGCTGGCTGGGGCCGCCCCAGCTAATATTAGCTCGTCCCCACCCAGGCTGGCGTCGGCCTGGCGGAGCAGCCCAGCTTCAGAGTGGGCACCGCCCATGGGCACCCAACAGGAGCCCCCAGCCCTAGCCCCCAGGCTCCTCCCTGTGCCAGAGCAGCCCCTTTAAAGAGGAGACATTCCAATGACCTGAGCTGTGATGCATGGCCTCCGCCCGCCAGCCCTACCACACTGGCACACTTGTCGGCATCTGAGGTCCCTGTGCTTGGCTCCCAACCAAGGCCTGATGTCAGCGGCCCTCCCTCCCTCTCCCCTGGCAGGCGGACGTTCCATCATCCTCCCCTTTATACCCTGCCACACCTGGGGATGGAGGAAGAGCAGGGACAAGCGGCCCATAACCACAGATGGGGAGACCGAGGCTCACAGGGGTTGTGACCTGCCCAGGACACACAGGGAGCTCAGGAGAACCAAGCAAGAATCCATGCCTGCCTCCCAGGGTGACGCCTCTGAAGTCTGCCCCTGGTAGACAGACTGGAGGAAGGGACCCCAGGGACCACGGTAGGTGAGCTGCCACCTAGGAGAAGCATCTGATAGTAGAGTCAGGAGCTAAAAGAAGGAAACAGGTGGGTAACGGGTGACGATTTGAATCTCGCAGGGCCGAGAGCTGGTAAAAAGATGATGGAATGCACAACAATTAAGCACTTACTATGTTCTGGGTTCTGGGCTAAGTGCTTAACACATTGGATCCTCCCAACTTCCCTATGAATCAGGTGCTATCAATACCCCTCTTTTGAGGCACAGACAGGTTAGGAGACTTATCCAAGGTCACACAGCTGGAAGGTAGTGGGGCTGGGATTCGATCGAAGGCCTGATGGTTCAAGGGGCTATGCTCTTGCAGAGAAAGGGGCTCCAGGTCATATTCCCAAAATCGTGTAGCCAGGAAGCAGTGGGGAGTGGGGAGATGCAAAGCCCATACACTTTCTACTGAATGCAGAAGGAGGCCCAAAGCAGGGGATTTGGGACAGAAACCATCCTAGACTTTGGAGGAGAGAAGTCCATTTTGAAAGCCAGTGACTAATGCCTAGAACTTTCCACAAGCACAGCTACAGAGGAAAGGGGACAAGGAGGGGACAGGGAAGGGAAGGAGGTGGACATGGAAGGAGATGGGGAAGGAGAGGTAGGAAAAGAGCCTGGCTGGCCTTTGGGAGGAACGGAGTCCAGGAGAAGTCAGACTCGGGGGTCGGGCTGGACCAAGTGGGACGTAGGAACTTGTGCATCTTGGTTTTGGAAAACAGTTTCGTGGCCTCAAAGCTGTGGTTGTGGATGGTGGGTGGGCTGATGCAGCGCAGAGAAGAAGTTCGAAAAGACAGAGGGTTAAGCTGTGAAGAGCTTCATCTGGGCCTGGGTGGTGACACCAGCAGGTGGGCCCCTGCCTGGATTGGGGTTTGGACCCCCTACTAGCGCTGCCCCAGCCTTTGCCTGTTATTCGCTGCTCCAGGCTCAGGGGATGGAGGGATTGTGCTCCCACGTGAGGCCAGAAAGGAAGGCTCAGCTAGGAACAGGTTCAAATGCACGGTGCCCATGTCTGCCCTCGGCCTTGAACCCTACTTGCTTATTCTTTCTTTCAGTAAATATCTATTTAGCACCCACTATGTACCAGGCCCTACTCTAGCTTCTAGAGACAGAGCAATTGGAAAAAGAGACAAAAATCCCTGCCCTCATGGACTGTACAGTCTAGTGGGGAAACAGACAATAAACAAGGCAAACAAGTAAACTATATAGTACATCAGATGGTGGTTAATGCCAAGGAGAAAAGAGCAAAGCACGAAGTGGGGAAGGGGCCGGAGAAGTGTCATCTGGGCTGATGATGTCTGAGTATAGACCTGGAGGGGGTGTGAGAGCTGATACCCAAGGGAAAAGCATGCCAGGTGGAGGGACCAGCGCAGCGCAGGTCTTGAGGCAGAAGCATGGGCAGCGCTGGGGAGGAAAGCCATGGAGGCTGGGGGAGGGAGGGAGAGAGAAGCAGACAGCAGAGGGAGATGCTGGGTGTGGGGCACTCAAGTGGAGCCTGCATCCTCTGAGGAAGCCCAGACCCCAGCGTGAGATGGAGCGGAGGGCTGACTTGGTCCGATAGCACTTTGCCAGGCCGGCCCTGGCTGCCCTGAGAGAAGGGCGGGGCAGCTGGGGCTGAGAGAAGAACTCAGGCAAGAGAGGGCAGGGGCTTCCACGGGGGGGTAGCTGTGGAGGGGTGCGATGCACTCAGATTCCGAGTGTACTTGAAACATGAAGACAACAGGGTTGGTTGATGTCTGAGAGAGAGAGGAGTCCAGGATGACTCCCAAGGTCTACCAGTGGGAGCCACCAGATGGATGCGGTTGCCATGGCTGTGATGGGGCCTCACCCCAGGCCCAGTCCCCCTGCCATCGAAGCCTCAGCCTCAGGAAGGAGCGGCTTGCTTGTGACACTCTGCCAACCCACACACGCCCATCCAGCCCTCTGTGTCCTGAGGCTGGCCCTCGACTGGAGCCGCTGCCTGCATCAGCACTTCTCAGACTCCACCGTGCATGAATCATCTGGGGAGTGAAAATGCAGATTCTGAATCGGTTTCAGGGCTGGGGTGAGGCCTGAAAGGCTTCACGTCTAACAAATGTCCTCATGGTGTTGCTGTTGGTCAGAGGGCCACACCTTGAATGGAAGGAGCCCACACCTCTCAGGCCCCAATGCAGCGATGTACCCTCACTCAGCAGTGGCCTCAGCTGTGCTGAGGGGTGAAGGGAACATTCTCCCCCTCCCTGATCTAAGAATCGAGTTTCCCAGGAGTATGAACTTTAAGCATCCCAGGTAATTCTGAGGGTCAGGCATGGGTGGGAGTCCTCCAGCAGCCACCCCTCCATCCCCCATAGCAGCCATCGCAAACACCCCTACCCAGCCCTGGCCCTTCCAGCACAGCACCCATCCCCTGCGCCCTTCCCCACAGCAGCCCTACACCATAGAAGTTGGCCCCACTGCCCCTGCTCCAGACCCCACAGCCTGGCACACAGGAGCTCCAAGTGGGCCTTTCTGCAGCTCCCTAAGGGCAGGAAGCGAAGAGAAGGGCCTGGAGAAGCGGGCAATGGGTGCTGTCCATAGGCCTGAGCAAGCACCCCCAAAAGAGGTGATCCCCCCAGGTCTGTGCCTGCCAGAGGGCTGGGGGAGCCCGTCAGGCAGGGGTGCGATCACTATGCCTTGAATGAATGAGTGAGGACAGGATGAGGCAGGCTGAATGAATGTAGGAGGAAGCTTTTTAGACCCCTTCCTGCTGGGCTCCTGCCTGCTCTGGGCCAGGACCTTTGCCAGGATTGCTCACACGTGCCCTGGGGAGGAGCTGGGCTGGGAGAGAGAAGGAGAAATAGGGGAGGACTGGCTTGGTTTCCCCAGCTCCTCTGGGAAGCTGAAGCCTAGAATTCTTGGACTCCCAGAATGTCAGAGTTGGGAAGAGCCTTAGCCGTCAGTTAGCACGACCTCTGTATTTTACAGGTGGAAAAACTGCAGGATGAAGGGGCCACAGGACTTGCTCAAGGTAGCCCAGCTGGTTTCACAGCCTGGCTAGATTCCTCTCTAATCCAGGTGTCTGATGCCTACAACCTGGGTCTTGCCTGTGGCCTCATCTCTCCACACACCGGGGCTGGTCTCTAATCCTGAGGGCCCGCCTGTCCCCAGCCCCCAGCCTCCAGAACTGACCTACTCATCACCAGCTCACATCTCACAAACTGGATGACTCAGTGCCCAGTGCATACCCCTCACTCCCAAAAACATGACGTCAGCGAGGGCAGGAGCAGCCAGGCTAAGTGTGAGGAACCTTAAGGGATGGATTTTCACGTTCAGCAAAAAGCAGGGAGGACACTGAAGTGAGGGGAATAGATGACCAAAACCCCAGAGGTTAAAGGGCTGCCAATGAGGACCAGGGAGGAGGCTGGCGGAAGGGAGCCGCAGGAGCTGTGGCTGGGTTCCAGGGCAGAAGGCCTTGGAGTGCCGAGCTGAGGGGCGGCCAGCGTTCCCACCATGTGCCGCCCTGCACAAGCAGCTTCTGATCCTCCCAATCCTCCTGGCATTTCACTTTAGGCCATATGGAGTCCCAGGGGCTGCATGGATGGGAGTGGGGGGACAATTGAGGCACTGTCACAAAACCTTCCTTGGGACTGACAGAGCGCCCTCTTAGCCCATGGCCTGGCCAGGCAGGGCCCTCACCTGCCATTACCCAGGGGCCAGAACTTGCTGACAGGTTCTGGACAGGTTGTTGGGAAAGAGTGGATGGTGGGGAGGGAGAGACCCAGACGGAAATTCAAACCTGGGGCACAGCAAGCCACAGGCCTCACCATCCCTGGAACATGGACAGGAGGCAGTGCTGTGTAATAGTTACAGATAGAGCTCCAGCGTCAGACAGACTGAGGTCTGACTGCTGGCTCCACCGCGCATGAGCTAAGTGACCTTGGGTAAGTTACTTAACTTCATTGAGCCTCTGCAGCCTTGTCTGTGTCATTGGCGTGATAGTATAGTGCAGCCTTGAGAGCCTTGTGAGAATTATTAATAAATGAGGATATATAAATCAAGTCCTTAAGACAGTGTCTGACACTGCGTGATTCAAGAAAGGAAGGGGGTTCTGGAAAATCCTGCTTGGGGAATCCTAAGGATTTGGGTCAAGTCTGGGTTGGCTGACGTGAGAAGGTCTCAATCAGCTGTGCCGTGTCCTTGGAATGCAGGTATCTGTGTATTCCACTTCCCCCAGGAAGGAAATTAATGGGAGTAGATAAGAGAAGAACAGCACGCCCAGGTGGGGTTTGGTGTTCTTGTAAAACTGAGAGCCAAAAGAAATTCAGATGGTCAGGCCCTGGGACCAGAGGCCTAGGCTGTGAGTTTGAGTCTCACTGATTCCCTGTGTTGTCTTGAGCAAGTGTCTTTCCCTCTCTGAGCCTGTTTATTTTCACTGAATGAAAATATTGACTAGAGGTAGCCTGGGAGCACCCATTCCCTGCAATAGTCCCATGCATATGTGAAGTGGTCCCTACCACCTAAATGGTTCCCCTGAATAAGGACTGAAGAGCAAAGCACCCCTGCAGCCTGTCAGGCCCTCCTTTTCCTCTAACCTTGCACCTAGCAGAGGGGAGCTCACGCTGGGGTGGTAGCCAGGCTGGCCCCAGAGCTGATGGGAGGCAGTGGCTCAAGGCCCTGACCTTTTGGTCTAGAGTGAATCCCCTGGTCATGAGACCGCTCAGAATAGCCAGAGGCATTATATTCAGCTGTCGTGGAGGCCTTGAGATCCTCAGCCCAGGCAGTGGACCCTGGAATGAGCCCCCACTGAACCCCCTCCCCCACCTCTGAGACAACCACCACCTCCCTCCTTGATAGACTTCAGCCAATCCCCTCCAAAGCTTCTGGCAGAGGCCAGGCCTCCTGCTCAGAGTCAAGGAGCACAGACTCCAAATGCTCTGAGGCGATGTGACACAAAGCACCTGTGAGCCAGGAGTCAGGAGATACGAGTTTCCCAGCCAGCCCTCAGCTAACCCGCTCACGAGGGGCCTCAGGTAGAGCACTCCTCTCTGGGCCTCAACTTCCTCATCTGTCATGATAACAGCTCCTATTCTATAGAGCATGCCAGAGGCTTACAGTCTAGAGGAGAGATGAGCCCAAATCAAACAAGGCTGCTAATGAACATTTTATTAGAAATCAGAGAGCTTCTCTCCCAGGAAGGGCCCTGGTTCTGACTCCAACCCAGCCTAGGGGCCCGGGAAGGCATCACTGAGGAGCTGCTGTTTGAGGTGGGGTGTCGGGGATAAAGAGGGGTGAGCCAGAGGAAAGAGCGCTCCAGAAGGCAGGGTATGTGCAAAGGCCCTGAGGCAGGGGAACCTGGCAGGTGCAAGAAGCTGAAACGAGGCTGGGTGGTTGGGGTTTGGTAAGCGATGGAGACAGTCAGGTCAGAGGAAACTGGAGGGACAGGCAGGGCCTGAGAGGCCACAGTATGGGCCACGGGCTGGCGAAGCACTGAAGGGTTCTAAGCAGGCTCGGGCGATCTGACAGGCCCGTGAGTTGAAAAGACCTCTGTGGTTGCCAGGTGGAGGATAAACTGGAGCAGCCAGGGGCTGGAGGTGGGAGAGCAGCTGGGGGGCTGCCGGGGAGGTGAGCCTGAGGGGAACCATGGTGGCTTGAGCCAGGATGGTGAACATGGAGGTGGAGGGAGACGAGAGAGTCTACAGGAGGGGAAATGATAATACAACCAACAGTAGTAATAATAGTAGCCAACATTTATTGAGCATTTACTGTATGCCAGGCCCTGTGGTTCGGGGCTGTCCAAGCATTACCTCAGTTATCTTCACACCAACCTCGTGAGGACGGTTCTAACTTTATTCCCATTTAGCGGTGAAGGGGCTGCAGGGCTCTGACCAGGAGGCGCTTGGTTTATGATTTTCATTACTGGGAGGGGGGTGGGGGGAGCTGGAGGAACCATTCAAAGACCTGAGGACCCCATACAAGGATCATGGGAAGCAGGGGGGCACACTGTGGTGGAAGGCCCTTGGGGTGGCTGGGAGGTGAACATACCCAGCCCCTTCTCCACTGTTCATGGGTCTCCTTCATATGGTACCATGACTCCAAGTGGGGCCCTGGCCTGGGGGAGTGGGCTCCGAGGCAAGGGGGTGCACTGCCTAGAATCCCCTGATAATAGCTCTGTCCCCCAGCCCTCCGCATGCCAAGCCACGACTCCAAGAGCCCTGTGTCGGCTGGGACCCAAGGGAGGAACAGAAGCCTCTGGCTGGGCGCTTTATTTCCCGCCACCAGGTAAATTTCCTTCCCTGGGAGCTGAGGGGAGGCCAGTTTTTATCGAGTTCCAAAGAGGCAGTGACAGGGCAGAGAGACAGACACAGGACAAGGGTCAGAGGAGAGGCAGGCAGCTGGGTGGATGGAGGTGGGGCTTCCCCAGCTTGGGGGCCATTGGCACTACTTTGGCATTTGGAAGGTCAAGTGACTCAGGAACAGATGTTAACACACACACACAAACACACACACACAGGACACTCTGGCCTGCAGCACAAGGACCACCATTGGCCCTGATGGGACGCAACAACGTCCCTGATGATGACATGCAAATCAGAGACTAAAGCCAAGAGCCTCAGACCTGAGCTGGCCCCCAAGGAAGACAGGAGGGCAGGTTTCAAGCCAGGCAGCCCCAACACTCCCCTGCCTGCTCTCACACCTCTATGACCCCCCTGCCCTCTCCACCTGGTTAACTCCTCCCTGCCCCTCAAAGGTTGCCCCAGCATCACCTCCTCTGGGGCAGTTCTTATTCTCATGGCCCCAGGAAATCCCTTCATAGCCTCTCCAAACAGTACCACCATCATCATTGTCTTGTGTGTGTCAGGGGCACCACCCCCCAACCCAGAACACACGTGGAGCTCATCCTGTCCCAGCTCATCCCCTCAGGCTGATGCCCAGAGCACAGGAAAGGGGGCCAGGGGAGCAGCTGCCCCAGCCAGCAGCCGGCACTCTTGCCCCTCAGGAACTCAGATGGGCCCTCCCGCCCCGACTATGTAGCCCCTATCTCCAGGGCCAGCACCAAGGCCCAGGGTAGGTGGCAGCTCCTCAGGGAAAGGTGACCTCACCACCCGTCCCACACACTGACAGTGGCCTGGGCAGAAAAGCATCTCTACTGAGGAAAGGAAATGCCCTCAGTTAGGCCACTCCGGAGTCCCAGAGACTGAGGCAGTGGGCAGGAAGCAGCTCTGGAATCTCATCTTCCTCAAGCACACACACACTCGGGATGCACAGGACCTCTCTCTCACATACACACAGCACACTGACACACACGTGGGTTCTCACACACATCACGTACACTGTCACACACAGGATTTCACACACAATCTCTGTCTTACACACACCTTCACATACAGTCTGTCACACACAGGGACCCCCACCCCACACAGCCTCCTGCCTTATGTGTACACGCATGTACACACACACACACACACACACACACACAGACTCACACATGAGCTCCACATATACAGTTTCACACTTGCCACACACAGCCACACACTCACGCAGACACACTCACCTCGACTCTCACGCACTCTCCAAACCTCACACACAGCATCTCTCTTACACATGCAGTCTCTCTTCCTTATACACACTCTCTCCCACACAGTCTCATTCTCACACACGCACAGTCCATCCAAAACACAGAATCCGCCTCTCTCACACACACAACCCCTGACACAAGGACTCAGGAAGCTCGCACAGAGTCGCAGTCTCACCACACACACACACACACACACACACACACACACACACGCCTGGAGTCTCACATTTATTCTCACACACACAAGTCTCTCACACTCACACACAATCTCTCTTACAAAGAGCCTCTGTCTCACACATACAGCCTTTCCTTCACACACATATGCAAGATCACACACAACATGCTGGCCTAGATCTAGAATAACGACTTAAGTCCCGACCCGCTGGTGTGAGGAGTCTCGGGGCCCCGTGTGGGGGAGGGGTAAACAAAGGTGACAGCAGAGGCGGCAGAGCAAAGACAGAGGGGGAGGAGGGCGGGCAGGCGGCTGGTCTGTGCGCAGATGAGCCGCAGAGAGGCAGCGCAGTGCAGCTAGGCCAGCCGGGCGGGCGGCAGGAAGCTGGGGTTCTAATCCCGCTCTGCCCTCCTCAGCTCCCGAGTGCCCTTGGGCAGGTCCCTCCTCCTACGGGCCTCAGTGTCCTCAACTGTTCCCCGAGGGAGCTGGAAGGGACAACAACCTTCCTTTGAGGCCACTGGGGAGAGAAGGTGGCTCAGACAGGCTGAAGGGGAGCACCCACTAGCACCCGCTCCTATCCCAGTACCGCCTCACCCCGACCACCGGGCGCCCAGCTTTTCCCTCAGAGTCCGCTCTTCAGTGAGCATTCACTTCAGAGATTTTTTTCAAGACTTTTCTGTACGGTTTTGCACACCAATAGAACCTCAAACCACACTAGCTGGCCCATTTGTCTGCCTTGGGTGAAGGCCACCCGCAGCCTAGGAATGTCCAGTGGGAGGAGAGGGCCAGGGGAGGGGGTTGGAACATGCCCCACTGCCCCCTGCCTGCCCTGAAACTCAGGACACTGATCAGAGCCCCAACACTGAGTGCAAAGGGTGGGGCTGGGGGACTCAGCCTCTTGCTTGGGAGTCAGGAGACTGAGCCTACCCCTTGCTTCTGGGGCCAAAGTTGGTGGGGGAGATGCTGCCCAAGGTCAAGTGTGGGCTGAATGGGCAGCTGCTGTAACCCAGGCCTCTGCCCACCCCCACCCCAACATGCACTAGTTCAACCTCCCATCCCCCTCCTCCAGCCCCTCCCCACAGCTCAGCCACAGCCTCCAGTTACATAACCCTCTAGCTGTGGTGGCCTCTGTCAGGAAAGGGAAGGGGAGGGAAGCCCTCTGAGGGTCCCAGTCCACTCTGGGGAAAGGCAGGAGCTGGTAGGCAGCCCAGGGGAGGATAGGGTCCCAGGAGAATTGAGTTCTAGTCTTTCTTGGCCTCTAGCTCCCTGGGTGACCTTGGGGAGGGTCCTCAGTGGCAAAACATGGGCCTGGCTCTCTCCCTATTGCCTCCCCCCATAAACACAGTTGTTCTAGAATTCAAGGTATAAGACTGACCGGCTACCTGCCCCCCGCCCGCCCCGACATACCATACTGTTTTTGATCTCAGTTAACAGATCTACAAGGTCTGTGCCTAAACACAGACTTTCTTTGCCCATGGGCACTTGAGGTCCCCCCAAGTCTCCTCCCTCCACTCTCCTCTGCAACTTCCTACCCCTCCCTAGCCCTCTACCCCTGGCTCTGGCTCAGGCTCCAGTGCGCAGGAGGGGAGAGATGCGGAGTAAAAGACAGCAGGGCAGAGGCAGTGCTTTGCCTGGTAGGGGGTGAGGGCAGCTCAGGGATGCAGGAGGGGCTCTGCTTTAAATTCTCTACTCTGCCCTTCCCCCACAGGCCTTAGGGTCTCTCTTTAGGCCTCTAAGGACAGAGCCCAGTGAAGGCTGGGAGTGTCTCTTCCAGGGTGGGTGGCTGCTACCAGTTCCTCTTTTTGGGCTCAGTCACTGATGTTCCAGCAGCAAGGCCCTTAAGAGTTCACCAGGCCCCCTCCCCCATTTTACAGATAAGGAAACTGATCCAGAGAGGCCATCTGAGGGACCAAGGTCAGCAGCAGCGTGTCCTTTCTTCCTAGGAACAAGCTGGTATGGCTATAGGGGAGTGGCCCATGAAGACACGCCCACCTCTCACACACCTTCTCCTTGCAGGTTCCCCCTTAAGGACCCTTAAGGACCGACCCCCTCTCCCCACCACGGGATGTCCCAGAGGAAGCACTGGCATAAGCCCAGTGACCCACTCCAACACCCTCCGCTTTCGACAAGGAGGAAGGACAGGCTGTGATCTCAGGATCGGGGGCTCAGACGGACCACCCCTACCTTACAGCCCAGCCCTCCACCAACTTCCAAGCCACCGAGATTAGCCATGGAGATGCCCTCTTGACCACTTCCTCAAAATTGCCGGAGGCTGCTCCCTGAGGAGGGGGTGTCTGTCTCAAGCTGCCCAGCAGGCCTCAGGCCTTTTTGGGGGACCATGGCTGGCTCCAGATGCGCCTTTACCTGGACAGGAGGAAGGGCTCCCAGCTTCCCTCCCCACACTGAAATCTCGAGAGCAGTCCATACTTTGACAGTGCACCTCTGCAAAGACACAAATGTTCACGGGCAGGCGCTCATGCACACTCGAACATACACACATGCTCACTCATTCCCACTCCACACTTTACCCACCCAAATACACACCACCACACTTACATAAATATGCACACACAATCTACTCATACACACAAACACACCCATTCATACTCATACATATTAAACTTGGCAACACACAGACTGACATACATAGAAAACCAGAACCCCGGCGGACACCCTTCCTCTCTTACCCTGGTACGTGCACACATGCGCACACACCCCCTTTCGATTCTGAACTCCCTAGGCGCCAGTTCTCCGGTCCACCCCTGCCCGCGGGGAGGCACAGGACGCTGCCTTCCCGCCCCGCTCTTCTGATGGGTAAATTGTCACTTACCCGCGCGTAGCGGGACGAGTACGGGTCCTCGAAGAGCGCCCAGATGCGCGGCTGCCAGCGGCGCCAAAAGCCGCCAGGCCGGCCATCCGGGGAGTCACTGAGCGCCAGGCGCTTGGTCATCTCCAGCTCGTCCTCGCCGTCGCCCGAGTCGCCAGGGCCGTCGGCGTCCGCGTCGTCGGCGCTGTTGTCCAGAGGAGCGCCGCCGAAGCTGTCCAGAGCCTCCTCGGCGTCGCGGTGCTGGCGGTACGTCATCCAGCAGCAGGGCTCCACGTCGGTCTCGTCGATGCCCCAGAAGGCCAGCTCCTCCTCGTAGAGCGGCCCGCACACGTCGGCTGGGCAGTGCAGCTTGCCCGTGCGGTAGTAGTTCAGGATGTGCGCGAAGACGCCGGGGTGGCGGTCGAAGAAGAACTCGTCAGCACGCGGGTCATAGTCGAAGTGGCTGTGGGCGTCGGGCTCCGCCAGCCAGGCGAGCCGCGTGCCGGGCAGCGTGCGCAGGGTCGAGCGGTACGTCTGGTGGCGCGTGCCGCCCACGTTGATCACGATGCGCTCGCTCTCGTCCCCTTGGCCCATCGCGGCGCCCCCTTAGGCATGGCGCGGCCCAGCGACACCCATGGGAGCGGCCGCCAGGGGGAGTTGGCGCCGGGGAGGGGGGCGCGCGCCCTCTTCCCCCCTCCCCCCAGCCGTCGGGGGGAACAGAGGCCTGCGGCTCTGGCCACCCCAACGAGCGAGCCAAGCCTCTCCGGGCGCTTTGTCGGGTGCCGGTCCAGGGGAATGTGCGCGGGATCCCAGGGGTCTCTAGGAGCCAGATGTGGGAGGGAGCTGGTCCGGCAGCGGAGGAGGCAGAGGAGGAAAGAAGGGAGGGAGAAAGGGAGGGAGAAAGGGAGGGAGGGAGGGAGTGAGGGGGAAAGAGGGAGGGGGGCGGGCTCAGCAGCGAGCCCCGGGAGGTGGGGAAAATGGGTTGGGGGGCCGGGCTCCCGTCCCCATCTCCGCGGGAAAATGGAGAAATCGGCACAAAGCTTTTGGGGGAAAGGTCAGCCGCTCCCGGGGCCGGACTAGAGGCCAGCCCCCAGGAGGGGGAGGGGAGGAGACAGGGCCGGGAAATTCGCGCTCCTCTGTGAGGTGGTCGCCGCGGCGCGCTCTCGGCGCGGGGGAGATGGATGCCGCCTGCCTTCCTCCCTGCGTGGCCGGGCTGCAGCTCGGGACGCAGGGCGGGCTCCGGCCCCCTCCCTCTCTCCTTGCTTGGCTGCCTGCTCCCCCCGGCGGCGGGCCCGCCTGCCCGCCCGCCCTCCTCGTTCCTTCTCCCCGCCTCCTGGAGGAGATGGCGGGCCCCCTGGGCAGGGGCACCCGGGGTGTTGCTCGTGCGGCTAACGCCGAGCGCTGCTCTCCGTGAGCCCGGGCTCGAGCTGGGGTTCCGCTGGGCTGCGCTCGGACTTGGGCTCCCGCGGCGGTGCTGAAGGGACAGCTCCCGGCGGTCGCGGAGCTGCACGGGGCCAGGCGGGGGTTCTCCTGGCTGGGTTTGATTTGCGGGGCCGGCGGGCACTGGCTCCGGTGCCTCTGCGCCCCGCACTCCGCTCCTCGCTTCGGGCAGGCGGTGGGCGCTGCCGGCCGAGACGGGGGCTGCGGAGGTCGGGCGGGGAGGCGGGGGTGGCGGGTCCGGGCGCGGCGAGGTGAGGCCAGCGAGGCCGGTGAGGCGAGGCGCGGAGCGGCCGCTGCCGCCGCCGCCGCGACGCTGCTGCCGCCCGGGCTGCTGCTCCGCTTGCTGCTCGCCCGTCGCCTGCTCGTTCGCGCGGTCCGCGTCCAGCCCGCCGCTCTCCGGACACGGGCACACGGCGCGCGCAGCCGCACTCGCCCCCGGAGGAAGGCGCCGCGCTGGGTCCTAAAAAGCCCTGATTCCGCGCCCCCCTCCCAGCCCCGCACCGAGCCCGGCCTCCCTCAACCTCGGCGCTGGGGGCGCCCGCCCCGCGCGGCTCCTGCTGCTCCCGGGGGACCCGCCCACGGTCCGCCCTCGGGGAACGCCACTCCAGGGGCGGGGGCTCCGAGAGACGTCTGGGCCCGCGCCCCCGGGTCAGACTGAGGTGAGAAGGGCGTTGGCACCCTCCCCTTGCCTTCCAAACCAGGGACCATCTGATCCCTGGTGAGACAAAGCTCTCCCGGAGTTTTGTCATCAGAGACACCCTGGCCCGGACCAGTGCTGACCGCTCCAAGGAATCCTTTAATACCGACCCTTCTCGCGGAACCTGGAGGCCCCATGTTCCTTCCATGGGTAATGTCTTGCATGAACCCCAACACACACACACACACACACACACCACGTTATCCTCTACGCCCTCCACTAACAATCAATCCTGGACCCCTATTAACCCCTTTGGACTCCTTACTGACCCTGGGCCCTTTATAGCTTCAGACAGAGGGAGTCTCCCATGAGTGCCACATCCATCCAAGCTCACGGACTCTCCCACACTAACCCTGGATCCCTAGGTGGAGACCCCTTATGAAAAGGACCTTCTGCCCTCAGAGGTCAGAAGCAGCAACTGCTCGTAGTTTCCCTGAGCACTGACACCCCCACCCCGCACTTCCTAGGGCTTCAACTGCCCTGGGTGATAAGCTGGTGTTATGTCTGGGAGCTGGGTGGGAGCTGCTGCTTGCTGTGATTCCTCCATCTTCACAGTTGGTCCTGGGGGTGGGAGTTCCAGTTTGAACCTCAAAGCCTTCCTGGCCCATGCCTGCTGCTAGTGCCTTGGTTTACTCAGTAAAGCAATCACTCCTTTACTCCTTACTTGTTTCAGGATCCGTCCCAGGCACAAGGACACAAGAGATGAATCTGACCCAGCCTCTGGCCTTGAGAAGCTCCCAGCCTTCTGGGGAGGTGGCCAGGTGGGCCTAGGCAGGACTGGGGAGGTCAGGCCCGTCTCCAGGGGTGGCTGGGGTGGGAAAGAGGCTTATTGATCCCAGCTCAACCCAATCGAACACAGGATGCCTGGGCAAAGGGCGATTTAATTAAGAAGATATGAGGCTTTTATTACTGCTGGCACTTTCTAACTGTGCAGACAGCTGTCCCTCTACCCTGACCCACAGATGCCGTTGTGAGCCTGGGGACAAAGCTGTGCCACAGACATCGCTCTCCTTACTTGGCCAGGGGAATCCCAATCTAGCCACAGGAAAATCTGTGTGTGGTGGGTAAAAGGCTTGAAGGGGTGGAGAGGGGCAGGGCAAGGATTGACAGATGGGAATAGGACAAGGGGAGAGACAGAGAGGCTAAATTAAGTCAGAAATGGGCAGAGTTGGGCAGAGACAAAGAGAGGGTTGGATTTTGGGGCCTGCATGGCACCTCCTCCCTCCAGATATTGATCTGTGTGATTCCTCTAAATAGGAGCTGTTTCCCCTTCAATCTCAGAGTAATGCAGGGATGAGAGTGATTTTGAGTGTCCCTTTCACCCTGACCAGTGTGAGTCCCCATCTCCTAACCACAAGGAAGCCTGGCCTGGTGTGGCCCGGCCTGGTGTGGCCCATCCTGGCCCATATTCAGATCCCCGGGACATGGGTTCTCAGGAAATTCTGTCCCAACATTGGTAGAAGATGAAATAGAAATGGAGAATCCAGAAGGAAGAGAAAAAGGTGGACACAGAGGCAGACACATACACACACACACACACACACACACACACACACACACACACACACACACAGCTGGGAGAAATCAAGATGGGGAGAGACAAGAAAGCAGCCTCTCCAAACCTTCCTTTCTTTCTACCCAGATGTCCAGCCCCTCTTCTCACCCAAGAATCTTCTGGGATTCTACTAGCCATAGGGTTCCAGGACTTCACCTCTCTCTTCACCTGCAGAACCACACGGGATCAGAGTATGGCTCCTGATCTTCTCCATAGCTCATCTGATCTCCATAAAAGGACCATCAGCTCCTCCAGGGCTTCTTGTTTGCTTCCCTCCAGAGTGCCCAGAATACAGTAGATCCTCACTAAGGTCCAGATGATTTGAGAAAGGCTAGGAGAGAGGCTGGGATCCTAGAACCCAAGTGGCAGAGACTGTGGGAGTCTGGAACACCTAATGGAGACCAAGTCAGGAGGAGGGACTTACCCAGGGTTTTTTAGGGAATCAGTGCAGGGCCCCATCACTACGCCATGGCGAGTCCTAATAGGGGGCTGCAGTGTGACCCAGGCAGTTGGGGAGGGGGCACAGAGAGACAGAGAGAAACAAGGGGCTCCTGGTAGGCAGAAGGTTGGGTGATTAGGGGCTCTGGACGATGTGTTAGAAAGAGGGAGGTAGGCCAGGGTTGGAGGCAGAAGGAATGTGAAAGGGTATTCATTGCACCCTAAAGCCCATTACACCCTAAAATCCCCCAAGAGGTAAGCAGAGAAAACTCAGACACAGGAGCCTCCCCAGCAGGAGAGGGTAGCTGTTCCCAATGTGCCCCACACTGTTCCACTTTAGGATTCTCACTTTGATCCCTGATGACACACCCCCAGCCCAGGCCCCAAAGAATGGCCTCCCTTGTGGATCCTGAACAGGACATCAAACTTTCTTCTCTCACTTCCCCTTCACACTGCGAGAATGCTAGCATTTGCAAACAGCCTAGGAAAACCAAGAGGGCAACACAGAAGAAATCAACAAAAACCAAAAACCAGAAAACAGAGAAACAGAGGGTTTTGGGGGGAAATAGGAGGAAGAATGACTAACCATTCCCTAGCTTCTCACTCGCAAACACTAACGACAGACCCCCAGCTAGACTGAAAACCTCACTCCTTTTCCACTTTGGAGCAGCACCTCCTATTCGCAGCCATTTGCCCCTCCCTTGCAGAAGAAAGCTTGTGGTCTGGTGCCAGAGGGTCTTTGGTAGCTGGGGCTGGTGGGGGTGGGAGCAGTTGTGGTGTGGTATGTTCAGTGGCTAAGAGCACAGACTTTAAAACCAGACTGCCTGGATTCAAATCCCAGCTCCAGTACTGACTAGCTGTGACCTTGGGCAAGTTACTCAACTTCTCTGTGCCTCGTTTTTTGCTTTTACTGTTGTATTGAAATAATAATAATAACTCCTGTATCCTTAACATCTAAGTTCTAGAATTTCTCTTGTTTAGGCCCAAGGAGGGATTGCTGGGCTTCAGTAAGCTTCATGTAGGAAAGGCTAGAATATAAGCTGGTGTTGGGAGTGGACTAAAAAAAAGGTGAAGGGAGTTCTGAAGCCAAGTTTGGCCTATGTTTTCCCACCTGGCACTTGCAGGCCTTAGATCTGGTCCTGCTAAGCTCTGGAACTGGCCCAAGTCCAGCCCCTAGGCTTTTGTCCAGGTTGGCACATCCTCCATGCTGCTCTCCCAGGCCCAGAGCCTCAGCCCTCCTGGTGGGCTGGGGTGCCATCTTGTGGCCATGGCTGGGAACTAACCTAAGCTGGGTATTGACCGAGAAGGCTTTGAGGATAGTAACCCTGCTCTGATGGTAAGCCGTGGGGGTGGCAGACATCCCCTCCCTAGACCATACCGCCTGCCTCCAATGGTCAGGGAAGATTGAATCCAGAGATGCCGTAGTGGGAAATTGGCGACCTTGGCCACAGATCTGTAGGTTGAGCAGTGACCCTGGTAACCTGGGCTGAGCTGCAGCGAGGTATACAGCTAGCTGTTCCTTCTTGGAAACTCTGGGGCAGGGGCACCAACATGGCTTAGGCCATGGGAAGTCCAGAAAGGGGCCAAGGTGAAGAATACTCTTGGAAGGTGTCTAGACCAGGGTTTCTCAACTTCTGCACTGTTGACATCTTGGCTCAGATGTAATCCTTTGCCAGGGTTGGGGCCGGGTGCTGTACTGTGCATTGCAGGATATTTAGCAGGCCTCTGTCCACTAGGTGTCGGTAGAAGCCTCTTCCCTAGCAGTGATCACCAAAAAGGTCTACAGACACTGCCAAATGTACCCTGGGAGGTAAAATTTCTTCCGGTTGAGAGAACCACTGATGTAGACAGACTTGGTTACAAATCCCATTTTTGCTATTCACTAGCTGCGTCAACTAGTCCCATTCCCTCTCTAGGCTTCTATTTCCTCATTATCCATAAAGGGACCAATGTCTGGTAAGGATTAAATGACATGGTACCTCATTTCCTCTTCTTCCCTTTTCTCCCTTCCCTCGGGCTCCCTAGCCCACTTCTCATCCCTCTGTGACCAGCCCTTACACCCCCTCCCCCTCATGGACTCCTACCATCCTTCAGCAATGTCCCTTAGGGTGTCAGTGTGGCCCTGGGGACAGAGCATTAGCCCTCCCTGGGCCTGGATGCCTCTCCCTGCAGGCTGTGGGAGGGAGGTGCGGAAGTGTGAGATGAGATGATGGCTGTGGTGAACATGGTCAGGTGTGCATATATGTAAGGAGGCTGGGTGGGTACAGGCCCTCCTGCAAGCATGTTCACAGCAGGACTGTGCAGAGGACACTGAGTTCTCCTCCCAGAAGCAGCTGGAGACTCGTGGCTACCCTAAAGGTCTTCCCTCTGCGGCTCCTCTGATAGGGAGAGCCTGGCAAGTTCTCTTGTATGTACACCTGTGGATGTGTCAGCCTGCAGGTGAGCATGGTCAGTATGCAGAGGTGGGTCCAGGGTGTGTAGGGCCTGAAGCCTGGAAGTTTTGGGGGTCACTCTTTTAAAAAAAGAAAGCAAAAAAGAATACAAAGTTGGATACAAAAGTGAATATTTATTTAGACTTAGAAAAGGACTCAAGACCAAATATAAATTTTAAGAAGCTGACATATACTACAAATATTTAAAAATACAGAAAAAAGCTTCATATTTTTATTAACTGCACGGCACACCTATATAATGATTTAAAATAAGTTACATTTATTTGGAAGCATTCAGTATGCCAACAAAAACAGATGCAACTTTTTTTGCAATTACAGAATAATATTTAGTTAATACATTTATTTTACATAAGCTACATCGAAGATGACTGGAAATTAAAAAATCATCACCTTCCCTCCAATATAACTATTTTTTTCTGTGTACTAACAAGACCCTGCTTTACATTTCTATGCCAATTTATAGGTCCCGGGTAGTACCAGGCACAGTTAGTAGCTACTGAAAACACCTCCTGGACAGGACTACTTAAAGATACATTATGAAATGCAAGGGACCCAGAAAACTCACAACAGTATTGAAGAAGGAGAGTAAAGCTGGAGGACTCACGCTTCCCAATTTCAAAACTAACTACCACACTACAATAATCAAGACTGTGTGGTATTGGCATAAGGATAGATAGATAGATCAATGGAATAGAATTGAGAGTACAGAAATAAACTCATATATTTATGGTCAATTAATTTTTGACAAGAGTGCCAAGACAATTCAATGGAGAAAGAATCGTCATTTCAATAAATGATGCTGAAACAACTATATATTCATACGCAAAAGAATGAATTTGGATCCCATACTTACACCATATTAAAAATTTTAAATGGACCAAATTCCTAAATGTTAGGGCCAAAGTCATATAACTCTTAGAAGAACTTGAAGTAAGTAATCGTTTCTTAGATGTGATGTCAAAACCATAAGCAAAAAAAAAAAAAAAAAAAAGGAACAGGTAGATAACTTGGATCTTGGATCTCATCAAAATAAAATAGACATTTGTGCTTCAAAGGAAGTGAAAAGAATTCGCAGAATGGGAGATATAATTGCAAATCCTATATCTGATAAGAGTCTGATATCTAGATTAGATAAAGAACTCTCATAACTCAATGTATTAGTCCATTCTCACACTGCTATGAAGAAATACCCAAGACTGGGTAATTTATAAAGGAAAGAGGTTTAATTGACTCACTGTTCCACATTGCTGAGGAGGCCTCAGGAAACTTACAATCATGGCAGAAGGCAAAGGAGAAGCAGGCACCTTCTTCACAGGGTGGCAGGATGTAGTGAATGGAAGCAGGGGAAACATCAGACACTTATAAAACCATCAGATCTCATTGAGAACTCACTATCATGAGAAGAGCATGGGGGAAACCACTCCCAGTGATCCAACTGCCTCCACCTGGTCCTGCCCTTGACACATGGGGATTATGGGGATTACAATTCTAGGTGAGATCTGGGTGGGGACACAGAGCCAAACCATACCACTCAACAACAAAAAGACAACCTAATTTTAAAATGGGCAAAGAATTTGAATGGACATTTCTCCAAAGAAAACATACAAATACTCAATACGCACATGAAAACATGCTCAACATGTGATTAGAGAAATGCAACTCAAAACCCACTTCACACCCACTAGGCTACTTCTAACAAAAAAGACAAACAACAGAATGTTGTCAAGGATGTGGAGACATTGGAACCCCTATATGTTGCTGATGGGAATATAAAATGGTGCAGCTGCTTTGGGGAAAAGTTTGACAGTTCCTCAAAACTTTAAACATAGAGCTGTGATATAGCTAGCAATTCTGCTTTTAGATACATACCCAAGAAAATTGAAAGCACACATTTACACAGACACTTGTACTTGAATGTTCACAGCAGCATTATTCCTAATAGCTAAGAAGTAGAAATAACCCACGTGACCAACAGATGAATGAATTAAAAAAGTGTGATATATCCGTATAATACACTATTATTCAGCATAAAAAGGAATGAAGTATGCTACACGCTGTAAGATAGATGAACTGGCTGGGTGCGGTGGCTCACACCTGTAATCCCAGCACTTTCGGAGGCCGAGGTGGGGGGATCACCTGAGGTCAGGAGTTCAAGACCAGCCTGGCCAACATAGTGAAACCCCATCTCTACTAAAAATACAAAAATTAGGCGAGCGTGGTGGTGGGTGCCTGTAATCCCAGTTACTTGGGAGGCTGAGGCAGAAGAATTGCTTGAACCCAGGAGGTAAAGGTTGCAGTGAGCTGAGATCACGCCACTGTACTCCAGCCTGGGTGACAGAGGGAGACTGTCTCAAAAAAAAAAAAAAAAAAGATAGATGAAGCTTGAAAACATGATGTTGGTGTTAATTGTTGAGGTCTAGTTACAGTGGCATATTATGAATTTTATACATGATTCCTTTCATATGAAATTTCCCAAATACGCAAATCCATAGAGTCAGAAAGTAGGTTAGTGGTTGCCAGGGGCAAGCAGGAGGAAGGGGATAGTGAAGAGTGACAGCTAATGCCTATGGGTTTCTTTTGGGGGTGATGAACATGTTTTGAGATTAGACAGTCGTGATGGTTGCATAGCCTTGTGCATATAGTACAAACCACTGAACTATGCATTTTAAAAAGGTGAATTTTATGGTTGTGAGTTATATCTTAATTTAAAAATTGGGAAAAGTAAAAGAAAGAAGGACCAGTTAACCAGGAGTCTATAATTGAGTTGCCTGTGCTGAGAATAAGCTTCTCAGTTTGTTGTGGTCCCGGTTTCCTTATCTGTAAGAGATCTGCTTCATAATCTCTTCTTTCTTTGAAATGCTTTAAGCAAATTATGAAATAATTTCAAAACTGAGACATACTTTTTAAATTTACTAATTTATTCCACAGAGTAAATGCCAAAGTCCAGGTGGGTTAAGTCCCATTCCCAAGATCTTAGAGCTGGTCAATGACACAGCCAGGCCTAGATCCCAGGGAATTATGTAGCCATTGGCATACCATAGGACTCACTTCCCCCTGCTACTGGGAAAGTTCTACATGAATTAAAACCCACTGTCACGTGTTCTCTGAAAAAAATAAGTTACCAACTACACAAAAATGACCCTGTGCAATATAAAAACAAATATTGCACAGCCTCTCATCGAATGTTTTTAAATAGGAGTGACTTGTGTGCAGTGCGAGTGTTTCAAATGCCTTATGAGAGAAAAAAAAAAACGAAGGTAGGACCAACTTGTTTTTTCATCATTATCACATCATCATCTTTGCCTTTATCTTCCTCCTCGTCTCCTCATTCTATCTACCTTCCACCTCTTGCTCCTTTTTCTTGTCTTTTTCAGTCTTGCCTACCTCTTTCCACCCGCATCCGGCTGCACATTCTTTGATTGCTTCTTCATGTGACAATGGTTTTATAATATCATTTTCTATACAGAGAATAGAGAGATTATTCAGTCTTTCCTTCAACATGGTTGATCAAAACTTGTTTTGTACCATTGATAATTTAAGGAAATTTCAGGCTCACAAGTCTATTGGAAATGTCATGTACATTTTTAGAATTGATGTCAAATTTGAGGAAACCTCAATCAAGTTTCTTTCATCTGTGGGCTGTAAAAACTCAAGGCATTTTGAGTTTTCTTGTGTGGTGACTAATTTTAAATATTTTTTAATTGACAAGTTTCTTTAATAATTGTGTTGATGATGTTGAGGTCTTGTTATAGTGGCATATTATGAATTTTATGCTATCTTTGTGGATGCCAGTAGTTTGTAACAGATCAGCAAAAAATTTAAATCTTTTCCCAATGTGTTCATGTAATTTGCCATTATTCACTGGTGGGATTATTAAACCATGCAAGAGTCTTTTCCATAAATCTATTAGAAAATTTTCTTCTTCTTTTAATAAACCACTTTTTGGCATGATCTAGATAAATTTTGTGGTTCTAATTATCTTCTCAATGTCAGAATCATTTAAATTTATATCATTGTTCATCATTATTGCTTATGTTTTATATTTCATTTATTTAAAATATATTCCACTAAACCCAAATGAAATTTATACCTTTAGATAGGACTGATCCAAACATCCCCATGAGTGCTACCCAATACAAGGGTCAGAACAGAAAGAGACAATGGTCATAACCAATTGTTAAAAGTGATTTACTTTGGCAAATTAAAAAAGTAGCTAGACCATATAGACATATTTCTAGGGTTTCCCCCAGGACCTTAGAAGGGGCTCATACGAGAGAGGGGAACTGAAGCTTAAACTTTATTGTCTTCACAGTCTATCAGCCTCTGATGGTGTGCTCTGGGTACACATGTGCTTTTGTATGAGCACATATGTGTAAAGACATATACATATGTCTCTGTGGAGAGCATGGCCCTGGTGCTTCCTCAGATCCAATGCAGGTAAAATGGCCCCATGAGCAAAGGATGTTCCATCTACACTGCAAGTGAAGTCAGGCTCAGCCAGTTGTCCCCCCTTGAGGGGACTGAGGTAAGGGACAGGCTAGGAGGGGACCTCAAACCCTATCCTCGATGGTGTGATCCAGTCTCCAGCTGTTCCCTTCCCTCTTGACTTTTCTCACTTCCTCTCTTCTGACATCCTCTGCAGAAGACACAGAGCAAGGCAGCCAAGAGTGCAGTCTCTGGAGCCCTCTGCCTGGGTTCAGATCCTGGCTCATGACCTATGCTGATCTAACTAGACTTCTTCCCTGGGAATTTTCTCCCCACTGCCCCGACAAAGATGGAGTCTTGCTCTACTGCCCAGAGCTGGAGTGCAATGGCATGATCTCAGCTCACTGCAGCCTCTGCCTCCTGGGTTCAAGCAATTCTCCTGCCTCAGCCTCCTGAGTAGCTGGGATTATAGGCGTGCACCACCACACCCAGCTAGTTTTTGTATTTTTAGCAGAGACGGGGTTTTATCATGTTGGCCAGGCTGGTCTCGAACTCCTGACCTTGTGATCTGCCTGCCTCAGCCTCCCAAAGTGCTGGGATTACAGGCATGAGCCACCATGCCAAGGCTGGGAATTTTCTAACTGGGTTTAATGGTAAGATCCATGGTAACCCATGAGTTTCTGGAGAAAACCAATATGGACTAGGAGAGAGTGAAGCCAAGCAGAGACATGAAGTGGACAGCCTAGAAGTGTGAGAGGAGCTCTAGCTCCCAAGGTGCATAGATGCCGTGGTGCTTATAGCTCTACTTCCAGATATGAGCTGCCCCGTGAACTTCCAACACACCCTCTTGTGGGGTTTAGGCTAGTTTGAATAAGGTTTCTGTCACGAAGTATTCTACACTAGATGTGTCACCATACCTGCTTCTCCTCCTGAGGTCCCTATCTGTGTAATGGCACCACCACTTACTCAGAAGCAAATCACGGCCTCAAGTCAGAAGCAAACCAGAGCCTGGAGTCATCCAAGGCTCCTCCCTTCTCTACACTTTCTAGGGCCTACACGCACAAGGCACTGTGAAGTTATGCAGGTTGTCACTACAGAAGTGCACCCAGCTGAGGAGGTGAGTGGGGGCTGAAGTCCAGCCTGCTCTCTGCCTGCCTAGTCATGATCCCTGGTGCAGGGCAATGCCCCAGGAGAGAAGGGGTACTTTTTTCTAATTACACACAGACCCCCTCTAGGATACTGGGACCCTCTTCATGTATAGAATTGCTTCCCTTGGTGCAGAACTTCTGCCTCCTCTGTCGACCTGCTTGCCTTCTCACTCCGCATTACCACCTCTGCTTACACCTGTTGCCTTTCCTTACGGTGTTTCTCATCGTTTATAACATTGTATTTATTCACTTGGTTCTTCATCTCACGGTTACTTCCCCAGTGGATTTTAAGCTGTAGGAAGGTGGAGACTGTGCCTTCAATGTTCTCTGCTGTACCCTCAACACTGACACATTATTTGGCCCAAGCCAATTCAGGATATGTCATACCTCCTCTAAGCAACCCCAGTGGCTTCCTGAAAGATCTCCCTGTCTCAAGTCTTGTTCTCTCCTACCTATTCTGCTAGCCCAAACTGGCCTTTCTAAAATACAGAATTATTTGTATCCTTCCCCTGTTTAAATTCCTGTGTGGCTCCCTACTGCCCTCGAGATAAAGTCCAGATGAGGTCCATTGTGGTCCTGCCTCTGCCATTCCATCTTCCTCTGGCCCCTCCCCATGGGCACCTGCAGTTCCACAAAGGCAGTTTTCTTTCTCTCACCCCTGGATCTTTGCACCTGCTGTTTCCTCAGCTTGTAGCCCCTTTCTTTGGCCCCTCTTTCCTGACCAACTCCTTCAAGATTCTCATTAAAGTTTACCTGTTTGTCTATATCTCCCCCAGAATAGTTAGGGAACCTTCCCCTTTGCTTCTATGGCGTTCCCCTGCTACATGCACCTCCAGTACAGTACTTAATTCAACAGGATGTAACCAGCTGCTAAAAGGTTCCATCCTAGTCAAATGTTTGTGTGCTTCCCAAGGGCGGGAACTGCATCCAACAGTCTCTGTTTTCACCCAGCATAAGACCTGGCATCTGTGGAATCAATGAATTCATGAATGGACCCCAGGGGGTCTCAAGGGTATAAAGAATCCCAAGGGACATGTGGGGAAGTGGCCAGAAGACAAGTGGAGGATCATTCGTAACACAACAGCTCTGGGCAGCTTCCTAGGCACCCTGTGTTGGGGAGAGCAGAGAATGGATCCTCAGACAGGTAATGAGGATATTCGGATATTCCTTCTGGCATCACATCTTGCCTGCATTCCTGAGGGCCCCCTACTTGGCAAACAAAACCCTTGAAAGTGGGCCTGTAGGGTTTTCAGGAACAACATATATGGGGTGGGATGTAGGAGGTCCTGAGGTCCTCATGGCACGCGTGTGTTGGGGGTGGGGAGGTGGTAAGTGAGTGGGGAAGAACCCTTGCCAGACCATCCCTCAGGGGCCTTGGACCCAGGGGAGGGCACAGGTACCTGTGTGTGTGTGTGTGCGTGTGTGTGTGTGTGCATTGTGAGTACATTGTCTACTCTTGTTTCTTAAGACAGAGCTCAAATGACAACTCTTCCGGGAAGCCCTCCCCAACACTCAGGCTAAATAAATGCCCCCTCCTCTGCTCTCAGAGAGTTTATAGCCTGATGAAGAGTACCTATGCCATCTGTGATGATGCTGGCCCACATGCCGCTCTGCTCACAGGATCCGGGCTCCTGTTGTCTTATGGAATCTGATAGTGTCGGGATGCTCTAGGTGCTGGGTAGAGGTGTCTGTGCCTGTCTGGCCTTCTATGCTATCTCTTTGCAGTTACACCTATTACTAATGGGCTGTAAGTGCCAGAGAGCTTACAGCACATGTCTACACTCATTTAGATCTTCCTCGGAATGCTGTGGGCACCCTATCACATCCTCTATACCCAACGAGGCCCCCAAGTGATGCCTGGGCCACAACCTTCCCGTGGTTCTTCTGGTTATCACACCTGGGTTCACTCACTTTATATGGAGGGGATGATTCTCAGCCTTGAATGAACTTCAGAATCACTTGGGGAGCTTTTGAAAAAAAATACCAATACCTGGCCCTGGGTATATGGGGCAGAAACATTAAATCAGAATATCTAGGGGGCGAGCTCAGACATGGGTTTAAAAAATACTCATATCAACCTGTGTACCCTTCCATAAGAGCCACGGACGTGTGTAGTAATGTAGTCAAGGTCAGAGGAACTTCCTCACGTACTGGAGAAATTTGCACCCCTCCTTCCTTCCCCAGGCAGCAGGCTTCCTCCTTGCAATCCGCCTGCCGCCTACAGGCGTCGCTGAGGGACAGCTGGCCCAGTTTGCGGATTTTCCTCCGGATCCCACACCCATGTCCAGGGAAAGCCGGAGCCACGGCGGTATAAATTAGCGCCTTTATTTTGATCACCTGAGCGAGCGCCCGCGGCTCGCCCGCCTGCGGTATAAACGTACAAATTCCCTGTAGCACCACACACCATGCCTCAGAGATAAATACAGCCCCAGGGGCTCCTGCTCTGGCAAAGCAACTCTTATTTACAGGAATAGATTACAAAAGTATTACAAAAAGTGGTCCTGAACCGGGAAACGGGTTGGGGGTGGGTTACGGTTACACCTGCTACATTTGGGACCGGAGTGCACTGGGTCTCACGCCCCCCCAAATAACCGGTGCATCCCGGGGCAGGGCTTAGGTCTGCGAGGGTCTCACCCCCATGGGGGAGGGCGCGAGAAAGCTGAACCTAGCCCCTCAAGGTTCAGCTCTGGCCCACCGAGGAACACGGAGCGGCCATCGCAATGGGTCTCCGAGAAGGGTGCTGCGTGGAAAAAACCGCGCTGTGTCCTTGCCCTGTGGGGCGGGGGCGGAAACTTCAGTTCTCCCGCCTCTCCTACCTCAAGAGAGGTCGCTTTTAAAGCGCTGTTGGGAGGGGGGCATTTAAGTTCAATCTTTTGGGCGCGAGGGACCCTAGGGGCACCATCCCTCGGGCGGGTGGGCGGCCACCATCCCCTCAGAGCACCTGGTATATCGGGTTGGGGTTCGCACCCGCAGGGCACTGCGGGGCGGCGTCCGGTGACTGGGTGGGGTCGCCGCTGCTCTCTCCCTCGCTGGGGGCGGCAGCCTCTTGCCTGCGCGGAGGCGACTCAGAAGGCACGTCCGCCAGCAGGAGGGCGGGCGCCGCAGGGCTCTCGGTGGAGATGCGCTCCACGATGCTGGACAGGCAGTCTAGGCTCGACACCGCCGCACTCTTCCCGGGCCTGGGTTCTGCGCGGGGAGGGCTCGGTTAGTAAGCAGGGGTGGGGCCGCGACAAGCCTCCCACCCCCGGGCCCAGTACTTTGAGACAGATTGGAAACTGAGGACTTTAGTTAGAGTCCGGGACAATCCAAAAGACAGGGAGCTACTTGCTTAGTATTTCATCTCCTGCACCACTTCCCAGGACATAGGCGTGTGTGAGTGGGGGTGGGAGCGTCCTAGATAGAGGCCAGGACAGCTCCATGAAGGAGGAGGAGCGAGCAGGGAGAGGCCCGGAATACCCACCGCTGGGCGCCTCGTTGTAGTAGGCGCCTTCGTAGCAGTTCCGCCGCCGGGCGCCGCTCGGGGGGCCGCTGTAGTCCATCTGCAAACAGCAAGGGCGACTGAGTCAGGCCCGCGGGACGGCTCGAGGCCCGAACACCAATTCCTGTAGCCGCCCCCTCCCTAACTCTAGCCTAAGGCTCTAGTTCCGGGCCCAGACCTGTCCTGGTTGGGGGGGTAATTACGGGTGGGTAGGAGATGAGGTCTGCAACATGCAGGGCCAAACCAAGGGCGGACAGTCACCAAGGGGCGCAAATTTACATTTTGGAAGTAGGGATAAGTAGAGAAAAAGATCTTCACGTTCGCGCTGCAGTGTTCTAATAGCGCCCCCAATGGGGCAGCTCGAACGCTTGCCCGCACACTTCCAAAACAGGCTACCCCAGTGACAGCTGCCCAGGACAAGGGGGTCCTCTCTCTCGGGAAGGATCCTGGCCCAAACCTCCCGCAAGGCCAGCTCCCCGCCCTCGGAAACGCGTCCCTGATATCCCGAGCGCCGCCCTAACTTCCTCACTTCCTGGGGTCCCGGCCTTACCATGCCGTCGGAGCAGTTGGAGCGCGGGCTGGACGCGTCGGAGTCGCCGCTGTAGTGCTCGCCGCCGCGGCCCGGGGGCAGCGGGCCCGGCGCATAGAAGGCGGCTGCGGCGCCAGGGGGCGCGGCGTCCTGGTCGCGCAGCAGAGCCTGCAGGCCCTCGATATAGCGGATGGCGTTGCGCAGGATCTCCACCTTGGGCAACCGCTGGTTTGGATTGCTCGACGTGCAGCGCTTGAGTGTCTCAAAGGCCTCATTTACTTTGCTCAGGCGGCGCCGCTCGCGCATGGTGGCGGCCTTGCGGCGGTCGGCGTTGGTGGTCTTGCGCTTGCACGCCTTGCAGGCCCACAGTAGGCAGCGGCCCGCCTGGTGGTGCCCGCTGGGCGCGCGCACATGCTCGTCCTCACGTGCGCCCGGGGCCGGGTGCACCGCCGCGGGGAAGTGCGAGTGCTCTTCGGGTTTCAGGAGCGCGCCCACGTGCATCAGGCGCGGGTCCAGGTCTTCGAAGAAGCGCAGGTCCGGGGAGTCGAAACACGGGTCGTCATAGAAGTCGTCCGTTGTGGCAAAGGAGCAGAGAGAGCCGTCGGGGGCCGTCAGGTCTACGTCGCGGAGCGGTGGCGACAGTAGCTCCATATCCTGGCGGTGGCGCGGCACGGTCCTGGCTTCGCCCAACCCAAGCGGCAGAGAGTGGCCGGAACTTTCTGCCGCTCGGGAGCCCCGGCTGTAGATAGCAAAGTGCTGGCAGTCTGAATGCCCACCCACTGTCCCCCACCCCTCCCTCTCCTGTCCGGCCTGATTTGTGGTTAAGGAAAGCGGCGGCAGCGCCCCAGGGCTTCCTCACCCCTAGCTTCTCGCCAGGCGCCCTGGGCTATTTATCCGTAGTAGCCTAAACGCCCCGGAGCCCAGGCGGGCAGCTGGGGGAGGGGGAGTCCGAGGCCAATAGGAACACTGCGGGGCGGGGCTTGGGGGGGTCCCCGGGGTGGCCGCAGGGGCCCGCAGACTGGCCAGCCAGCCCGCCCCTCCACACTGGCGTGCGCGCTAGGTCCCCTACCGGGCAGGGAGGGAGGGAGCGACCGGCAGCCCTAGGCGGCTGCACTTGGCTCTCCGGCACGCCCTTTCCAAACCTCTCCAACACCCGACTGCTGTATCCGCGGGAAACGCTGGCTGCGCGCGCTCACCTCTGAGCTGACTTTCAATACTCCTCTGTCCCCTGATTTGTGGGGGACCCATGGGTAGAGCGGCTGTAGAAATCAGGTCGTGAGAGATTTGGAGAGAGGCAAGGCATTGGGGGCACAGAGCTGAGGAGTGAGACCGTGAAAGAGGGACCGAAAGAGGCTGAGAGACACGCAGAAAGCAGAAAGCTTAGAGCGTCAGGGGCAGAGAAACGCACGAGTGCAACAACAGGCGGAGAGACCCCGAGAGTTGAAGTGGGCGAGCCCGAGACAAACGGGTCGTAGAGGCTCTGATATTCCGCCAGTCCCCGACCTGGGAGTTGCTCAGCAGGTCGTGGGCCCAGTCCTTCTTCCCTAGACGCTTAGAAACCCAGCTATGGTTGTACAGGAATCGGAGATTGCTGCTAAAGCTTCGCGCCAATCTCTCCAAACTCGGATCCTGCCCAGGTTAGGAATCCCCTCCATCTAAATCTGCACGTTTCCACAGCAGGGGTGTCCAGTGCCATGCCTGGGGTCTAGGCTGAGCTGCCTCTTCAGCTGGGAAGAAAACCCTTCTGCTCGGGGCTTGGCTCCGCCTCACTCGCGGTGCTGAGTCAAGGAAAGTGCATTTCGCCAAGGTGTCAAACTTCAGGACCTGGCCTGAGAACCTGACCTCATCTCACCTGAAGTCTCCGAGAGTGCGGTTTGCAGACCAGTTGAGTGCAGACTCCAGAGTTTCCCAACTGTGTGATTTTGTGGAAGTCATGTCTCCTTCCTGAGCCTCAGTTTCCAGTTATAGATTTGGGGATGACAGTAATTTCTTGGAGTAATTGTGGTGGGGATGACAGTCTGAAGAGACCAAGGATATGGAAGCCCTCAGGCGGTGATGTAGGGTTATTCGAGCAAGGGGCTTTCAGAGTTGGATGCTGTGTCCCGCAGGCTTACAACTCATCTGTGGTACCATGCCCTGACGGAGTGCCACGAGTCTCCAGGCCTTAGCTGTGTCTCTTTCCTGCAGCCTCACTGGAAAGGCTGGAAACAGGAGGAGGCAACCACCCCATGGGATGTGGGATATCTGGCTCCCATACAAGCCTCAGCATACCGGCCACCCCCATGGGGGTCTCTCAGCCTCTTCCTGAATCTGCAGTTCACACAGTCCTCTCAGCACTCTGGCTAGGAATCTCCGTTGGCCATACATCCCTGCCTGGATCTCCCCTCCTGGAAACCAGAAATTTAAGCAGGAGTGATCTTTGTGCCTTTCCCACTAACTTCTGGAAGGCATTCTAGCTGGCCGTTCTGGGCCCTAAGAAGTCCTCCCTTCCCACAAAACTCAGAGGGCTCTGTTGGGGTCCTAACTTCTTCACTTCTCTGCTGCTGGTAGTGGTGCTGAAGGTCTCCCTTCATGAAGTACTCACCTCGCTTTACTCCATAGGGCCCACCTGTATTTGTTCATTCAGTAAAGTCTACATCATGGAGCAGCAGTGACAGTAACTCTAAATCCTGGCAGAGGCAGCAAAGTCCTGGCCTCACCCCACCCAAGCTGCAGGGGGTCACCCGGAAATCCACATATTGTTAGGTATCCATTATGTGGCAGGTACCAGTCCAAGTGTGGGGCTAGAGCAATGAACAAAACCAAGACTCTGCTTACATGGCACTTACATTGTCAATGTAAGCAGGGTGATAGACAATGAACAAATAAGCAAGGAAGTATGTGATGCCAGGAGGTTAGAAGCCTTATGAAGAAAAAGCAAGGCAGGGAGACACAGTGATGAAGATTATGGAGTGATTAGAGAAGGCCTCTCTGCTACATTTAAGCAGAGACCTGAATGAAGAGAATTGGAAGCAGATACCTGGAGATATGTAGGGCCAGATAGAGGGATAAGCATGTGCAAAAGTCCTGAGGCAGGACCATGTTTGGCAGATTCAAAGTATGGCAAGGAGGCTCATATGTCTGCAGCAGGGTGAGTAAAAGAGATAGTGGGAAATGGGGTGAGAGAGAGAGAAACAGGATTATATTCTGAGATGGCTTGAGCCATCTCACTGGAGGGCTTGAGCGGAAGAGAAGAATATCACTATCTGATTTACATTTTAACAGGAGCATGCTGGTTACTGGAGGGAAAGGGCAGAAGGAGGGAGACCAATTAGGAGGCTATTGCAATAATCCCAGTGAGTGGAGCTGGTGAAAAGTGGTGGTTGAATTCTAGATATATGTTTTCAAGATGGAGCTAGCAGTATTTACTCACGATTGCATGTGGGAAGTGAGATAAGCAAGGAGCTAAGGATGACTCCTGCAAGAATGGAGTTGAGAAGACTAGGTTTGTGGGTGGTAGATTAAGTGTCCAGGTTTGGGCAAAATTTGAAATGCATATCGGATATCCAGATGGAAGTGTGGATTAGGCAGGGGGATTTTTAAGGCTGGAGTTCCCAAGGAGAGGTCTGAGTATGAGGAAGAGCTGTCCATTCTACCTCTAAGACCTGTCTCAAGTCAGTCCATCCCTAGTGTCACCATCCTGGACTAAGCTGTCACACTGCTGCTCTGGATGACCACAATAACCTGGCTGCCCTCCTCACTTCCTCTGTAGCCTCAGTATAATCCATTCGTTACATAGCAGCCTGAGTAGACCTTTACAATGTAAATGGGATTATGCCATCCTCCTGCTTCAAACTCCCCAGCAGCTTCTTGCATTTAGAGTAAAATCTCATCTCCATCCCCTGGCCTATCAGGCCCTGCATGAGCTAGCCTCAGCCTGTGTCTCTTACTACACCTGGAGGCACCATCCGTTTTGATTGCTCTACTCCAGTTAGCCTGACCTCCTTTCTTGTCTTCTAACACTCTGAACAGGATCCTGCCTTGGAGCCTTGTCCTTGCTGCTCTAAACTCATAGCATTATCCCCTGGGCTTTTCCCAAGATTGACTGCATTTTATATAATAGATCTTCTTGCCTCCTTGGGACATCACTGACCATTCCCTCTAAGATAACTGCCCCCCATACTCTGGTTCACACCACCCTGTTAATTTCCTTCCAGGCACTGCCACTCTTTATAATCTTCTTCATTAGTTTGTTCATGACTGACTTAGCCCCATGAAGGCAAAGATGTTTTGTTCACAATGACATTTCCAAAAACCATCACAGTGGCAGTCACACAGTAGGCACCTGATAAATGTCCAGTGAATGAATGAGTGGCCTCACGCCCTTTGCATCTCTATGCATATATTTGAATGTCTTGAACTGTGACATTAATGAAGATGGTTGAATTTCTTCAAAACTGGGAAGTCACATACATGATTAGACATCCATGTTCTATTACACTTGCTCTTCCCAGGAAAGGCTCAGACCCCATCTGCCTGGGGCATGTTCTCTTGAACTGGGCATTATACATGGCATGCTGCAATATTGTAGTGGTATACTATAGAGAGATTTGGCATCTCGATGTGTCTTCTTATTGTTTTTTCACTATACTCACAATGAGGAATGTAAGTAATTGTTGTATTGATGATTTAGAAACAAATACTTCTTCCTACTTGCTCAAGGCTCAGCAGAAAGCCAGGTGCATAGTAGGCACTCAATAAATATTTCTTGGGCAAATGAATGAATGAGTCTACTTAATTAAAGAGTACTCTGAGATTCCCAGGTGAGCTATTCAAACCACTTATCTATGCAAATCTAGATTTTCCCCAAATCTGAATAAGCAAGAAACTACAAAATAAATTGGATGCTGAGACAAGTGAATACAACTTTGCTTTTTGTGCTTTGTGTTTCTAAAAACTTCCTCAGGGCTGTCATCAAGTTGCCTTTACAATAAATAAGTAAATGTTATATGTTTGAACTTACCAAACACATTTAATATTTTATCACTTATGGCTTATAAATCTAAACTGCTTTGACAGTTTTAAGCTTGATTTGCAGCTACATCTTCTTCCATAATTAGGAAGCGCTGTTTTAAAGCACACAGACATTCTAGTGGTAAAATGCCATTTTTATATTAGGCTTTCAAGTGGGATTTTTGTTTGCTACCAGGCTTCCGTTGCTCAAAAAAAGATTGGAACTCACTGAACTCGGTGACCATTTCAGACCTCTCCATGCCTGGCATCCACACCTGCCTGGAATCACCCTTCTGGTTGCGTCTCCTCTTTGGAGAGAGGTTTGTCAACACCATCATCTCTTCCCTGCTGCCCACAGAGCAGGGAGAAGTATGTCCAACCTGGGACATGTTGTCCTTTTAGTCCCAGTGCTGGGTTGGGGGCGGAGGGAAAAAGGATACCAAGTTTGGAAGCTGAAAACATTCAAACTCTTATACTGCAGAGTCTAGTCAAGGGTGCCCTTTGTCCACAGGTGCTGGACTTGTTCTGTGAGGGGCCACTAGCAATGGGCTGAGGGACTTTGAGGGGATCCCCTGGCAGCCCCCTCACCCCTCAACGCAGGTCTGACCAGAATGGTAGGCTCTGTGCTTGGGGGCATGTGCACACCTCGCCCTGGGCCTGGCTTCTGCTGTCTTCATGATGAGGGGCTCATTTGGTGGGGAGTGGGGAGGGAGTGCTGCCTGGGCTGCCCCTTCTCCCTCTGCCCTTTCCAGTCCTCCCCTCTCAGCTCCCTTGGCTGCTCTGCCCAGGGGCTATAAATGGAGAGCTGGCCTCTGGAAAGGAATGTGGGCCTGGCTGGGCCCCCACAGTGTTGTGCCCTCAGGGAGCGGCCCTGGGGCTCCCGGCAGCCTTTATATATATAGCCTCTGGAAACCCAATCCAGCCTGCACCTGCCCCAGTCTTCACGCACCCTGCCCCTGCCCAGGCTGGGCCTGTGGCTCTGCACTGGGGCTGACACAGGCTGCGTATCTGGCCGGGAGGTGGGGGGCGCCAAAGGGCCAGAAGGTAAAAGCATGAGTGGGCCTGGTGGGGCAGGGCCAGCTCCAGGTCCCCTCTCTGTCCCCAGCCTTTCCCTTCCTGTTCCTGGGTCCAACCTGAGTGCCTCCCTCTGTCCCCTGACAAACTTGCTCCCTGGGAAAGCCAAAATCCACCCACCACATGGGTATAGATCCTTCTCTGGGCCCAGTCTGGGTTGGTCAGGAGGGACTGTGATATTGCCAGGATATAGACATGGTCCCAGATTAGGGACAGGGTCCCAGAGATTCCTCACAGAAGGCCACATTTCCCCGTTTGGGGGTACTCTCCAGCCTCCCACAGACAAGCAGGGCTTAGGAGTCTGGCAGCTGAGCTGGGAGTTGAAGAACAGGAGTCCACACTGTGGAGGGAGGGAACAGGAAGACAACCAACAGCATGTGCCCTTCCCACCCAGTGTGCAGGGGGTGGGGGCAGGGCACTATTGGGGTGGTGGGGATATTCCCACTCTCAGTTGTCCAGTCTATGATTCATTCACTTATACAACAAACATTTATTCAGGTGCTGGGAATGTGATGGAGAATGAAACAGACCATGTTCCTTGTTCCTGTGGAACTGACATGCGGGCAGGGCAGGGCAGACAATAAGCAATACACATAATAATAAATAAATTATATAGATGTTAGAAGGCGATACACGCAGAAAAATATTACAAGCAGAACAAGATGAGCAGGATTGAGGTGCCAGGTTGGGGTCGGCTGTAGTGTTAAACAGAGTGGTCAGGTTGGCAAGGTAACATTTGAGCAAAGAGTTAAAAGAGGCTTGGGAGTTAGCCATGTGGCATCTGGGGAAGAATGCTCCCGGCAGAGAGAACAAAATAATTATTGAGCACCTTCTATGGGACAATCGCTTCTGCTAGGAGCAGAGGATTCTGTGGGTACAGACAGGCATGGCTCCTGGAGCTGTAGGGGCTGGGGGGTGTGGGGGTGGCACGAGATAGAGTTTGGGCATGGGGTTTGATGGGCAATCTGTTACTTCTTCTTTTTTAAAAAATTGAAACAGAATCTCGCTCTGTCGCCCAGGCTGGAGTGCAGTGGCGCGATCTCAGCTCACTGCAACCTTTGCTGCCGGGGTTCAAGCGATTCTCGTGCCTCAGCCTCCTGAGTAGCTGGGACAACAGGCGCGAGCCACCATGTCTGGCTATTTTTTGTGTGTTTTTAGTAGAGATGGGGTTTCACCATGTTGGCCAGGCTGTTCTCGAATTCCTGACCTCAGGTGATCTACCTGCCTCAGCCTCCCAAAGTGCTGGGATTACAGGCATGAGCCACCCGCACCTGGCCAATTTGTTACTTCTAATGAAAGAATATCTTACAAACCAAGAGATTCTTGAAGAACTAGGCATAATAGGCTAGAGCTGTTTATTCCCCTCTTCAATAGGTTTATAAAAACTCCCTCCAAAACTGACATAGTACTTAAATTTAAGAGGGAATTCTCTAGATGTGATTTTTAAATTTAATTATAACTTCATCTAGAACTAAGCTTTAGCCCAATTCAGGATGTGAGATGAGGGTGGGCTGCTACCCAGGGAAGAGGCTAAAGGGCATGGGATGTGACCCATGTGAGCTTGGTGTTATGGGGGGACCCTCCCTGCAGCCCGCCCAGCTCTTTCCCCCACGAGGCCCCACATGCCATGTGCACCTCACATTCCATGCAGCCCTCACAATGCCTCTCACTCCGGGTTCTTTCCCAGACACTAGGAAGCCAGATGAGTGAAAATAGCAGGAGCTGAGACTGCCCACCAGGTAGGGGAAGCTGAGGCCAGGCTTAAGAACCCACTGATGCCTGGCTTCTGGAAAGACCTGAGGCGTTCATTCATTCATCCAGCCTCTCTTCTTCAAGCTTATTCTTTATGTAATTAAAGACTTTCTCTGCCTCAGAGGTGAGCCCTGGGGTCTTTGTGGGACTAGATTCCTGGGGTTTGAAATACACATGCGCTGTTTACTAAACAACACAAATAAGGTGACAATAACTTAATGACTAGAAGTGTTCAAGCAGGCAGAGCTCATGAAGGTGCTAATTATTCTTCTAGCCTAAAGACATTAGGCTCCCGGGGTGAGGAGGTCTACATGAAAGGAGAGTTCACTACCTTCACATTTGAAAGCACCAAAAAAATGCGAATTCAACTTGCAGCATGAGGGATTTAAGTCAGATGTAAAAATAATATTACCAACGTATGGTATTCCTCAAAGAGCACATTGCCCTTGAGCTAACGTGGTATGGATGCAGGCAGAAGGATGGAGGAGAAGGCCTCTCAAAGCTGCCTTCTCCTTTATGTATAAAAGGACTCCTGAAAAGCCAGAGGACGTCCCTCTGTCTCCTCTGCCTGTGACACTGCTCAGGAGGTTGTGCCATGCGTCCAGAGTGTGAGCCCAGGACAGAGCTGACAAGCACATTTTCTTGGAAGGACAGTTTGTCCTCACCTGCATTCTTCCATATGCCTTTGTGGTGTCATAGCTATGTGCACCTGATAAACTGCAGACAAGTCACATACAGTGCTCACCTTACACTGTGCACACCTCTCACACAATATACAGTGCACGCTCCCTGTACACCTCTCTGATAATGTACACCTCACACTCCCTGCACACCTCTCACAGAATGCACACCACACACCCCCTGCACGCCTCTCACAGAATGCATGCCACATACTCCCTGCATGCCTCTCACAGAATGCATGCCTCACACTCCCTGCACACCTCTCACAGAATACACGCCTCACATTCCCTGCACGCCTCTCACAGAATGCACGCCTCACACTCCCTGCACACCTCTCACAGAATACACGCCTCACATTCCCTGCACGCCTCTCACAGAATGCACGCCTCACACTCCCTGCACACCTCTCACAGAATACACGCCTCACATTCCCTGCACGCCTCTCACAGAATGCACGCCTCACACTCCCTGCACGCCTCTCACAGAATACACGCCTCACATTCCCTGCAAACCTCTCACAGAATACACGCCTCACACTCCCTGCACGCCTCTCACAGAATGCACGCCTCACATTCCCTGCACGCCTCTCACAGAATGCACGCCTCACACTCCCTGCACGCTTCTCACAGAATGCATGCTGCACACTCCCTGCATGCCTCTCACAGAATGCACGCCGCACACCCCCTGCACGCCTCTCACAGAATACACACCTCACACTCCCTGCATGCCTCTCACAGAATACACGCCTCACACTCCCTGCACACCTCTCACAGAACGCACGCCACAAACTCCCTGCACGCTTCTCACAGGATGTACACCACATGCTGCCTGCAGCCTCTCTCATAATGTACATCTTTCACATAATGTATACCTCTCACATAGTGTACACCTCACAATTCCTATGTGCCTCTCACAGAATGTACAGCTCACGTTCCCTCTATGCCTGTCACATAATGTACACCTTATGCTCCATCTACCTCTCTCATAATGTGCATCTTTCACATACTGCACACCTTTCACATACTGTACACCTCTCACATACTGCACACCTCTCACATAATGTACAGTTCACCCTCTCTGTACACCTCACATACCACATATATCTCAAGCACTGTGTGTATCTCTCTTGTGCCATGTCTACCTCACACTCCATGAATATGTTACACACTGGGTACATCTCTTATATTGTGTACATATCCCACTCCATGTACACCTCACACACACACACACCTCACACTCCATGTTACCTCACATACTATGTACAAGTCTCACATTGTTTACACATTACATGCCATGTACACCTAACACTCCGGATACACTTGACACTCTATGTAAACTCACATGCCATGTAAACCTCCAACAGCAGTATGTCCCACATATGGGATATTTCCTCTCTCACATCATGTGCATATCACACATATTACACCTCATATACTGTGCATGCTTCATAGTCCATGCACACCTCACACATGCGTATACCTCCCATGCTGTGCACCCCTCACCTACAGAACACACACACTTCACATGCCATGTGCACACCACAGATGCGTCCCACCTGCTCATATTCTAAGTTAGGTACGTCCACACCTCAGTCCCAGTGTGAATGCTTGTCTCCACCTATGTGCCTAAACATCCCCAGCCCCATTCAGAAAGAAGACGCTAAGGGGCACAGATGCCGTGACATCCATCTCTTCTTTGTGTTTTCCAGTTTGAACTTTTTAAGCTGAATCTTCCTACCTCAAGGAGGTCAGACCTCCCTCTAAGGGCTGAGGGAGGAGCAGCTCAGGGCTGAGGGGATAGCTGGTGACGAGGACCTGGTGATGGGGTGGCACATGTAGCAAGATCCAGAGGGCGGCTGTGGGGACCTGGAGAGGGGGCTCGGCTCTCCACCCCTCTCCTGTTGCCTCCTTTCTGCCTCATCAGTCCACCTGCCAGCCTGGGGGGCACCAAGGACTGGGATTAAGGCACACACAGCCGTTGGGCTCTGGGACAGACACCAGCTGCAGCCCCCAGCAGCTGCCCCAGCCACATACCTCTGAGTGGAGACCTAACGCCTTGAAGAAGCCTGATTCCCCCCTCCAAAATCTGCTTATCCCTGGCCAATAGCACCCAGGACAGGGGTTTCCTGGCAGAAGAACGGAGGGCAGAGGTCTCATGAATGATGCCCTCACCGCCTGCGAGTCTATGGTTTGCCTCCGTCCTACATCCCGTCCTGCCACCTCCGTGAAGCTCTCCTGGACTGCTGCTTTCCCCCTGGCTTGGGAAGGTGATTTATGGCCCATGCGCCTCAACAGGCCTAACCTCCCCCAACCCCTCAAGCATTCCCCAGACACCCACCCTGTTTCCAGGCCCCAGGTTAGGTGCAGTAAGATCTAGGGATGATTCAGACAGCATCCCCAGCCTCAAAGAGCTCTGTCTATTGGGGAAAGAGCAATCCATAAATGAATAATCAAAACACCCTGGGGGAGCACCAAGAGGGAACAATGAACTCTCTTGTGGACACCCAAGAAGAGTTCCCCAAGGAGGAAATATTGCTATCCTTCTTCTTGGTTACTGAAGGATGAATAGGAGTGCCCAAAGTGGGTCGGGGGGCTGCTGTAGGGAAAGGCTTTCCGGGCTTACAGAACAGCATGGGTGAAGGCCCGGAGGCATGACATGTGTTGGGATGTTCCTCAGGTGGCTGACGCTGGATCCAGGGTTGCTTGAATCATTTAAGACCTGTTGCTTCAGGCACCCCGAGGTGTGAGTGGGCTCTGTCTGAGGTGAAGCCACCAGTTTTCCAGGCAAGACAACAGGTCATGGCAGGGGTAGAGGACTGCAGTAAGAGGTCAGAGACTACATACAGTGGAGAGAGCCCGGACCAGAGCCAGAAGACCAGGGTTTTCACCTCGCTGTGCTGCACCCTGCTGCGTGACCCTCTCTCAGCTCTGTCCCCTCCTGGGTCCCACTTTCTTCACATGTAGGATGGAGGCGTTGGATGCCTGACTCCATACACACTCAGGAATGAGGAGGTCTTGCAGAGTCCCTTCTTCTCCGTGTCTTCTCAACCTCCCTCTTGGGCCTCCCTTCTCTGGGCAGGAGGGCAGCTGCCCATCCTCTGACTCCATCCACATGGCCCACATAGGGCTGGAACACCACACAGTCAGCTCTGGGGTGAAGCAGAAGCTGTGTGAGGCGAGGGCCCAGCATGAGATCAGAAGCCTGCTCCCCAGACTGGAAAGAAGTTAACTTGGGGGTCCCCACAAAGGAGCACTGGGGGACCATGAATATCATAGTCCTTTGCTTCTCCCAAAGATGGAGCACAACTTGCCTGGGTCCATCTGAACTTGGCCTAGGAGAATATGGTGCTGAGCTTGCCCAACATGGAGACTGGACCACCAGTGCTGGGGCTATGTTCCTCATGTGTCTCCACTGGACTTAGGAGTCTAATACACCTGGATTCAAATGCTGTGTCTGCTCGTTACTTACCTTGGGTAAGTCACTTCCCCTCTCCGTGTCTCATTTTTCCCAGCTGTCAAATGTGACTGGTTCTAGCACCTACGGAGGATGTAAGGGTTCAGTTGTCAAGGTATACACAGTGCTTGCATCATGCCTGTCTCAGGGTGCACAGTAGGAGCTTGGGAATTATTCTTGCTTTGCTTGATCTCTCTTTGGATGGAAGCCATGGGCAAGCAGTGGGTGGGGTGGGGATGAGGAAGTTGGGAGCCTGGCCTAGTTATTCTGGACTCTGGACCTCTTGGAACTGGGGGTCATGGTGGGGTTAGGGGTGGCTGGAAGCGTGGGTGATGATGCAGCCTGTGAAGTGTTGCCTGCAGCAGCAGGAATCACTGCCTCCACCATGCACACGGGCTAGCCTGCCAGCCACTCCCAAACAAAGCCTGGCCAGAGGGGAGCAGAGCAGGCCGATGACAGATGCAGACAGGCTGTTGCAGGCAGGGCCAGGGCCAGGGGCTGGGGGAGGCCCAAGGAGGCAGTTCTTTGCTAAGGCATCCCCAGAGAAGGCTGAGGTCCAGCAGAGTTCACATTTCAGCAGCTAGTGTCCCCACCCTGCCCCAACACCAGTGGCATTTATCCTCGTTGCATGGTGTTGGAACCTGAGGCCCAGAGAGGGTAAGCCACTTGCCCAGGGTTCACATATGCTTAGATATGGAGGTTCTGGGACAGAAATGCTTATCTCTTGCTTCTACATATCTGGTTAACTCTGAATCCCAGATCTTGGAAACAGGGAATGGGCTTCTTCAGGCCCCTTTATGCCCAGGAATCTCTGAAGGAACAAGGATGAACTTCCACCACCTCATGCCTTTGAAGCAGGGACATCCCCACCAATGGTGGACAAAGGCAGACACAGGACCCCAGGAGCTGGCGCTGATTTGGTTTCTCCGTGATCAAGTGGTGGCTGTTTCTGCCCTGACCTCTGACCTCTGGCCCATTTGACTCAGGGGTCTTGGGTCTCTGTTCCTACTTAGCTATCATGGGATGGGAGCTCAGAGTGGGCTTGTCCCAGGAACTTGGGAGAGCCAGGGAGGTGGGGAGAACATGGGGAGAAAGAAACATCTGGTCTTGGGGCCTTGCTGCTCTCCATCCTTTCAGGCCTTTCCCTGCCTTTTCTTCCATTCCAAGCCAAAGCTTTCCCACTGTTTCTTATGAATGATTTTGAACATTGACAGAAATAGACACAATAATACTGTGAACCCCATTACCACTTCCAATAACCATTAGTCCATGTCCAAACCCGACCTGTCAATGCCCTGCCTACTTCTTCCCCTTGTATGATTTTGAAGCAAATTTCAGACATCCCATAATTTCATTTGTATATATTTGATTATGTATGTCTAAAACCTAAGGACTGCCTTTTAAAACATAAGCACAATATCCTAAGCAAATTTCAGACATCTTGTAATTTCATTTGTATATATTTGATTATGCATATCTAAAACATAGGGACTTCTTTTTAAAACATAAGCACAGTATCATTAGCATACTAGAAAAAGTAATAGTAATTCCTTATGCCAGCAAATATCCAGGCAGATTTCCATTTGTCTCATAAATTTTGTTTGTTTGTTTGAATCAGGATCCAAACAGGTCTGCACCACAATTGTGATTGGTTGATCTGTCTTTTTACATATAAGTTTCCCTCCGTATCTTTTTTCCCCTTGCGATTTATTTACTTTTAAAAACTGGGAAACTGGGTTGCTTGTTCTGCAGTTTGTTATAGTCTGGGATTTTCAGATTGCATCCCCATGGTGTTTTTGTTTGTTTGTTTGTTTGTTTGTTTTTTGAGACGAAGTCTTGCTCTGTCACCCAGGCTGCAGTGCAGTGGCGCGATCTCGGCTCACTGCAAGCTCTGCCTCCCGGGTTCACTCCATTCTCCTGCCTCAGCCTCCTGAGTAGCTGGGACTACAGGTGCCCGCCACCACGCCCGGCTAATTTTTTTTGTAGTTTTTAGCAGAGACGGGGTTTCACTGTGTTAGCAAGGATGGTCTCGATCTCCTGACCTCCTGATCCACCCGCCTCGGCCTCCCAAAGTGCTGGGATTACAGGCGTGTGCCTGGCCCCTATGGTGTGTTTTAACAGGTTCACCTGTTCTCTGTATTTTCTGTAAATTGTTGGTTGGATAGAGGCTTGGTCAGATGAAGATTTGATTCGTTTGGGTAAGACTGCTCTGTAGGAGATGTGTTCTTCTCTCAGGGGTGCATAATGCCTAGGTATCTTCAATCAAGTTTCTAGAGTGTCTTCATTCGCTGGCTCCTCCTCCTCTTCTCCTGCTTTCACATTCACTCCCAAAGACAGGAAAGTGGGTGAGACACCTATTCACCAAAACAGCCACCAACAACCTTATTATTGCTGAGGGGACATTTCTCTGTCCTTGCCTTATAGGACGCCCTTTAAAGTCACCAACGACTATGTCCTCTTGCTCAAAATGTTCTATTCCCTTGGTTTCCAAGACAACATCCTCTCTGGTTCTGCTCTGACCACTGACCATTCTTTTAAAACCTACTTCCCAGTCTTCTCTTGTTCCATCTGCCACTGAAGTGATGATGCTCCCTCCAGGTTCTGACCTTTGGCCATACTTTCTTCACTCTCTGTGGAGTCATTATTCATTTCCAAGACATACCCACCACCTGAACACAGACAAATTCATCCACATCCATTTCCCTAGCAAACCCTCACCTGCGAGCCTCAGACTCATGTATCCAACTGTCTATTTCACATCTCCACCTGAATATCTCACAAGCTCCCCTAATTCATCATGTCCCCAAATGTGCTCACTACCTTCCCCTGGAATCCAGCCTGTCCTCAGGAAATTTTTCTGTCTCATTCAATAGCACCACTACCTCCTTTGTCACCCAATGTAAGGACCTAGCCATCATCTCCCACCTCTTCTCCCTTGTACCTTCATTTAATCGGCCACTAAGTCTTACTGATTTCATCTCTTAAATATCTCTTGAAGTCATCTTCATCTCTCTGCTCCAATTACCCTGTTGTAGGGTGGCCCCTGACAGCCTTCATCTCCACTATTGTAGCAACCTCATAGCTGGTGTCTCTGCCTTGACTCTTAGTCTCCTTTAAGTTGGTCCCAACACTGCCCCTGGACTGATGACTCTATAATAGAAATCTAGCAGTGTCCCCCTTGCACAACCCTTTCAGAGCTCCCCATTGCCTCCAGAATAAAGTCCTAGTGCCCTGGCATAGCATTCAAGGCCTTTCAGAATGCATTTCTACTTATCTTCTGGCCACATGGCTCAGTGTTCCCTGGGAAGTAATATGGGTTCCTCCAACAGGATGACTTATGTGGCCAAAATTCTGCTCTTGCCATTTCCTTCTTCCAGGAATTTCCCCTCTCCTTTCATGGCCCACCCTGTCACTTGTCCTTGAAGATTCAGTTCAGAATGTCTCAATAAGGAAGCTTTTCTAATAGCCTGGCCCCAGATCTCTGGCTTCCAGTCTGACTCAGTGCCCTCTCTCTGTCCTCATGTCTCAGTTTCCTCATCTGTAAGGATGTATTATATGAATGAAATATATAAACATAAGTAAAGAATGTAAAACAGCAAAAACAGTAAGTGGCTCCATAATTGTTGCTATTATTATTGCTTCTAACATGACATTTTCCGTATTAGATTGACACTATTTTCTGGTCAGTCCTGCATCCTAGGCTATGATTTCTCCACATATAGCATGCATCACTCATTCATTTGTTTGGCTAGAGACACAACAGAGACAGCCAGTTGTCCTCCAATATCCATACCTCACTTTTTTAACATAATGATATAATGTTTACTTGGAAACATGGTATATCAGTCAGCTTGGGCAGCCCATAACAAAATACTACAGACTGGGTGGCTTCAATCTAGAAATATATTTTCTCACAGTTCTGGAGTCTGGAAGACCAAGGTCAAGGTGCTAGCAAGGTTATTTCTCCTGAGGCCTCTCTCCATGGCTTGCAGACAGCCACCTTCTCACTGTGTACTCACATGACCTTTTCTCTGTGCATGCACATCCCTGGTGTCTCTGTTCTTGTTAGGACACCTGTCATATTGGATTAGGGCCCCACTTTTATGATTTTAATTAACTTTAATGACCTCCTTAAAGGCCCTATCTCCAGATACACTCACATTGGGGATTACGGCTTCAACCTATGAATTTCCAGGTGAGGACACAATTTAGTCCATAACACATGGCCATCTAGCAGAAGACTACATTTCCCAGATGCCCTTGCAGCTAGCTGTGACCATGTGACTAAGTTGTAGCCAATGGGGTATGAGTGGGAGTAATTTGTGTGCAACTTCTTAGTTATGACTTTTGAGGGGAAGGAGCTGGCCTTCTTTCCCTCTCCCCATTGGTTGGTATGTGGGTGATTGGCAGGAGCTGGAGTGGCCATCTGGTAGACAGAAGAATGGCTCTTCCTCAAAATGTGCACATCCTAATCCCTAGAACCTGTGAAAACATTACGTTACAAGGCAAAAAGGACTTTGCAGATGTGGATGGGAAGATTATCCTGGATTCCCGAGGTGGGTCCAATGTATTCACAGGAGTCCTTATAAGGGAAAGAAGGAGGCAGGTAAGTCAGAGTCAGAGAGGAAAATGTAGCTATGGAAGCAGAGGTTGGAGTGATGTGGCCATGAGCCAAGGAATGCAGGTAGCTTCTAGAAGCCAGAAAAGGCAGGGAATGAATTATCCTCTAGAGCCTTCAGAAGGAGCACTGCTCTGCCAACCTTGATCTTAGCCCTCTGAGGATCAATTCAGACTTCTGACCTCTGGAATTGTAAGATGATAAGTCTGAATTGCTTCAAGCCGTTAAGTTTGTAGCAATTTGTTTGAGCAGCAATGGGAAACTAATATACCACCTTAGATCATGTGATGGAAGTTGCAGATTGAAGATCTGCAGAGCAATGAGAAAGAAAGAGAATCTGGGTGTCCAGTATTATTAAGCTGCCACATAAGTCTTTAACCACCTACGTGGAATTTTATGTAAGCAAAGAATAAACTGAAATTTTTAGGTCTTTTTGTAATCACAGCCGTCTAATCTGTATCCTACTGATATGCCTACCTGCTATGGGTCTGGCAATGACATGGGCCCTAGGCAGTAAGATGTATATTGTATGTGGTGAGGTGGCTGGGATATGCCCAGGAAATTATGTGAACACAAAAAAGGAGGCAAGAAATATTTGCTATACTAAGCTGACTGCTGCTAGGTAAATAAGAAATGCTCTTCTCATTTTGCAGATAAGGCCAAGAGGTTGGGGGGCTGTCTCCCAGGGATACAGATGTCATGTCTCTGAGGAGGAAGTAGAGGTTCTGGGGTAATCTTTAGGGAAGATGAGAAGTGAGTGCCCCTTGCAGGGAAGTGGTGGGAGTCAAGTGGGCTGTGGTGTCACACTGCCTAGGGTGTACTCATGACTCTGCCACTGACCGTGTGACTTTGACAAGTCCCTCAATCTCTCTGAGCCTCCATTTCCACATATGAAAGGTGGAAATATTAATTTACGTTTCAAAAAGTGCTGTTGTGTGACCAGGCGTGGTGGCTTATGCTTGTAATCCCAGTACTTCGGTAGGCCGAGGTGAGTAGATCTCTTGAGCCCAGGAGTTCGAGACCAGCCTGCATAACGTGGTGAAACCCCGCCTCTACAAAAAGTACAAAAAAATTAGCTGGCCATGGGGGCATGTGCCTGTAGTCCCACTTGGGAGGCTGAGAGGTGGGAGGATCACTTCAGCTCAGGAGGTCGAGGCTGCAGTGAGCTATGATCATGCCACTGCCCTCCAGCCTGGGTGACAGAGCAAGTCCCTGTGTCAAAAAATAAAATAAAATAAAATAAAGTAAAATAAATTTAAAAAGTGCTGTTGTGGTTATGAAGTAGGAGAATGCAGGAAAAGTGTATCCAAAGCACAGAGCTAGGAACATAGTGAGTACTCAGTCAGCAGCTACTGGCTGGGCATGGTGGCTCACACCTGGAATTCCAGCATTTCAGGAGGCCAAGGTGGGAGGATTGCTTGAGGTGATCCAGCTTGAGTTTGAGACCAACCTGGTTTTGAGCCTGGGTCTTGAGTTTGAGAACAGCCTGGCAACATAGTGAGACCCTATCTTTACTAAAAATAAAAATATTAGCTGGGCGTGGTAGTAAGCACCTGTAGTCTCATCTACTTGGGAGGCTGAAGTGGGAAGATGGCTTGAGCCTGGGTTGAGGATGCAGTGAGCTGTGATAGTGCCACTGCACTCCAGCCTGGGTGACAGAGTAAGACTCTCTCTCTGCCTCTCTCTCTCTCTCAATAAATAAATAAATAAATAAATAAATAAATAAATAATAACCAAACAAACCCAGCAGCTACTGTTAGTTCTCACCTGTCCAAAACTCAATGATCAGACCTGCCTACTGAATGTTGGAGATGTTTAACACCCATCAGCCCCTGTGAATTCCCAATAGTTAAGCCCGGATCTCACACACACAAGCTTCTACAATACTTATAGCTGCCGTGATTTTATAGCCCGTGCCCAAGGAAGAGAGGAAGAGGTGAAAGGGTTTGCCCCGCTGCCCCTCCTTCCATCTCCCTCTCTTTTGTCCTAAATGAAGATGAAGGCCACGTGCTGCATGAGTCCAACTATAGGACATTCTGGAAAAGGCCAAACTATGGAGACAGTAAAAAGATCAGTGGTTAACTAGGGGTTGAGGGGATGGAGGGTTGAATAAGCAGAGTGCAGATAATTTTTAGGGCAGCAAAACTATTTTGTATGATACTGTAATGGTGGATACATGTCATTATCGCTTTGTCAAAGCCCATAGAATGTACATCACAAAGAGTAAACGCTAATGTAAATTGTGTACTCTGGGTGATGATGATATGTAGTTTCATCAGTGTTGGTTTGTTGATTATAACAAATGTCCTCTGGTGCAGGATGTTGACAGTGGGGGAGGCTGTGCATGTGTAGGTGCAGGGGTATATAGGAACTCTCTGTGCTCTGCTCAATTTTACTGTGAACCTGAGACTGCTCTGAAAAATAAAGTCTTTTTTTCTAATGGCATGTATCTGTTATCTATTACCGTGATAATTATGTGTAATAAGCCGCTCTCCAAAATCCAGTGGCTTCAAACAATAAGCCTTTAGTTTCTGAGTCTGCAGTTGGCTATTTAGATTGGGCTGTTTTCCTAGGCTCTGCTGGGCTCACTCACATGCTGTACTTTACTGGCTCAGGCTGGTCTTGGCTGGGGAACTGGGCGACTCAGCTGCGCTCCACAGGCCTCACCTCTAGCAGGCTAGCCTAGGCGTGTTTTCATGGTAATGGTAGTGGTGCAAAAGTGCAAGCAGAAACATAAGCACATTTCCCAAACCTCTGCCTGATTCATATATGTTAATATCTCATGGGTCAAAACAAGTTACATGGCTGAACTCAGAACTGAGACATGGAGAAATACACAATATGCCTCCTGATATGAAGAGTTGCAAAATCATAAGGCAAAGGGTATGAATACGAGGAGGAGTGAAGAACTAGATTCATTAATATAATTGGTCCACCACATGTAGATAATAGTATACCCACTCCAAGGGATGTTGTAAGGGTTAGATATGGTCAAATATTTGTGTTTAATATAGTGTCTGGCCCATAACAGGAACTTATAAAGTGGTTCATTCCTCCTTACACACAGGAATCTTTGGATGAGTATGGGACTTTTCAGATGGAGTAGAAGGTATTGAGAATCACTGGCATCACAGGAGCAAGGGTTAGCACACGATTTGTGCTTTGCTCAGTAGAGGTACCAGTGGGAGCCTCCGTCGTGTATCTGCTATAGCTGTTTCTTGGGTTAGGTCTTCAACCATAACAAGCACGATGCCACTGGCTGGCAGATACTCCCTTATCATTTACAGAGTCATATTCATCAGAATAGATTTCCTGCCAAGTGAGAGGTGTCACTGAAATCCTTTCAGACCATTAGCTTCCCTCCCGCTATACAAACATAAGTCCCCTGACAAATGAAAATGGATTCTCCTGCTTTTTGAGCAGTATGATGATGACGATAACAACAATAATATTAATAGCTCCCACCTACTAAGCAGGAAAATAGGTTTTGATTCTCACATTAGCTCGCCAAGGTAATGCTATTACTATCCCAGTTTTACAGAGGAGGAAACAGAGGCTCAGGGAAGCTATTCAGCTAGTAGGTGGCAGAGTTGGGACTTGAACCCATGTCTCTCCAAGGCCAAAACACTACTCCACCTTTTCTACCTGACTCGACTTGTGTTTATTCTGCTGATCTCAAGTCAGAGGTCCCCTGTCATTTGTGTTACTTTTTGCTAGCTCACTTCAGCCACCATACACAGGTTTCATGTCACATGCTGACAGGGAATGAAGATCCGCCATGAGAGGGTCATGGCTGAAGGGAATTTTTCCAGGTCTGGGCAGGTGAGGCAGGGACCCCAATTTCAGGACCAACCCCTCCCAGAGTTACACTTGAAACCTTCCCCTTCTCTGGAAGGCCAAGGCCTTCTGGTCATTTCTGGGATAGCCTGAGGGCTTGGCCAAAGCCAAGGCCTGGAACTGGCCCTCCTCTCAGGTCCCTGACCTCTCATGGCTTGTATGTAGGGGTCAGTGAGAAGCAGGACTCCAGGAAGGAAGACAAGGCCCCAAACCTCAGGACTCAGTTGGAGAAACCAGAGAAGGCCCCAGAACAGCTGACTCTGGGCGCCACGTATTGGAGGCAGCCACCCCCTCCCCCACACTGGCTGTGCTGTGAGTCACGGGTTTTAAGCTGAGCACTCTGGGAGATTAACCAGCTTTGTGACCAGCTGCTGGAGGAGGATACTTGGCTGAAAGAAGCAGGATAAAGTTACCCTCTCAGAAGTTTATAGGAAGGCCCATAAATGCCCCCAGCTGCTGTGGGGCCCATGTTCTGGGGTGTTCCTTGGTGTTCCCCCTGGGCAGACCCTCAGTGGCTGTGCTCATTCCCCCTGCTCCTCACCTACCAAGTAGGTTCTACTAATCTGTCACTCACTGGGGATACCTGCCACTTGGGGCCCCATGGTTCCAAGAGGGATCTTGGGCCATGGGCCTTCCTTGCCTGGATGACAGATATTAGGAACAGAGCCCATCCTGGAGTCAGTGGGAGGAACCTGGCTCCTGCCTGGCTTAGATTTGGGGCAGAGGCTGGTGGGAAATGCCTGAGTGGGATGGCAGCCCCTGGCACACAGGCCGTCCCAGCCAGGGTGAAAGGGACAGGAAGAACCCCACCCCAGAGCCCTAGAATGCAATGTATGGAGGGGCTGAGGAGGGCCTGAGGCCTTGGAGAGGGAACTGGGAGGCCTGGCTTCTAGCCCGGCTCTGCCTCTGACCCTCTGGCCTCAGTGTCCTCATCCACCAAAAGGAAAACTTGTCATTTCAAACTGTGTTCTCTGGAGTCCTGGGCCATTCAGAAGTGCTATAGGGATTCCACAAATGTTGGATCAGAATTTTGGGCCAGAAGTATCCTTCAACCATCATACATACGTATCCCCTTATTTCACAGATTTGCATTAATCAAAATAGCCTCATTTTTTCTTCCACCGGTTGACCATTCATTCAACAATTCTTTCATGAGTGCCTACTATGTGCCAGGCTCTTTTGTAGCTGGTGAGTAGAGCATACTTTATAAGAAATAACAGTAATCCATGTGAACTTATAAATGAATTTATGGCAATAAAATGGCCCCTCTGTCTGCTTTATGTATCAGGGTTTCACCTAAGAATTTATCTGAAGACAGGATTCTGCTCCTAAATAAGTTTGGCTTGGGATGATCTCCCGGGTGCCTCCCTGTCCATCTGGCTCCATTCTCAAAGCACTAAGCTGCCAGTCCCATGGGGGAAGATCTAGAAGAGGTGAAGATCAGGCACTTTAGTCCCAGGGTACCCACTGGCATGGGGGTTTCTCCACGTGGTGGAGAGGCCGCCGTCTGAGTGAGGCTTTGTGTGTCCTCTGTACCAGGGCCCGAATGGTACATGGGCAAGAGGAGGACATTGGGTGCAGACTGTGCCTCAGGATCCCAAAATAGACATTCAGGAGAGCCCAACCTGGTTCTACCCCCACCCCATTATCCTACCAACAGCCCACCCCCAAATGGTGCTACTACTGATGCCAACTTCTGCTCTGTGCCAGGCACTTTACATACATCCCCTTAATCTTGCCAGATGGATATTTTTAGTCATATTTTATAGATGAGGAAGGGAAGGACCTACTACAGGCAAGCTGTGTGCTAAGTGCGGGGGATACAAGCAGAGAGTGGGCCCATTTTAATCTAGTGGGAGATACTAAGAGTCATATCTAACACATGCACTACTTACTATAGGACAGGAACTTTTCCTAAGTCAGTCTCCTCAACACCAGCATATTATTATCATGCCCATTTTATAGATGAGGAAACTGAGACAGAAATATTAGTGTCCTAAGGTCACAGAGCAAGTAAGAGCTGAGATTTGAACCCCAGCACTTGGGCTCCTGAGCCCATGTGTGTAACTACCCTGCTGTGCCCTCTAACAGTCAAGTTAATATTCCGCAAGCATTCTTTCATTCCTTCATTGGGAATTCCTTCACTGAGAGGACAGGACAGTCCTTGCTATCCCACAGCTCCCACGCTAATGTGGGAGGCAGAGGTATAACAGAGTCACCACCTAGGGTGAGGAGAGCAGCGCCTGAGGTCAGCACTGGAGGACAAGGGCATGGAAAGATGTGGGGTGTGAATCTTGGCTCTGCCACTGACCAGTCAGGTGACCTTGGACAAGGGATATAGCCTCTCTGAATTTCTATTGCCTCATCAGAAAGATGAGGATGGTAATATCTACGCTTCAGGATTGATTTAGGATTAAACAGACAATGCACATACAGTGTCAAATACTGTGCAAAGGAAGACAATAAGTGCTTAGTATATGGTAGCTGTATTTATTAACAAAACTAAAGAGTGGGTGGGGAAAAGGAGGATGAAGAGGATTCTGGAACTTGTTTCTCTATGAGTTCTGTTCTTGGCCAGAAGCTGGCCTTCTGTGCCCAGCCCCCTTTCCATCCCCAAGCCTGTCCAGGCACCTGCTATGGGTCCTGGCATCCCGAGGCAGGGCCAGGGAAGGGCCAGGGTGAGGCCAAGAGGGCGGGTGAGGACAGCCCAGCCCAGCTCCTCACTGCTGGGGAGCCTGGTGTGGGGGCAGGACTGCTCTTGGCAGCTATGTTCTCCCTGGATGGAGAGAAGGCCTGTGTGTCTATGGGGTGAGTAGAGGCAGAGGCAGCCAGACCCTCCTACCCCTTAGAAAGCAAGGTTCTAGCAGCATCTCTGTAGGGGTTCATGGTAGGGGCGAGGGCAATGGCTCTGCCTGCCCAGTGCCTCAGCTCAGTGCCCAGATCCCTGCCGCTTATCCCTCCAGACCTCGTCTGGGCCCTGCCTTTGTTCTCATGCAGCAACTGTCTCCAGGAGATGGAGATGACATCAGAATAGCCGGAGCAGGTGTGATCCAAGGTTCTGCAAGGAAAAGGAAGGATGGTGTGGAGTGTGTTGCTGCAGGGAAGGCTTCCCAGTGGAGGTGGCTCCTGAGCTCTAGGAAAAGGGAAGTGAGTGTCCTTCCAGGCAGAGGGAACAGCAGGTGCAAAGGCCTGGGGGCTCGTCTATAAGGTTAGATAAAACTTCTCAGTTCTAACACAAACTTTATTCAGATCCAATTATTTTGGTAGGAAAGGGGGCATGTTAAAGCATGTCTGGGGGCCCTGAGCTAGGCCTGGGATGAGGATGGGCTTAGGGAGCAGGCCTGAGTTTAAGGAGGGCAGGAATCCAGGTGCCAGAACTTAGGCACTGTCTCCATCTCAGCACCAGAGGTCTGAGGCCCTGCAGGATGGATGGCTGAGACATTGCTGCTGGGAAGGAGCTTGTGGGGGGTCTTGCGCCCCAGAGGTGTGTCTGCAGAAGGAACTTGAGCAGCAGGTCCCAAGGAAGGTGGAAGCTCTTCCCAAAACCCCTAAACACACTAAGAATATGGAGGTGTCCCATAGACAGTCTGGTTACAGAGATACTCCGAATATGGGCTAAGGTCCTGGACAGTGACACATGGTCCACATAGGGTGATAACAGGGATTGTCATATCAGAGAGACACCCCCAGACCCCCCGGACCACACCATCACACAGTGACAAGAGCTCACAGGGCACACAATCAAGTGTTCCCCCGCCCCCACTGCCCCTGGGGCAGCCTCACTCCTGGGACCCCCTGGAGCTGGGCGCAGCCGGTGGCCGTCAGCGCCAGCGGCAGGGCCCCCCGCGGCACACGTGCACTCGCCGCCCGCAGCCGCACCCCGCGCACACGCCGGCGGGGCTAACGAGCCCACAGGCCTCCAGGGCGGGATGAAGCCAGTTGTCGGGCGGGGCCGCGGCGGTCACACAGCATTAGCCCTGCGGCCGCCCCGCCAGGTGCGGCCACTGCCCCTAATCCCTCGCCCCGGCACCGCTAAGCCGGGCCTGAACGACGCCACAGCTGGGGGCGGCCGGCCACGCGCCTCCCCTCACCGCAGCCCCGGCCCGGCCCCGGCCCCGGCCCTGGCCCCTCTCTAAGGCCGCGCGCCCACTGCGGGTCCCCTCCCCACGCTCTAGCGCGGCTCCCACCTCCTCGCCCTGCCCAGCGCTCTCCAGTCCCTCCCCGCCCACTGACCCTGTGCTCGCACCCCCGTCTCTCCCCAGCACCCCCACGGCCGCGGCCCAGATCCTCCCCGCTTTGCCCACCGGCCTCCATCTCTGTCCTCAGGCCCGCTGGAGTCACAAGCCCCATCCCAGACTCTCCAACGCTGGACCTGCAGCGCCCAGCCCTGCCCTGGTGCTACCACCTGCCAGCTCTGTGCCTGCCCCTCCACTAGATCATGACTTCGGCTCCAGCTCCCTCACTCTCCATGCCTCTCACTTGCGGGTTGTGCCCTGCTCAGCTGGCCAGACTTTGGCCCCCTCCCTACCTGGATTTGTGAAGCCCCAAATTTCATCTCCCCCACCACACTTATTCACAGCCTCCGCCTGCTGACATACCCAGGCAAGACTCCCTTCCCCTCCAGGCAGCCAAACTTCAGTTCGAATCTTCTGGCTCTTACCAGACCCCTGATGAATCCCAGGATCTTCGCAGGTGGTCCCAGGGCCTCTTTGAACCACAGTTTTACTTATCTGAAAAATAAAAAGGCATGATTTAGATGACTTCTGAGGACTCTCTTGCCTTTCCTACCCCAAAACACTAGCAAGGTCATGTACTTCCATTCATCTGAATATTAAAGACAGATGAATATGGAAGAACAGCCACTGGCCATGTGTCCCCACCGGAACCCTTCCCATCCCTTAGCTCTCAGGGTCTGAGCTAGCCAAGGCAGCTTTTAGCCGCTGGCGTAGGGTGGGTAAGAGGGAACAGGGTGGAACCTGGTTGCTTAGGTCTGGGCCAGGACTTGGTGTCTCTGCCACCTTGGGAAGGATGTCTCCTAGAAGGGTGTGTCTCTGAGGCTGGCCTGCTGGGGGTCCTGGCCTCAGGCACTGCCAGTATTAGTGCTGATGGACAGCCCCAGCAGGTGGGAGCCGGCTAGTCCTCCCCAACAGCCCTGCCCACCTGTTACCCTCTTTGCTCGGGTGACCGGCTGCTTGACCCACTGACCAACTTCTTGCTGCTTCCCAACACCCTGGGCACGGTTCTCAGTGCCCCACTCCTCTCCCTTCAGCTTTTCCCAGCAACATCCTGGCTCAGAGCACACAGCACGCACATATCATGCATATGCACATTCACATTGCACACATAGTCACACGCTAATATAGGGCTGCATGCATGCGCACCCCGCATCTGAGCCTGCTTCATATTCATGCAGGCTGAGCCAAGTTGCTTCTCTCCAGGTGGAGAATATTGGCATTGCCATCTCTGTGGCAATAGGACCACATGGTTAAAGCAAAGGCATTAAGTCTGGATCACTGGATGCCTGTCCTGGCTCTGTGATATCCTAATGTGTAACCTTGTCAAGTTACTTAAACTTCCTGCACCTAATGTTCCTGATCTGTCAAATGGAGCTGATTATATCTCATAGGATTTTGAGACTCAAATGAGAAGATCCATGGAAAGTGCTTAGAACAGTTATCAGTACCGTGGAAATTCACAATACATGTTAACTGTTAGTAGTAGTATCCAGGAGGGACTGAGGGTCTCCTGGGAATACCTTGATAATGTTCCTTTAGTCATCTCTGGCCATAACTATTCAAATGGTTACAAACAATCCTGATTGTATTTTTCTTCCACTTATGAAGCCTGTATCAATTGCCCAGATGAAATCAGGACATGCCATTTTCACAGCCTTACCTTTATCTTGATAATGATTGTTCATCCTTTGCTGTTTAAAAGCCAAGAAAACTGGTAAGCGTAGGCCTAAGTTGTTTAGAGAACTCTGGGCTGGGTCCTGGAGCTCACACATCATCCCTTTGGAATCTGTTCTAGACCCTCTCCCCAGATCAACATCAGCACCCTGATCTGTGTGTCTTGGGATCCACCTTATTCTTTCTGGAAATGAAGGCAATGTCTGCCACCTCCCATCCCCCAGATCTCAAAGGTCACCAGCAACTCCCATTTCACCTCACGTGCTCCCAGGACTCAAAGTGGGATTTCTCGGGCCTAAAGAGAAAAATGTACTTGGCAGAGCTCTGAGCTCTAGGACAATCTCTCCCCACGTCTCCTTCTTCAGTCTACTCCAACCAAACCTAATTCCATTCGTGGCCACATTTGAGAAAGGAATGCCACAGCTTGAGGCTCATGGACCTCAATATGAAGACAATAGCTGCAGATGAAGCTGGAGAGTTCTGCTTCTCTACCACCCTCAGCCCCAACAGAAGCCTTCTTTGTTCCTTTTCTTACCCTGAACAAAACAAGAAATCCTTTTTTGCTGCCATTAGTAATTTCCTAAGTCTCACTCCATTGGGGTCCTCTCCCTTCCTGCTCCCTTTTCTGAAGCCATCTCTTTGGTTCAGCTTCAGGTGTTTGCCCTGTCTCTGATTTTGGTATATTCTCTATATATTCTTTATTGTAACTATTAGAGAGTATTATAATCTCTTTTATAATCTTTCCTATGTTAGTTACCTATTGCTACTTACATTTAGCAGCTTAAAACAACACATTTATAGTTGTACAGTTTCTATGGGTCAGGAATCCAGGATCAATTTAGCTGCAGTCTGGCTCAGGTCCCTCACATGGCTGCAGTGAAGGTGTTGGCTGGGGTTGCAGTCATCTCAAGGCTTCACCAGGGGAGGATCCATGTCTAGCTCATTCACGTGGCTTTTGGCTGGAGCTGATGCTCCTTGCCATGTGGGCTTCTCCATGGGGCGACTCCCAACATGGCAACTGGCTTCTCTTAGAGTGAGTGAACTGAGAGCGTGCACCCTAAACAGAGCCGCGTCTATTTATAACCTAATTGTGGAAGTGACAACCCACTACTTCTGCTGATACTCATAATCAGAGGGAAGTGATTACAGTGTGATGGGAGGCGAGGATCACTGGGGACCATCGTAGAGGCTGCCTACCACATTTCCCACCTGGCTTCTCCATGTGCTCTTGTGCCTAACACAGTGCCCTCAGTAGATGGTTAGCACTCAGTAGATATTTGCTGAAAGAATGAATGCGAGCATCAGAGGACACTCTGCAGAGTTTATATAATTCTGTATTGTTCTCTCGGGCTACTATCCCCCCTACCCCTGGCTTTTCCCGCATTTTTCTTCTTTCTTGGAATCATTTGCATTTAAAATTTAAACTTATTTTATCCTTGAATAGCACATTTTCTCATAGGAGCCTATTTATCTCCTCCCCCCACTTTTTGAGATTTGCCTTCCAAAAATGGGGACATGCTTGGCATATATCTCATGTGGATAACCCCTATGGTGAGCACCTATGGATAACCCCTATGAATAACACCTATGGATAACCCCTATGGTGAGCACAAGCTCAGAAATGACTGGGCTACTTTCTTTATATAACTGGTCAGAAGGAACCTGTCTTCATCTAACCTGTCTTCATCTAACTGGTCAGAAGAAGCCATTCCCCATGTCACATCCTCCCAAGTGTTCACACCACGTGCGCTTACCTTCCCTCTTACGGCTCTCAGCCTCCGGAGCTTCCTGGGTTTTGTATGGGTCTGCCTTCCCGGTAAACAATGAATGACCCCTTACAGAGTAGGAACCGTTTAGCAAACATTCAATGAGCACTCACTGAAGCACGCATTATGTACTAGCACTGGCCTGGGGACCATGGAGACAAACGAGTAACTCATGGAACCTCCAGCATGTGGATGGAACAGGTGCTTGGGAATGCTTGCTCCTTCCGGGAGATCAAATTGTCAGCAAGTCTACCTAAACTAATTCTCAGATACTGTAATGGCAGAATTTCTAGGAATGGCTCCCAAGACTCCACACTCACTGGAACCCGTAAATATGATACTCCCCTGACTGTGCTATGCTATGTTGTATGGTACAGTTGACCTTAGAGAGGGGAGATTATCTGAGGGAGTCTAATCTAATCTCTTGAGTCACCAACAGCAAAGAACTCTCTTAGGCTGGTGGCAGAAGGCGAAGTCAGAGAGATTTGGAGCATAAGAAGGACTTGATGTGCTGCTGCTGGTTTGAAAAAGAGAGGGCCATATAAGAAGGAATGCCAGTAGTCTTAAAGTGCTGAGAGACAGCCAGCCAGTGAGGAATAGGGACCTCAGCCCTATGACCACAAGGACAGTAATCTGCCCACAAAGTGAACGAGTTTGGAAGCAGATTCTTGCAATATGTCTCATGCCCACCCCCAACACCTTGATTTCAGTCTTGTGAGATCTTGAAATTAGAATTCAGCCAAGCCCTCCCAGACTCCTGACCTACAGAAATGTGAGCTAATAAATGGGCATTTTTTAAGTGGACAATTCAGTAGTTTTTTAAATATAGCCATAAAATTGTACAACCATCATTTCTATATAATTCCAGAACATTTTCATTGCCTCTGCCCCCAAACAAAGCCCATACTTATTAAGTAATCACTCTACATTCCCCCAGCCCCAGAAATCACTAATCTACTTTCTGTCTCTATGGATTTGCCTATTCTGGATATTTCACATAAATGGCATTGTACAATATGTGGCTTTTTGTGTCTGAATTCTTTTGCTTAGCACGTTTTCAAGGTTCATCCAAGTTGTAGCATAGATCAGTGCTTCATTTCTTTTTATGATTGAATAACATTCCATTGTATGGATATACTACATTATATTTCTCCATTCATCAGTTAACGGACATTTGGTTTGGGCTGTTTCTGCTTTTTGGCTATTATGCATAAAGCTGCTATGAATATTTGTGAGAAGTTTTTGAGTAGTCACACATCTTCAATTCCCTTGGGTATATACCCAGGAGTGGAATTGCTGGGTCATATGGTAACTCTATGTCCAACTTTTTGAGGAAGGGTCAGACTGTTTTCCAAAGTGACTTCACTGGTTTAAGCTCCCACCAGGAGTGTACAGTGGGAATACATGCACACCAACACTTGCTATATCTGTCCTTTTTATTAGAACTATGCCAGTGGGTATAAAGTAGAATCACATCATGGTTTTGATTTGCATTTCCTTAATTACAATTGATGTTTTGTAGGTATTATTTTAGGCCACCAAATTTGTGGTAGTGTGTTACAAAGCAATAGAAAACTAATCTAAGTGCCTTCTTTTACCCAGGTGGTAAAAAAGGAAATGGAGCAAAAGTTGATTAAAAAAAAAAATAAGCCATTTGAGTTGAGTGGCCAAAGAAGGCAATAAATGACATTCTCATAAAGCAGGTCTGGACTGCTGCGAGTGTGAGGACAGACATCTAAAGTTGAGGCACAGGGCTAAGTCAAGAACAAGGGCAGTTTACTCAGTTATGAAGGTATGAACAGCACAGCAGACATGGAGTGAACCAGATGAATATTGGTAATAAGTTGCTTCTGCTGTTTTGCTAGTTTCCATTTGATCAGCAACAAGTATGGTTATATTAAAGGTGCCTCAAGGTCTGAGATATGTTTGATATTCAGCCACAAGTCCCTTGTAGCAGGACATCCAGATGGATGAAGACCCCATCACTTCTTAAAATACATTTCTGGGCAAGACCCAGGACATGTTTCAATATCTCAAACTCCACTTCTTTGATCTGGCCAGGGGAGCTTTAGAGGACATTCCTCTCCACTTTACAACTTTGATTGATTGATTCCATTCGTTCATGAATGGGCCAAGTTCTGTTCTTGGCCCTGAGGACACAGCAGTGAACAGATCCCATGAGGCTTATGTTTTAGGTGGGAGAGTGGTCAAGAAGCATAAAGTTAATACAAAAGTGAATTATATACTTGCAGAGTGTTGGTGTTATGCAATTTAAAAAGAAAAGAAAAAGCAAACCAGGGTAAAGGAGCTCAGGATCCAGAAGGTGGGAAGGTTCAACTGCAGTGAAAGTGTGGTCAGGGAAGGCCTGCTGAGATTTGAGCAGACTTGAAGACAGTGAGGATTTGGTAAGGTAGATATCTGGTAGAAGAACGTTCCTGGCAGAGAGAAAAGTTACAACAGAGGTCCTAAGGCACTATCATGTCTGTTACGCTTGAGACACAGCGAGGAGGTTGGTGCACCTGGAGCAGAGCAAGGAGGAGAGTAGAGGAGATGAGGTCCGAGTGTTAGTAGAGCCAGACCATGCAGAGCCTTGCAGTCATTGCCAGGACCTTGGCTTTTAGGTTGAGTGAAATAGGGGCTTTGGAGGCTTTGAGCAAAGAGTTACGAACCCTAGCTTAGATTTTTAAAAGGATTCTTCTAGCTGCTGTGCTGAGAATAGATGGGGTGGGGGTGTGAGGTTGGGGCAAGGGCAGAGGCAAGAGGGCTTGTAGAGAGGGGTTGTACTGCACTAACCCAGCTACAAGACAACCATTGCTTGGTTGACCATGGTAACAGGGGTAGGAGTAGGAAGTAGTCAGCTTTTCGATATAGTATTTGAAAGCAGAGCTAATGGAATCTCATGACAGAGTAGATGTGTTAGGAGTAGAGAGGGGAGACAAAGAAAAGATTAAGACATAGTGCCAAAGTTTTTGCCTGAGCCACATGAATGAGGGAGTTACCCATAAGCTGAGATGGGAAAGGCTGTATATATAGTGGGTTTGTGGGTGATCAGGAATTTAGTTTTGGATAGGTTAAATTTGAGAGGTCTATTGGATATCCAAGTGATTGATACCACATAGGCTGATAGATACGAGTTTGGAGTTGATTGAGAGATCTGGCCTGAGGATAGCCATTTGACAGTCATCAGCATATAAATGGCATTTAAAGCAAACCTGAAACACAATCCTTGGTGCTTTTGACATATAGGATTGTTTCCCTTCCCCTGAACAAATTCATTTTCTTTGTGCCCATGAAAATTTCTATTTTGTTTCTGAGGGGCGAGTCTTATCCTACCACATCTTGGTGAAGTTGGAAAGGTGCATTGATTTTGCTGACTTAAAATCTCAAGCCCCTGGGATTTATTATTCTACTCCGATCTCTGTCACTACATTATTCATCTGCCTCTTCTCCAGGTGACGTCTCTGAAAAACAGGGCAGCATCCCCACATTGCCCTTCTTTCTGGGTCATACCTGTGGATGCTATGCCAGTGTTATTTGGCCATCTTTCTACCTCTTCCTGCATTTTCAGTTTGTTGATAGTTCTGAGTCAGATCGGAAAGCTCTTGGTGTGGGCCCCAGCATACCGTCTGTATAGGGAGTGTTAGATGGTGTTTTTAATTCAGCAAGTCATAGGATTTTAGGCCAGTCCTGTAGACCATGCTCTCAGGGGCAGGAGGTGAGGCTAGCTGCCAAAGATGCCTCTACTGCCCCAGCCCCTCAACACAGGGATTTGGGATGTGCCCCGGGATGAGGTGTTCCTGACTCTTGTCAGTTGACTATTCTCTGCCCATTTCAGGAATAGAGACACAACGGTCTGGGGTGGGTGCGGCATGTGAAACAGACGGGATTGGAAGTCAGGGCGTAATAAGAAACTGACATCCGGGTCCCCTGTCTTGTGTCACTCTGGAGTAGAGATTTGGGGTCTCCTAGAGTCACAGTGAAAGTGATTGAGCTGGAACACCCGTAGGAGCTTGGCCTGGTTCCTCTCTACAAGCCCCCTGCCCTTTCCCTCCTCTGGGTTCTTGCTTCCCTCTTCCCGCGGGCCTGGTTGTCCTGGCCTCCTCCTCCCCTGCTTCAGGAGGAGAGGGGCCAATTCAGGGCCCTGTGACTCAGGCGCGGGTTGGGGAGGATGTTTTGGATGCCGCTCTGCTGACGCTGGTGCCCTCTGTTCTTACATCCTCCTTAATTTACTGCCTGAGGAGGGGGCCAGGGCTCTGGAGAGGGGATTAGATGGTCCACACTGATCTGAGGCAACAGCTGCTGGGCTGGCGGCCGAGGAGTGAGCAGTGAGCAGGCGGTGGGGGAGGCTCATGCCTCCATCAGGGCCGGAAGGGAACTAGGCAGGCATCCGGATGGTGCCCTTAGGTAAGGGTGGCTCTGGAGGAGGCTGCTCTTGGTCTGAGGGATAGGGCTACAAGGCCTGTCTGGTCAATAAGGTCAAATCCAGGTGTCACAGGAAGAAGGCCTAGAGGGCCAACTGGTCAACCATCTTGCCAGCTTTCTGGAGAATATTGGGAAGTGTTTTCTTTAGCCTCCTGAAATCCAGAAAGGAGAATATTGGCTCTGGGGCCCTGGTTCAAAGGGAAGTCTTGCCAAGCTCTAAGCTGTCATGTAGTTGCATGAGAGGCCCCCTAAAGTCAAAGCTGTTACACACCAGTTGGAGTGATCCCTTCCACCATGATGGCACTCTTCTCTCATTGACTCTCCACTCACAAGGCAGAAGGCAGACTAGACAGTGGCATTTCCATTTGACAGATGGGGCAACTGAGACCCACAGAAGGTGAGTGCCTTGTCTCAGGTCACACTTGGTGTTGGTAGAATGGATATGATTACAGCCCAATGCTCCTAACTAAATTGCTCTGCTTCTTGAATAGCAGTGCAACACATTGATATTTGGCACTGGAGGCCAGCATCTCTTCTTCCTTCTAGTTCATAATTCCACGTGATAGTTTTGTCTAACAGAAAATGGCCCAAACATGGGAGCCATAAGCTTGAACTCTTTGAATCAATTAATGTCCCCTTTTGGAGACTTGGTTTTCCCGTCTGTATTATGGATATCTTGAATAGCACTATGACTGTCCTCAAAAGCATAGCAGTCTTGTCTTAATCACTCAAAGGACAGGAAAGACACTGGGGATCATTAAAAATATTGCAGTGAAGATTTGGGCTCTGGAGTCAAAATATCTAGGATCAAATAAAATCTCTGCCACTTACTAACTTTATTTTACCTAGTGAGTTTCTTCCCCTCTTTGAGCTCAATTACGTCATTTTCTGCAGACAAGAGGTAATAACACCTATCACACGTGGCTGCTATGAGGATTAAAAGACAATGAATGCTAAAGGCCTAGCATTGTTCTTGGGGCATAGTAAAGCTGAGTGAATTATAGAAAGACTAGTGGTAATAGTACTTCTTGCTTATTGATACATGGAGCCACTGAGATTGAGGCAAGAACTCCTGGGCTAGTGGACGGTTTAGAGCAATGCTTCTCACTCCTGCTGACCAATCAGGATCATTGCATTGGAGATGGATGCTTAACAAGGTTCCTAGGCGATCCTCAGGCTCTCCTGAGGTTGGTAATCACTATCATAGAGGACCTGCTTTGATGGTGAGATAATTACTGTATCAGTTGTTTGTAGGTAAACAGGTGCTCAGACATTTAATAGTTTAAACATTTTCCCTGATTGGCACTTTCACTACTAATTAACTCCTAAAGAGCTCTTCCTTTTCTGGGTCATGAGCAGGAATTCCCCACTGGGGGTTCCCAATTAATGAAGTTTGCCCAGCTTGAGGGCCTCTGGGAAGCAGGCAGGACTAATTATTCTCTACCACCCTCCCGCACTGAAAAAAACCCTGGCCAAATCCTCTCCCTATCCTTCATCAATCTTGTCCTGGCCTCCAGCTGGCTTGCATTAGCTCTGGTTTTCCAGCCCCCAGGGCTGCGGCTGTAGTGGAGGGATTGAGCCAGTCCAGGCTGGATGGATCTGTCACCTGATCCTGGGTCTGTGCCGCAGCCAGTCCTGGAATCTGGGGCAACGTGATCCTGCCCTGCGGGAGCCCCTAGCCAGGCCAGGGACGCCATGGTGGGGCTCAGAACATCCTGGCTGTCCAGGGACCTCTGTTTAAGCCCGCAAGGATAACATCCGCAGACTCTCAGAGCTCCTCCTGTCTAAGCCCCTCACCTTAAAGAAAAGAAAACTGGAGCCTAGGTTGGTGAGGCACCTGCCTAAGGTCACATGCTTGTTCACAGCAGAGCCCCGGTCTCTCTCCTCCTACTGCAGGACTCTTTTCCTGGCTCCTCCTGGAGAAGTTTGTCTGCAGACCTATTGTCTGCATGATGGGATCAGATATGGAGGCTCCTGCTCAACCCCAGACACCCAAAGTAGAGGAGGTCAGGGGAAGGAGGGTTTTGGACTAATGCACATGATCCTTTGACCCAGATTAAATAAGTCGAATTTCAGGTCATTTAAAGGAGAAATTTGGAGAGTAGCAAGAATGGAAATATGGAAACAATTGAAATAAGGGTGATAAGTTTTTAAAATATCTTTTATAGATACTGTCATCTTTTAGTACAATTCAAGAACATAGATGGTTTGGCTGTGACACATGGAGACACTCTCCTCTGGAATCTGAGTTTGCTTTTTACCATGTCCTGCTTGCTTCACCCAGCAGTATGGAAACCCAGACCATGAAACAAACCTTTATAGAGGAAAGTTTCATTTTGTTCTTCAGTTGTTGAGGGAAAGGTCAAGATAGTTCTCCAAAGACTGATCTTTTCCACATCATTCCATTTTTTAATGCCTGGATATTTTTGCATCTCACTCAGACCTAATTCTCCTGTACCTGCTAAATAGTTTGAGCCAAATCTCTAGGACAAGAAATGGTTCTGTTAGAGTTCTGAGGGCAAGGACAGTGGGGGCCATATCGCTATCTGGTCTTGGTCTTAAAAGTACTGAGATGCCAAGCAGCTCTTAACTAGAGAAGGCGAAATGGCCACCTTCCCTTAGGGGCAGCCTGGAGCTCAGAGCTGGCTTCTGGCATGAGTCTTTGAGGGTGTGAAAATGTGCCTGCCCTTTAGTAAGAGTGGTCATTTGCTGAGAAAGGACCTACTATATCCCAAGGGCTTTGCAGACAATTATTTTGTAAGGTTAAGTATTTTAATCCCTATTACACACTTTAGGAAATGGAGGCTTAGGGCAGTCAGGTGATATGTCTAAGGCTACTAACCTACCAAGTGGCAGAGCCAGGATTTGAACCCAAGTTTATAGGATTCAAAAGTCAGTAGGTATTTCTTCAATGCCTTTTGGGTAGAAGTGTGGAATACCATATATCCCAGTTTGGTTGAGATACACTGGATCCCGTTTCTTGCTCCCTTTGAGTTTATTTCCCTATTGTTTGCTCTCAGAGTTCAGAAAATTGTTTAGGAAGGTTCCGTTGAGTGTGTGTAGCCTCTGGTGTTGCACCACAAACCCCTGGCCTGCCCCTGATTTCAGCCACAGCAGTAGTGGACAGTTCTGTGCAAGCTTGGACTCAGTCTCAATGTCCTACCGCAAGTAGGAGCCAGAGTCTTTCCAGATTCTGATCTGAGGTTTCTTTCACGACACAGAAGCTTGCTTACAACCTGCAAATGCTGCCTAGAGGCACAAGGCAGTTAACTTCCCTAGAAACAATTTTCAACCAGTAAGGGGAGATGGTGGATAAAGACTCCGGGTATCACCTGTCAGGTGCACACTGCAGGAGACGTTCTATAAACTTTTCAGAGATTCCAGAAGAATTGAGCCCCTACACCTATAGACATGAGTCCAAGGAAACACCCTCATTTTAGATTTTCCTACTTCCCTATCTCACTCTTGCTACTCCTATCTATCTGTGTCCTCAGATCACCTTCCAAGTAGATAACATTCAACAAGTCCTTGTCTCAGGTTCTGCCTTCTGGGCAACCCAAACCAAGATGGTTTGCCTGTGCCAGGAGGGCTGTTTGAATTGGGGAGCAGCACCATGAGGGGTGGAGGGAGTGACACCCGGTGACAGCAGTAGGAAAAAACTTTACACAAGGTAAATTCTAAGGGTTGTAGCAGCTGGGGCCTCCTATCCTTCTCTGGAGATTCTCCCCATATCAAACTCCTGGAGCTCCTGAAGTTTCTTTCCAAGAGGGAGGCATCGCATGGTTTGTGGGGGCCTGAAGACATGTGATTTCTTGACATTTGTGGCAGTGGGTGGGATCCTCACTCAATATGGTGATTTAGGAGGGGGTTAGAAATGTCCCTAGGCCCTTGGTGATGGCTTCCCTGGACTGCCAGTTGACTAGTGGGGTTGTCTCAAGCAGTGACTATCAGCAAGGCTGTCCCTGGGATGACTGACACCTGACCGCGATTTCAATTAGTCAGTTTCATTGGTCACAGAGCCTGGATCTTGCAGGACACGGGGCAGGAGGGCTGTTTTACCTGGTAGTGTCTTTGGACCTGATATCCAGCTTCATCCTAAGCCTCTGTATAAAAACAAAGCGGGGGAATTTAACCAGGCAGAAAAATCAATTTAAATGCTTACAGAGAAACAGTAAGGCCCAACACTGCCGCCTCATTTTCACGAGGTGAGTCACTCAAACCGTTGACCTCATGGCTGATCTATGAGCAAAGGCGTGCTGGCAGTTGCTGCTGGCACAGGAATGGCTTCAGACCTGTTTCCTGGAACCCTGGCGCCAGGCAGAGCTCAGAGTGGCCTTTTGCCATTAGGTCAGATCACCTCTCCGAGGAGCAAGTTCCCAACACAGAGATGCAGGCTTTCCTGTGACTCTGTGACTGGTCAGTTTCACTGAATAATCCCCTTTTCTCAGTTATTGCCTGGCCGGTTTAATCACCCATCTGTCACAATATGCAGCTCTCATTGGTCAGGTTCACCATATGCTCTCCAAAGCCCTTGTTCTATGATTGGTAAATTCCACCATCCAGTCAGCTGAAATGAACCTCTGCTTGGTCAGCTCTCATAAACCGTCCATCCAGTTTCTAGGCTAGTTCCTGCTATGATCATCTGAATTTATGCTGCTCTCATAGACCTAATGTGAGCATTCCTATTTCATTCCTTTTCCCTGTCCTGTAGGTTTAGAAACAAAGGTTTGGAGGTGGAAAAGACCTGGGTTTGAATCCCAGCCCAGCCACTTATTAGTTTCATAATTGTAGACAAACTATTTAACTTTTCTGTGCTCCAATTCTAATAGCTAAGAGCCCTGGAGTCAGATGGGTTCAAATCACAGATTTATTATTTGCTGACTGTGTGATTTCAGATGGGTTACTTAACTTCTCTGAGCCTCACTGTTTTTGGCTATAAAATAGGGATATTAGTAGAACATACCTCAAGGACTTGTTGTGAGGATGAAATGCCATAATTACTGTAAAGTATTTGGCACACAATAAGTTCTCAATAAATGTTAACTCTTTTTCTTGTGTATTTAGAAGGAAGGAAACATGAAGAACAATAAAGACCCAGCCTTATCCTCAGGTAGCTAAATATTCTGTTCCAAAGGTCAGCCAATGTGCAGACCTGGGTGATGGTCAGGACAACCCCAGCAACAGGTCCCACCTGGGCTTGTCCCTTACAAGGTGCAGGCAGACACTCCAGGTGTGAGCCAGAGGGCCAGGAGGGGCAGCAGGATGTATAAGAACATTGCGTTAAGATCAGTGACTCTGAAAGACCCACATGAGTCAGAGAGGGCAATACTATTGGCTATTAATTATGCTAAAGCACTCAATAATTAGCATGAAAGCATTAGCAAAGAAACAAACACCCACTTACGTAGGATTCAGATACAGGATCTGGATTCAAACACATGACTGCAGAATCAGGATGTATAACAATTATTACAACGAAGGAGGTAAGATCTAAGGTTTCTGTTTTTTCCGTTCTGTTTTGTTTTGTTTTGTTTTGTTTTTTTGAGACCAAGTCTTGTTTTGTCACCAGGCTGGAGAGCAATGGCACAATCTCGGCTCACTGCAATCACCACCTCCTGGGTTCAAGCAATTCCCCTATCTCAGCCTCCTGAGTAGCTGGGAATACAGGCATGTGCCACCACTCTGGGCTAATTTTTTGGTTTTTTTAGTAGAGACAGGGTTTCACCATATTGGCCAGGGTGGTCTTGATCTCCTGACCTCGTGATCTGCTGGCCTCGGCCTCCCAAAGTGCCGGGATTACAGGCATGAGTTCTAAGGAATCTTAAAGTGCATCTTTGCACTGCTTTATTAATATGATTATCTGCCAGTTGCCCAATAACACTTAATTACCATCCTACTAGTCTTTAATTGGTTAAGCAGTGACAAGACCAAAATATATCATACAGATAAAGATAAAAGCATCAGTGGGTTTACAAAAAGGGCACAAGAAATTGTTATATTGGTTAAATTCAGCTTTTGGAATTCAGACGATTTTGACAAAGAATGTTTCTTTTGCACTTATTACTCTAAAATCTTTGGATTGGACTATAATAATATAGACTATTTTTATGTGCAAATAATATTTTATGTGCCTATAATCATATAGCCTGGATTATTTTTATGTGCAAAAATTATGTGTGTGTGTGTGTGTGTGTGTGTATATATATATATATATATATATATATATATATATATATATATTCAGTATATTGTGAGGCGCTGTGAAAACTGGTTCTCGCCTGCCCTTTGCCAGAAGAATCTGAATGTTTGTATGAGTATTAGCAAGGATGAATGCTGTAGTGGTTGCTAGCCCTTTGAGACTTGGCTGTTTGTTACCTGAAAGTATATAGAAAACTTTGTCAGAATTATATGGCAGGGATCTTCTATAACTTAAAAAAAAAAACTTCCTGATACATGTTTCTATTCTAAGTGGTTTGGGTTTATACCCTACAGCATTTCTTTTTCTTTTTTTCTTTTTTTATTTTTGAGACAGAGTCTTACTCTGTCACCCAGGCCGAAGTGCAGTGGTACAATCTCAGCTCATTGCAGCCTCTGCCTCCTGGGTTCAAGAGATTCCTTATGCCTCAGCCTCCCGAGTGGCTGAGATTATAGGCAGATGCCATCATGCCTGGCTAATCTTTTTTTGTATTTTTAGTAGAGATGGGTTTCACCATGTTGGCCAGGCTGGTCTCAAACTCCTGTCCTCAGGTGATCCACCTGCCTTGGCCTCCCAAAGTGCTGGGATTACAGGTGTGAGCCACTGCTCCCAGCTTCAGCCCCACAGCATTTCTCCCATCGACTTTCAGGCTGTTGGGCTGAAGTAGGAAAGGAGAAAGAGATGATGTAAGAGAAGTCCCTTTAGACAGAAGGGGAAGCAGAGAGCTCTTCCTGAAAGTATAAAATAATATCAGGATGCTGCCTTAGTCCAGGGATACAGGGGAGAGGAGAGAGGATGGATGCCCTGATAAAACCACACACTTCCAAGTTTTAGGAAATGCTACAAGAGTTTGTGTTGTGGTTGCATTTTCTCCCTGCCCCACTCATATGCTGCACGCTGTGTCTAGACTGATAGCCAGAAGCAGGCTTCACATGCTTTTAAAGGGATCCAGAAGCATCTTCATGGCTGCGGCAAGCAGAAAAGTTGACGCGAATTAAGAATCGGCAGGCCTGTCTAAAGATTGCCATGGTGTGGAAGTCCAAGGTCCCCCATGGCTCGGAAGTCGGAAGACTCCCATTACAAGAGGCTGGGAATAGGCAGCCCAAAGCTGGGGTTTAGGTGGGAGCTGTAGCTGAGTTTCACAGGGTCAGTAGCTTGAGCAGGAGCCGAACAGCAAAATGACAGGGCTATCTTTCAGAATGTAATCACCGAGTCATTTGCCGGTACTGAAGGCACAGACTGAGATTGGTCAGCAACGGATAAGGGAAGGAGGAGGTTCACTTCTAGAGACCAGGTGGACTGATCTATCCCTTTCCCCCAGGTGAGCAGAAGCCATATGGCTTAGACCGCAGGTCCTCCTCCATGCCATTGTGCTATGGAGCACCCCCTTTTCTTGTCAGTGCCTCTATAGCATTCAAGGGGAAGAAAGAGGAAGGAGTGAGTGGGGAGTACCTTGAAGAACTGAAGTACTCACCAAAAGAGCATGCATTTACTCCAAAGCAATTTTAACTTGAAGAGTTGGAGTGTACAATTCTTCCTCCACCTTCAGTTCATTTGGAGACTTTAAAACAAGTTGAAAACATATAGAGAACAATAACATATTTTCTAGCATAGTTGAGTTGTAATGCATAAGTTGTAATCCAGTTACAAAATGTACAGTGGACAGCATGCTTGCCCTAAAGGCTGTGTAACAACCAACTGTTTTAAATCACATTTCCCACATCGTAAAACTCTCTTGTTTGAAAGGATAGTACTTTAAATTTTTTTTGTCATATGCTCCAAAGCATAGATGGTTCTCTGATCTGCAGATTCTTTGGGGGAAAGGATTATAGTCCATCATTTTTCATCCTGTAATTGATACAGCAACTGCCCATTGAGACACAAGATTTCAGAGGCCAAATACAGCTACTGGCTTTGTTTGCATTTCACCAATCACATTAAAAGATGGGTGAAAAATCCAGTGTGGCAGACACACCAAAGGAATAAAAACAATTCTCAAGTAACCCTCCAGAATTATGATCAATGCTGCTCTGTGCAAAATCATAAAAAAGGCAAATGGAAAAAATTAAAATTGAATTTGCCAAGATAGTTATTTTGAAATATTACAACCAGAGTGCCTGCATTTATGTTGTGTGTTCTGCAGTTTCAACAATTCCTAACACTTTTGATTTTGGCAGAATGTTCTTTCTCGAAATTAAAAATAAAGACCCTTTGGCCAGACACGGTGGCTCACGCCTGTAATCCCAGAACTTTGGGAGGCTGAGGTGTGTGGATAACCTAAGGGCAGAAGTTCCAGACCAGCCTGACCAATATGATGAAACCCTGCCTCTATTGAAAAATACAAAAATTAGCCAGGCATGTTGGCGTGTGCCTGTAGTCCCAGCTACTTGGTAGGCTGAAGCAGGAGAATTGCTTGAACCCGGGAGGCAGAGGTTGTGCCACTGCACTCCAGCTTGGGCGACAGAGTGTGACTCCATCTCAGAGAAAAAACAAACCAACCAACAAACAAAAACAAACAAACAAAAAACACCTTTAAGGAACTACAGGAGGCAGCACTTGACTTGTGAGGGTAGCATAGCTTAACGAAAAGGCTCAAAAAGCTGGAACCTCCCGCTCTCTCCCAACAGAAATTGCAAAATCACAGCATACCCTTTGTCATTTGTATAAAGCTCTTCATAGCAAGAGAATATTGTTTGATTGTTATATTTTTGATATTTGTTTTACATTTTCTGTTTTTTTAAATGAAGAGTATTTTGTTTTAAGCAGTGAACCAATTGGTGATTAGTAATGTGCCCAGTTATTATACTAAGCTCTCTATATTGTGCTCAGTGCTGGATGGAGGTATGGCGAACGTCACATTGTGGTCTGTTCCTCCTGCCAGAAGGTCTTGCTATTCCCCAAACATCTGCTTGGAACTCCCACTTTTGCAGTCCTGTGGGCGAAGGCACCTCCTTTATAAAACGTGCTCACCTGCACAGTGCGAGCAACGCAAGAAAGAAGTAGACAGGAGAGGAGGGTAGGAGACAGCCACAGATACGGAGAAAAACACTTTTACTGAGAATGTGCTGGGCACTGTGCCGAGCTCTTTATAAGCATATCGTTGCGATTTTTTTTTTAAAAAAACCTTTTTATTGAAGTATAATACACATAGAGAAAATGCATATAAATGTACAGCTTGATATATTTTCACAAAATGAGCACAGCTGTGTAATTCAGCTCCCAAATTGAGAAACAGGCCATAACAACACACCCAGAAGCCTGAAAGTGTCCCCTTCCAACACTTCTGACTCTACCAAGGGTAAGAGTTAGAAGGATAATACTATCCTGACTTCTAGCACTACAAATTAATTGTGTCTGGTTTTTTTCAAAAAAAATTTTTATGTTTTGAAATTATCTTAGACTTGCAAGAAGTCGCAAAAGTTGTACAGAGTGTTCTTGTGTACCCTTTACCCAGCTTCCCCCAATGATATATTACAAAAATTTTTTTAAATTTATTTATCTTTTTTTGAAATGGAGTCTCACTCACTGTCACCCAGGCAGGAATGCAGTGGCGTGGTCTCAGCTCACTGCAACCTCTGCTTCCCGGGTACAAGCGATTCTCCTGCCTCAGTCTCCCCAATAGCTGGGATTACAGGCGCCTGCCACCACACCCAGCTAATTTTTGTATCTTTAGTAGAGACAGAGTTTTGCCATGTTGGCCAGGCTGGTCTTGAACTCCTGACCTCAGGTGATCCGCCCACCTCAGCCTCCCAAAGTGTTGGGATTACAGGCGTGAGCCACCATGCCCAGCCTATATTACAAAATTACAGTATATCATCAGACAGGAAATTGCTGTTGGTACAATACTACTAACTTTGCTACAGACTGTGTTCAGCTTTCACCAGTTTTTACACGCACTCATTGTTTTCGGGGTACAGTTCCATGAAATTTTATAACATGTTTAGATTCATGTAAATTACCCACCATGATCAGGATACAGAAATGTTCCATTACCACAAAGAATTGTGCCTGGTTTTGAGCTTTATCTAGATGGTACCATACAGTATAACTTGGTTCTTAGGGTATGCACAAGTTTATCTTGGATAAATACTGTAAATGAGTTTTCCAAGATGGTTATACCAACTTACATTCCCAGTAGCAGTTTACAGAGTCCTGGTTTCTACATCCTTAGCAAATATTGACATTTTCTATCTTTTTTCTAGCCATTTAGTGATATTGAATGTAGTATTGTGTGGTGGTTTAATTTGCATTTCCCTGATGACTAGTGAAATTGAGCACAGTTTCACACATTTATTGACTACTTTGTTATTATTTGGATATTAATTTTTTGAGAAGTGCCTGTTCAAGTCTTTTGCCATTTTTTATTGTGTTGTCTTTTTTATTTCCATTATTGATTTGCAAGAGTTTGGATATGAGTGCTGATATGGTTTAGATTTGTGTCCCCACCCAAATCTCATGTCAAACTGTAATCCCCAGTGTTGGAGGAGGGGCCTGGTGGGAGGTGACTGGATCATGGAAGCGGATTTCCCCCTTGCTGTTCTTATGATAGTGAGTTAGTTCTCATAAATCTGTTTGTTTAAAAGTGTGTAGCACCTCGCCCTCCTCTCTATTCCTCCTTCTCTGGCCATGTAAGATGTGCCTGCTTCCCCTTCACTTTTGGCCATGATTTTAAGTTTCCCGAGGCCTCCCCAGCCATGCTTCCTGTACAGCCTGTGGAACTGAGTCAATTAAACCTCTGTTCTTTATAAATTACCCAGTCTCAGGTAGTTCTTTATAGCAATGCAAGAACAGATTAATACAAATGCTTTGTTGAATACAATATCTTCTCCCACTATGTGTTGCTATTTTAATTAAAAAATAGACCATTTTAAAGAGCATTTTTAGGTTTACAGAGAAACTGAGCAGAAAGTAGAGAGTTTTCACATAGCCCCAGCCGGACACATGCCCAGCCTCTCTCCCAGTGTCAACAACCTGCACCAAAATGATACATTTGTTACAATAAATGAACCCACATTGACACATCATTATTGCTCAAGGTCTATAGTTTACATTAGGGTTCACTTTTTAGGTTGTACATTCTGTGGGCTTTGAGATGTATAATTGCATGTATCCTCCATTATAGTATCATACTGAATAGTTTAACTGCCCTAAAAATTCTCTGTGCTTTACCTTTTTTCTCTCTCTCCCCAATTCCTGGAAACCATTGATCTTTTTCACTGTCTCCACAGCTTTGCCTTTTCCAGAATGTCATATAGTTGAAGTTATACAGTATGTAGCTTTTTCAGATTGGTGCCTATCACTTAGTAATATATGTTTACAGTTTCTTCATGTCTTTTCATGGCTTGATAGCTCATTTCTTTTTAGTGCTGAATAATATTTTATTGTCTGTTTATTTATCCATTCACCTACTGAAGGACATGTTGTTGCTTCCAAGTTCTTGAAATTATGAATAAAGCTGCTATAAACATCCATGTGCAATTTTTGTGTGGACATAAGTTTTTAACTCATTTGAGTAAATACTGAGAAGTGTAATTACTGGATCATATGGTAAAAGTATGTTTAGTTTTGTAAGCAACTGCCAAGCTGTATTCCAAAGTGGCTGTACTATTTTGCATTCCTATCAGCAATGAATAAGAGTTCCTGTTGCTCCACATCCTCACCAACATTTGATGTTGTCAGTGTTTTAGACTGTGGCCATTCAAATGGATGTGTAGTATTATCTCACTGTTTTAATTTGCAATTCCATAATTGCATAAGGACATATGATGTTGGGAATCGTTTCCTATGCCTATTTGCCATCCTTGTGTTTTCTTTGGTGAAGTGTCTGTTCATATCTTCTGCCCATTTTTTAATTGGGTTGTTCATTTTCTTATTATTGAGTTTTAAGAGTGCTTTGTATATTTTGGATAACAGTCCTTTATCAGCTAGATCTTTTGCAAATATTTTCTCCCAGTATGTGGCTTGTCTTCTCATTCCCTGGATGTGTTGCCTTTTCACTCTTTTAATGGTATCTTTTGCTGAAAACACATTCATAATCTTAATATGGTCAAATTTTATGTTCTATTCAAGAAAATTTTACCTACACCAAAGTCACAAAAATGTCCCATACTTTGCTCGAGAAGTGTTACTATTTTACCTTTCACACTTCAATTTGTAATCCAACTGAAATTGATTTTTGTGTATGGTGTGAGGTGGGGCAGGTGGGCAGTCAACGTTCTCTTCTTTCCCTGTGGACATCCAGTTGACCCAGCACCATTTACTGAAAACATCATCATTTCCTTATTGCACTGCACTGGTATATTTGTCATAAGCCAGGTATCCATATATGTGTGAGTTTGTTTATTACGATCTTTTATTCTTCACAACAATTCTTTGTAAGAGGTGAGGGCTCAGGATTCAGGGCACCTGTCTTCCTGACCTGCTCAACAGAGTCCTTACCCAAGTCTCACTGGAAGCTGGGGAACTTCTGTGATTGCAGTTAATTCTGTAGGCTTTGGAATCCTCGTTGTGTGGCTTTGAACAGGTTGGTTGACTTCTCTGAGCCTGTTTCTATAGGTGTAAAATGAAGACAAAGAATAACAGTGTGACCTGATACTTGGGAAGTTTAGACAATTAAATGTATATTATTGTTGTCTGTTATCTTAAGAATGATAATAACAAGGACGGAGTGCTTCCACTGCATCCTCTAAGTGTCGTAGTGCCCCACCTCCCTTGTCCCTAAGCTAATGTTCTTGTGAGGACAGGGGAATGACGATGGTTTGAAGGGCTGCCCCCTGGGGAGAGCCCACTGCTTCCCATCCTCCAGGCTTCTTCTTTCTCTGCATATTATTTTCCCACAACCTCTGCTCCTTCCTGAGACCATCTCTAACCTCCTCTCTTAAATCTTTGTTAAGTGCTGGCATTTCCAAGGCAGGCATGGGATGCAGGAGCAAGAATAAGGTGTGGCAGTCAGAAAACCCTGGTTCTTAGGCTCGGCTTAGCAGTTAATCTGAGCCAAGATTGTCTAAAATAATCTTAGATAAACTGCTCCCCTTCCCTGAGACATAGATTATCACACACAGTGGAGTGGGATCATTCCATCCTGTTCTCAAGCCTCCTTGGTGCTCATATTCTATAACTTCTTGATGAGACATGACATCATTTACCCTGGTTTGTGGTCATTTCCAGGGTAAGTTCCCAGAGAAGCTACAGAGGAGGTTTATCCCATGCAAGGGGGCTTATCACTTTCTAGAAAAGAGCCAGGCAGCCTGATTGCTTTTCTTTCTTATTTGTCCCAAAGAAAGAATAAAAAATACAGAAATATCTTTATGCACTAAGATGTTCACCACACCATTGCTTATGCCCGTGAAAACATCCAGTTTGGAAACAATTGCTTTGCCTTATTGCTCCATCCAAGGCCAGCCAGGCTGGTCCTCAGGATCCCAGATTCAGTACAGAGAAATAAATCTAATATTGACTTGGCTTTAAGAAGGCAGTCACAATACTTGATATAAAAACATTTAGTCATTCATCAAATATTTTTCAGTCACCCATTGTGTTCTATGCCCTGGGCTAAGAAGTGGCTATACAAAGATGACTCAGACACTATTTCTGCCCTTAAGGAGTTCACAGACTAACCAAGGAAGAAGAAATATAAGGGTTGAAGTAAAAGTCAATGTAAGTGCTGCCCTAGGGACATGTGCAAGGTGTCCTGAGAGCCCGGGGAAAAGAGAGAGTTATTTTCCTTGGGAAATAAGGGAAAGCTTCCAGGAGGAGATGGTATCTGGATTTTCCAGATGATAAATTGGAAAGTAATTTCAGGCAGTGAAAGCAAAGGCATAGAGAGGGATTCTGTCTGTGCAGCTGAATTATAGGGTGCATAAGGGTGGCAAAGTGCAGAAGAGGGAGGAGAGCAATTAGGACAGTAAACTGGGGTCACTTGTGGAGGGTCCTGAATGCCAGGGTAAGGAGCATGGGCTGCATCCTGTAAGCTGAGTGGGCTGGGGAAGGGGGCATTAGGATAGCAAGAGAATGATGATTCGGAAATGTTTTTGAAAGACAGATTGGGGAAGGGCAAGAATGGAGACTGAGTGATCAGGTGGGAGCTGCTTGTAGTTTTCCAGGAGAGGAAGGAAGAGGCATGGGGACATGAGGGCCTAGGATGGAGGGAAATGGAGTCCGAGTGCCATTTAGGAGGTAGAATCCAAAGGCCCTGTGGGTCGAGAGGATGTGAGAGGTGTGATAAGTCTCAGGTTTCTGACTATGGCAATTGCATATCCTTTACTGAGATGGGAAACGCAGGAGGAGAAGCTAAGGGGATAACAGCTGTGGTTCGGATCGTGTTAAGTTTTAGGTGCCTAAGAGGAGATATCAGGAGGCCCGTGAGTGGATGAGTCAGGGCTCAGAGAGAGATGGAGGCTGAGAGCTTGTTTTGGGCCTCATCAGTCTAGAGTTGGTGTTCAAAGCCTTTGGAGGAGAAGAAATGTGTATTGAAAGAAAGGACCTGAGGACAGAACCAAGAGGAGCCCCTACCTTTAAGAAAGGGAAAGAAAAGCAATAAAAAGACAAAAGGGGAAAAGCCAGTGAAAGAGGCAGAGAAAGAACCGTCAGAAGAGATGAGGAGAGAGTAGTGTTCTAGGATGAGGAAGGAGGAGAGAGCAGGAAGGTAGGAGCGGTCAATATGTCCTATAATGCTGAGAGGTCCAGGCGGCTGAGGACCATGAAGTGTCCATTACATGCAGGAATGAAGTGGTCAGAACAGGGTAGTTTCCACAGGGTGTGAAGAGTGGAATCCAGATAGCAAGACATTGAGTGGGAACTGGGGAAATGGAGGACAGTGAATGGAGACAGTGTCTTTGAGGAGCTCGACTAGAAAGAGAAGGGAAGAGACGGGCAGTGACGACAGTGATCAGGCACGACGGAGGGTTGAAGGAAGGTGTGAAGCATGGTGGTGGCCACCATCCTCTTCCCACCCACTGCCAGTTAGGGATCTCTCTCCTCTTGCAGGGCTTCCCACAGAAGAAAGTGCCTGGGTCAAATGTCTGTCATTTTCCCTTTGGGTGTGTGAGTGTTTGTAGTGTGTGCATGCCTGTGTGCAGACAGCTGTAGTACGGAGCCTTTGGGTCAGAGCTCTGACTCCCCACCTGGTCTGGAGGCAGCCCTGGTCAGCCCCAAGATTCCCGAGAGGATGGGCCTGCTTCTTTTTCTCTAAGATGAGGACAAGGAGCTGGAAGCAGGCTGCGGACCATCAGGATCTGTCAGCAGCCCCTGTAAGTCTACCCACCATCTGGGCCCTATCAGACGAGTGGGGCTTTTCCTACATTAATCTCTGATGAGCTTGGCCCGGCTTTCATTTCAAAAGGCTCCACTTCATTTTCTGTGTTCCACCCAGCCCCTTCTTTATGCCCCCTCCCCAGGACAGGACTAAAAATTATGCTTTCTCCCTTCCTTGGTTTCCCAACGCAGCTGGGGCCAGAGAAAGCTTTGAAATTGGAGCAAGGCTCAGGATGAAGAAAGAGGGGGTGCTGAGTAGGGGTGGGGAGGGACTGGAAGTGGAAATGGCCAACAGAGCCTCTGAGGGAGGGGCAGAGAGCAGAGATCTTTTGGTGACCGATTCTGACCCCTCAGGATCTCTGATCCTTTTCTTCTCATCTCCCACCAAATATCCATCCATCACCCCTGTCCTTCCTCTCTTTGTCCCACATCCCTGGAAACAATTTCCTGTAACTTCTACTCCTCCCATCCCCATGTGTCTCTGCAGACCAGGCCAACTCTGTGTGTCAGGGAGTGAGTCTGGGCAAAAGCTGACCTGTTATGCTTGAAATCAGGGGCTTTCAAGGCCATGAGCCGGGGTTCTTGAGCTTGTTCTTCTATCTTCCTCCTTCCACATTCATTGTACAGTACAGGAGACCAGTGTTGAATGGCTGTGTGCCAAATGCAAAATAAGGTGTTGGGTTAACCAGTGAACAGAGTTTGATGTATCTCAGAGTCCAGGAATCCTGGAAGGTCAGAGCTAGGAGACACCTTGGGACATGTAGTCCAGACCAACTACCGTATGTAAAGGAGTGCTATGGCCCAGGAGGAAAGAGTGATCACAGAGGGAGTTGGTGGCTGGGCCAGGATGAGAACCTGGCAGTAACGCTCCCATTCATGAATCGGTCTAGTGTGGGTCGAGCTACAAGCATAAAAGATGCTCCATGGGTCATAATTCAAGGACCAAGTTGTATCCACAGTCAAAGGGGGCCAGGGTTGTAGTAAAGATGTCTCATGATAGATCCGGATTCCACAAATTGGAGATGAGGGATGGGTTGGAGCCAAAGCCAAGGACCAGTTTGTAAGAGGATTGGGGAATGAGTGGAGGATAAGTGGCTCAAAATAAAAGGCAAGGAGCCCAGTCTTACTAAATTTCTCCTTCTGTGAGTCCGTGTCTTTCTGTTTGCATGAAGAGGAGATTCGTTCAGTGATGGAAGGCTGATCATATGGATGCAGGATGGATTTGGCTACACATAACAGAAAACCCAACCCAAATGGGTTTAGACCAATAAGAGCATCTATTAACTCACAAAATAAGTTCAGAGATGAAGTAAGACTCAGAACTGATTGATTCAGCAGTGCAATCATGTCACCAAGGATTCAGGTTCTGTTACTCAGCTTTGCCTTACTCCATTTAATAATGTGGTTGCCTCTTAGTTGTAAGATAGCTGCCAGCAGAAAGCTGGGTTTTTTTTTTCATTTGTTCAGTTTAATGGGAAAGAGGAAAATAATTTCTCCCCCACCATGGAATGTACATCTTTCTCTTGAGTCTAATTGGGCAACTTTAGGTTACATGCCCATTTCTGGACCAATAATAGTTACCAGAAGAACCCTGTGCTTATTGACTTAGACCAGAGATTGGCAAACCATAGCTCATGGATCCAAGAAGTCAGGACATAAGCTAAGAATGGTTTTTGCATTTTTAAATGGCTACAGTGTAATGGTTATATAATTACCCATGTAATAGCTTTCATGTTGTTTTTTAGCCTTCAAAGCCTAAAATATTTACTGTTTAGTCCTTTAAGAAAAAATTTGCCAATCCCTGGCTTAGACTAATTAGGATCTACCCCTGACGTTGGGGGTGAGTTCAACTTTCTCTGAAGTCCATGACTATGCAGAGGACAGGCGGATATCTGCATAAAATTGGGTTTCTCTTTGTGAAGGAGAAGGTTGGTAGAACCGGGTAGAAACCAAGAGTGTCCATTGTAGCATAAAAGATAGCCATATAGTCAAATCTCATGAAAACTCGGGTGCAACCATTTAACAAGATTCACAGAGTCTCAAAAGTAGTTTGGGAACTGGAAGCTCATTTACAGTCCCATGCTATCTGGTAACCTCTTCTTCAGCATGAAAAATATTTTTGCTTTTTCCATATCAGCCAAGATCAACCACACTCTTTAGTCTTTATGTCTTTCACATATAATTATTCCTACCTTCTGCTTACTAGGATCCCTGCTTACTCCTGCCTTCTGCTGACTGATTCTTCTACTTTCTGTCTTTATTCACAGACAACATGATTATCTTGGAAAACTGTATGGAATATACAAATAAACTTCTAGACCTAGTGAGTTTAGTCAGGTGGCATGATACAAGATCAATATATGAAAATCAATGGTATTTCTATATTCCAGCAATGAACAATTAAAAGTTAAAATTTAAAGAATAATTCCATTTATAATAGCATCAAAAATATGAAATGCTTTGAGATCTATCTGTCAAAGACTGTGCAAGACTTGTGTAATGAAAACTGCAAAACACTGCTGAGAAAACGTAAAAGATCTGAATAAATCAAGAGGTAGCCTGTGCTCATGGATTAGAAGACATAATATTACTAAGATGTCAATTATCCTCAAATTGATCTATAGATTCAGTGCAATCTCATCAAAATCTTAGGCTTTTTTGTAGAAGTTGACATGCTGATTCTAAGATTTATACTGAAATGTATGGGATTTATAATAATGAAACAGCTATGAAAAAGAACAAAGTTGAAGGACTCACAGTACTTGATTTCAAAAGTTATACAAAACTACAGTTTTTTGTATTTGTTTTGAGTTAATTTTGGCACAAGTTGTGAAGGATAGAATGAGCTTCATTTTAAAACATACAAATATACAATTGTTCTAGCATTAGTGAAAAGAATATTCTGTTTCCATTCAACAGCCTTTGTGCCTTTGGTGAAAATCTGTTGTCCATATATGTGTGGATCTACTTCTGTCGTTTCTACTCTGTTTTATTAATTGATTAATCTATCTTTATGCCAATAGTAAATTGTCTTGATTACTGTTGTTTGGTTCTGTTTTTGGACTTTCTAGTTTGTTCCATTGATTTATGTATCTATCCTTTAGTCAATACCACATTTTCTTAATTACTGTAGCTTTATATTAAATCTCTAGTTTGTTCCATTGATCTATGCATCTATCGTTTAGTCAATACCATATTCTCTTGATTACTGTAGCTGTGTATTAAATCTTAAAATCTAGCAGTGTAAATCCTCCAAATTTGTTCTTTCTCAAAATTTCTTTGTCTACTCTAGTATCTTTGCTTTTTCACGTAAATTTTAAAATCAGCTTGTCAATATCTACCAAAGAAATTCTGCTTGGATTTTTATTGGAATTCCATTGAGTCTATAGGCCAGCTTTGGGAAAATTGACTTTCTTTTTTTCTTAATTGAGACAAGGTATCTGTTGCCGAGGCTGGAGTGCACTGGTTCCAAAAAGGCTTATGCAGCTTCCACCTCGTGGGCTCAATCTATCCGCCCACCTCAGCCTCCCAAGTAGCTGGGACTATAGGCATGTGCCACAACACCTGGCTAATTTTTGTACTTTTAATAGAGACAGAGTTTAGCCATGTTGCTCAGGCTGGTCTCCAACTCCTGGGCTTAAGCAATCCACATGCCTCCCAAAGTGCTGGGATTTCAGGTATGAGCTACTGCGCCCGGATGAAATTGACATCTTAATGATACTGAGTCTTCCAATCCAAAACCACATTTATTTTGTTCTTCCTTGATTTCTTTCATTAGCATTTTGTAGTTTTATACATATACATCTTGCACATATTTTGTAAGCTTTACACTTAGTATTTCATGCTTTTTGGTGCTATTGTAAATGGTACTTGCTATGGACTAGACTACATGCCCCGTCACCCCAAATTCATATATTGGAGCCCTAATCCCCAAAGTGACTGTATGTGAAGATGGGGTCTTTAGGAGATAATTAAGGTTAAATCAGGTCATAAGGGTGGGGCCCTAATCCTATAGGACTGTGGGCTTAGAAGAAGAGGAAGCTCTCTCCCTCTCTTTTCTCCACTGCCACCCTTTCCACTTTCCCCATGTAAGGACACAGAGAAGGCAGCTTTCTGCAAGCCAGGAAGACAGCTGTCAACTGGAACCAAATTGGCTTTCCCTTTGATCTTGGGCTTCTCAGCCTTCAGAACTGTGAGAAAGTAAATTTTGTTTTTTAAGCCACCTGATCTATGATATTTTGTTATGGAAGTTTGAACTAATACAGTACTTATTTTAAATTTTATTTTCAAAATATTTATTGATGATATATTGATGTGTCCTACAATCTCACTAAACTCACTTTTTAGCTCTATAGTTTCTTTGTCTATTCTTTGGAATTTTCTGCAGAGGCAACCAGGTCATCTGTGAATTAGAGATGGTTTTATTTTTTTTTCTTTTCAATCTGTATACATTTTATTTCTTTTTCTTGATGTTCTTCACTGTCTAGAACTTCCAGTACAATGTTGAATAGAATTGGTGAGAAAAGACATCCTAGCTTTGTTCTCAAATTTAAAGGGAAAGCATTCAGTCTCTCATTATTAAGTGTGATGTTTCCTTTAGGGTTTTTTCAAATGCCCCTTATTGGATTGAGAGAGTTTTTGTCTATTCTTAATTTGCTGAGACTTTGTATCATAAATAAATGTTGAATTTTGTCTCATGCCTTTTCTGCATTTATTGAGATGATCTTATGTTTTTCTTATTCCTCTGTTGATGGCAAATTACACTGATTTCCAAATGTTGAACTAACCTTCCTTACTGGTGATGATATACTAACTTCCACTTGGTGATGATATACTACTCTTTTTCTGTACTACTAGATTTTATTTTCTAGTATTTTCTTGAGGATTTTTATAACTATGTTCATGAAGAATATTGGTTTGCAGTTTGTTTTTCTCATAAAATTTTCTTGTGGTTTCAGAATGGGGATAATGCCTGCCACATAAATTGAGTTGGGAAGTATTCTTTCCTCTTTAATTGCCTAGAAGAGTTTACATATAATTGTTATTATCTCTTCCTTAATATTTCATAGAATTTGCCAGTGAAGCTATCTGGTCCTGGAGTTTTCTTTGTTGGAAAGTGTTAAATTATTAATTAAGTTTCTTTAATAGAATAGTGTTATTCAGATTATCTAATTTTTCTTGAATAACATTTGGTTGTTTGTATGTTTCAAGAAATTTTTGTATTGCTTTTAAGTGGTTAAATTTATGGACATTATATTCTCACAATAATGCTTTATTCTCCTTTAGTGCCTGTGGGATCTGTAGTGATGTCCCTTCATTCATTTGTGATATTGATAATTTGTATCATCTGTCTATGATTGATCTGACTACCTAGAAGCTTATCAATTGTATTGCTCTTCTCAAAGAACCAGCTTTGGATTTCCTTAATTTTTTTCTATACTGTTTTCTTTTTAAATGCCATTGATTTCTGTTATTATCTTTATGATTTCCCTCTTTGTCCTTGCTTTGATTTAATTTACCCTTCTTTTTCTGTTTTTTAAGGTGAAAATTTAGAAAATTGATTTAAGGTCTTCCTTTTTTAAAAACATAGGCGTTTAATGCTATAAATATTAATTATACTGTACTTTACCTGCACCCCACAAATTTCAGCATATTGTGTTTTCATTTTCATTCAATTAAAAATATTTACTAATTTCTCTTATAACTTCCTCTTTGACCCTCTTTGACAATAAATGCATTGATTAATTTATAAATATTTATGGATTTCCCAGATATTTTGTTATTAATTTCTAGTTTAATTCTGTTTGTTAAGAGATTTGTCTTTACATAATTTCAATTTTTAAAGCAATTTCTTGAAGTTTTTAATGACTCAGAATATATTGTCTCCTGGTGACTATTTCATGTGCACTTGAGAAGAATGAATATTCTGCTGTTGTTGGGTTGAGTTTTCTTTAAATGTCATTTAGGTCAATTTAATTGGTAGTGATCAGATCTTCTATATCTTTACTGATTTGCTGTCTACTTATTGTATTGATTACTGAGAGAGAAGTTTTGATGTCTCCAACTATAATGGTTGATTTGTCTATTTCTATTTTAAATTCCATTTTCATTTCATTCAAGTTGTTAAATTTGTGGACATTGTGTTTTTCACAATCATATTTTATTCTTCTTTAGTGTCTGTAGAATTTGTATTGATGTCCCTTCATTAATGGCTGATGTTGGTAATATATTCCTCTCTCCCTTTTTTTCTAGATTAGTTGTGCTCCAGGAAAATCAATTTTATCAAGCTTCTTAAAAAACAAAACTTTGTTTTTATTGGTTTTTCTCTATTGTTTTTCTATTTTTATTTCATTAATTCTAACTTTATTATTTTATCTTTTTTATGTTTACTTTGGTCTTAATTTTATTTCCCTTTTCTAGCCACACAGAGTGGAAGATGAGATCAATGATTTAAGATTTTTCTTCTTTTTTAATACAGGCAATTAGTGTTATAATGTTAGATGTGTCCCACAAATTTTGACATGCTGTGTTCTAATTTATAATTATTTATAATTTTCTTTTTAATTTCTTCTTTGATCCATGGTATCTTAAAGGTGTGTTGTTTTATTTCTGAGTATTTTGAGGCTTTCCAGAAATCTTTCTCTTAATGGTTTCTAACTTAATTCCATTGTGGTAAGAGAAAATGCTTTTTATGACAGTGTTCTTTTAAACTTAGGTAGACTTGATTTATGGCTTAGAATATGGTTTATCTTTGCAAATATTCCATGTCCATTTGAAAAGAATAAGTATTCTGCTATTGTTTGATGGCATGTTCTATGAATGTAAATTAGTCCAGTTGGTTGATAGTGTTGTTCAAGTCTATAGCCTACTGATTTCCTGTCTACTTGTTCTATGAATTATTGGTAGAGGAGTGCTGAAATCTTCAACTATAACGATAATTATTTTTTTACTTCCTGTTTTTTGAAGCTCTGTTATTAGGTATATGCAAATTATTGATTGTATGTTTTCTTGATTAATTGACTCTCTCATCATGAGATTACCTTTTAAAAAATCTCTGAGAGTATTCCTTTCCCTGAAGTCTGCTCTGATATTAATATATCTACTTTCTTATGATAAGTGTTTGCATGCAATTTCTTTTTCTATTCTTTCCTTTTTAACTGACATGTGTCTTTATATTTAAACTGTTTCTTGTGACAGATATAATTTGACCATTTTTTTAAAGCCCAATTTTAATCTCTTTTTATTGGATTATTTAGACCATTTGTTTTAAACATAATATAATGATGTAATATAATACTATGATAACTGGGTTTTAATCTATCATCTGGTTATGTGTTTTGTATTTGTTCTATTACTCTGTCTTTTTTTTCTTATTTACCTTGTCTCCTGCTTTCATTTAGAGGAATTATTGTTTATGATTCCCTTTTATCTCCACTATTTGTTTATTAGCTATAATTCTTTTGTTTAAGTGATTGCAGAACAGTTTAAAATAAGCATCTTTGACTTATCTTTATCACATCACATTCTACCTTCAAATACTATTGGAGGCATATAATTTATATATTATATGTAATATAAAATTTGTATGTAAATATATAATAAGTACAGAATTACATGAAGTATATAATAATGGCTCATAAAATCTTTGTAAACATACTTCAAGTAAGCTCAAATTGAAGTATATTATACCTTCATATAATATTCCCTATTGACTATTATACCATTGTATGCATAATGGACAACAGTACACATTATACAACCTTACAACAGTATACCTCCATTCCATCCTTTGCGTTGTTGTAATCATACATTTTACTTCTTCCTATATAAATTACCACATGGAACATTGTTGTTTTTGTTTTAAAGTGAGTTTTTTTAAAAAAAACATATTTTCACTGAGGTATAATTTAGATAACATAAAATTTACCCTTTGTAAGTTTACAGTTCAATGACTCTTAGTAAGTTTATATAGTTCTGCAATCATTGCCACAATCAATTCCAGAACAATTATATTACCCACTCATCCCCAAATTTTCCTCCTGTCCATTTGCAGCCAATTCCATTCTCATCCCAAGCATCAGGTACCCACTGATCTGATTTCTGTCACTATACTTTTGGATTTTCTATAAATTTCATATAAATGGAATAATACTGTATGTAGTCTTTGGTATGCAGCACCTCATGCTTAGCACAATGTTTTTCAGGTTCATCCATGTTGTTGCATGTATTAATAGTTCATTTCTTGTTTATTCTTGAGTAGTAGTTCATTGTATGTGTATATCGTATTTAGTTTGTTCATTCCTTTGTTGATGGACATTTGTGTTTTTTCCAGTAAGGACACATTATTATGCATAATGCTCCCTTGAACTTTTGCATGCAAGTCTTTGAGGGACACAAATTTCCATTTCTCTTGTGTATCTACATAGGGGTGGAGTTTCTGGGTCCCATGGAAATATACGTATAACTTTTTAGGAAATGTTTAAAATGGCTGTACTATTTAAATTCTTACCAGCAATATATGAGGGTTCCATTTATCCACATTCTCACCAAAACTTGCTAGGTCAGTGTTTTAGACATTTTTGTAGACATTCTAGAGGGTGTACAGTGTTACCTCATTGTGGTTTTAGTTGGAATCTCCCTAATAACCAATGATGCTGGGAATCTTTTCATGTGCATTCATATGCTTAGTTGCTATCATACAGTCAGGTGCTGCACAGCAATGTTTCAGTCAACAACGGACTGCATATACAAACGGTGGTCCCATAAGATTATAATGGAGGTGAAAAATTCCTATCGCCTAATGATGTTGTAGCTGTCATAATGTCATAGTGCAACACATTATTCACATGTTTGTGATGATGCTGGTGTAAACAAACCTACTGTGCTGCCAGTCTTATGGAAGTATAGCATATACAATTATGTATAGTGCATAATACTTGATAATGACAATAAATGACTATGTTACTGGTTTATGTATTCACATACTATACTTTTTATGATTATTTTAGAGTATACTCCTCTACTTACATATTTTAAAATTAACTGTAAAACAGCCTTAGGCAGGTCCCTTAGGAAATATTGCAGAAGGAGGCATGGCTATCATAGGAGATGATGCTCCATGTGTATTGTTGCCCCTGAATACCTTCCAGTGGGACAAAATGTGGAGGTGAAAGTGATATTGATTATCCTGCCCCTGTGTAGGCCTAGGCTAGTGTGCATGTTTGCATTTTAGTTTTTAATTTAAAAGTTTTTTAAATAAAATAAAAAAACCTTTTAAATAGAAAAAGTATAGCTTATGGATATAAAGATAGAAAATATTTTGTACAGTGTGTTTGTGTTTTAAGCTTAGTGTTATCACAAAAGTCAAAAAGTTAAAAAAGTTTATAATAAGCTAAGGTTAATTTATTAAAGAAAGAAATATTTTAAAATAAACAGTGTAGTATAAGTGTACAGTGTTTATAAAGTCCACAGTAGTGTACAGTGATGTCCTAGGCCTTCACATTCACTCTCCACTCACTCATTGACTCACCCAGAGCAACTTCCAGTCTTGCAAGCACCATTCATATAAGTGTCGTTTACAGCTTTTAGATGTACCATTTTTTATCTTGTATACTGCAGTTTTGCTGAACCTTTTCTATGTTTAGATACATAAATATGTACCATTGTGTTACAATTGCCTACAGTATTCAGTACGGTTATACTCTGTACAGGTTTGTAGCCTAGGAGGAATAGACTATACCATATAGTCTAGATGTGTAATAGGTTATAACATCTAAGTTTGTGAAAATACACTCTAAGATGTTTGGACAACAAAATCATCTAACAATGCGTTTCTCAGAATGAAACCCCATCATTAAGTGATGCATGACTATGTCTTGTTGGTGAAGTGTCAGTTCAAATTTTTGCTCATGTTCTTATCAGTTTCTTGACTTATTATTATTGCATGGGTGTATTTATGGACTCTATTCTAGTCCATTGACCTTTATGTACATTCTTAGGCCCACACTATGCTGTCTTGATTAATGTAGCTTTATAATAAGTTTTGAATAAAGTAGTTTAAGTTCTCCAACTTTGTTCTTTAGCTATTCTAGATCCTTTACATTTTCATATACATTTTAGGATCAGCTTGTCACTTTCTACCAAACAAGCTTACTGGGATTTTGACGAGGATTTAGATTGAATATATAGATAAATTGGGGAAAACTGCCAACTTAACAATATTGAGTCTTCCAATCCATGAACAAGGTATCTCTCTAGTCATTCACATCTTTTAAAAATTCTCTCAGCAATGCTTTGTAATTTTCAGCATATAAGTCTTACACGTTTGTTAAATGTATTCCAAAATATTTTATTCTTTTTATACTATTGTGATTGCAATTATTTTCATAATTTAATTTTTAGGTTGTTTGTTGCTATTATATAGAAATGCATTCCATCATAAAGACACATGCATGTGTATGTTCATTGCAGCACTATTCACAATATCAAAGACCTGGAATCAGCGTATCAATGGTAGACTGGATAAAGAAAATGTGGTACATATACACCATGGAACATTATGTATCCATAAAAATGAATGAGGCCATGTCCTTTGCAGGAACATGGATGGAGCTGGAGGCCATTATCCTTAGCAAATTAACACGGGAACAGAAAACCAAATATCACACGTTCTCACTTACAAATGGGAGCTAAATGATGAGAAAACATGGACATGTAGAGGGGAACAACAGACACTGAGGCCTATTGAAAGGTGGAGGAGGGAGACGATCAGGAAAAATAACTAATGGGTACTAGGCTTAATACCTGGGTGATGAAATAATCTGTACAATGAACCCCCATGACATAAGTTTACCTACATAAGAAATATGCACATGTACCCCTGAACTTAAAATAAAAGTTAAAAGAAAAACGGAAATACAATTAATTTTTGCTTATTGAGCTTGCATTGCATTACCTTACTAAGTAGGTAGCTTTCTAGTCATAGTTCTAATAGCTTTTTGTGTTGTAATTTCCTTAGAATTTTTTACATAGATGATCCTCTAATTTCTAAATATAGTTTTTACTTTTGTCATTCCACTCTATACCTTAAGGTTTTTTTTTTTTTCTTACTTTATTGACTGGTAGAACTTCCTGTATGATATTTAATAGAAGTGGCAAGACCATAAATCCTGCAAAGTTTATATTTCTGGATAAACATTTAGTCTTTGGTTATTAAGTGTGATATTAGTTGAAAGTTTTTTGTAGATGCCTTTTGTTTTGTTGAGGACATTTCCTTCTATTCCTACTTCTTTGAGAGGTTTTTGTTTTCATCAATGAATGGTGGATTTTATCAGTGCTTTTTATGTGCCTATTGAGATGATTATGTAGAATTTGCTCTTCATTTTGTTAATATGGTGTATTACTTGATTGTTTATTACTTGATTTTTAGATGTTAAATCAACCTTGCATCAGTAAGACAAATCTCACTTGGTCATAGTGTACAATCTCTTTTATACATTGCTGGATTTTGTTTGCTAATATTTTGTTAAGGAGTTTTGTATCCATGTTCGTGAGGAATATTAGAATGTTGTTTTGTTTCTTGTCATGTCTTTGTCCAGCTTTATAAAATAAGTTCCCTCCTTCTCTCTCTTCTGGGAAAGTTTATGTAAGATTTGTGTTACTTATTCCTTGAATGTTAGATGGAATTCACCAGTGAAGGCATCTGGGCCTGGGGTTTTCTTTGTGAGATAATTTTAATTATTAATTCAATTTCTTTATTTGATATATGTCTTTTCATATTTTCTCTTCTTTCTTGAGTCACTTTTGGTTATTTATATCTTTCTTATAATGTTTTCACTTCATTTAACTTGTCTAATTTGTTGGCATGAAGTTATTCATAATACTCTCATCTAATTCTGTAGGGTCTGTTTTGATGTCCCCTCCTTTATTCCTGAGTTTAATAATTTGCGCATTTTCTCTTCCATTCTTGGTCAGTCTGGCTAAAAGTTTATCAATTTTGTTGATTTTTTATTTTTTGAGGCAGGGTCTGGCTCTGTCATCCAAGCTGGAGTGCGATGGCACCTTTACAGCTCACTGCAACCTCCACCTCCCAGGTTCAAGCAATACTTCCACCTCAGCCTCTGGAGTAGCTGGGACCACAGGTGTGCACCACCACTCCTGGCTAATTTTTGTATTTTTGATAGAGACAGGGTTTCACCATGTTTCTCAGGCTGGTCTCGAACTCCTGGGCTCAAGCAATCCTCCCACCTAAGCCTCCCAAAGTGCTGGGATTACAGGCATGAGCCACCACACCCAGCCTGTTGATTTTCAGAGAGTATATTTTTACTTTCATTTATTTTTCTATTGCTTTTCTGTTTTCTATTTTGTTAGTTTCTGCTCTGATGTTTACTAACTTCTTTCTGCTTAGGCCTTCATTTTATGGCCTTCTGGAGTGAGAAGCTTAGATTATTGATTTTGAATCTTTCTTTCTAATGTGTTTAAAACTATACACTTTCCTCTAAGAACTACTTTACTTGCATTCCATAATTTTTGATGTGTTTTGTTTACATTTTTTTCCAGTTTAACATATTTTCTAGTTTTACTTGTAATTTTTCCTTATTTTACTTTGAATAAATGTTCTTACTTTATTTTATTTAGAAATCTGTGTTAATTTTCAAGTATTTGGAAACTTCCAAGATTTTTTTCTTTGGTTGATGTTTTACTTAATTCCATGATGACTGGGGGACATACTTTGAATGATAACATTCCTTCAAAATATATTGAGATTTATTTAATAGTCTCAATAAAAGTGTTATTGAACACTTGAAATGTGTTTATTTTGCTGTTGTTGAGTGGCGTGATCAATATATATCATTTAGGTCAAATTGGTTAACAGGGTTGTTTAAGTCCACTATATCATTGCTGATTTTCTGTCTAGTTTTTCTAGTAATTTCTGATAAGAATATTAACGTTTTCAGCTACAACTCTTGAATTGTCTATTTCTTCTTTTGATTATGTTAGGTTTTCCTTCATATAATTTGGGGCTCTGTTGTAAAATACTTTTACATATATAATTGTTGTACTTTCTTAATGTATTCAGCATATTATCATTATGAAACATCTTTCCTTGTCTCCAGGAATATTTCTTGTCTTAAAGTCTACTTTTGCCTATGTTACTATATCCTCTCCAGCTTTCTCTTGGTTACTATGTGCAGAATATAAAAATTTGTACTCTTCCCTTTCAAATTATTTGTTTCTGGATCCTGTCTCATGCATTCAGCATATACATAGTTCTTATTTTTCTTATCCAGTCTGACGATCACTGCATATATAAGTGTATGTAATATAACTATATATATCAGTTTTATTGCAATATAATTTACATATCACACAATTCACCCTTTTAAAGTATACCTATGGTTTTTATTATACATTTTTTATTATATTCATAGGGTTGTGCAATCATCATCACAATCAACTGTTGAACATTTTTATCACCCTAAAAGAAGCCCAGTACACATTAGCAGTCACCCTCCATTTCCTGCAACATGCCCAAGCTCTAAGCAACCACCAATCAGTTTTCAGTTTCTACAGATTTACCTACTATGGACAATTTATATAAATGGAATCATGAAATATGTGGTCTTCTGTGACCGACTTATTTCACTTAGCATGATGTTTTCAAGGTTTATCCATGTCGTAGTATTTATCAGTATTGCATTCCATTTTATGTCTGAACAATATTTCATTGTGTGGAATTACATTTATCCATTCATCAGATGGCAGACATTGGGGTTGTTTACACTTTTGCTATTATGAATAATGCTGTTGTGAACATTTGTGTGCAGTTTTTGTGTGGACATATATTTCCAATTATTTTTGGTCTATACTAGAAGTGAAATTGCTGGGTCATGTGGTAACCCTATGTTTAACATTTTGAGAAACTGCTAGACTGTTTTCCAAAGTATCTGTATCATTTTACTTGTCACCAGCAATGTATGAGGGTTTCAATTTCTCCATATCCTCTTCAACATTTGTTATGATCTGACTTTTTGATTACAGTCATCCTAGTGGATTTGAAGTGATATCTCATTGTGGTTTTTATTTGCATTTATCTGATGACTAATGATGGTGATCTTCTTTTCCTGTGCTTCTTGGACATGTGTTCATCTTCTCTGAAGAAATGCATGGTCAGATCCTTAGCCCATTTTTAAAAACTGGTTATTTTGTTGTTGTTTATTATTGATTTGTAAGACTCCTTTATATGTTAGAGATATAAGTCCCTTATCAGACATATGATTAGCAAATATTATATCCCATTCTGTGAGTTGTCTTGTTGCTTCCTTTATGTTGTCCTTTGAAGCACAAAAGCTTTTATTCTGATGAGATTTGAAGTATCTATTTTTCTTTTGTCAGTGGGGCTTTTGGTGTCATATCTAGGAAAGCTTTATTTAACCCAAGGTCATGAAAATTTACTCCCATATTTTCTTCCAATAGTTTTATTGTTTTGTCTCTGACACTTGGGCCAACAATTTATTTGGAGTTAATTTTTATATATTGTGTAAGAAACAGGTCCAGCTTCACTCTTTTTCATGTAAATATCCAGTTTTTCCATTTGTTGAAAAGATTGTTCTTTTTCCCAGTGAATTGTCTTAGCACACTTTTTGACAGTCAATTTACCATAAATGTGAGAATTTATTTCTGGGCTTTCAATTTTATTCCATTGATCTATATGTTTACCTTTATGTCTATGGCATGGCTACAATTTGAAGTGCACGAGCCAACCCACATATAGGCTGATAGGCAGAGTGTGAAAACTTGTGAGTTTTGAGATGGTTAGGAATAACTTCTATCCAAATTGTTGGGTGACCACTAAGCAAGCTACTCTAAGTACATCATATAAGTGGAATCATACAGCATTTGTCCTTGTGATTGGCTTATTTCATTTAGCATAAAGTCTTAAATTTGCATCCAAAGAGTAGAATGTGTCAGAAACTTCTTCCTATTTAAGAATGAATAATATTCCATTGTATGTACCACCACATTTAGTTTATCAATTCATTCATTGATTGATGCCTGGGTAGTTTTCATCTTTTGGCTATTGTTAATAATGCTGCTATAAACATGGTGTACAAATGTGTGTTTATGTCTCTGCTTTCAAGTCTTTTGAGCATATGCCCAGAAATGCAATTACAGGATCATATAGTAATTCTATTTTTAATTTTAGGGAAACTACTATCCTGTTTTCCATAGCAGCTGCACCATTTTACATTCCCAACAGCAGTAAACAAGGTTGCCAAATTCTTCATATTCTCACTGACACTTATCTTCTAATTTTTGTTTGTTTAAATAATAAACATCCTAATGGGTGTAAAGTGGTATGTCTTTATGATTTTGATTTGCATTTACCTAGTGATTACTGATGTTGAGCATCTTTTCATATACTTACTATTTGTGTATCTTCTTTGAAGAAATGTCTATTCCAGTCCTTTGGTCATTTTTTAATCGTGTTGTTTGTTTTTAGTTGTTATTGTTGAGCTTTAGGAGTTATCTATATATTCTGGAATCCATTATTTCTTAGGATACTTTTTCTTTCCCTTCTGTCCCTTTGGGGCTTAAGTTTATGGATTTTAGATCTCTTCATACTGTTTTATAGGTCACTAAGGGTCTGTTCATTTTTTTTTCAGTTTTTCTTTTACTCTGTAATTCATTTTGTTATTTTATTTTATTTTTGAAACAGAGTCTCACTCTGTCGCCCAGGCTGGAGGGCAGTGGCACCATCTTAGTTCACTGCAGCCTCCTGGGTTCAAACAATTCTCCTGCCTTGGCCTCTCAAGTAGCTGGGATTACAGGTGTCCACCACCACACTCAGCTAATCTGTATTTTTAGTAGAGACAGGCTTTTGCCATGTTGCCCAGGTTGATCTTGAACTCCTGACCTCAAGTGATCCACCCACCTTAGCCTCCCAAAGAGTTGGGATTACAGGCGTGAGCCACCTGTTCCTGGCCATCACCCTGTAATTCTTTTTTTTTTTTTTTTTTTTGAGATGGAGTCTCACTCTGTCACCCAGGATGGAGTGAGTGCAGTTGTGCCATCTTGGCTCACTGCAACCTCTGCTTCCCAGGTTCAGCCTGGGAGCCTGCCTCAGCCTCCTGAGTAGCTGGGATTACAGGTGAGTGCCACAACGCCTGGCTAATTTTTGTATTTTCAGTAGAGACAGGGTTTCCTCATGTTGGCCAGGCTGGTCTCGAACTCCTGACCTCAAGTGATCCACCCACCTTGGCCTCCCAAAGTGCTGGGATTACAGGCATGAGCCACCACGCCTGGCCCCTGTAATTCATTTTGGAAAGTTCCTCTTGTTACATCTTCAAGTTCACTGATCTTTTATTTGGCACTCTTTAATCTGTTGTTAATCTCATTTCACTTAAAACTTTATATTTTCATCTCTAGACTATTTTATTTTTTTAAATATCTCCCGTTTCTGTCTTCATTATGCTTATGTTTTTCTTTACATTCTTAAGCATATGTATAATAGCTACTTAAAAGCCCTTGTTTGCTAATATCATCATCTTTGTCATTTCTAGGTCTGTTTCTATTGACTGTTTTTTTCTCCTTGTTATGGGTCACGTTTTCCAGATGCTTTGCATGTCTAGTAATTTTAATTGGATTCTAGGCATTATTAATAGTATGTTGCTGAATGTCTGTATTTTTTCCCTTAAAGAATATTTAGACTTTCTTATGTCTTATAGCTACTGTGTGTCAGCATGGTCAATTTGAGGCTTTTTTCAAAGCTTAATTAGGGCTTCTTTAGGGTAGCCTTTACTCTAGGTGTAGTTTAATCCTTCTTCTAAAGTATGACCATTTCTGGAAGCTCAATTAAGTCCCGGGATGTTCAGTGAGGTCTTTTCACTTTGGCTGGTAAGAAATGTAATGTCTCTCAGCTCTGCAAAAGCTCCAAGAATTTCTCAGTTTACAATTACCCACTGGTTCTTCACCTGTCTTTATGGATATTCAGCCTACACATGTGCACCTTAATGTTCAACCACAGCCTTAATATATGCAACTTTCTGGAGTTCTTTTTCTACATGGCTCCCTCATCTCTGGTATTCTGCCCCACATATTTCAGTTGCCTCAGACTGCCTGAATTTGATCTGTCTTCAACTCAGCGAGACCACCCTGCTCTGCTGGGACATGCCCTTCCCTGTCTCTTGTTCCAGAAAATTATCCAGGCAGAATTTGGAACTTTCTAGTAAGATTTATTAATTCTTCACCTATTTCCCTTCTCTGCGGGATCCTAGCCTTGCACTGCCTGTTGCCCACGTCTGGAAACATGTATGTCATGTATTTTCACCAATTTTCTAGTTGTTTATAATTGCAGGGTAGGTTGAATACCAGGTACTCTGTGTGATGGAAGTAGAAGTTATATATGGTTTTAATTTCTAGAAACTTTTTTTTCTGATTGTACTTTATTAGCCTCCTATTTTTTAGATACAATATCCTCATGGATCATCCTGGGAATATTAATTAGAATACTGTTCATGCTTTTCCTCTTCCTTGAATTGATTGACTTTTCATTGAGGGTAAGTTACCCTGCCATTTCAACTTGGGCACCATTTTGCCATTGTCCATTCTTTTCAAATAATGAGTTTTAACTGGCTGGTAATATGTATAATAAAATTCTGGATTAATTAGAATTGGTACTGTGAGGGTTTTCTTAGCAGCTATGTAGGCAAGTGGCTGGAGGAGACATACCATAACCATTCACTCATAGTTGATGGTGATTTCTATGGTCACGGTCCTCTGATGGTGGAATCACAGGGATATTTACCAAAAATGATCTCCTCTAATCTTCATGTATTTCTCACAGTTATTGTAATTACTGTTCCAACTTTACAGTTGAGGAAACTGAAATTCAGGGAGGTTCAGTAATTTGCTAACATCACAGAACTCGTGAGTAAAGCAACCAGGATTAGAGTCTGGACCATCTTTCTACCTATACACTATGCTGCCTCCCATTTGCTTTATAACTTCAAGAAATTTCCTATTTCTGACCTATTGGTGGAACTGTTTCATGTTTTCCGGTACAGGCACAGATATTTTCTAGTGTTAAAATTTCTTTTGTTTTTTTCATCTGGCTTTTGTGAGTATTTTGAGAGTATTCATGACCTTAGTTTGTGTTTTCTCTTAATCTTAAGACTCCAGCCCACATTCTTTCCATATTATAAACTATGTCCTTAAGTTAAGTTCCTCTTTAAGTTAAAGCCCTCAGTGGGACAACTGAGAAAAAGGAAAAGATATTTTTGAGGGACTTCATATATACTTTGTAAAATAAAATTAAATGTTCATAAATTTTACAAATACATTCCTATCAACAGTGCATCAAAATGCCAGCTACTCCATGGGGTGTAGTTTTTAATTGGTGTCTCTGGAAGCCCCAAACTTTTAAGATGTTTAATGGTGGAATTTGAGGCACAGTGACACATGGGCAGAGGAGATATTTTTGGGAGCAATTTCTGCCCTGTACCTCCCAAATCCCTCACAGACCCCCTTTCTTCTCGGGCAGCCCCTCCTGCACATGCTGGGGGCAGGGCTTGGGCTTAGGGCACCTCTGCCAGGATCCCACTGATCTATGTTCTTGCCTGACACTCAGCAGCTGTCGTGGAGGCGTGGGCTGCAGGCGCTGTTCCCCATGGGCCGTGTGCAGGCCGCAGGCCGGGGAGCCTTTCCCGCCTAATCCGAGGGGTGCTGGCAGTGGGGAGGGAGACAGCTGGGTGTAACTGATCTGCAAAGGAATGGAATGGTGCAGGCCCCCCAGCACTGGGCTGGGCCGTCTGCAGGCTGCCTGTCCCAGCTGCTGAGCCTTAACCCTTCCCTCTCTTATTTCTTTCTCCCCTCCATTGGGAAGTTGATGTCACCCAGCTTAGCCAAGTCCCGGGAAACCCCTTGAGAAATAAGCTTCCCTAGCTGGGTATCTACACCTTGAAAAGGATCCAGCTAGGTGATAGTTTCTGCTGGGGGGCTTGGGTCCTACCTGGGAACTTCCTGTCTCAGATAGAGACAGGGCTTTTGGAAGGCCTAGTGGGCGACTCAGATAGTAGAGGCTGTAAGGTCAGCACAGGGAGGCCCACCCTAGGTTGGAGCTCAGGGAAGATTCTCTGGCAGAGGCAATGGAATGGGCACTCGGTTTGGAGTCTGGCGCTGCCTCCACCATTGCTCACTTTGCAGTGAGACTCTGGGTGAGTCACTGTCATTCCCTGGGATCAGTTTCCTAATCCTGAAAAGGAGGAGTTTAAAGATATTCCTAAAGGTTTAGGAAAGAAGGTTCATAGTGGAAACAATAGCTCCATTTATTAAATGCCTACCATAGGCCAGGACTCTATCTATAAACATTCTCACCATCACTTTGCCAGACTCTCATTTCCATTTTGGTGATGAGGAAACTGAGACTTGGAGAGTGTAAATCATACAGCTGTTCAGAGATAGAACCTACCCCACAATCTAGGCCCTTTACTAGATCCCGAAGATCAGCTCCAAGGATCCGTAAATGGTGATCTGGTTCAGTGGAACAGAGGCAAGATGGCATAGCTGGATAGGGCACACAGAGGCAAAGGCTTAGCAGTGAGCCCTGAGTCTGCTGGATGGAGGGTGGGCTGGGACTGAGTCCGGCTCTTTGAGCCTGCTTTTCTCTTGCTCTGGTCCCAGCTGGGCTGGGATTCCCTGGCTCAGCCCAGCAGCCTCACATATGAGCACAGCCTCTGCAGTTGTCCAGCCCTTTCCCATCCATGATCTCACTTGACCCTCTTGCCAACTCTGTCGCAGAACCTATTGCTTCTCCTCACCATGGGGAACTGAGGCTTAAAATTTGCCAATGTTCTACAACTGCTAACTGGCCAAAGAGAAACTAGAACCTTCTTTCCACTGCTCCCTCTGGCTTCCAGGAAGAAGGAGCCTGGAGTAACAGGGAGGAAGAGCTCCCAGGCACCCAGCAATCTTCTTAGTCTCTTTCTGGGCTGAGAAAGAAAGTGTGAGTGTGGGCTCTGGAGTTAAACAGTTGTGAGCTTGAGTCCTAATTCCTCCACTCTCAAGCTGTGCAAGTCACTTACCCTCTCTGAGCCTTAGCAGCCTCATCTGTTATGAATGAAGATGTCGTGGGAATAAATGAATGACTGCTGGAGCCAGACCTGCATCTCCCCTCCCTGGGCAGAGCACAGGCACAGGCTGGCATGGGAAGCCCCAGTCAAGCAGAAACTAGGGCTGGGGGGCTAGAGGCCAAAGGGAGGGCTCCTAGGTGCTGCTGTGTTGTAGCTGCTCTGCAGGCTAGGCAGGGACTGTCGAGGGAGAGGAGGAAAAGGACACTCCAGGTGAGGCAAAGACACAGAGGCAGGAATGGACACTGTGTAGGAGGACCAGCTATAAGGTTTGGGTTTGGCTGGCTTGGGAGAGGTACGGTCTTCATGGCCAGTGAGAAACAAGCCTAGAGAATGGTTTATCTCTAGAGAAAGAGTTGTCCAAGGGTTCAGGGGCTGGACCAGTTACCCAGCATGCTGCCTGCCCATCTCCACCCACCCCCACCCAATCCCTGGGGTGCTGTGTTCTCTGGGCAAGGGGCCGGGGGCATCAGGGAGGTGGCAGAGGGAGGGGGAAGCATGCAATCCCAGCTCGGGAGAGACAGCTGTGCAGGCCTCCTGCCTGCTGCAGGGGATTAACTGGCACCGCACAGTATGTTAGGGAGCACCTGGCTCCCCGGTTCTGCCCACCCCTGCACCCTTTAACTCTTTGTTGTCTGGGCTCCTCACCTTCAAGCTTAGAGGTATGTTCACACTTATTCTCCAGTGTCCTCAGTGTTCCATGTTGGAAACAGAGATAAAGAAAGACCTAAGGTGGGGTCTGCCCAGCCAGAGGTATCTGTGTCATCACTGTCCCTCCTCATGCCAGCTATGGCCCTCTGAGACCCTGACTTTTCTCCACAGCAAAGCTTTTCTGTTTCCACTGGCTTCTCCAGGGCATACAGTCAAATCACTGCCTACCTCAAGTCCTCCCCTAACTCATGCTCTATCTCTTCTTTTCCAGTCACACTTTCTAGCATTGTCCTCCTCACTCTCTCCGCTTCCTCACAGAGACAGCACTGCCCACCAGACCCATCTTCCTGGGCACACAGCTGGACTACGTTCCCCAGCCTTTCTTGCACTGAGATGTGGCCAGTTCAGGCCAGTGGAATCCGAGTGGAAGGGAGTGAGCCACTTTCAGTCCTGGGCCCTGCAAGCTTCCCGCACATGCTCTCCCTGCACCTCGGCTGGCTGATGCCTGAGATCACAGAGACTCTGGGAGGCCCGTGCTGAAGGTGGTAGAACCTCAAGACAGAGGAGCCAGGATCCCTAAATCATTCTGGACACAAAGCTCTAGCTACCTACTTATTTTGAGTGTTTTTTTTAAATAGGAGGAAGGAATAAGCTTCTATCATGTTTGAGCCTTGCTGTGTGTGAAAAAAATAAATGAGGAATTTGGTCCCCTCTCCTCTACCTCCCCATGTGGGACAACCCAGAAAAGCAGGGAAGAGGGGTCTGGAACTCAGAAAAGAGGGTTGGAAGGGGAACAGCTCTGGTGAAGGGAGAGGAACAGGATGTTACCCATGAAGCTGAAGTTAGATATGTAGCGTTTGACTTCCAATTTGAAGCTGTTCCTGAACCTGTCGTCTGCCTTCCCCAAACCACCATGACAAGTGTGCAAGACTCCAAGGCCTTGTGTGGTCAGAGGCTTGGGAAAATGTAAACAAAAGCGCCACACGTGGGTGAGGCCAGGGGGATCTGGGCCTGGGGAGGGGGCCTGTGCAGACAGTGCTTACCACAGTGACAAGGAAAGGGTTAAGGGGGTCTGTGAGCAGGATTGGCTCTCCTCACAGTGAGGGTAGTAAAATCAGCATGTCGCCTCCAATTTGCTCCGGCCTGACCTTGAACGTGAATCATTCCATCACAATGTCCTTATTGATTTCCACAGGAAGAGGATTAAGCCCAGAAAATCAGGGCGGGAACTTGAGCCTGCACCACGGAGAATGGGATGGTTCTGCAGCTCAAAACTCCTCGTGTTTGCAAATACGTCACAGGGGGCTGCAAGCTGGGCAGCCACCCTGCTCGGCCACCAATCTCTCAGTGGCTCTGCTGGTCCTGGCTTTCTGTTTCCTCAGCTGTGTGTGGCCACTGGAGTTGCCTCAAGCTTTAAGTAATGCACAGAGTGTGGGAGGAAACAGGAATGGGGGAGATGCCACAGATGTCCCTAGGGCCTTCAGTCTATTCTAGTCTCTTCTGATGATCTCCTGGGATCTGAAAAGGCTATTCTAGGACCAAAGTTGCCACTGAACTAGTTGGTGGCTCAACAGCCAGGAAGGACCTTCCTCAATCTTGAAAACTCTTCAAGGGAATGAGACGTGTGTGTGTGTGTGTGTGTGTGTTGTGTTGTGTTGTATGTGTGTGTGTATTACCCACACAGGTGCATAAAGGAGGGATCATTCTGTGTGAAACAACCCACAATTTCCTGTCATCATTTAACATATCCTGGAGAGCTCAGCATGTCAGTACCCAAAAGGGCTACATAATATTCACGAGTGTGGCTGTACCAGGTTGCTTAATCCTTCCCTACTGACAGGCATTTGCAGTTGTTACTAATTTTTAACACTCAGGACAATGCCGCAATAAACATCCTGGCGCATGCCTCTGCAGGAATTCTTTCTTTTGATGCTATCTGTTTCCTATTGCTCCTGTAACAAATTGCCACACATTTAGTGGCTTAAAACACACACATTTATTCTCTTACAGTTGTAGAGGTCAGAAGTATGAAATCAGCTTCACTAAGCTAAAATCAAGGGGCCAGCCAGCCTGTGTTCCTTCTGGGGGCTCTAGGAGAGAATCCAGTTCCTTGATTTTCCAGCTTCCAGAGGCTGCCTGGATTTCTTGACCAGTGGCCCCTTACACTAACTTCAAAGTACATCACTCCAACCTCGCTTCTGTCATCCCGTCTCCTCTCTCTGACTCTGACCTGGCTGCCTCTCTTATATAAGGACGCTTGTGATTACACCGGGCCCACCTGGATGACCCAGGATAATCCTCTTATCTCAAGATCCTTAATCACGTCTGCAGAGTCCCTTTTACCATGTAATGTAATATAAATATTCGCAAGATCCAGAAATTAGGACTTGTACATCTTTGGAGGACCACTATTCAGCCTTCCATAGCTACCTAGAAATAGGATGACTTAGTTAAAGGAGATGTGTATTTTACATTTAAATCACCATCTACAAATTGTATCTATTTGATATGAACACTCGCATTAACACTGCTGGCACTGGCTTTTTGGAGGGCAATGGACAACACTAATTAAGGTTCAAAGTCTTCACTGTTTCCTGCCTTCCCTACATTGCAAGACAGGGTTGGAGATTTTCCTCTCATTAATCTTTCACTAAATTGTCTTACCCTGAAAGAAAAAAAAGTCAGTATCTTCAGGAGGGATCTAGGAAAATAGAACTGGGAATTTTGACCAAAAATTTAGAGTGAGAAGTTGGCTTCCAGTAGGAGTAGGCGGGGGGGTTGTCTGAGCGGGAGTGGAGGTGAGGTGGCCGGGGGGAACATCCAGGCATGCTGGGACTCCCACAGTAGGGTGTGATCACCAGGAGCTATGGCCATCTGAGAGGACACAGTGGGAGTACAGCAGGAGGGCTGGAGAACTGCTGCCAACTGGAGCCAAGGAGGGCCAGGCTACTGAAACTGTGTCACCAACAATGGGTCAGATGTGGGGAACAGGTGTCTGAAAGCCTGGAGCCACCCTCCCGAATTGAGACTGCAGAAAGACATTTAGGCCAAGGCTGGCTGACTTAACCTGGTGCCCTCTGCCTCTGTCTATGCAACAGCTGATGAGGAGTGGCCTGTTCAAAAGCTGCTTTCCCGTAACTGGACACAAACAGATGGGAAGGGTGATGAGGTGAGGAATGAACAGCCAGGGATACTATATAGCCAGCAATGGCTATAAAAACTTCCTTATGTCTTAGTCAAAACATCTTGCCATATAATAGAACCAGGATTTTGAACCTAGTTCACTTTAACAGCCATGTTCTGTTTAAAGTCATGTTCTGCTGAAATCAGAGTTCAAAATTCTGAAAACTATTGATTTAGGGAGTGTGTATAGCTAAGGAGATAACTGACTACAAGCCATGGATCATCATCCCTGATAGAGAAGTTTGGAAGCCTTGTCCCACCCCATCTCTGGCTGTAATAATGAGAAATTAAGAAGTGTGATGTATGCATTTAAGACTATAAATGTTTCTCTAAGTACTGCATTAGCTGCATCTCACAGGTTAATGTGTCATAATTTCAAAATCACCCAGATCAAAATGTTGTCCAATTTCCTTTCTGATTTCTTATTTGAGCCATTGATTATTTAGAAATGTGCTGCTTACAAAGCCATAAAGCTTCATTAGGAAAAGACTCAGGGTCCATGTTAGCAGACAGATGCACCATAAGAAGAGCTTACTTATGAAATAAAAGCCAAGCCTTCCAAGTGTTCGTTCAAAAAAAGATGTTCTACCCTCTCTAGGCAGGGTGAAGCTCTTGCACTGTAAGCACTGACTCCTCTAGGAGTTTGCCCTATTACTGAGGGGTACTTTCCTAGCCCCCCTCCTTCTCCTTCCCACATGGGACAACCCAGGAAAGCACCCTCCCATTTGCTCCTTAGGTGTACCAACAGTCCTTCGCAGGTGAAGTGTCACTGAGAGCCTGTCCCTGGGTGCTCCTTAATCCTACCACAGCTGACATGGCTGCAAAAACATACTGAGCTCATTGGGAGAACAACAAGGAAAGAAATACAGAAATGTTAAGAGGCCAATATGAAACCTACTCTCTGGGTCTGCCCCACCCACATCTCCTGTAAGAAGCGTCTGTCTCTGGGCCCACAGAACCAGGATCACTCCTCAGTCCCTCTCCTGGGTGCCAGCTCCCCAGCTCCCAATGTCCTCTTCCTTCTCCTCATCCCCTTCCTCTAGAAGCCAGTCTCCAGTCCATTCAATTCCAACCAGCAGACACCCACCAATGGTTCTGCTGTGAGTGGGGCATAGTGCTGGGACGGATGGGGCAGAAGCAGTGCTGATGTTCAGGGCCACAAAATAGAGTCTTCTCTTCACAGTGGACACTCCTTCAAGTTCGAAGTAAACCTGGCTCCCTCAGAGATGCTCAGAGGCCTGAAGTCATCCTGTGGTTTATTGATGAATAAACAGAACACAAACATGGGCACAAAGAGGCTTGGAAACAGCAGGGTCCATCTTGGCACAGCCTCCTCACCTCAAGGGGCATCCAGCCACATCTTCAGACACACAGGGCAGTGCTGGGGCCTGCACAACCTTATGTTCATGCCCTTCGGTTCCACGTGGCACAAAGTGGCACAGGGGGTGGGAGACTTGCAGAGTGGGGTGTGGAAGGGGACGCTGGCCCTGGCTTTAGGGGACGCTCTGGTTCAGTGACAAGGATCTCACAAGTGCTCAGGGAGGCTGGGGCTGTGTTTTCCACTGACACCAACAGACACTCTCTTGCTAAACAGTCCCATGGAGCACAGAGACTGGCACTGGCTGAGCCACACAACCCATAATCAGGCTCCTCTGAGCCCGACTCTGTCATGGCCTTGGAGAAAAGGCACACTGCAAAGCCTGGAGCTGCATTTGCAGGCTGAAGGTACCCCCTCAGCAACCTAGGGCCTTGAAGGCATGGGCTGTCAACCAGCATCCTAGATAAGTAGTGCTGGGCCCTCACTGAGGGTTTCACTCCCCCAGCACCGCCTCACAAGGCCGGCCTGCCTGCTGGGAAGGTTGCCTTGGGGTAAGGGTACAGGCTTAGGTCTTCCAAATCCTTTCCTGAATTACCATATCAATACCAGGACACCAGGCACCTTTCTTTGGACTACAGGAGATGCGAAGGTCACTGAGCTCACTCTGATTTCACAGATCTTGGTGAGACAACCTGGGCCCTAGAATCCACCATCTTTGTCTTTGGGAACTCCTTCTGGGCAGCCATCTGCAGGCCTGAGTGTTGCAGGTATAGCCCTCTTTCCTTTTACTGTGTCTGGTTTCTTGTGTAGTCAAAAAGGCCAAGAGAATGGGCCACTGCATCCTGCCCCTGTGCTTGGTCTTGGGTCCAGCTGTGGTTCCCATGTAAGCACCATGCACCTTCCCATCTTCCCACAGCTCTCACCCCCTCCACCAAGAGCTGTGGCCAGGGTCACAGAGGTTCAGAGGCTGCTGCCCCTGGACCTAAAGCCCATTTTCCATCTCAAACCAGGGACAGAGGTGAGCTCCCTGAGCCCTCAACTGTGGCACTTTCCCATGTGCGGAAAATGGGGAGCCCAGAAAGGGAGCCAGGATGGGCAGGGGTGACCCTTTCTGGTTACTCCTGTGACCTCTTCCCACCATTCCATGCTCAACACGTGCCAGATTTCTACCACCTTTAATACCCCCATTCACATTGGGCCAGCTGGAAACAGAAAGTGGGGCTGGCAGAGGTGGTCCAGCTAGCCCGGGCCCCCAGGCCTCAGGACCACTGGCAGGCACAGTCGGTGGGCTCCTGCACTGTATAGGGCACCCAGGTGGCATTGGTGGCACAGAAGAGCTGCACAGAGCGCCGCTGCAGGCCCACCTCACGGCAGCACTTGCAGAATCGGGCATAGGTGTTGATGTTGTAGTTGTAGATGCTGGCGGATGGGCACCTCCCATCGCAGGACACTAGGTTCACCTGGAACGGGCAGGCCAGTGAGGCAGTCTGTGGTGCTCACACCCCCAAACCCCCTCCATCCCATTTTTTGCTGCCCCACTGCCTTGTGGGCACCACGCACAGGGGTGCTGCTCCTGCATTCATTCTTGCGGATGGTCATGCGGATGGTCACCTTCTTGCAGGAGCGCCCATCCTCCTTACCTGGGGGGACAGGGGGATGAGGCAGCTGTGGCCAAGACCAGGCTTCTTCGGGGCAGCAGGATGGGCCAGCCCAGGGCAGTTAGTGTCATGCTGGAGGGTCTCTCTTCCAGCATTAGCACCCATGCATTAGTGCCCCTCCCCATCCAGGGAAAGCCTTTTAACCCAATGCCCTGGAAGGAGGCGGAGTCAGGAAGGCAGAAACAGAGCAGTGTGAGCAAGTGAGGCAGGAAGGCCAGCAGGGCCCCCTTGAGGACTCTGTGCTAGGGCAGAGAAGCATCTGGGGACAGAGTGAGGCTGCCTCCCCACCCCAGCCCTAATGCCTATTTCTAAGCTGTGTTGGCCACTTTACCCTTACCCCTCTCTGAGCTTCAGTTTTCCCATCCTGAGAGGGCTTCTAGCATTAAGATTATGCAATTTCCTAAATGAATAGAAACTCCAATCTCTAGTGGGACGCTTCATTCTAATGGGATGCTTTGTTTGGTTTCCATAGCTATCAAACTGGACCAGGGATTCACCCATCTCACAGAGCTGTTACAGGGATGGAAACTAACCAGTGTGGGTTTCCTCTGCCTGGACCATGCCTCTCACAGACAACCAGTCTTGTGGCTCATTCACGCCCTCACCTCCTTTAGCAATTGGCTGCAATATCTCCTCTCCCAGGCATTACCTGATTCCCCTTCTTAAAGTTGCAACTCACTGCCTCTACTCAGTCCTCCCTCCCTGACCCCTCCCTTGCTTATATTTGTCGAGGGGACAATCACTGTCTTGTCAGAGACACATCGGTAATTACGATGTGAATCATAAGCTTTATGGCCTTCTTTTGCACAGGCCCCTTCCAGAATTTGTTGTAAGTTCTTTGTGCATTTTAAATAAATATTTCCTTTCACACTTTAATGTGAATTTGTACATTTTGTATTCTTCTTCTTGTTGAAGCCCCCCACATTGCATAAGTCAGGCCCCACAAAACTCAATGCTTCCATCCTGGTATATATTTTTATACTTGTTATTCTGTCTCTCCCACTAAATATCAGCTCCACAAGGCTCTACAGTGCCTAGAACAGTGTCTGGCACATAGTTGGCGCTCCACAAATATTTGCCAGGTACGTGCACTCACTCTGTAACCCCAGGAATCCCTTTAGAAATGGAATGGAATCTTTTCTTCTGGTCTCTGAGCCTCACCACAGAGGTTTCCTACTGCACCAGCTAGATGGCTTCTGGCCATAGCTAAGTCCACTTTGTCTTCCCTCTCTGCTCCAGGAGGCAGGAGAACTAAGGGCTGTCCTGACATGGCCCTCTGGGCCCTGGACTAAGACTGGCTGAGTGACCAGCAAGAGCAAAGCAGTGGCAGTCCGAGGCATTGGTGGGTGCCAGGTGAGCGGGCCCTGCTGAAGCTTTCCCATGCAAGCCCAGGGGATACAGCTCACTACCCAGCATGCACTGCAGGCCCAATAGCCTGTGCCAGACGTGGGGAGCAGGGGCCCTCCCCCTCCCTTGCCCCCAGAGATCAGGCCATCTAGCAGAAGGGACATTGCTGGACATAGCAATGCGGCTGCCTGCCTCCAGTGCAGTGGGCTTCCGAGAGGAGTACCTGGGCGACAGTGGACACTAACCCGTGGAGGAGAGGCGGGACTAACGGGGACTGTCAGGGACCCTGGAGGCCTGAATCCCACCCAGGAGGCTCCTCCAAGACCAGGGCGTCTGACTACGGGAGAATTTATGTGGGAGCATCTGGGCTGGGGGCCTTGGCAGGGGCAGGAGGAGGCGAAGTAACTGGTGAGCTACTGACCTCCTGAATGCTATGCCCCAATGTCCTCTGGCTGTGACAAGAAGCAGAGGTTTTGTATGGGAACAAGGACATAAACATGGCCTCCAGCCATCTGCATATTTGCGTCAGTGCCGTGAGCCCTGTGGTGTGGGTGTTATCCCTTCATCTACTCAGCCCAGAAGAGCTATCATTTTAGGTGCCAGGCCAGGAACCTGGTCCTCTGTCCCCTGACATGACACCCTGTGCCCCCATCAGAGCCCCCCACCCCTGGGCCCCCACCATGCTCACTCACAGGTCCTGCAGCATCCTTCCAAGGAAGGTACCACGGAACCCCCAACCTAGAGAGAGGAAGTCGGGGGAGGTAGGTAGGTGTGGAGACCCCTGTCCAGGCCGGGAGCCAAGATCCCAGAAACAGGCAGAGTACAGGAGTCTTGACTCTTCTCTCCCCGTGATGCCCCAGGGCAGGAGCATAGGCCCCTTGCCAGGCCATAGGAGAGCCACGGGGGCTAAGCTGCCACTAAGGCTGCACGTAGCCCCCTTGCGGCAGGAGCCTGGGTCAAGATGGTACAGGGCCTCCCATCTTTCCTGGGGCAGTTCCCCTCATGTCTTCCATTGCCTACCCCACTGCCAGTGCTTCCCAGCACAGAGGATAAGGGAGGGGAGGGGCGCAGGGGTCACCCACTTTGGTCAGTGGCCTGGGCTCTACCTCAGCCCTGGACAAATCATCCTCTTCCTCTAGGCTTAATTTTCCCATCTCTAAAATGGGGGCAAGTATCCGTTAAAACCCTCCTCCTCTATAATGAAATGGGTAAAACAATGGATGGGACAGTTCTTTGTACATAAGTGTGTGTGTTGGGGGGCAGGTCTCAGTATGTGTGTGTGATTTTGTGAGCACATACATGAGCATCTGTGTGTACATGTGTGATTTTGCATGTGTGGGTGTGTGTATGAGTGTCATTGAGTGTCTGTGTATATTTGTTTTCTAGGGAAGAGTCGGAAATCTTCAAATGTCCACTATTAATCTCAGGGACTTTAATAATTCAACAATAACCCCAAGCCTTCCAGGAAATCCTTTTCTCTGAGGTGCGCCCATACTGACAGTTGTCCATGCTAGTGCTGGACACCTGCCAGCCATCACAGGACTGAACTGCATCTGCGTGGCATGTGTGTGCAAGAGTGTGCTTATGTGAGTGCCTTGAGGTGTGATGACGCGTGGTGTGTGCATTGGCATGCTGATGTGAATGTCCCTGGAGTGTGTGGTGTGTGAGTGACTGGTGACCTGTGTTGGTGTCTGGCTGAATGTGCCTAGAACATGTAACAGTGTGTGTTTGTGCACATCTGCATGTGGTCATGTGATGTGTGAAGAGGCAGGGTGTGATGTGGTCAGGGCAAAAAGAAATGCAGAGAGACATATGGATTTGGGGTGGCAGTGCAGGCACAGGCTCCAGGGAGCCCTTCTTCCTGCACTCCTGCACACAGGACCTCCACCCCACCACCAGTGAGACAGCTGATGCCCCTGGCCTACAGCCTCAGTGGAGAAGGAGGCACTGACCTTGGCACACTCAGTCTCATTGAGCGGTGGGCAGCTTATGGGAGAGCGGACCAGCACGGCACCCAGGGGCGTGCTGCTGCAGTGGTGGCGGGCGCAGTCTGCGATCCAGGATGCCCCGGGCTGGAGGGCACAGAAGTAGGTAATGGGAGCTGTGGCCAGATGGACAGCCTGCGCAAACCCATAGGGTCTGGGAGCCTGTTTGTACCCAGCCCTGGCCTGCAAGCCAGAGAGGGCCCTAGTCCTGGTGTCCCCTTCTGGGACACCCTCCTAAGTGGGCAGCGAGGGGGCTGCTTACCAAGAACAGGGAGGTGGTGCCATTGGGGAAGGTGAAGAGACAGGACACGTTCCTGCAGGAGCCGCAGCAGGCAGCGAGGTCCCGCGGGTGCTCGTACTCCTGGTTCTACAGGCCAGGGCGGGGTGGGCCTCAGCCAGATGCCCACCTCCACCCTGGCTCTCCCACTGCCTGGTTATCTGTGAGGGATCCCAGAGCCTGGAAGGACCCTCTGTAAGTGCTCGAGAAGAGGCGCTCCCAGCCTCCTTCTGTCACAGGCAGCTAATCATCCCTGTATCTACCCTGAGCCTCCCTTACAGCAAAGAGCATCTCCACCCTTTCCAAGCCATTTCTGCTAAGTAAGGATGCCAGTTTTTATTCCAGACAGACCTCCATTTGAGTCTTAGTTCCTGTAGGACTTTTGACAAATGACAGAGTCTCCCTAAGCCTCAGTTTTCTCCTCTGAAAAATGGGAATAATTCTAACCTTCTTTATCCAAGTAATATTTATTTAGCCCTTACTAGAAGCCAGTCACCATCCTAAGTACTAGGCATGAAGAAGTGCTCACCAAATAGTAGCAACACAAGCACGCAAACCAAAGGGACAGGGAATGTGCCAGGCATTCCATAGGCACCTAATAAATGTGTGCTGTGTCTGTCAACACCCACTCTTTCCAGGCACTAAATCCGTCCCTTCTGTTCCCCTTCTGGCCTCTCCCAACCTAGTCCCTTTCTTGGCACTTTCTACAGAGGTTTCTGAGGGCCCCTCTGACTTGTCCTGGGGGTTTAGGGCAGCTTCAAGGGCCCCTCTGGCTCCTGGAGCACCCAAGGTCTGCCAGGCAAGCCCTCCCAACCCCACCCACCCCGCCCTGGGCTGCACCCTACCGCCTCACAGTGGATGTCACAGAGCACGGAGGTGGTGTTGATCTGGTAGAAGTTGGTGAGAGGGTCGAGCACGGTGGTGCAGCGGGAGGTGTGGCACACGCCATCTGCTGAGAGCTCCACCACTGTCTGGCCGGGCTGCATCACACCCAGCTCGCGGCTCAGACACACCGGGGCCTTCACTGGATGGGCATGCAGGGCGGCAACAGTCATCCAGAGCCCAGGCACCCATGCCCCTCCTGCATGGCTCTGCCCCGAGGCTTCCCCCACTCACCACACTCGTACTTGGCGCAGCCACACACATTCTCCACGCTGTGCATGAACTCCTCATCCAGCTGGGATTTCTCCCACTGGGTGGGGCAGAGGCAGTCAGCACCCTGGGTTGGGGGCCAGCCTGGCCCTCAGGAGCAGTCTGCCACCTGGGCCCCTCTCTACGTCAGTCCCTCCCTGTGGTGGGCAGGAGGGGGGCTGGCAGGCCTGGGGCCCCTCAGCAGCCTGGAAGCTCAGTCCCAGTGTGGCTACCAGGCCTCCCCAATGAGGAGCACTGTCCAGTGTCCTCTCCTTTCACAGCGAGGGACAGAGCCCCGGGTGGCTCACACTACTTCTCACCTTCCTTCAGCAATGTTAAGGAGGGAGGAAATGGGGGACAGAGTGAGAGGAAATGTGTGCTGGGGTGGGGAGGGTTACATATAATTCAGAAAAGGACTGTAAACACGACTTCACATTTCTTAAAGTATTTTCACTTCCCTCAGTGGCCATGCAGCCTGGTGGCTAAGAGCATGATCTCTGGAGACAGATTTCCTTGGTGTCAGCCCTGGCTCCATGATATACTAGCTTCATGACCTTAACCTTAGCTTCCTTGTTTGCAGGATTGAGAAAACAACAGAAACAACCTCACAGGGTTGTTGTGAGAATAAATAATACACATGAAAGCCCCAGGAAAGTTCCTGGCATTTAGTAAGCTCTCAGTAAACATTAGCTACCGTCATGATTGTCATCAACATCATCATCATCATTGCCATTATCATCTTCACCACCACCATCATCCTCACCTTCCCCACTACCACCATTGTCATTGCATTATCACCACCATCACCATCGTCACTGCATTATCACCATCACCCTCACTGTCCCCACCACCACCATCATTGCATTATCACCATCACCACCACCACCATCCTCACCATCACCACCACCATCATCCTCACCATCACCACCACCATCACCATTGCATTATCACCATCACCACCACCATCATCCTCACCATCCCCACCACCACCATCATTGCATTATTACCATAATCACTGCACTATCACCATCGTCACCACCACCATCCTCCTCACTGTCCCCACCATCATCACTACCATCAGCATCATCATTATCATCTTCATGATAATTTTCATCTTCATTGTACTTAATCCTTACCACAACTCTAAAGCATGATTATGTCCACTTTACAAAGGAGGGCACCATACCCAGAAAGCCAGTGGCAGAGCTTGGGAAAAGAATGCTGACTTGCAACCCCGGGTTCCTTGCACTAGATTAAAGGAGCAGATTCTCTAGAGGAGGGGATAGAGAGGAAAGGAAAGGGGAGCAGACCAGGGAGTGTTGGGGGAGGAGCGTCTCCATACCAGATGGCACCGGGGCACCGGGATTGTGTCACAGTCACATTCTGAAAAACACAAGGGGCCAGGCCCCACTTCATCAGGGATGTCCAGGTAGGAATCCCCTGGGTACCCTGGACCTCTCACTGCTGGCACAACCCGTCTTCTGAAGACCCAGCTCCAGGCCAGGCCTGGGAGAGGAGAGGAAGAGGCCCAAATCTCAGCCTCCTTCCATCCCTGGGGGCAGGAGAAGGCCTGCAGCTCTGCTGATTAGGTAGGTGGGCAGTGATGGGTTCTGAACACCAAGCTCTCCACTGGGTATGGAGCAAGGATAAATAGGCAGATGGGCCAATCACAGGTTTCCTTTTGTCACCTGGATTAATCCCTTCACCTGGTCCAGAGCCTATTCTTTTTATTTATTTTATTTTATTTTTCTTTGAGATGGAGTCTCACTCTGTCGCCCAGGCTGGAGTGCAGTGGCGCTATCTTGACTCACTGCAACGTCCACCCTCTTAAAGGCACCTATCACCGTGCCCGGCTGATTTTCTTGTATTTTCAGTAGACACAGGGTTTCACCGTCTTGGCCAGGCTGGTCTTGAACTCCTGACCTCATGATCCACCCGCCTTGGCCTCTCAAAGTGCTGGGATTACAGGTGTGAGCCACCGTGCCCGGCCGCAGTAAGGACTTTTTAAGACGGAAACCCTCTTTGGAATGGGAAACTTGCTTTTTCCTTCTTTTATCCTAGAGAGAAAAGGCTGTAGGAATGCTCAGCACTTGGAGTGCGGATGCAGAAGGAAGGTGATTCTGGTGGCTTCCTCTAGAGACCCTGCAGGGGACAGATCTGAGAGGAGTGGACGGTGGTAGGCCGGGCTCCCTCAATCCCTCCTCAGCAGGGCCACTGGATCTCCCAGCGGGGAGGCTGTCCTGACCACGGACTCACCACAGGATTTGTAGGGGCAGCAGCGGTCGGGGCTCCACACCTCCACCAGGGCAGTGCCCAGGCCACACTGCACTTGGGGACAGCGGAAGTTCTCACACACTGTGGGGAAGGAGAGGCAGTTGACACGTCAGTCACAGGCACCTGGGGATGTGAATCCTCAGAAGGGCAACACTGGCTAAAGAGAGGCTACCCCCAGCTCCTCCTTAGTGACCCCCACTGTCCTCAGAGCCCCAGGGAAGAGTCTGGGCACCCGAAGTCTCCCCAGGGAGCTACTTCAGGTCCTGGTGCTGTGTCTGTGAGGCACTGGTGACATGACAGGGTCAGAACCTCAAGCTCATTAAATTGGGCCTCCTCAATCTGCAGTCACCCTGCAAGAGGTGGTCCAGGGAGAGCCAGCCATTAGGGTAAGGTCTGCTGATGGGGAACATCCCGCTCTGTCTAACACAACCTTTCCCACCCTGTGGAAACTTCATCCACTTGGGGCCCACCTGAGCATGCCCTGCTTCAGCTGATGCTACCCTGCAGGGCCCGCACTTCCTTTCTTCCTAGTCTTTAGGCTGACTTTTCTCAGTTCAGGATTCCTCAGCCATTCTCATTTGCTGGGAGAACAAGGCAAGGGGTGAGGGAACTCCCTGGGTGCAACGTTTTGGTGGATAGGGGAGGGGCGAGGGTCAGCACTAAAGGTGAGGATCTGAAAACTGTAAGAGTTACTTGATTTACTAATAAAGTTATTGGCACAAGCAAGGATTATCAAATGGTGTTCCAAAAAATTATGAGGGAGGGCATTTTTATGGTGTCAAAGTAATAGGTTATTTTCTGGTTGGAAGAGGAAAAATGTAAGATGGAGAGATCTTAGGATTACGGTCATCACCCTAATCTGGGCCAACGTTAACATCAATTCTTGTGACTCAGCCAGATAGTGTGTGGCACCCGAAGTGATGTGCTATGAAGCTCATGCACGCACTGTCTAGCCCCAAATTTTTAACTTGAACCCATCAATCCTTAGATGGAAATTTCAGTTTTAGGAAGCACAGAGGCCCAGGGAACAAGGTAAGCAGCTCCAAAAGAAAGCAACTGGTGAAGTCCAGAAGCGGGAACTCTCTGCAGGGTCATGGCATGGACTCTACAGTGGGAGGTCATACAGGAAAAGGGACCTGTGCTAGGATGAGAGATGTGAGGCATGTCATTATAATGCATGGTCCAGGACTGGATCCTGGATTGGACAAACAGGAAGAAACAGACTGGGCATGAGATGAGTTGAAAATGTATTAACATGGAAAGGTAGTGATTGTTCAATGAAAACAGCCAGTTTAAAAAAAAAGAGTATGTCCAGGATGAGCTGATTTTGGTAAACCACACACATCTATATAAAGCCATAGAGAGAATCTGGAAGGATATGTATCCACTAAAGCATTGGCAGTGGAATTATCTAGCAGGTAGGAAGGTGGTATTTTCATTTTCTTGCATTTACTTGGAATTCGTACTTTCTACAATGCATATACAGTGCTTTTGTAATAGCAAAAGTATGACGAAGACTGGGAGAAAGTGATAATATCAACAGCCTCTGTTTTGGAGCACCTACTGCATACCAAGGACCATTTGGTCCTTCACAAAAATTATCTCTAATTTCCACAACAGCCCCTCAAGGCAGATACTAGCATCGCTATTTTACAAATGAGCAACCTTGGCTCAGAGAGTAAGGAACTTGCCCTGGGCTGCACAGCTGGTAGACAGCCCAACTGAGGCTCAGAAACCAACTGACTATGCCCATACTCCATCCATAGGACTAGGCTGCCCCCCGAGAAACATGGAAAGAAACGTGAATACAGGAGGAGGGCTGAGGGGGAGGGGTAATGATAGAAAGAGAAAGACAGAAGAGAAGGAGAAAGGATAGTGAATCTGTCCTCACATCAGTCTTGCAAATACTGTGGCAAGTGGGCCAACAAGCTCCTGGTCAGGTGCGGCCAGGTCATCTGGGCAACTCTCATGGGATGGGAGCCTACATTGTTTCGGAGGTGGCTCTTCACATTGAACCAATCAGAGAAGCCCTTGGGTGTCCTGGTGGAAGCCCCTCTCCTACTCTGTTCTGTGTAAGAAAAAACCTCATGCTTCTCCTATTATCAGTGTGCAAAGCAATTTTTGTAAATTGAATAATATTTAAATAGAACCATTTTGTTCATTTTCATCCATTAGGTTTGCTTACAATCCGTAATGCTGGCTGCACTATGCTTAACAGTTACTATTGAGGTACTATGTACATAGTGCATTCTATATCAAGGTACTATGAACACAGTACATGATATGCACATACTATACATGTCTACATGTATATACAGTATCATACATACAGGTACCAGGCCCTATAAAAATATTGGAAAAAGCATACTTTTATTTATAATTACAAAATAAAAGAGCTTCAGAGGTTTTGCAACACAGGGCCTTCTGTGATACAGCCTCCAGGAGCGGGCACTATGGCGACACAGTGGCGAAAGGGACCCTGAAGGGGAGCCTTGGGTCAGTCAGGGAATGAGGACTTCTTATCAGTGCTGTGGGGGATGGAGGGACCCAAGTATTTGTCCTTCAACCCTAGCCTCTGTCTGGCCCTTGGGGGCCTCCATGGAGGGGACAGGCCTGGACCTCCCACCCTCCAGCCTGACAGCCTGACCCAGCTTCTTCAGGTGGGCCTGCACTCGTCCTGGATTCAGCTGCTCGGCCCCTCCAGAGCTCACCACCTGGGGGCGCTCTGTTGCTCCCTGTCAACCCCCATTGGTCCGGGGTGGGAACTCTGTGAAGGGCCCCTTCCTGCCGCAGCCCGCCATGTGCCCAGCCAGGACTCACCACACTGGTACAGAGGGCAGCAGAGTTCCGTGGTATTCCTGTGCACAGTGAGCGCCTCCCCTTCTTGACATTCGGGGATGGAGTCTGGACAGTCACCACAGGCTGAGGGGGAAGAGGGTCAATGCTGTCACAGCAGTCCTCTCATAGGGGCCTGGCACACAGCACGTTGCTGGGGGTGGGGCCTCCTCAACAACCCAGGTGTGGCAGGAGCTAACTAATGGCAGCATCGCATGGTCTCACGTGATCCGTTCTGGAATCAGAATCTGGAAGTTCTCCCTCATGTCCACCCAAAGGCTTACACAGAACAAGCACCAGTTTCCTCGTGCTTAGTAATCTAGGGGGAACACGGGGTCGGTGTCCTCTTCCTCCCACACTGTTTCCTGGACAGTGAGCTTGTCCTTCTCCCTTTGCCCACCCCATCTGAAGACCCCCAGCCTTTCCTCCCAGCTGCCCAAGGACACAGGGGTGAGGCCGGCGGACTGTGATCAGGCTGTGTGCGCTGGCGTCTGGTGGCGGCGACCCACCGCAGAAGTAGGAGGTGCAGCAGGAGTCCCCCAGGCGGCCCGTGATCAGGATCTGGTCCTGTCGGCAGCTGGGGACCAGCTCTGCCTCACAGAGATCTGGGTCACACTCTGGGGAAAAGGCTGAATTTAGGTGCTGGGAGAGGAACCTGCCTGGCCACCCCTGGGCCCCTGCCCCCAGAGCTGTCCTCCCCCCACTGCCCTCAGTCCGTCCCCCACCCTCCCCACCCCGGGCCTCTCACCACAGCTGTAGCTGGGGCAGCAGGAGTCCTCCTGGAAGTGGGTGAGGAGGCGGTGGCCTGGGCGGCATGTGGGGGCGAGACCCTCACACAGAGTCTGGTTACACACTGGCCCCGGGGACCACAGGGCCTGTCACCTCGGGGCCGGATGTCCCCACTGCTCTCCAGTGGAGAACACTGGACAACTGCCCAACCCCTGGACGCCTGGCCCCACTCCTCCCCCCAGCCCCCAGGACCCATACTCCTAGATGAGGTCATTGAGGGTCACACGAGGGTTCAGGGCTGGGACAGAAGATCAGCAAGAGCTAACATCCATTGACACGCACCCCATCTCACAGCAACCCCAAAGATGGGCCCGATCGATCTTCAGCTCATGTCCCAGGAGAATGAACCAAGGCACAGAGGATGTGAAATAATTTGCCCGAGGCCACAAGGCTACAGGTGGGGGAGGAAGAGTGGCCAGGCTGCCTGGCTCCACAGCACTCCCTGCACTGACTCCTGAGCCTCTGCCCCTGCCCCCAGGGAGGGTTCTCCCCTCCTCCAAGCTCACCCCCTACAAGACACTTTGCTTTTCCTAGGCCTTGTCCTATCCATCAGGGTTGGTGTGCAGGGCTGGAACCTTTTAACTGTTTTACAGTTGACGTCCAAGGAAGTGAAGGTGGACACTCACCACAGACAGTCCCCAGGCAGCAGGGGTCCTTGGTGGGTAGGAGCAAGGCCACCTCCCCGAATCGCAGGCAGCTCTCAGGGCGGGGACTGGGGCAGCCCAGATCCACCGGGACAATGGTGTCTGGGGCTTGGCACTGGTGCTGGCAGCAGCCGCTGAGGGAGCTGTTCCAGGTCTCCCCCAGGGCCCTCGGCACCCCCATGCTGTCAGTGCAGGCTGCAGAGGGGAATGGCAGGGTGCGAGGGACTGAGGAAGGTGAGCCCAGACCTTCCCAGGCTAGACTCTCCCTGGTTTACTGGCCACCCCTAAGCAGACCTGAAAGGATGCAGATGGGACTCAGCTGTGGACAGCAGGAGGCGAGGCTGAGGCTGGCTTTGGAGGCCCCCCACTCAGGGAGGGGAGGAACCTACCGCACTTGGCCTCCGGGATGCAGAGTGCAGAGTGGCGCCGGTGTAAGATGGTGCCCTCGGAGCAGACGCAGCCCTCGCCCAGCACCTGGCAGTGCTCTGGGTCCAGAGGCCCTAGTATCCCATCCTGGCATGTCTTGGGTGGCTCACAGGCTGTCACACATGCCTGGTATGTGGAGTCGCTGGAGCACAGGAAGGCTGCAGGGGCACAGTGGGCACCAGGCCTACCTCAGACCCCAGGCAGGGCTCCCCACTGAGGGCCGAAAGAACAGGAGGGGATGAGGAGAGGGCTCAGAGTGTCATCAGCACCTCAGCAGAGAGTGCATAAGTTAAAGGGCTTGGTGACATCACCTCCTTCCTTAGATCAGGACTCAGCAAAGTACAGCCCACAGCCCAAACCCAGCCCACTGTCTGTTTTCACAAATAAAGTTTTATTGGAACACAGCCATGCCTGTTCATTTATATTCTGTCTCAGGCTGTTTTTGTACCAAAAAAGGTAGAGTTGAGGACTTATGACTGAGACCATATGGCACACAAGTCATCAAATACTTACTTTCTGGCTCTTTACCGAAAAGGTTTGCCAACCCCTTGCTCTAGATCAGTGTTTTCAAACTTTCTTGATTGTAAAAAGTAGATTTTACATTGTGGCCTAATACAAGCATGTAGAACAGTGGTCCTCAAACTCGACTACAAAAGAATCCTTTGGGAGTTTTTGAGGTATCATTGTGGGGAACCCACCCCAGGCCAATTGAATCTCTGATTGTGGGGCCCATGCATTTTCAAGTTGTCTGAGTGATTTCAAAGGGTATTTAGGATTGAAAATCGCTTCTATATAAAATAAAAAATCTCTTTTACAAAATCATACCTAAACTTTCTATGAGCAATACACACTGGTATTTTCTATTCTATTGTATTTTTTAAAATGCTGGTGCTGACCCCCTAAATTGATTTCATACCCGCTGAGTTGGGATCCACAGTTTGAAGAACACGACCCAAGAGGACTTTTGTCTTTTCCTCTTTTACTTGTCATATTGTGGGTGTGGACTTCCTGTGAGCCAATCCCAGCCTTTCTGGACAGGTTCACATTTATAAATCAAGCTACCCTAGCCCAGGCCACCCCTGTCGACCCTACCAGTCAAACCTAATTGGGGGAGGAGGAGGCAGATCTCATTTCCTTCCTGCAGGAAGGAAGGGAAACTCTGGAAGAAGAGAAACGTGAGCAAAAAGGAAGCAGAGGGAATTAAGGTGTGCTGGACGGTGTCCGTGGGGCAGGTCTATGTGAGCACTCGGAACACATTCCCCCACATCCTCAAAACCACCCTGGGCGGGGGCGATGGTTACAGTCTCCACTTACAGAGAAGAGACGCAAAGAAAGCAAATACTAAAATAACAATACAATTACTATGTGTTAATATGTTCATATGAATCATAATAAATGTGTTCATTAGTATAAAATGTACTTTTATATAATATAAAAATTAAATATAAATTAAACATATGAAATATTTATAAATTTACTAATGTACATAAATCCATGAATGATTAAAGCTGGGAAAGCATACATGAACTTGGGGCCGGGAGCCTTTTCCCACTTTAACAGGGGATGGGAACAATAGTCACAATGGAGGGTCCCCCTGCCCCGCAAACTCACGGCAGTAGTCAGAGCGCCGCCACTCGATGCACACATGAAATTTGTGGCACATGGCCACGTACACAGTCAGGGCCACGCAGGGCTGCTGCACGTACTTGGTGTCCCGGATCCACAGCTCACAGAATGACTCCGGAGGCACCTGGACATATGCATCAGGCAGTGCTGGTTACTCGGATGGCACATATCCCAGTGCCCAGCTCCTCCCCTCCCTGCCCAAAAGGAACAATGAGCCTCTGCAGGTAGGTGCTGCCATCCCCAGCCAGCCCAGGAGGTGTCCCCAGTGCTGGACCCAGTTGGCACATACAAAGCGGTGGCAGGCACTGAAGGTGCGGTTGGACACCATGCGAAGGCAGGGCGAGCAGTCAGTTGTGGCGCAGCTGTCTGGGCGGAAGCGGGTCTGGCCCACTGAGGTCAGGGAGCTGGGCACCTGCCAGCTGTCCAGAAAGGGAGCAGGGTCCTCAGCCCCACCCACCACTGAGCCATCCTTCAGGGTAAGGTCATTGGCTGCATCTCCATCACAGATACCTGAAAGGGGCCAAACAATCCCAACAGCCACGATCATCACTACCACTCCCATGTCGTCAGCTCTCACTTTTTGTATTCCTCACAGTTCTTTGAGGTCAATAATACCATTATCCCCATTTTATAGGTGAGGGAAATTAGGTGAAGGGAAGCTAGGAAACCTGCTACAAAAGAAAATGTCTTTGTACTTAGGAAATACACATGTATTTAGGGGTAAAAGGATACAATGTCTTGAAGTTATTTTCTAATGGTTCCGAAAAATGCATATATATATATATGTATTGCATGTGCATATAAAAATGTATACCCCCCCCCACACACACACAGAGAGAGAGAGAGAGAGAGAGAAGGAGAGAAGCAAATGGGGCAAATCTGGGTAAAAGGTGTACACTACTTTATACTGTCTTTGCAAGTTCTAAATTTTTATAAGCTTTGCTATATTACACCAAAATAAAAAGCTACCCCCCAAAAGTCTGCTTTACCAGTGATTGCTAGCTGATTATAACAACTGTTCCTTCTTTTTCCTGGGCAGTCAGTGTATTTTTCCCAGATGCCCTTGCAGCTGGGTGAGATCATCCGATTGAGTCCCAGCCAATGGCATATGAGTGAAGGTGACGAGTACCACCTCCAGGCCTAGTTCATAAAAACTTCCCACCTGTCTCCTCTCCTGTGAATTTGGAAACTCATGTTGACATGGCAGAACCAGAAGATGGAAGGACTCTGGGTCTCTGAATCATTGCTATCCATTTGGGAACTTATGTATGCAGGAAATAAGCTTCTGTTGTGTTAAGGCACTGAGATGGGGGCAAGGGTGAAGTTTATCTGTCCTAGCTTTTAATGTGACCTAAACTTCTGGTTTCATCTCCCACATACCATCTATATGCTCCAGACACACACTTTCCTGCCCACAACTTTGCTCAAGCTGCTTCCTCTGCCTGAAATACTTTCTCAGATGTCCTTCCTTCAAGGACGCCTCAGATGCACTATCCATGACATTCCAAAGTCTGTGTAACAGTCATTGGCTTGCAGGTCAGCCTTTCACAAAAGATTGTAGCTCTCTGAGTGCAAAGACTCATTTTCTTTTAGATTCTCAATTATCTCAGCACTCCCCTAAGTTTGTCTAGCAGGGTGCCCAGCTGTCAAATGTTCATTCAAATAAAATGGAGATATAAATGATCTGACTTCTGTTCTAACACCTCTAACCATGATTCTGTGAATATAAAGCATGATTAAAGGCAAACTCTTATTAATATATTATTAATGGTTCCCATGGTCACACTTTGGGTCTTGGCTTTAAGTCAGTGAGGGGTGTCCCAAAGGTATCCTAGGGAGGGGTTGGCTCACCAGGCTACTGCTGACCACAGTGCTCTTTGCTGGCAATGAACAGAGGAGAAGGAAGAAATGATGAGAAAAAGATGGTGGTAGTGATGGTGATGGTGATGGTGTTGGTGGTGGTGGGGATGGTGGCATGTGTGTAAGAAGTGTTTAAGAATGGAAGCACCATAAAACAGGGATTTTGTCTGTTTTGTTCACTGTTTTGTCCCCAGCGACTGGTACATGGCAATATGTGTTGCACAAAGGAAAAAATGAGCATGGAGCTGAACTGCATGTGTTAGTGCATGTGTAGAGGGAATTTGGATGCAGAGGGGCATGAATGGGAATGTGTGAATGATCACCGGGGTGCAGGTGGAGGATGGAGGGTGTGTGTGTGTATGTGTGTGTGTGTGTGTAAGTGTTTTTATCTCACCCATCGTCACAATCATGGTAGTCTGTCACGGAGTGCCCCATGAGTGTCCATGTGCTTATGCCCCGGCAATGAGCAGCGGCCCACATCCAGGCTTGTCCCATATCTCTTTTCCTTATGAGAATACATTCAATCTTTTAGGGCATGCTCTGCAATTGTGCTATGGTCTGAAGAGCATTAGTTCTGTGTATTGTGGCAGCTCTGCTGTGTGCCCTTGGGTAAGCCCCTTAATCTCTCTGAGCCCCCTTTCTTCTTTAGTTCAGTGGGGATACTAATGGCCATCTCTCAGTGCTGTTGTGTGGATGACCAGGAATAAGTGAGATAGACTGTGGAAGTACTTTGTGAAATGCCCAGGCTCATGCAGATGGAAAGGATTATCCGACATTAGAAGGCTGTCAGGGAAGCTGACAGACAATCCCGGCTGAAGTGACAACTGGCTGAGTCCAGAGCCCTCTACTATCTCCCTACTGGCAGCTTTGGCCCCAGGACACAAGACGTTAGGCCTCCCTGCCCTGACAGCTCTGCTGCTCCAACCTCTGGCCTGGTATTCTGTCCCAGCCTTTCCTGCTCCAGGAGGAATTATGTGTGGGGGCAGAGGTGGACCTGGGAAGCATCCCCTCCCCGCAAGCTGGGTTCCACCTCACCGCACAGGCCATGGCCCTGGGCCTTGCTGGTTTTGCTGGCCTCCACGATCATGAGTCCTGAGCTGTGGAGCCACTGGATCTGGATGTCTGAGGGAGTCAGGATCATGTACATGTGGCCTGTGTCCTCAATTCTGAATCCATACCTGCTCACCGGTGGCCACACAGGCTGCAAGTCCACAGTCACCTTGGGAGGGAATTCAGTGTGAGCACAGCTTGTCCATCCATTCATTCATCCATCCATCCATCCATCTGTCCGTCCATCCATTCATCCATCCATCCATCCACCCATCATCTGACAAACATTTATTAGGCATCTGCTATGTGCCAGGCTCTGTTTCAGGCACATGCAGCCAAATCACCGTCGAAAGTGGCATGTGAGGTTTCTGAAAATATCTTTATTGGAAAAATACAATGAAACAAGAAATGCAACAACAGGAGGCAAGCTGCATCTTAATGCCCAAATAAACACAAATCCTGAGCCCTTCCAATCACTCTCTTCTTTCCTGATTCTGTTCAGATCACTTCTTCTGGGAGTCTTTCCTGATTCTGTTCAGATCATTTCTTCTGGGAGAGTCTCCCTAAATTCCCAGCCTTGGGGCTACATACCCCTGCTCTGGGCTTTCCTCATCTCTGTGCTGGCCATTAAGTATCTGTTTCCACATCAAGATATCCAGTGAACTGAGTTTCTTAAGGGCAGATACTATGCCTGATTTACCTTTGAATCCCCAACACCTGCCTTTGAGCCTAACATAAATAGGGGCTCAATCAATATTTGTTAAATATGCAACACACTCTAATTCTCACAAACACTTTAAATTCAAGGCTACAACCTCTTCTACGTATTAACAAGGTTAAATTTGGATGTACCATGGGTTATTACAATAGTTTTACACTGAAAAAAATGGAATATAAAAAGATTAAGATTTTAAAGTATTTATAATGAATTAACCTCCTCCCTTCAAGATTAGACTGTTTTATATGCTCCTGAATGTCAAGTGGGTCAATAAAAAAATTATGAAAAAAACTGAAACTTTTCTTGAAACAAATGATAATGGAAACACAACATACCAAAACCTACAGGATACAGCAAAAGCAGCACTAAGGGGGAAATTTATAGCTATCAGTGCCTATATCAAAAAAGAAGAAAAACTTCAAATATGTAACCTAACAATGTATCTTAAAGAACTAAAAAAGCAAGAGCAAATCGAATCCAAAATTAGTAGAAGAAAAGAAATAATAAAGATCAGAACAGAAATAAATTTGAAATAAAAAAATACAAAAGATCAATGAAACTAAAAGTTTGTTTGAAAAGATAAACAAAATTGACAAACCTTTAGCCTAACTAAGAAAAAAGAAAGAAGACTCTAATAAAATCAGAGATGAAAAAAGAGGCATCACAACTGATACTGCAGAAATTCAAAGGATCATTAGCAGCTACTATGAGAAGCTATATGCCAGTAGAAGAGAAAATCTAGAGGAAATGGATAAATTCCTAGACACATACAACCTCAAGATTGAACCACAAAGAAATAAAAAATCTGAAAACACTAATAACAAGTAATGAGAAGAAGCTGTAATAAAAAGTCTCCCAGTAAGGAAAAGCCTGGGATCCGATGGCTTCACTGCTGACTTCTACCAAACATTTGAAGAAGAGTTAATACCAATCCTACTCACACTATTAGAGAAGGAGGGAATACTTCCAAACTCATTCTATGAGGCCAGTGTTACTCTGATACAAAAACCAGACCAGGACATATCAAAAAAAGACTGCAAGTTGTTATTTCTGAAAAATATTGATGCAAAAATCCTCAAAAAAATACTAGCAAGATGAATTCAACAATACATCAAAAAGATCATTAATTGTGACCAAGTGGGATTCAACATACGCAAATCAAAGTGATACATCATATCAACAGAATAAAGGACAAAAAAACCATATGATCATTTCAAATGATGCTGAAAATGCATTCAATAAAATTCAACATCCCTTCACAATAAAAATCCTAAAAAAAAATGAGTATAAAAGGAACATACCTCAAAGTAATAGAAGCCATATATGACAGAACCACAGCTAGTATCATATTGAATGGGGGAAAATGAAAAGCCTTTCCTCTAAGATATGGAACATGACAAGGATGCCCACTTTCACCACTGTTATCCAACATAGTATTAGAAGTCCTACCTAGAGCAATCAGACAAGAGAAAGAAATGAAGGGCATTGAAATTGGAATGGAAGAAGTTAAATTATCCTGTTTGCAGACGATATAATCTTATATTTGGAAAAAAACTAAAGATTCCACCAAAAAACTACTAGAACTGATTTTAAAATTCAGTAAAGTTGCAGATTACAAAATCAACATAGAAAAATCAGTAGCATTTCTATATGCCAACAGTGAACAATCTGAAAAATAAATTTAAAAAGTAATCCCATTTACAATAGCCACAAGTAAAATTAAATTATCTAAGAATTAACTTAACCAAAGAAGTGAAAGAGCTTTATGATGAAAATGATAAAACACTGCTGAAAGAAATTGAACAAGACACAAATGGAAAGATAGCCCATGCTCATGGATTAGAAGAATCAATGTTGTTAAAATGTACATATTACCCAAAGAAACCTACAGATTCAATGTAATCCCTATCAAAATATTAATGACATTCTTCACAGAAATAGAAAAAACAACCCTAAAATATACATGGAATTATAAAAGACCCAGAATAGCCAAAGCTATTCTGAGCAAAAAGGACAAAACTAGAAGAATTACATTACCTGACTTCAAATTATACTACAGAGTTATAGTAACCAAAGCAGCATGGTACTGGCGTAAAAATAGGCATATAGGCTGGGTGCAGTGGCTCATGCCTGTAATCCCAGCACTTTAGGAGGCCAAGGTGGGCAGATCACCTGAGGTCAGGAGTTTGAGACCAGCCTGGCCAACATGGTGAAACCCTGTCTCTTCTGAAAACACAAAAATTAGCCAGGTGTGATGGTGTACACCTGTAACCCCAGCTACTTGGCAAGCTGAGGCAGGAGAATCACTTGAACCTGGGAGACAGAGGTAGCAGTGAGCCAAGATCGTGCCACTGCACTCCAGCCTGGGCGACAGAGTGAGACTCTGTCTGAAAAACAAAAACAAACAAACAAAGAAACAGACATATAGACTAATGGAACAGAATAGAGAACCCAGAAACAAATTCATACACCTTCAGTGAACTCATTTTCGACAAAAGTGCCAAGAACATACATTGGGGAAAAGACAGTCTTTTCAATAAGTGGTGCTGGGGAAACTGGATATCTGTATGCAGAAGAATAAAACTAGACCCCTATCTCTCACCATATATGAGAATCAAATCAAAATGGATTAAAGACTTAAATCTAAGACCTCAAACTATAAAACCACTACAAGAAAGCACTGGGGAAACTCTCCAGGACATTGGTTTGGGCAAAAATTTCTTGAATAATACCCCAAAAGCACAGGCAACCAAAGCAAAATGGACAAATGGGATCACATCAAGTTAAAAAGCTTCTGCACAGCAAAGGAAACAATCGACAAAGTGAAGAGACAACCCATAGAATGGGAGAAAATATTTGCAAACCATACATCTGATGAGGGATTAATAATTAGAATATATAAGGACCTCAAACAACTCTATAGGAAAAAAATCTAATAATCTGATTTAAAAATGCACAAAAAATTTGAAATAGACATTTCTCAAAAGAAGACATGAACAGTGATGCAAAAATCCTCAATAAAATATTGGCAAACTGGATCCAGTGGCATATCAAAAAGCTTATTCACCACGATCAAGTAGGCTTTATCTCTGGGAGGCAATGTTGGTTCAACATATACAAATCAGTAAATATGATTCATCACATAAACAGAACTAAAGACAAAAACCAAGAATTATCTCAATAGGTGCAGAAAAGGCTTTTGGTAAAACTCAACACCGCTTCATATTTAAAACTCTCAATAAACTACGTGTTAAAGGAACATACCTCAAAATAATAAGAGCCGTCTATGACAAACCCACAGCCAACAACACTGAATGGACAAAACCTGGAAGCATTCCACTTGAAAACTGGCACAAGACAAGGATGCCCGCTCTCACCACTCCTATTCAACATAGTATTGGAAGTCCTGGCCAGAGCAATCAGGCAAGAGAAAGAAATAAAGGACCTCCAAATAGGGAGAGAGGAAGTCAAACTATCCCTGTTTGCAGACAACATGATCCTATATCTAGAAAACCCCATAGTTCCAACCCAAAAGCTCCTTCAGCTGATAAACAACTTCAGCAAAGTCTCAAGATACAAAATCAATGTATAGAAATCACTAGTATTCCTATATACCAACAATAGCTAAGCCGAGAGCCAAATCAGGAAGGCAATCTTATTCACAATTGCCACGAAAAGAATCCAATACCTAGGAATACAGCTAACCAGGGAGGTGAAAGATCTTTACAAGGAGAACTACAAAACACTGCTCAAATAAATCACAGATGACACAAACAAATGGAAAAACTGTCCATGCTCATTGATAGGGAGAATCAATATTGTTAAAATGGCCATACTGCCCAAAGCAATTGATAGATTCAATGCTCTTCCTATCAAACTACCAATGACATTCTTCACAGAACTAGAAAAAAAAACTATTTTAAAATTCATATGGAACCAAAAATGAGCCCGAATAGCCAAGGCAATCCTAAGCAAAAAGAACAAAGCTGGAGGCATCATGCTACTCAACTTCAAACTATACTTCACGGCTACAGTAACTAAAACAGCATAGTACTGGTACAAGAACAGGCACATAGACCAATGGAACAGAATACAGAGCCCAGAAATAAGGCCAGACACCTACAGCTGTCTGATCTTCTACAAAGTCACCAAAAACAAGCAATAGGTAAAGTACTCTCTATTCAATAGATGCTACTGGGATAAATGGCTAGCCATATGCAGAAGATTGAAATGGGACCCCTTCCTTACGCCATATACAAATATTAACTTAAGATAGATTAAAGACTTAAATGTAAGAGCCAAAACTATAAAAATCATGGAAGATAACCTAGGCAATACCATTCTGGACACAGAAACGGCAAAGATTTCATGGCAATGATACCAAAAGAAATTGCAACAAAAGCAAAAATTGACAAATGGGATCTAATTAAACTAAAGAGCTTCTACACAGCAAAAGAAACTATCAACAGAGTAAACAGATAACCTACAGAATGGGAAAAATTTTTGCAAACTATACATCTGACAAAGATCTTACATCCAGTATCTATAAGGAACTTAAACAAATTTATAAGAAAACAACAACAAACAAACTACCCCATTAAAAACTGGGCAAAGGACATGAACAGACACTTCTCAAGAGAAGACATACATTCAGCCAATAAGCATATGAAAAAAGCTCAACATCACTGATCATTAGAAAAATGCAAATCAAAACAGCAATGAGATACCATCTCACACCAGTCAGAATGGCTATTACTAAAAAGCCAAAAAATAACAGGTGCTAGCAAGGTTGTAGAGAAAAAGGAACACTTACACATTGTTGGTGAGAGTATAAATTAGTTCAACCATTGTGGAAAACAGTGTGATGATTCCTCAAAGACCTAAAAACACAACTACCATTTGACCCAGCAATCCCATTACTGGGTATATACCCAGAGGAATATAAATTATTCTATCATAAACACACCTGCACACATATATTCATGGTAGCACTACTCACAATAGCAAAGACATGGAATCAACCTAAATGTCCATCAATGGTAGACTGGATAAAGAAAATGTAGTATATACACACCATGGAATACTATGCAGCCATAAAAAAGAATGAGATCATGTCCTCTGCAGAAACATGGATGGAGATGGAGGCCATTATCCTTAGCAAACTAATGCAAAAACAGAAAACCAAATACTGCATGTTCTCACTGATAAGTGGGAGCTAAATGATGAGAGCACATGGACAGGTAGAGGGGAACAACAGATACTGGGGTGTACTGGAGGGTGTCAGGTGGGAGGAAAGAGAATATCAAAAAATAACTAATGAGTACTAGGCTTAATACCTGGGTGACAAAATAATCTGTACAACAAACTCCTGCGATATGAGTTTATCTATATAAGAAACCTGCACATGTACCCCTGAACTTAAAAGTTATAAAATAAAATAAAAAATAAGACATCCAAATGGCAAACAGGCATATGAAAATGTTCTTACATGGATCATCAGAGAAATGCAAATCAAAACTATAATGAGAAATCATCTCGCTCCACTTAAAATGGCTTTTATCCAAAAGACAGGAAATAACAAATGCTGGTGAGGATGTGGAGAAAAGGGAACCCTCACACTTTTGGTGGGAATGTAAATTAGTTCTCCACTATGGAGAACAGTTTGGAGGTTCCTCAAAACACTAAAAATAGAGCTACCATATGATCCAGCAATCTGGGTATACACCCAAAAGAAAGGAAATCCGTATATCGAAGTGATATCTGCACTCCCATGTTTGTTGCAGCACTGTTCACGATAGCTAAGATTTGGAAGCAATGTAAATGTCCATCAGCAGATGAATGGATAAAGAAAATGTGGTACTTATACACAATGGAGTACTATTCAGCCACAATAATATGAGATTCTGTCATTTACAAAAACATGGGTGAAAATGGAGGTCATTATGTTAAATGAAATAAGCAGGCACAGAAAGACAAACCTAACATGTTCTCACTCAAGTGTGGGATCTAAAAACCAAGACAATTGAACTCACGGACACAGGGGAAGGGTAGTGGAGGGGTTGAGGAAGAGATGGGAATGATTAATGAGTAAAAAGAAAAATTAAAAAGAATGAGTAAGACTTAGTGTTTGATAGCACAACAGGGTGACTACAGTCAATAGTAATTTAATTATACATTTAAAGATAAATAAATGAGTATATAATTAGATTGTTCGTAACACAAAGGATAAATGTTTGAGGGGAGGGATATCCCATTTTACGTGATGTGATTATTACACATTGAATGCCTGTGTCAAAATCTCTTATGTACCCCACAAATATATATACCTACTATCTACCCATAAAAATTAAAAATTAAAAAAGGATTAGACTGTTTTATGCAGCAAATTATGCAGCACATGAACTATTATGTAGAGGGAGCCTCAGCCCAGGAGTCACAAAGAAAACTTTGTGACCCTAGGAAAGCCCCTGGCTCTCCTAGCCTGAGCCTTCCTATTTGTACAGACAGAGGATTGGGCTTCATGATCCATGAGCAGTCTCTGAGTTCTGGGAGTAAACATACATACCTGAAGCCCAGAGAGGAGCCTCGCCTGCATTCATAGGACTCCATGCAAGGACAAAGAATAAAAGGTTAAAAACGAAGGACTTAGAATTCCATTTCTAACCAAGGTGGAGTAATAGGAACTGGATTTACCCTCTTGCCTTAAATGATCAAACAAACTGACAAAATATATAAAACAACAGTTTTCCAACGTGAACAGTTGGCAATGCAGGAGAGTGATCCCTGAAAACAAAAAATGGAAACAAATGAGGCAAGCCTTATGATTGTCCAAGGTTATTACTTAGAGAGTTTAGGGGCTGCAGTGCAGGGAGCAGGAACCCAGGTAGAGCCTGGTGGTTTCCTAGAGTTTAGAAGACAAGAGATAGACATTCACAAAGGCCAAGGTAGCTAGAGTTTGCATGGCAGACAGAGAGAGAGAGAGAGAGAGCTCTGAAGCTTTGCAGAATCCCCCTCCAACCCTGTCCTGACCCTGTCCTGAATTTTCAGCTGAATATTGATCAATGTATGCAGGTGAGAAAACTACCTGAGACTAGGGAAAGAACCACCTGAGAGAAACAGACAGAAAAATCCACAGAGCTAGCACAGGGCTGAGAATAGTAGAAAAACCTCCTAATATGTAGAGTATAGGGTAGGGTATGCAGAAGGGTGTTGCTTTAGTAGCAGGGAATTGGTATGTAGGATAAAGAATAAAATCACACTCAGAATAAAGGCTACTTTGGCTTTACCTAACAAAGCTTAAAGGCAAGCCTCAGAAGGATCAAACTGTTTCCAAGTAGCATAACTACTACAAAGCTCAAGAATATTTTCAAAAATAAAATGAAAGAATATCCAGCATCCAACAAGGCAAAACTCACAATGTCTGGAATTCAATTTAAAAACATTGTCAGGCATGCAAAGAAGCAGGAAAATACAACCTATAATGAAAGAAAAAATCAATCAGAACTGACTGAGAAATGACACACACGGTAGACAAGGAAATACAAACAATTATTTTTAAAATTGTTTTAACTATATGTGCTCAAGAAATAGAGGAAAACAGAAGAAGGTGAGATGTTCATGATATAAAAAGACCCAAATCAAACTTGTGCAGATGAAAAATATCATGTCTGAGATGAAAACCACTGAATGGAATTAATATGTTTAGACACTATAAATGAAAAGATTAATGAACTTAGAGCAATAAATACTATCTGAAATGAAGCACAGAATTAAAAAAGACCCAAGAGAATGATGAGCAGAGAGCATAAGTGATCTGTGGGTCCACTTCAAGTATCCTAAAACACATGTAATTGAAGTCCCCAAAAGAGAAATGAATTACCAGGCCTATCATAACCAAATTGCTTAAAAACAACTATAGAAGGAAAATCATAAAAGCAGCAAAAAGGGGTAGAAAAAAACTACATTATGTATGAAGGAACAAAGAATGACAGCAGATTTCTTACCAGAAATAAGCAAGATAAAAGATAGTGGAACTTCATAACAGCACTATTCAAAATAGCCAAAAATATGGAAATAGCTTAAATGCCCATCAATAATGAATGGATAAACAAACTGTGGTATATACATACAATGGAATATTATTCCAGCCATAAAAATAAATGAAGCATTGATACATGCTTCAATGTGGATGAACCCCCAAAACATGGAGCTCAGTAAAAGAAGCCAGACACAAAAGGTCAGATATTGTCTGACTCCACTTATATGAAATATTCAGAATAGGTAAATCCAGAGGCAACAGGCAGATTGGTAGTTGGCAGGGGCTGTGGGGAGAGGTGACTATGAAGAAACTGCTTAATGGGTATGGGGTTGCCTTTTGGGGTGATGAAAATGTTTTGGAGCTATACAGAGGCAATGGTTGCACAATATTGTGAATGTACTAAATGCCATTGAATTGTTCACTTTAAAATGCTTAATTTTATGTTTTGTCAATTTCTCCTCAATAAAAAAAAGACAGGAGCAACGTCTTATAAAGTACTGAAAGAAAAAAATATCAGCCTATAATTCTATACCCAGTGAAAGTATCTCTTAAAAATGAAGGAAAGACCAAGACTTTTTCTGACAAACAAAAGCTGAAAGAATTTATCACCAGTAGATCTGTACTACATAAGTGTTAAAGGAAGTCTTTCGAGCAGAAGAAAAATGATACCAGATGCAAATCTAGATTTACACAAAGGAATAAAAAGCACAAAATGGTAAATATGTGGTTAAATATAAACTTTCCTTGTTTTAAAAATCTCTTTAGAAGATAACTGCTTAAGGAAAAATAATAACAATTTACTGTGGAGTTTATAATAATTATAGAAGTAAATTTTATGACAATAACACAAAGGCTTGGTGAAAGGAAATAGCAGTATACTGTTATAAAGTTCTTATGGTATATATGATGCAATATAATATTATTTGTAGCTAGTCTGTGACAAAGTAAAATTACATACTGTAATATCTAAAGCAACCACTGAAGGAGAAAAAAAAAGTACAGACAATAATCCAACATTGGAGATGAAATGGAGTCATTAAAAACAATCCAAAGAAGGCAAAAAAAGGAAGGAGGGAACAAAGAACAGATGTCACAAATAGAAAATAAATAGCAACAATATATAAACATCACTATGTTGAGGACCAAATTAAACATAAATGGTATAAACATCCCCAATTAAAAGGAAGAGATTGTCAGATTGGATCTTTAAAAACTGAAGGCTCAACTATTTACCCCCTGCAAAAGTCCCACTTTTATTTGTTTGTTTGTTTGTTGAGACAGGGCCTCACTCCTGTCACCCAGGCTGGAGTGCAGTCGTGCAATCACGGCTCACTGCAGCCTCAACTTCCTGGGCCCAGGTGATTCTCCCACCTCAGCCTCCTGCATAGCTGGAACTACAGGCATGTGCCACCATGCTTGGCTAATTTTTTAATATATATATTTTTAGTAGGGATTGTGTTTTGCCATATTGCCCAGGCTGGTCTCGAACTCCTGGGCTCAAGCAGTCCACCTGCTTCAACCTCCCAAAGTGAAATTACAGGCATGAGCCTACATGCCGGCCAAAAATCCCACTTTAAATAAAAAGCCACAAACAGGTTAAAGTAAAAGGATTAAAAAAGATACATCTTAGATATACATATTAGGTATACACGCTAAAACCAATCAAAACAAAGCTGGAGAAGTTATTACAGGCAAGTCAGACAAAGTGGAATTCAGAACAAAGAGTTTTACCAGGATAAAATGGCCATTTCCTAAGAATAAAAGAGTTAATTCATCAAAAGGACATAACAATCCTGCATGTTATGCACCTAAATAACAGAATTTCAATATATGTGAATAAAAAAACTGATAAAACTCCAAAGAGAAATAGACAAATAAACAATTACAGTCAGATATTTCAACATTCTCTCAGTAACTGAGAATAAACAGATAGAAAATTAGTAAGAATTTAGAAGGCTTGAACAACACTATCAGCCAATTTGACCTAATTAACATTCATAGAACACTCCACCCAATAATAAAATACACACTTACTTAGAGCATATTCTCGGACATAAAATAAATCTTACTAAATGTAAAAGAATTCAAGTTAGACAAATTATGTCTTATGAACACAATGAAATTAAATTAGAAATCTGTAACAGAAAGGCATCTGGAAAATCATAAAATATTTGAAGATTAAACAAAACCCTTAATTCATGGGTCAAATAAAAATCAAAAGGGATATTTAAAAGTATTTTGAACTGATTGAAAAAGAAAACATAGCATATCAAAACTTGTAGGATGCAGTTAAATCAATACGTACAGGGAAAATTGTAGCACTAAATGCTTATATTAGAAAAAGAGGCCAGGCATGGTGGCTCACGCCTGTAATCCCAGCACTTTGGGAGGCCAAGGCGGGTGGATCACGAGATCAGGAGATCGCGACCATCCTGGCTAACACGGTGAAACCCCGTCTCTACTAAAAATACAAAAAAAATTGGCTGGTGCCTGTAGTCCCAGCTACTCGGGTGGCTGAGGCAGGAGAATGGTGTGAACCAGGGAGGCAGAGCTTGCAGTGAGCCGAAATCACACCACTACACTCCAGCCTGGGCGACAGAGTGAGACTCTGTCTCAAAAAAAAAAAAATAGAAGAAGAAGAAAGTTCTCAAATTAATGACATAGGCTTCTTCCTTAACAAACTAGAAAAAGAAGAGTAAATTAAACCTAAAGTAAGCAGAAGAAAGAAAATAATAAAGATAGCAGAAATCAATGAAATAGAAAATATAAAAATAATAGAGAAAACCAATAAAGCCATTCTTTGAGAAGGACAGTAAGTTTGATAAGCCTCTAGCCAGGCTAGTCAGGGAAAAGAGAGAAGACACAAATAACTAATGTCAGGAATTAGATATGGCACATAGATTCAGATCCTACAGAAATTAAAAGTATAGCAAGAATATATGATGAACAACTTAATGTTTATAAATTTAACAACTTGGATGAAATGGACAAATTCTATGAAAGATGCAAACTACCCAAATTTACCAAAGAAGAAATATATAAACAAAATAGCTCTACACCTACTAAAGAAATTGAACGTGTGTTTTAAAATCTCCCCAGAGAAAAATCCAGGCTCAGATGGCTTCACTGTTGAATTCTACCAAATGTTTAAGGAATAAATATTACCAAGTCTACATATAATTTTCCAGAAAATTAAAAAGGGGAGAATACTTTCCAACTCATTATGTGAGGCCAGCATTACTCTGCTACCAATAGTAAACTATCATATTACAAGAAAAGAAAATTTAGACTAATACCTATCATAAGGATACAACAATATATAAAAAGGATAATATAACAAATGAAGTAAATTCCAGGAAGGCAAGACTGGGTTAACACACAAAAATCAATGTAATTCATCAAATTAATAATGTGAAAAAGAAAAACAATGTGATTATCCAAATAGGTGCAGAAAAAAGCATTTGACAAAATTCAACATCTACTCCTGGTAATAAAATCTCTCAGAAAACTAGGAATAAAAGAAAATGTTCTTAACCTGATAAAGGACATCTGTGAAAAGCCTACAACTAACATCATGCCTTACAGTGAAAGACTGAATGCCTTCTCCCTAAGATCAGACAAGGATGATTGCTCTCAACCTTTCTTATTCAGCATCACACTAGAGGTCCTAGCCAGTGCAATAGGTGAGAGAAAATAAATTAAAAGCATACTCATTGGAAAGGAAGAAATAAAACTGTCTCTGTTTGGAGAAGACATAATTGTCTATGTAGAAAAACCCAAAGAATTTAAGAACTAATAACTGAGCTTAGTAACGTTGCAAGATACAAGCTCAATATGCAAAAATAAGCTGTATTTGCATTAGTAATAAGCAATTGGAAAGTGAAACAAAAACAACACAATTACTTACAATAGCACCAAAAAATATAAACTACTTAGGAATAAGCCTATCAAATATGTATAGGATCCTTACACTAAAAACTACAAAACACAAATAAAAAAATCAAAGAAGCCATAAAAAAATAGAGATGAACCATGTTCATGCACTGGAAGACTCACCAGTGTTAAGATTTATTCTTCTCCCAAATAATCTATATATTGAATGCAACTCAAAATTCCAGGAAGACATTTGGTAGAAATCAAAAAGCTGATTCTAAATTTCTATGAAAAGTTAAAGGAATTAGAATAGCTAGGCCAGGCACGGTGGCTCACGCCTGTAATTCTAGCACTTTGGGAGGCTGAGGCAAGAGGATCTCTTGAGGCCAGGAGTTTGAGACCAGCCTGGGCAACATAGTGAGACCCCATCTCTATACAAAATTAAAAAATTAGCTAGGCATGGTGGCATACACTTGTTGTCCTCTACTTGGGAGGCTGAGGTGGGGGGATTGCTGAGCCCAGGAGATCGAGGCTGCAGTAAGCTATCATTGCACCACCACACTCTAGTCTAGATGATAGGGAAAGACCCTGTCTCTAAAAAAAAGAACAGACAAAACAATACCACCTAATTTTAAGGTTTAATAATAAGTAATGGTAATCAAGACACTGTAGCATCAGTGAAAGGATAGATTAATAGGACAAAATAAAAAGCATATAAATTATCCCAAACATTAATTTTTTTTTTTGAGACAGTTTCACTCTTGTTGCCCAGGCTGGAGTGCAATGGTGCAATCTCAGCTCACCGCAACCTCCGCCTCCCAGGTTCAAGTGATTTTCCTGCCTCAGCCTCCCGAGTAGCTGGGATTATAGGTGCGTGCCACCACGCCCAGCTTATTTTGTATTTTTAGTAGAGAAGGGGTTTCTCCATGTTGGTCAGGCTGGTCTCAAACTCCTGACCTTGAGATCCGCCCACCTCGGCCTCCCAAACTGCTGAGATTACAGGCATGAGCCACTGTGCCTGGCCAGTTGGTTTTTAAATAAAGGTTCAAAGACAATTCAATGGAGACAGAATAGTCTCTTCGAAAAATGGTGCTGGAAAAATTGAGTATTCACATTTGAAAAATGTACCTCAACTCATACTTTGTACCATTTACAAAAATTAACCTAAAATGCAACATACACATAAAAGTAATACCTAAAACTATAAAACTTCTAGAAGAAAACATAAGAGAGATTCTGTGTGACTTTGGGCAAGGTTCATCAAGTACAACACCAGTATCATGATTCATAAAAGAAAAAACTGATAAACTGGACACCATCAAAATAAAAAAACTTCTGTCTTTCGAAAGACACTAGTAGGTGAATGGAAAAACACTCTACAGACTGGAAAATTAGATTTATATGTGATAAAAGGCTTGTGTCCAAAATACACAGGAAAAGTTCTCAAAACTCAATAGAACAACATGATCTTTAAAATGTGCAAAAGACTTGAACAGATACTTTGCCAAAGAGCATATACCATGGAAAATAAACCCATGGAAAGATGCTCAACATCATCAGTAAGCAGAAAAACGCAAATTAAAACCAAAATGAGGTTCTATTTGACACTTATTAGAATGACTAAACAAACAAACAAACACGTGCCACCAAGTGCTGGCAAGGATGCAAAGCTCCTGGAGCTCTCATCCATTGCTGGTGGGAATGCTAAATGCCTGCTCTGGAATACAGTTTGGCAAGTATTGTAAAGCTAAATACATCCTTCCTGTTCAACACGGGAATCTACTCCTGGGGGCTTTATCTACACAAAACCTGTATGTAACTGTTTATAGCCACTTTATTTGTTATTGTACCAAACTGGAAACAACTCAAATATCTTTCAACTGGTTAATGGATAAATAAACTATGGTACATACATACAATGGAATACTATTCATCAATAAAAAGGATTGAACTACTGATCTGTGCAACAATGTGGATGAATGTCACCATATACTCTGGTCAATTTATATGACATTCTGGAAAAGGCATAACTATAGGGGCAGCGGGCAATGGTTGTCAGCAGGAGGGGGGAGGGGTTGACAATGAAGAGGCAGGAGGTAGTGTTTGGGATGGTAAAACTGTTCTATATCCTGGTTGGAGGTGGTAGTTACATGACTGTGGGTGCTTGTTGCAACTTGTAGAATTGTATACTAAATACGGTAAATTTTACTGCATGTAGATTATATGTTAATTTTTTAATGGAAAAATTTTATAAACTAAGAAACGAAACTCAGGGAGTTTTCTGTTCAAGCCTCCATCCCATAGGAAACCTACTGTCCGAAACCCCGCTCCTAAGAGCACCACAAATGTGCCGCACCCTGTGTTCAAGGGCAGATTCCAAAAGGAAGGCTGCAGATCAAGGCTCAGGAATTGGGGGCAGACTCACAACTTTGGGACCTGAGGAGGAGACAGATCAGTACCCTTTGCCCACCTGTTGGGAGGAGCAAAGGTGGGCCCTCTGGAGAGGATGCCCATATGGGGGTGGGCTGTTGTTGGATACCCCGGCCTCCTTGACAGAGGTGAACTTAGTGAAGCCAGTGAAGCTTAAATTCACGGCTCCTCACTTCCTGGTAGGGGTCCTGGTAGTAATGTGTTCATGTGGTCATAGGTTTTTGTGAAAATTGCAAAAGTGAGATATTTTAGCCATAAATATTTAAACCCACTGTCTCTTTGCCTTTCCGACTTTTTCTCTGTCACAACAATATCCCATTCCTCCTGGTATACTTCCTCCCCTGACATTGGTGTGGCCACAAGCATTCTAATTATAATCACTTCCAAATATACCTAATTTTGCATTATTTTCTAAAAAAAGGTCCCCTCCCCACCCCTGCCCTGAATCATGATTCAGCCTCACAGCCCCTCCACCCCTGGATGCCCTGTCCCTCAGCTGACTGTGGCCCTGCCCTGGAGGCTGGCTGTTTGATGCACTCACCTTTCGGTTGAAGCGATCAATAGTGACCTGATGGGCCAAGTGAGTCATGTTCAACATCACCAGACAGAACGGGGGCCAGTTCAGGTGCCCCTGCAGAGAGAACCCAGCCCTCATCAACTTGGAGCCCTGTCCTCTGTCCCCCTCCAAGTGAGTGGGCACAGCAAATGTGAGTACAGTCTCCCCTGACTACCCCCTGCACTATGCCAGGGGCTCCCATCAGGCTGGGCTGATGGTGCCCAGGATTGCATGGAACTGTTGCGGCTCCATCTGACCTCATGCAAGCCCAGACCAAAACAGAAAAAAAGGAAGGAAGGAAGGAAGGAAGGAGGGAAGGAAGGAAGGAAGGAAGGAAGGAAGGAAGGAAGGAAGGAAGGGCAGGGCAGAGAGGGAGGGAAAGAAGAGAGAAGAAAGAAGGAGAAAGACAGACAGAGAGAGAAAGAAAGAAAGAAAGAAAGAAAGAAAGAAAGAAAGAAAGAAAGAAAGAAAGAAAGAAAGAAAGAAAGAAAAGAAAGAAAGAAAGAAAGAAAGAAAAGGGAGAAGAGAAGAGAAAGAAGCTACCTCTTTCCACCTGACTTATGGGGACATCCTAGTAGGAGATTCCCTGCAGCCAGCACCCATGACCTCGGGCCACACCATTGCAGTGGCATCCCAGCTCCTCTGCACTACTGTGCCATCCCTCCTACATGGCAGGAAGCTGGCACAAGCTGGGAATGGGACAGGCTGGGGCCAGGAGGTGGCACACTCCACTCAATTCTTTCCCCAGCCTCCAAGGGAGCCATCACCTGGGAGGCCCTGCCCATTCCTGGAGACAGAGGGAGCTCAGGGGGGCTTCCACATCTGTCTTTGCCTCTGGTACCCTGGCTCACTGCTCCGTCTCCCCTCTTATCCTAGTCCCATTCCTAGTCCCCAGCAGGGAGGGAGGTATGGGGCAGGCACCAGGTTGGCACTTTTGCAGTCCAGTACATGGACGGTGAGCATTTCATCTGGGCTCTGGCTGAGGATGTAGATGGCCTCCTTGAACAGAGCTACGTGGCTCCCATCGAAGGTCACGAAGCTCAGGTCAGGGAAGATTGAGCACCGGCCTGGGGGAGGGGCAGGGCACAAGAAGAATAGGTGGATGCCTCCAAGACCAAGGCCGCCTAGGAAGATGGGGCAGGTTCCTGGCCCTTTTCCTGGATGGATGCAGAGGCCTGGGGTCTGGAGGGTGGCTCAGACCACGCATCACACAGATCAGAGGTCACAAGCGTAGGAAATCTGCCAGGTCGGGGTCCCACAGGAGGGGAGTCTGGGACACACAGATCAGGGATGGCGGTCATGCTGGGGTAAGGATACAGGGAGGATGCAGGAGGCTCCGCTGATCCCATGACTCACAGGCACACTCCCAGAGTGGGCAGCAGCGGTCCCCACCCACCCGCACGGCGAGGCCCAGGATCCCACAGCGAGGGGGAGCAGCACCCTGGGGACAGTGCTGGGACTGATTCACGCGAATCAGCTGGCCCTCCAGGCAGATGTGGCGGACGCAGTCCTGCTCGGCGATTGGCTGGGTACAGAGTGGAGGAAGTGTGAGTGACCATCAAGGAGCTACAGCCCACCCTGCAAGCTGTGATGGCACCAGATCCTTCCCACATGTAGGTCCTAGCGGGGCAGGGGACCTTCTAGGGAAAGAGGCCCTCACCCCCTACCCACCACAAGCCATGTGGGGCCTGGCGATGCACTTAGTGTGAGCTCGGGGGTCAGGGACCTATTCCCTGAGACCTCTGCAGATCTGCCTGGCCTGCGCTGAGAGGTCTGGGTACACAGGCATGTATACACACTAGCTCACACTCACAGAAACCCTAGCATACTTGCACAAGCCTATACACACAAACACACACACACACACACACAGTTTCTCACAAAGGCACAAAGATGCACATGAGGATGTCTCAAACACCATTCCTCACACACACAAGAGCACATGCAGATACAGGAGCGCTCATATTTTCTCACACATGTGAACACAAACACACACAGCAGTCTCACACAGGCACACACTAGCACACACACATTGTCACCTGGGCATCACACTAGGCCATCCAATCAGCCCCCCAGGGCCTAGATGGGCCAGGCGGAACCCTGCTATGGCATCAGGGGCCAATAGGAGACTGAAGAATTTTTCAGGGACCAGGAGCATGGGGCAGGTATGAGGATAGCGACTAAAACTCCATCTAGCAGGGAAGAGGAAGGGATGAAGGGAAGGGTCACATACGGGTGGCCAGAACCCTGGCAAATCACTCACAACACAGGTGGTGGATGTATTGGCCTCAGTGGTAGTTGCCAAAGCCTCCGCCAAACCCTCTACGATGCTCAGGGCTGGGGCTGAGCGCCCAGATGGTTCTGTGGTGGCCTCGTCCACCGGCTCTGCTGCCAGGTGAGGCCCTGCCGAGGTTCCATGGGCCTCAGCCAGCTGAGGCAACAGAACCAGCATGCTGTCTTGGGGGGCCGTCCTGGCTGAGACACGGCTCAGGGCATAGGATGTGGGCACTGGCAGAGCTGTGCCTGCCTGGGCTCCCTCGGGCTCAGCCACCAAGGGCGTGAGAGGGTGGCTCGTAGCAGGCGTGAGCTCTGTGGGCCCACCCTCTGCAGAACCATACATGGAAGTGGGCAGAGACACTTGCTTGGATAGGATGGCCACCTTCCCTGTGGTGCTCTTTCGTGGGACAACAGATACCATGGAGGCCGTGCCCTCAGCCACAGGCAGGACTCCAGAGGTTGGCAATGTGGCTCCCAGCAGCAGGCCTGGAGCTGTGCCTGCTGCTGGGGGTGCTATGTGAGTGGGTGGGTGCGCCTGGGTCATTGCTGCTGGAGTGAAAGGCAGTACTGGGCTAAGTGTCTGAGCAGGCAGAGTCGTGGCCTGTGGCTGGAGTGGAGTGGTGATGACAGAGGCTTTGGGGCCGGGTGTGGCCACTGGGGCAGATGTGCCCACCTTGGCCAGGGGCAGGCTGGTGTCGGGAGGCAGGCCAGAGAGGAGCTGGGAGGGACGAGTTGACTCAAGGGACATGAAGGGTGTGGCTGCCAGCCCATCAGTGGCTGTTGACAGGCTGGCGGCAGCTGGGGTCTCTGGGGGCAGAGCTGGAGACCTGGTGGCCATGGTGGTATGCTGGGCTGGGCGGGGTGGTGCAGAGGGGAGTGGGTGTGGCTGTGGGGAGGCAGGCGAGCCCATGGGCTGGCTGTGCCCGGCTTCGCCCTTCTCTGTGGATAGCACTATCTCCAAGCTCCTGGTTGCAAGGGGACTGACAGGAACCTGTTCTGCTGCTGTTCCAGCCACAGTTAGAGGGGTGCTGGGACTTGAAGCACTCTGGGCCTGGGTGGGCTGGGGGACCCCTGTCCTGCTTATGACCTTAGTTACTGCAGGTGTCAGCACAGCCTTGTGGGATCCCGAGGAGGTGGGGGACCTGGAGATGGCTCCAGGGGAAGCCACAGGTCTGGAGGAGGGACTTGCTGTCAAGGAGGGCTGTGGGGGTGTCGTCCTAACAGGCAAGGAGCCATGGCCTCGGACTGTCACAGCCTTGGTCATGAGCGGGAAGCGAGGGGCAGGGGGCGACCGGGAGGAGACTGTGATGTTAGGGCTTCCTGCAAAGATCACAGTCACCCTTGTTGTCTCCATGGCACCTGACACCATGCCAGGTGTGGGTGTCTGCAGTGCAACAGGGAGGGATGAGGACTCTGGTGTATGGGGGATGGCCAGGAGGCTGGCAGTCACTCCCTTGCTGGCTGGGGACTCCGTGGGGCCGGCGGGGAGTTGAGATGCAGTGAGCTCCAGTGGCTGCTGCAGGGTGGTCTGGGTGGGGCCTGGAGACACCACTGGCTCCTCAGTGGCTGTCACTGGTGGGTTCAGGGCTGTGGTGAGTGGGGCAGCTGGGGTGAGGGCTGGCCTGTGGGTGGGGGTCCTGGGGCTTTCCTGTGACAGCTGTGGCTCCTCATCACTGGGAGTGGGCAACCCTTGACTGGGAGGGAGGGTCTCATTGCCAAGGGCCTCTGTGGGAACCCAAACTGCTGGCTCCACACCTGCGGAGACAAAAGAAGAGGTTCAGAAGGCGGGGTGACTGCTGCCCCGGGGGTCATTGCTGGGCAGGGCTGTGGTGTGAGGCTTGAGGACTGGCACTCTCGGTGATGGGGTGAGGGCAGCTTCTAACGGCCAGATGTCAGCAGGTCTGGACTCCGCCCCAGACGTCAGACCCTGACCCCAGAACCAAGAGACCTCAGGTCTAAGTCTGGCTGCACCACCTTCTCACCATGTGACCCCACTCTGGGCCTCATTTCTCCTCTCTGTGAAATGGGGCGAATAGACCGGATGAGGCCTCTGCATCCCCTGTGCCTGTGCCTCTTTCCAAAGGTCCCTGTGCTGATCTTGCTTCTCTGGGACCTGGGAGCTTTGAGGCATGACTGCTCAGTGAGACCCTAGGGACTTAGAGGAAATCTGAGGGAAGGATGAGAAGTCTGGGCCACTTACAGTCCTCCAAGTAGACACATCTCTGTGTGACTTCATCCAGGACCTGGGGGGTGGGGCACACAGGGACACAGCCTTCTACCCTGAGGACAGAGCAGGGAGCAGTTTAAAGGCCTGAAATACAGGCAGGGCCATCTCTTTTTCTCTCGATTGAGCACAGGCCTTATCCTTTCTTATGACACATGTGCGTGCACACATGTGCTTATTACGTGTACACACACATGACCCTCCATAGAGATGCTGTCACACATGTACAGGAGCACACACACCCAATGTGTATGCGGCACACTCCTGCACACTTCTACCCCTCAGACCGAGAGGGAAACACACACACGAGCAAGGTACACTTCTGCACACACTCATGTACATGTTCACATGTGTCTCTGCCTGGGCACATTCTCACATGGCCTCATGTACCCCCTCCAACCCTGCAGGACTCCAAAATTTTTACATATACATGCAAACACATCCACAGAGACTCCCACAAAAATCAGTGAATACACCCTCACACATGCACACAGCTGCACACAACACCTGCATACATGCAGCTGTGTACAACGAATGCACAGTTGTAGTAGTACACGCACAAACACACGCAAGGCTCTGCTGCATGCACATCATGCACAAATAGATAGTCACATATGCTGACATATGTGCATATACGGAAAGACACAGTTACCGTGGTACACACATCCCCATACACTCAACATATGAAACACTCATACACAAGTGTATGTGAGTGCACACACACACTAGTGCACACACCTTGGCTCCATGCCCACAGCCCCTGGCATCTCACCTGGGTACGTCCCGGCAGCTGGCTGCCCGTGGGTCCCGGCAGGTTTGGAAGCAGGGGCTGGCACAGGCATCGTAGCGCCACTCGCAGATGGGGTAGGCAGCCCCCGAGGGCTTGGCATCTAGAAAGTGAGATGGGGCAGCAACTCTGGGTCAGGTGAAGACACAGAGGGAGTCCCAGAGCTCAGCCCTGCCCCCCATCCTGTGGAGGGGACAAATGGACCCATGCAGGGAAAGCAAATGGGGAAAAAACCACACTAAGGAGAAACTGCGTTCATGGTGGTTGGGGTGAGTGCCTGGGGGATCCTGGGGACGGGGCTCTGGGAGCTGAATGCAGGACTGAGGACAGGGAAGGACTGAGGACAGGGAAGAACTGAGGACAGGGAAGCTCTGGCCCCGGCAGTTGGAGTGAGGTTTCGAAGGGTGACCGAAGAAGAGGCCTGGACCCCTGATCTCTCCCTTGGGATGCCCTGCCACCCACCCTGCCCCTCTGGGACCCTGGTGCTCAGGCTTGCCCTGCATCCCAGGACACAGTAACCTCCTCCTTGCCTTGTCTCTAGCAGGGCTATTGCAGACCTCCATGGAGGCAAGAGGCTCTCCTTTGCAGGGTGAGGGGAGGCACTGGGGGATCCCTTCCCCTCTAGCCCAAAGCGTTCCTGGGCACCTAGCCCCAGAGAGCTTGCAAGGGAGGTGTTATTCCCCCGACTCAGCCCTCTCTGTTCCCAGAGGGCCCCTGAAGGGCCTGAGAGTGCAGGTCGTGTGAGCACCACCCTCACTGCCCTGGCGGCTGGGCTAACTCTTAAACAGCACTGGGCGCTACCCAAAATATCTCACACGGATTTACTCATTCAACCTCATCATCGTCCTAGGAAGTAGGCGCTATTATTACCCCCACTTTAGAGAAGAGGAAACCCAGGCACAGATGATGCTGAGAAAGTGAAAGGTTTTCAGAGGAGATGTTCTCAAAAGAGGCCCTGTGGCTAGCACCTTGGCAAATGAGGGAAAAGTCTGCAGCCTATGGGGGGCTTGGAGGCAGACAAGTAGACCCCAGGCTACCTTGGCACAAGTGACCAGTTTCTGAACACACAGCCTGAACAGGGAGGTGTGGGTAGGCTCCGAAGCAGGCTCCAGGGAGCATCCCCCACCGGCAGCTCCTCCAGACGCCCTAACCTGAACACTGCTGCCAGCTGTAAAGAAACCTGCTTTTCCAAAAGTCTAACTTACATTTGGGGAGCACCTACTATGTGCCAGCACAAGGCAAAGCCCGCGAGACACAGCCAGTCCTCACAGCACACTTCCGAGACAAATATCCCCATTCTACAGGTGAAGAAACCAAGTCAAGGAGATGAGGGTTCTCCTCCAAGGGTCTAGGACCAGGGTCAGGATTTGAACTCAAGGCTGTCCAGCTTCAAAGCCTGGGCTCATGCCACTCTGCCCTAGTGTCTTCCGGAGAGGGACACAAATACTCCCATCATGAGCAAGTCTTGTCATCATGGCCAGTGATAAATCTGTCCCATGTCAAGTTTAAGGGCAGACTCGATAACTGACCGCTGAAGGGAAGAATGAGCTCACCCAGCCCTGGCTTGGGTGGGGTGGGTGATGAAATAAGGAGGCTGGCTGAAGACACATTTACATACGTGTACATGCAAATGGATCCACCCACAGACACAGGTACCCCCAAGCCCCATGCAAGACAGAGAAAACAGTGAAGAAATTATGATCGCCTTCTCCAGGGTTTAGGCAGAGAACAATATTTTGGGGACAGACACACCTGGCAGGGCAGGCCCTGGATCCCCTTGGCGTTGGTGGAAGGTCGGGGAGTTGCCCCATCCCTGTCCAGGGGCTTGGGCCTTCCATTGAGAGAGGAGGTTGCTGGCCCCCAGACCTATCCCCCTTGTGCAGTCTTTGAACTCATGGGGCAGACATGTGACCTCATCAGCAAGAAAACTGAGCCAGCGGCTACGCATGTTGCAGCCAGGATCACACCTCCCCTCACTTCCACAAAGGCTGCTATATTTTTAGACAGTGTAATTGGCCTGTGGCAGAAGGCAGGACCCAGGAAATTGGCTGGACCCCAAGCACACTGTCCGTGGCTCCCTAAGCTGTCAACATGGAGGCTGGGCCACCTCTCATCTCAGGGTGGCACCCATGTGGCCCCTGTGCCAGGAGAAGGAGGATTCTGCTTCTTAGGGGTAATTGGAAGGGTGAAGTGGGGACAGGGTGGGAAGAGCAGTGGACTGAGAGGGCCAAAGGGCCGAGGGCAATGGCAGGGGGTCGCCTACCCAGAAGGCGGAAGAGTGTGCCCCGGCGGAACACCTCTGTGTGTTCGTACAGCCGCAGGGCCAGCACCGCGCCCGACACATAGAGGAAGGAGCTGGGCTTGGCCAGGGACTCCAGGGCCACCAGGCCTGCCTGCCGTGTCCCCCGGTGCAGCAAGAAGGAGGCATGCTGTTGGAAGGTGTCACGGCCCTGCCACTTAGCCAGCTCCAGAGACCCGTTGGCTGTGACGTGAAGGAAGAAGTTGGGTCTGTCTGCTGCCTCCAGGGACACCACATCTGGGTCTGCAGAGAACCACATGGGGAGAGTCAGTACAGGCAGAGGTCCAGGTGGCTGCGGGAACAGCATCCTGGCACACATCTGCTCTCTCAGCGACTCTGGATGGCAGCACGCCTGCAGACCAGCAGGCCCTGCCCCCTACACCAGCCCCCAGCCCACCTACTCTGCCTGCCAGCTGCCCCTCACACCATCTCTGCCTGAGGGCGAGCGGAGGCTTAGAGACCCCCCAGCTGCTAAGCCTCGGGAAGGTAATTGAACTATCTCCTTCCCTCCCCTTTGCACCCCTCTTTCCATTCTTCCCTCCTTCTGCAAACATGTTTGAGTGCCCTCAATGTACCAGGCACTATTCTAGATACGCAGGATCCATCAGTGAATACAATAGAGGCAACTGCCCTGATGGGGTTGCATTGCATTAGACATGTGGGGCACGCTGAAGGTTGGTGATTTGCCAAGCTATAGGGTCCCCAGCTTGGTCCTGCTCCTCACAGAATTCCACAGGGCCAGCATTGGCAACCCTTCATCCAACTCATAGATAGGGAGAGGGTCCCAGAGAGAGAGAGAAAGGAGCTTGCCCAGAGACCCAAAGCTTGTCTCTGTCCTCTCTCTCTGGTCTCCATAACTGCCCAGTTCTAGGGCATGGGGGCTTGATGCCTGGTGGGCAGTTTCCCCTGCCCAGGGCCTTATGGGTCTCCTCAAGTCCCAAATCCACAAGCAGGCACAGGGAGTGAGCATGGGGCGGGAATCCCAGCTCACCACCCTGGCTGTGATGTGGGCAAGCGCATTCATGCCTGGGCTGTTGGAGGGATCATCAACGAGGTGTGTGTGAAGCGCCTGGCACAGCCTGGTGCTGGGTGGGTGCATCTTCAGCCCCTTCCATGTGTCCCCTGTGTCCCCAGGAGGGACGATAGTGTCCCTGTCACACCTCCCTGGGAAGCTGCGAGAAGATGGCAGGTAACAGAGACTGGCTTCATCCATGTTAATAATCACAGCTGCTGTTTACACATGACTCGCTACGTGCCAGGCACTGTGCTAAGCAAGCTGGTTACCTGCAGGTTTTGAAATTCCTACGAGAACCCTGTGAAGTGAAAAATATCTTCATTCAGCAGCAAATATTTACTGAGTGCCTGCTGTGGGCCAGGCCCTGTTCTAGGCACTGAGGCCACAATAGGGAGCAAAATGATGAAAATTCTTGCCCTCATGGAGCTCACCATCCTGGGGGCTGTGGGGTGGAGAGAGAATAAATTTCTATGAGAGGTTAAAAGGTGGTGATATTACAATTCCCATTTTACAGAGGAGGGAAGAGAGGCCCAGAGTCACACTGACGGCGGATGAGGGAGGCAGGGCTGGATGCAGGCAGGCTGAGACCAGAGCCCAGCTATCTTCACCACCACATGGCTGGCCCCACCCATGGGATGCAGGCGTGGGCATGGGCAGCCCAGCATGGTAGGGCACTGAGTCCCAGCCCCAGCCCGCTCCACTGGATGCGTGACCTCAGGCAAGTCACTTCTCCTCCCTGGGCCTTGGCTTCCTCCTTCAAGAAGGCGGGGTTGGCCCGGATCAAGGCTTCTCCACTGTTTTCCCTGCAGTCCTCCTAACAGGGCAGAGACCTTGAGATGCAGAGTCCGGGGCTGTACTGTAAATATTCGAGTGACTTCGCCTGCCATCCTCTGTATTTCTTGTTTAATGCCTCGGTTTGGAAGGCAGCATGGCAGAGGAGTTTGAATGAAAGACTCTGGAGCCAAACGGCTGGCGCCTGTCACTAACAAGCACTGCACCCTTGGGTAAATCACTTAATCTCTCTGGGCCTCAGTTCCCTCATCTGTAGATTGGGAAAATAATAGTCCCTACCTCCTAAGATTGTCATGAGGATTAAATGAGTTGCTATACATGAAGCGCTTAGAACAGTGCCGGCACATGAGAAGTCCTACAGAAGGGCAACGTATGATTATTAATAAATAAGTAACCTCCCCACCACAAAAATCTTCAGGTAACACTAGCACCCCGGTGACCTGTGTCAGGCTGTGGTGGTGACTCCCCAGAGCGGGAAGCCTGGGCCTCAGTGACTGCTGAGTCCTCCCCTCTGTGATGTTTCCTGCTCTCCACTTCTTCGCATAACCATCTTTCCCATCCTTTAAGGCCCAACTCAAGGGACACCTCCTCCATGCAGCCACCCTAGGTCCCACCTGGAAGGCACCTTTCCTTGGCTGCCCAGGACCCTGGGCACAGCCCAGGAGAAGCAGTATGGGAAGGGAGAGGGAGGAGCTTGGGTCCCCACTGGGCCCATGAGACCCAGGCCTGACTCTGAGACGGAGCCTGGACTGGAGCCCCTCTGGCATCCTGCCCCCAGTGACGTTCTCTAAGGCCAGGTGACTCCGGGGTTCTGCTTAGCATGCCCATAAACCTAGTGGAAAGGCAACACCCCCTCTGGACTACACATTACCTACTAGATTAAAATACTGGATGGAGAACAGAAAAGCCTCACTAAGCAGATGGCCTGCCACATCTGGAAGGTGGTGAGACACCCTTCGTCAGGCAGGAATGCATGGATCTGGGGATCAGAAATGTTTAGGGAGGAAGTGCTGTCTTTGGGGGTGGTGCTTCTAGCTGTCCTGCGGCCCAGTGCCTGACTCCTCACTCCCAGGCCTCCTTGTGCAACTACGTGATTCTGCCAGGTACCACCTACCTCACCCAGGCTCACACCACCGTGAACATCACCTATAGCTAGGGATGTTGGCTGTGCCTGGGGCTGGGCAGGAGCCAGGACGTCCCTTCCCCTCCACAAAGCCCTTCCATGGCTCCCCATTGCCCTCAGGATAAAGTCCCAAATCCTGAGCTTAGCTTACTAAGTAAGAAAGAAGTTTCCCTTCCTGACTCCTTCTTACTCTTAGGGGAACATCCTCTATTTTAACAAGGCTCTCCTGACTCTAAGACTGAGTTGGGGGCCCCCTCCCCCGTGTTCCGCCTTTGGGCACGTCTGTCTCCTCGATGGGACTGTGGGCTTCTGATGGGCAGGGACCTTGTCTCTTGTATCCCTGATTTCCCAGTACCTGGCTCTGTGCTTGGCATGGGATTAGGGCTCAGTGAAAGGGTGGGAGGCAAGAAGAGAGGTAGAGGGAGAAAGGGAAGAGAGGAGGGAAGAAGGGAGAGAGGGAGGGAGGGTGAGATAGGAAGAGAGGAAGGAGGAGGAGGAGCATGAGGAGGGAGAGCTGCCACTTGGCTTTTCTGGAACACAGCTATTGCATACAGCAAGGTACAGAGGCACACCTGGGCCTTGGCTGCCCTGGCGGTTAGGGGAGCAGATGGAGAGCATCTCTGCAGAGGAGAAGAAGCTGACCCAGAAGCACCATCTCAACTGGGAGAGGGGCACTTGTCGGAGCCCCTATTTCTCCGGCCACTACAGATACTTAGGGCCTCAGCACCCTCCCCTCCTCTAGCACCCTCCTGCCTCCCAGAAGAGCTGGAGTGGGACTGGGATGGGCCTTACCATGGGCCTTGGCCTTGTACAGAGCAGCTGTCAGCAGGAAGCTCACAATGTCTGCTGGCGCCACATCCTCTGTCCTCACTAGGACTATGTCATCGCCCACCGCCTTCATGCCCACCAGAGCACCACCGGCTGCCAAGCTGGATAGCTGATAGGGGCCCTTACCTAGCACTGGAGAGAAGAGGCCCCATCAGCAACCTGGCCCCATGGCCTGCCCACCTCCCATACCTCCTGCCCCACCCCTTGGCAGCAGTGGGGTGGGAGGGCAAGCTACCAAGGAGGAACTCTTGATGGTGTCCTTCATCCCAGATCTCAGGGACCTTGATGACCCTGAGAAGGAAGGGACAGGATTCCCAGGCTGCCAGCCCCTGAAAGGAACAGACCCACTGCACAGTGCCTGAGTCACTTCACAGGGAGCCAAGGAAGAAGGCGACCCACAGGGAGCACCTGGGCCCCCCATTGTCTCTCCACAGCCTTCCCACTGCCTGAAACTTCACCATTACAGCCACTGCTCTATTCAAGGTCCCCTCTGGAAGAAGACGTCAGACCCGGTTTCTGCCCACCCCAGGCCTGAGGGACAATAAACCTGTTAGTGTTTATCTAATTATTTCAAACACGTGTCACTGTTGAGTCTTTAGAATTCCTGTGGTTGTCAGTATAGGTTGGCACAGAGCATGGGCTTCCTGGACAATCACCTTGTAAGGATCTTCCTGCCTCTGCTGTGCCCACCCCCCACCCCAATGCCTCCTCCCCACGGCTGCTGAGCTGCCCTCCCAGCCACGCCCCCTGGTGGGACGCACCAGTGGCTCTCCATGGCCCTCAGGACAGAATCTAAAGAGCCCAGCTTGAATTCAGAAGCCCTTCAGCCCTCAGCCCCTGCCCACCTCCCCCACTCCCCCCACGCCCTGGCTCCTGCCATGCTGAACTTCTCTTGCTCTTCCTGGAAGGAGCAGTGGTGTTATTTCCCAGCTCACATCTCATCACACCGTTCCACCCACTCAGAGTAGTCCTCCCCGTTTTGTGCCTGACAAACGCCTACTCAACCTCTGGGGCCCAGCTCAAATGTCACCTCCTTGTGAAGCTCTCCCTGCACCCTCTCCTGCCACATGCAAATGTTGTCCCTCCTCCTCTGTGCCCCACCAGCTCTTGGAGCATGGCACACACCAGTTACAGCTCTTCGGATGAGGATCTGGATGGGAGGCCCACATCTGTCACCCCCACTAGATGGGAGACAAGCAGTGCTGGCTGTGCTGGCAAATGGCTAACAATGAGATCTCAAACAAAAAAAAGTGGTTTGTAGGGCTTCTGGATTTCCATGGCGTAAACACTCCCACCAGGGGTCAACTGGAAACTACCAACTGAATGTGGAGTTAGAAACACAATAGGTGCTAGAGAGGCGGCGTGAGCCTGCTCCACACACCGCTGTGGCAGGACTCAGGGACCACTGACTTCCCAACACCTGGCGGGCCCGGACCAGAGCAAATGCTAGTAGAACGGAGCAAGGATGGGTGAGTGGGTGGGTGGGTAGGTGGAAGATGCTAGAAACAGCTTGTCCTTTGCCAGTTACTGCCACCCAAAATGCCATGGAAGAGAGAAAACGAAACAGCTCCATCTTGCTGAAATGCCTTGCCTGATGTCAGACAGATCCTGTCTGCCCCAGGGACCACAGTTCCCCCATTGCAGGCTCATTCCTTTACCAATTGAAGGTCTGGGGCTGTCAAGAGCCCCTGGGGACTAGCATTTTGGCAGAACTGCAGTCCTGCGGATGCTCATGCTACACCCTGGTCCGGCCGTCATCTCGCAGGCCCCCAGATGGTATCCTGTCTCCAGTCTCTCCTTTCCACTTCACCCACCACAGTCAAGCCAAAATCTGATAATGCAGGCAACTGAGGACAAAAAGTCTGGGCCTCTGCCCACATAGGCCTGCTCCTGGCAGCACAGTCCCTGGAGGAGGGTCGGGGATTGGAAGTCAAAGGCGAACAGCACTGAGGACCAGATGAGCATCTCACTCTACCAAGGTCTGACCCTGGCCCAACTGGATGAAGTTCGGTGCTAAAAACTACTCCTGGGCAGCCCTTCTCTACCCCACCCACCCAATCCCAGTGATTAAATTGATGAATTGGCTCTAAACTGGACATTAACCTCCCCTGGGTCTTTGGTTATGACCTGTGTTTTCACCCTCGTTAATCTAAATGTCAGAGCATCTCCCGGAACCCTGCAACCTTGGCTGAGTTTGAAGATGAATGTGGCAGGCCACATGTTTTGTTCCACCCATAGTCAGAAAGGGCAGTTTGTGTCTGCTTTTGCCAAAAGCTAATCTTCGGGGAACCCAAGGTGATGTTCTGTGGGCCTGATGAGCTAGATTATGAAGGCGGAGGAGCTGGCACATAAGTGAGAATGGGGTTTTTCCTTCCTGGTGGGGCTGCCCTGCCGAGCACAGTCCCCGGGAGCTGGCCTGCCTGGGCCCCGGACAGGGGCTGCAGGAACTGCTGAGGATAGAGGTGCAGGACACCCCTGGGCCCTTCACTGTCAGGGCTCTCTCTGCATGATGGGGGCCCTCCCATTCCGGGTCACGGCTCTTCCAGGGCCAGCAGCGCCTCGGGATGGCTGATGCTGTGTGGCGTCAGGACAGGGCTGGCAGTGCCTGAGCCCCTGAGACTCTGCGTGGGGAGGAGGGGCTTACCTTTGTTAAAGAAGTCACAGTCATACGCTGAAAGAGAGAGAACAGGAACTTCCTGAGAGCCAGCCCAGAGCCTGGAACAGACAGACAGAGCCAAGGCTCCCAGCATCCCAGCCTCCCTTCTTCCCCAAGTGCTGGGCCTGGCCTGCCTCCCACATGTCAAGATTTGGGAATGGTCATGGATGCAGATGTCTTAAGTGGAGGAAAGAGAATGGCTCCTCTCTGGGCCGACAGCACGAGGCTCAAAGACTGGCACACAGTAGGCACCTCAGCGATGTGTCAAGTAAATGAACAAACGAATGAATGTTGAAAAGAAGCAGGTGTATTTTGTGTGGCGCCAAAGAGCAGGATTAGAACCAAGGAGTGGGAGTTTTAATCAGAAATGTTGCGGAAGGCCCCCAGAGGAATGCAAGCACAAGATGGAGGCTGGTCTTCCAAGAGCCTTCGGTGGGAAGGGGACCGGGAGCCCCCAGCATCCCCGGCTTCTTCAAGCCCCTTGCACTGCAGAGGCGCTTCCACCAGCCGAGCTGTGAGAAGCTCCCGCAAGCGTGAGCTCAGCTTGCCCTCTAGTGGTCATCCCCAGCACCACACCCTGTTCCCCTAGCCCCTCAGCTGCAGATTCTCAGTCCACTGAGGTGTGCCTGGGACCTTGCAGGAGACCCCTAAAGCCAGCAGCAAAGCCATGAGGAGCCAGGCGGATAGACCTGGGATAAAGCTTAGGAGCAGCATGCTTCACACATAGGCACGGTCTGAAGAGAGCCACCGACTCACTGCACACCCCAGACCACAAGGTCAATGCATCTGGGGTCACCCTCCAGAAAGAACACTAGGAGTCAGGAGACAGGCCCGCCATGTGGCTAGGGGCACGTGCCTGCCTCTCCCTCCATCTGCAGACTCAGAAGGCTGAACCAGAAAATTAGAAAATCTCCAAGTTTCTGGTTTCCAGGGTATACCCAGTCAAGGGGTGGTAGCCGAGAAGAGTCATTAAAAAGCCAGCTCTCTAGAGTCAGACCTGAGTTCAAATCCCACCTCCCTCACTCATCAGCTGTGCATACTGGACCAAATTACTTAACGTCAGTGAAATTTAGTGCCCTCCTCTAAGGTGGGACCGCTACGTACATCTGCCCCATAGACCTGCCAGGGCCTGGACCAGGGTAAGGCAAAGTGCTCATCTTGGATGTGAAATTTAAGGGGCTACCAAAAATCTCAGTAATCAAGATAAATACTATCTTAATGCAATATTTTTAAAACATCAAAATTAATGCAAAAATATCCATGATAAATAAAATATTACAATTTAAAAATAAAGACAAGATCATTAACAGTCTCCCACTGAGCCAGAGTAGAGACTGAGACAAAAGGAAACATTAATACTATTGATCCTTTGATAGTTTGTTCATCACAGTATTTTTACAGCAATTTTTATTTTACAGAAATATTATATTGAAACATTATTTCTCTTGATTACTGCATTTTTGGTGCCCCCTGAAACTTTGTACCCCAGGTAAGCACCTCAATCACCTCCCCCTAGTCTTGCATATTAAATGAAGTAATGCACATAGGCACAAGGCCTGGCACACAGTGGACCCTCAGCAAGTGTCCTTCTGCTCCACCTTCTTCCTTTGGCGTCTTGCCTGCAGGCCTCAGGGCTCTGGACATGTCAGTACCGGGTGTCCATGAAAAAATGACAACAACCCCCACATTAGCACAGGGCACTGTGCCAAGTGCTGTACATGCAATGCCTTGTTTAAACCTCACAGTACCCTACAAGGTAGAAGCAGTTATCTTCACCCTTCTATTACAGACGAAGAGACTCAGAGTGTGAGGAATATGTCCCAGGCCAACTCAGTGGAGCTTGGGGCCAAACTCAGTCAGTCTGACCCCAGAGCGCAAGGCTGTGTAATGGCCATCGCACCCCAAGGTGAGGTGCTTGCACGAGGAAAATCCTTTGGTGCGTGGGAATAAATAAAAAATAATCAATGAAGAATTTAGCCTTCTTTATATTTTCTTTCATCTTTTAAATATTAATTTTTAAATTTGTTTACATATTTTACTTGAGGAGTATATCTATGGATGCATATCTATGTACGCATATGTATGTGCACAAAATGATTTTACTTGATAGGTGTGTGCAATGAAAAGCATCTGCAGACCACCATTACTCTGAATAAACTGATCATCTGTGCTGCCTCTGATGGGACCTGCAAACCTCAGCTGACAAAGGACTTCTATATTCATCACCCAGTTTGGTCCTCAGAGTCAACCTTGGGGGCAGGTCTATTCCTGCTTCTCACACAAGAAAATTGAGCCCTAGAGAGGTTGGGTGAGTTGTTTGAAGTCACATAGCTTGCGAGTGGTAGCTCTGGGTCTAGGCTCCTGACTCTTCTAACAAAGTGGCTATGAGCTCGGGTTCGCATTGGACTCTCTAGGGATGAACCCTGGCTCCTCCACTAACCTTGAGCATGTTACTTGATCTCTCTCTCTAGGCTGTTTCTTCAACTGTAAAATAGGAAATATATAGCCCTGTTTCAAAGGGTAGTTGTAAGAATTCAATGAATAACACGCCCAAAGCAGTTGGTGCTTGGTACATTCTAAGTACTCAGTAAATGCTAGACAGACTGCCAGTACCCCTAGGGCATGCCCACAGGTGACACTCTACTCTGTCCCCTCAGGTGATTGTCTGGGACACTCACGGCAGAGGCGGGGGGTTCGCCAGTCAACAGCCACCCCATGCTGGCAACACTGGTGGGCATAAGCGGAGACGCTGGCACAGAAGCACTCACAGTCACCACCCTGGCTGCAGCCACATGTGTCTGTCAGGCAGTTTGAGTAAAACCAAGTGACATCAACCTGGAGAAGGTCAGAAGTTAGAGGTCAGAGGACAGATCCCAAATGTCAGATCTGCATCTTTTCAGCTGATGACGACCAGCACCAACATGAAGGGACCACGGGATAGGGTGAGCTATCCTGTCTCATGAGGTGTGAAGGGAGAAGGACAAGGAAGCGAGAACTCCATGGTCCAGGCAGATGTCCACTTTTGAGAACTAAGCTCTCTTCTCTCCTTAGTCTGGGCTGTTTGATCCAGGAGCCAAGAATGGCTGAACAGGAGTAGAGCCTGAACTGCCTAGCCAGGGCCAGAGACAGCCAAGGCCAATCTGACAGCAGCCTTCAAGGCCTGCAGGGTGCCATGCAGTGCTGAGCCCCAGCCTCCTCTGTGTGCACTGAAGCAAAACAGGCAATAGGTGGTGCCTCAGCATGAGGGCTTTGGGTCCACCATTTAGAAGAACTTCATGATAAGGAGGAAGGGCCAGATCAAGATGGGCTTGAAAAGGGCACAAGCTCTGTTTTCCTGGCTGTCTGTGCCTGGTCATCTGGGGAAATAGGACGGACTCATCTGAGCTGGCTGGAGGCAGGGGAATGGCAGAGGCAGATCTTCCCTGGAGATCTGAGCTGTCTCCTCTGAGACATGGGGGAGTCTGAGAGCTGAAGGGATCCCAGGACAGTGGAGGGGGCACTCGGGAGGAGCCGAGGCTGGGGTACACTCACCACAGGGTGGCAGATCTCAAACACCTCACTGAGCAGGATGCTGCACTCCTTCTTGGCAAATGGTTCTCGGAGAGGATTCAGGACACACATATCCCGAGGATCGAGGGTGTCTGGGCACTGAGGGGCAAAGGCAGGGCTGTTGACCTCCCTACTTGCCAAATGCCTGTTGCCTGACATGACAGACAGATTTTAGGGTGGCCGCCATGATCCTTGCCCCCTGATATTCAGGTCCTTGTAAAATCTCCTCCCCTTGAGTGTAGAAGGGACCTATACCTTGCCTCAAACCAACAGAATATGGCCCAGGTGATGGGATGGACGTGGCCATGTGTATGTGATCACATGATTCCCAACATGAGATCCCAGAGCCCATCTTGCTGGAGTCTCTCCCTTGCTGGCTGTGAGGAAGCAAGCAGCCATGCTGGGGGACCCCACATGGATGGAAGTGTCAGTGGTCTCTTGGAGCTGAGGGTGGTCTCTGGCCAAAAGCCAGCCCAAAATATGGAAGCTCCCAGCCCTACAGTTGCAAGGAGCTGAATGTAATCAACAACCATGTGAGCAGATGAGGATGCAGTTCCTTCCCCAGTAGAGCCTCCAGATGAGAGCCCAGCCCTAGCTGACACCTTGATTGCAGCCTTGTGAGACACTAAGCAGGGAACCAAGTCAGGCCGTGTCCTGACTCCTGGCCCACAGAAACTGAAATAATACATGTGTGTTGTTTAATGCCACTAAGTCTCATAAAATTTTTATATAGCAGTAGATAACTAATACAGATGTTTCCGATGTCTGCTGAATCTCCTTCCTTAGACTACATTTTCACTGGGGAACCCCATGGTATGCCGAATGGGATTAGCAAGAGAGAAATATGATGTACATGGGGGTGTGGGGAGAACAAGGGTTAGTCACCCACTGAGCTTCTCTAAAATGGGGGTGTGTTAGGGCGCACTTTTCAGAGGCTGTGGGAACCCTTGTCCCACCTCAGGATTTCAGAGGCTGTGGGAACAGCCCTGCCCCACCTGGAGCAGTTGAACTCCAGGCCATGCACGACTGCTTCCCTTACCCCAGTCTACATAGGCTCATCTCCGTGTACTTCCCAGCAGGGCATTAAGATCACTAAGTCCAGGAGAGGCAAATATGTAACGCTCATATCACCACTCTCCACTGCTGCTCCTATGGCAGACATAAATAATCGATCACAGTCCTCCTTCCAGCTGAGCTTGACACAGATCTTGGATGTTTCTCAACATAGCTCCCAAGCAGTCTGTTTTGACCAATCAGAGTTGTCACATGAAGTGAAATCTATTCATCAGCCCTCTCTTGGCCCAGTCCCCTCTCTGCAGAGGAATGGGACTTACTCAAGGTCACCCAGAAAGTCAATGGATGACCCAAGACAAGAACCCAGGTCTACTGCTCTCAACTCAGTGCTGTTTCCCCCACAGCTCACAGATTGGCAGCCTCAGTTAGACATCTCGCAGACTGTCCTTTGGGCAGACCCCCTCATTTCTATCTCTGCTAGTGTTGCCCTTCCTCTCAGAGACCTTATCTCTGATATATTCATCTATTTAAGCATGGCCCAGCCTTTAAGTGCCAGCACCACTCTCATCTCCTTCAGGAAGCCTTCCCTGATTGCCTCAACCCACCTCAGTCTCTCTTGGTCTCTTCTCTGTGCCAGACCTAGTGCCAGGCACTGGGAAGCATCATCATGAGTGACCATCTCTCCTGGGACAGACTTTGTCACCTTCCCAACCCTCCACCACCCTACCAGGGCTTGGTCCAGGGTAGGGTGGGCAGCTGGATTTGTGAGACAAGACTATGCATGATCTTTGGGCCATAGGACAGAGTCTAGGGCTAGGGATGCAGTCAGAGGCTGAGAGAACATTGCAGGAGAAACCTCACACCAGCATCCCTCTTCCCTGACCTTGGGCCGGGTTCAGTGCTGGCAGCGCCCATCTGAGTGAGGGGCATAAGCCAGCCTGGAAGAGAGGCTTTACCTCAACTGCAGCCCAACTGCTGCCAAACTCCTGGGGGTTAGTTAGCTCTAGGTTCTCCGGGGTCCTCATCTCATTGATGGTTTTTAAGTCAAAGTTCCCACAGAGGCCCGCCAGCTGGCCCTGAAAGGAGAGAGGACACCATGGTCAGTTGCAGGCCTGCCAGAGGTGAGCCACGGGCAGAGGGGTCACCATGAGCCCAGGAGTCTATCATAGACCTAGAAGCCACTGCTGAGGTCACAGTTTGAAGAGGGATGGAGCAATGTCAGAGGAGAAGGGGCCCAGAGCAGGGCGGAGGAGAGAACAGAGGCATGCTCTTCTTGGCTCCTCAGGGAGGGTACAGCTCACCCAAGGACACCCAGGGCTTGGCTTAGCCCCAGGCAGGAGCAGAATGTCACTGCTCATGTAAGTACCTGCCACTGAGGCCCAGCCTGGACGTGCACTGTGGTTCTCTGGTCCCACAAGAGGGTGATGTGCTCCTGTGGGAAATGCACCAGTGTGAAAAATCCCACTCGCCATGTGTGGACCTCCTGCTTGTCATCCAGGAAGCTCTCTGGACTCTAGAGGGACAGAGATGGTCAGTCCTGAGCCCAAGTGCCCCCTAGCGCCCAGGTCAGCTATGCCTGCAGCCAGGCCCTCACCAATGCCTCTGCCTCCCTCATACCCTGACATTGGCCTCTGTGTTCCTGACCCTGGCCAAGAGGAATTCAGTCTGGGCTCCTAACTCAGTGGCTCTCCAAGAGAAACTGCTATGGTAAGGAAGCCAGTCCTCAGCCCTCTTCTGCCCCAACCCTGGTAACCTGTAAATTGTCTACACAACCTTCACAGGCACTGAGCCTTACAGGATTTCCGGAGTCATCATCAAAGACAATGAGTGAGTTCCCAACGTTGATGGAAATAAATTTCCTGCAGATCATGCCAGAGCTGTAGCAGTTCACATTCTCTACAATCACAGAGAAGCTGACATCTGATGTGCTCTGAGGAGAGAATAAGTGAGTCCAATAAAACAAGGGAGAAAGGAGATCCTGCCAAGAGGTACAGAGGTGGAGGAACACGCTCTCTGGAGTGGCTTTCAGTCCACTTCTACTTTGTGTTAGCTGAGCTGTGTGACTTTGGGCGACTTCTGTTCTCTGAAGCTGTTCTGGTTTTGGATGCCTAGTGCGGTGTTTAACATGTAGTGACTCCCCAAAATATCTGATGAATGAATGTATTAATAAATATATAATAGGGATGATTGTGTTGATAGGGTATGGGGAAGAGGCACTGTCTCACATACATCCTTGATGCTAGTGTAAGCTTTTTGCAGGGGAATTTGCTGGCATTGAATATTTTAAATGTATGTAGCTTTTTATACAGCAATTCTACTTCTAAGAACCTGGGGATACATCCACACAGGTATTCACTGCTGCATTTAAATATTGGAGACAACCTAAATGTCCATCGATGGGGAAAAAATAAAGCAAACTCGAGGGCATTATTTCTGTAGAATTCTACACAGCTGTTCAAAAGAAAAAAGTGTGTACCAACTATATGAAATCAAGTCCGAGGTATCCTCTTAAGTAAAAAAAGCACATTGTAGAATCTTATTCACATAAACTAAACAAAGTGTGTGTGTGTGTGTGTCCATGTCTCACAGAAAAAAGTTCTTGCAGGATTCATCCCTGACTGGAGTGGTTATTTAACAGGAGATAGGAACAGAAGAATTGGGAAGGGGAATATCTGTTTTTAATATACACTGCATTAACCTTTAAAACTTTTTAAATAAAATGAGGTCAATTATCTTCATCTTGTAGAGTTACTGCAATTATGTGAAAGACCCCAGTACAGTGCCTGCCCTATAGGTAGGATTCCTTCCATAAAAGGTTTTGTCATTGTTATTATTACATGTTATTTTTATTATTGATGTTACTCTTATAAGATGAGATAGGCTATTAGCAAACCCAAGGTCCCCTGGGTGACACTCCTCCACCACATCAGTGCCCATTCCTCCTGGGGTAGGGATCCTGCCTTCACTGTGCCCCCCACATCACCAGTTTTCTTCCTCCAGGTGAGCCGAAAATTATAACCTGTGACTCCTTTAAGCACACCAACTCTCCAGTCAGATTTCTTGGTCAAACTTGACCCCAGCTCTACCACTGACTGCTGTGTGACCTTGGGCAAGTTACCTAACTTCCCTTAGCCTGAATTGTTACATCTATAACATAGGATCCATAAACTTTACCTTGTAAAGCTGCTGTGATATTTAAGTGAAATAATCCACAAAATATGGCTCAATATGCCCCTAGGTACATAATAAAGCTCAAAAAGCATTAGCTCTTGCTATTATAGACAGAAAAAAGCACTGGGACCCAACAGAGCAAGATTATAATGGTGAGCAGACAGGCAGTGTGGTATCTCAGGACTGGTGAGCTCCATCCAGCCCTGAGCTTGTGCCTCAGCACTTCTTCCAGTCTCTAGATAGCCCCACCTCAGGGCTTAGATCCCCGATCACCCAATTCTGCATCAAACTGGAGTCCAGAGCACCAGAGTGCCCTGACAGCTGTGCATGGAGCCAACTGGGCAGAAACATCCGGGAACTCACCTTGACCAGGTGCACTTTGCATGCCCCCACGAAGTCAAACGGGAGCCCATCAAACGTGCGGTAATGCCGGTCCCCATAGGCAGTGCAGGTGGAGGCGCAAGGGTGCAGGGTGCACTGGAATGAGCCCCGCTGGCACACACTGAAAAACACATGCCCAGACCAGATCACAGGGCACACCCACCCCATACCTGAATACTCATGACAGAGCCATGGCTTATCGAATGCATGTGCACTGTGTCCCTCGGCAAAGAGGTCAACAAACACCAACCTCTAACAGGAGCCTGGAGGGCAGGATTGTGATTTCATGCAGGAGACACAGGGGCTCAGAGAGGTTATGAAACACAGCCAATAAATAATGGGCCTGACATTTAACCCAGATCTATTTAACTCCAAAGTCTACACTCCCTTTACCACTCCATTCATTCACTTACCCATTCATTCTACAAATATTAGGTGCCTACCATATCTCAGGCATTCTTCCAAAATTTTGTGATACATCAGTGAATAAAACAAAAAGAAAACCGTCTGCCTCTGGGAATGTTTATTCTAGAGGGAGAAGAGATACACTAAATAAAAAATAATAAGGCAGTGCAAGTATGTACTATAGTGCATTAGAAGGCAATGAGTGTTATGGGGGAGCAGGATACAGGTCACTGGGAATGTGGGTGGAGTGGGTTACAATTTTAAATAGGGTGGTTGGGGCATGTGTGAGTAGAGACATAAAGGAGGTGACAGAGTTAACTCCATGGGCATCTGTAAGAAGGGTATTTCAAATAAAGGGTACAGTCTCTCCAAAGTCTGTGGGGAACACTCGGGAGACAACATGGCTAGAATGGAGAGGGCAAGGGCAAGAGAGTAGAAGAGGAATTCAGAGGGGCGACGGACGGTCAGGTGACATGGGTCCAATAAGGCCACTGTAGGAAGGTTAGCTCCTGCTAGGAATGGGGGGTGGTGGGCATTGGAAGACTTGATCATGGGAATGACACTGTGTGATTTATGTTCCACTCTGGCTGCCGCACCGAGCCTAAGCTCAAGGCGGTCAAGGGGAAGCAGAAAGACCAGCTGAGTGGCTACTGCAGCACATCAGGGAAGAGATCATGGCAGCCTGGAGCAGGGTAACAGCAGTGGAAAGAGTGAGAAGTTGTCAGATTCTGGATGTATTTTGAAGGTAGAACCAAAGGGATTTGCAGAGAGGTTGGATATAGGTAGTGAAAGACAAGACTCGAGGTTGACTCCAGGTTTTTTGGCCTGAGCAACTGGGAGAATGAAGTCTTCATCAACTCAGATGGGGAAGGCTGAGGGAGAAGCAAGTTTGAGGGGGAAGATCAGATGTGCTGTTCTGGACATGTTGAATTTGAGACCTCCATTAGACATACGTATGGTGATGTCAAGTAGGCAGTTGGATGTGTGAGCCTAGAGTTGAGAAGCATGGATTGGACTACAGGTAGAAATCTGGTAGTCCTCTGCCTATGGATGGGCCTTGTAGCCATGAGATTGGGAGAGTTCACCAAGGGAGTAAGTATAAATAGAGAGGAGGAGAGGTCTCTTGGGTTGCTCCAATATCAAGAGGTTGGAGAAGAGGAAGAACCAATGAAGGAAGCGGAGAAGGAACAGGAAGAGAGGTCGGAGGAAAAGCAAGAGGAGGTGGTGTCCCAAAAGCCACATGAATGAAAGTATCAAGAAGGAGGGAATAATGGAAAAGTGATCAACTGTGTCAAATGCTGCCCACAGGTCTAGGAAGGTGAGGACTGAGAAAGGCTAACTGGATATGGCAATATGAAGTTACTGGTGACCTTAGTAGGAATAGTTTCGAAGGAATGATGGGGAAAATGCCTGACCGAAAGGGCTTAAAGGGGAACGGGAGAACAGAAAGTTGAAACAGCAAGTATAGAAAAAGTGTTCAGGGAGTTTTGCAATAAAAGGCGAGCAGAGAAATGGAGCAGTTCCTAGGAGGTTGGAAGTTTTTCAAACGATATATTTTTATGCAATAGGGATGAGCCAGTAGAGAATGCAAATTGTTTATATGGGAGAAAAGAGGGAGAGATGCTGCAGTGGTTCCCTTAGGTGGACAAGTGAGGAGCTAGGACCCAAAGGACAAGTGAAGGAACTTCACTTTAGATAGGAACACGGACACTTAGTTCATCTGTTGTACGGGCAAAATACATGGGTACAGAGCCTGGAAAGTTCTCTTCTCATGGCTTTAATTTCCTCAGGGAAACAGGAAGCAGTATCATCAGCTGAGAATAAGAGGGGAGGAGGTGTCAGGGCTTTGAGGAGAGAGGAGAAAGAGTGGAATAGTTATCTAGTGGGATGAAAGAGCAAAGGAGACCCGGGAAATACAATCCGAGAGCCCATCAGCTCTAAGGGCCTTTTCGACCCTTCTGAGCCCATGAATTTAAAACGAGAGCTGGAAGCCGGGTTTTGCACATCCCTCCAGTCACATTCAGCTGCATGGGTGCAGGTACAAAGGAAGTAAAGGTGTGGATGTCACCAGGGTTGTGGTTTTGCCAAACAAGTAGGGCAAAGCAGGAGGAGGAACAGAAGTGGGGCTAAACTCAAGGAAGTGATTATGGTTCTGGACCACAGGTTGAGGTAAAAGGGAAGGGGAGACATCGAGGGGGTGAGAGGCAGCAGAGAGGTGGTAGGGATCATGGATGAGAAATCCCTGTGGGGTTGCAGGATTGAGGGAGTCAGGGTATGAGAGGGAGTGGAGTAGAAAGACAGAAGGTGAGGTGAGACGCATTGGGATATGGGCTGGGTGAGTTGTTGGGAACGGCAAGATCTACAAGATGACTCCTCACTCCACTAGGGTGGAGAAAGATCTTTGGAAGAGAGAGGATGAAGAATCTGAGATGTCGGGAGATACTAGAAGCACCTCTAAACAGATACTAAAATCTCCAAGAATTAGGGAAGGAGTAGGGTTGGCAAGAGTCACAGAGCTCAGTGCCAAAATCTTTAGAAGTAAAGGGGCATGACCCAGGGCTCTGTGTCTGACAGCAACAATGAGGGACAGGCTCAGTCATGCACTGACTCCACGTGGCTTCCTAAGCCTATGTATCCATCCTGTCATTCACCCACCTACATGACCTACAACTCAGCCATAAATGCATAACTGCTGGAAATACTCCCACTGTGCCTGACCATGCTGCCGACCATGCTGCCGACCATGGTGACACGGAACACAGAGCTGGGAAGGGATGGGTAGCCAGGCTCCATCCTGGTAAAGAGATCCCAGCAAATGCTCGAGTCACACCAGCGCAACACATCTCCAGCACCTGCCTCCCCACGGGAGAGCAGCTGGAATCTGGGCCACAGTGGCAGGTCCTTCGAGGGCAAATGTTAAGGTTTGTCCCTGTATTAGGAGGTAGAATTTTTACAACTGAGTTAAAAAGTAAAAACTTGCCCATCTATCTCCTAGTTTTCTATGGAAGAGAGGACATCCACCCTATGGCCAGTCAGCCTCTCCTATGAAGGCAGATGCCTCCTCATGTCAGGGTTCCAAATCCTAAATAATCCCAGCTCTTCGGCCTTGGCTCCAGACTCCTTACCACCTCTGCCTTGGATCTGATTTCTGAGCACAATGCACTCACAGGAGAGGATTCAATGTAACTCAGCTATCCCCTGCCTGAGGGTGAGGGTGCTGCTACAGGGGCTGGAGTCCAGGGAAGTGATGGAAGTGAATCCATCTCAGGGCCTGAGCACCCCTGGGCAAATCCAGGCCAGCCATCCCCAGTCTCCCACCTCATGTGCCTGGCATCCCTGGTGAGCTCTGGCTCACCACAGTCACAAAATCTCAAGAAAAAAAATGAGCACACAGCCTGTGCAGAGGTCTGTGTCTTAACATTATACCCAGGGACTTCTGGGGTCAGACAGCCAGGGCTCTGACCCTACAAGTACACTCTGATGTATCTGGAGAAACCGGCCTTGGAGCAGATGGGCTTGACCGTGACCCTGCTTCTAACACAGAAAGAAACACTATGGCCTTCCTCTAGGCCAGAGAAACAGGGTGGTTTCAGTCCCAGCATGGGACAGGGACTGGGGGCCATGCTCCAGCTAGCCAGATGGGTCTCTGAGATAGAACCTCTCTGAGCTTCTCTGCTGGGCCCTGAAGTTCCAGTGCCAGGGGCTTCCTGCTCACCTCAGGCCACCCCTAGCTGGTTCTCCAAATTGGAACAGTGACTGGGTTTGCTCTCCAGCATCAGGGCACATTCATCGTTCCTCACCCCGTCCCCCAGCATTCTCTCTATCAGAAAGCTGAGTCTACCCACTGCCTACCCACCTCTGTGTGGCCCAGAACAGGCCCTGCAGAACTAACCCCGAGTCTGTTTCCACAGAATCCAATCCAGGGGCACACACTCCCACATATGCACACTTACATTACTAAACAAATACCCTCACACGTACTTTCATACACAAGAATGTACCTATTCACAGGCAAACACAATGCACATTTACACAGACATTTACACTCACATGTGAATACAAATATGTATAGCCATTAAAAACATACATCCACACACTTTGCACATACATGTGCACACATTTTAAATGGATCCATATGCACAAAAATATATATAAACACACCTGTCTACATAAACAAATTTCTAATTGTACATATTCACTGACATATTGAGATTTGTGAATGCCTGCCTTTTTATATACATCCATGTACATGCATGTTCACATATGCACATGTGCATTTTGGATTTGCACTCACACTCATATGTTCATATAAATATGCAAACAAATTGCCATGGTTACAAATATGCATGTATACACATTCATATACATGACTGAACAAACATACTCATGTAAAAACAAAAATATTCCTTTGTATGCATATACTCCTATGTGTACACAAACCCCTATACCACACACAACACACAAACGCACAACATGAATACAAACATAATGAAATGGGAATGCTAGACTATACTCTTGATTATGCACCCATATCCATGCCCCCTCCCAGCAAAAAAGCAAAGCCTGCTTGGGACCCTCACTTACCAGGTATGGCAAGGAGACATCACCTGGTCCCCAGGGAAATACTCCTTCCCCTTCCAAGTGCAGGGGCACTCCTCTGGCAGGAAACATGCATCCCCGTGTCTGAGCAGACTGTAGAGACACAGCAAGCAGGCGGTCAGGAGAGCACTCTTCCCATAGCTGCCATCTGTGGAGGACCCTGCCTCAATCTGGATGCTCGGAGGTGGCTCCCAGCATTTACCCTAGAAGAGACTGACTGTGTATTCACTCCCCATCCTGCTGCTGCTCAGTGAGGTTCAGAGGGACCTTGGTAACTGGAAAAACCAGTAACAGACTAGGCCCAGCCTGAGTCTCTGTCATCCATCAAGAAGCAAGGCTTATCTCTACCAGCCACAGCCCTACTGACCAGGTGGATGCCAGTTGCTCCTCAGGCACTAGTTGTATACTAATGAACAGGTCATGGATATGGGCGATGACCCTCCTACCCAGGTTGTTCATGGAGCTCTCAGACCACAGGCCCCAAAGCAGCAGTGCTGCTGTCTTCTAGTCTGGTTTCCATGAAATCTGAGCACTCCCAGGCCGGAGCCAAGGATGTCTCAGGGCACTTATTAAAGATCTCAGGCCATAGCATCACGCTAGATCAGGCATCAACAGGATACAGCCTGGGGCAGGGCTAAGAATACAAACTTTGGCAATAAATAATTTTTTGTTCAAATCCAGGATCTACCTGAAACAAGTTACTTAACCTTCCTATTTTATTTTTCAAAAGAATACAAGCACATGGGTTAAAGAGGTGAAAAGAAAGGGTGCTACAGGCATTATACTCAAAGGAGTCCCTTGTTAGTTGCTCCTGTATCCAGATTTTCTGCCTGGAAGCACTTTCTGGACTATAGTACAGGATGATGGAACCCAAGCATGGCACGATGCATCACTGAGGGGAGCAGACAGAAAATGGGGTTGAGGGCTTCTGAAGTGGCCAGCATATCCAGGTCAGGATGTGAAATAGAAGGGATTAAAGTCAAAGTTCTAAATTAGAAATACAAGAGCAAACTAAATCCAAAGTAAGTAGTAGGAAAGAAATGAATATAAGAGGAGAAATTAGTGAAATAAAAAACAGAACAATAGAGAAAAATCAGTGAAACCAGATGCTGGTTCTTTGAAAAGACCAATAAAATTGACAAACCCCTGTCTAAACTGAATGATAAAAAGGGGGACAGGAATACTCAAATTACCAATATCTGGAACAAAGAGGAGATATTGCTACAGACTCTACTGATAGTAAAAGGAAAATAAGGAAATATGATGTACGATGTTAAGTGAATAAATTTGACAACTTAGATGGAATGGACAAATTTCTTAAAAGACACAAACTATAAATATTTAGCCAAGAAGGAATAGGTAAACTGAATTAGCCCAATATCTTTAAAGAAATTAAATTTGAAGTTAAAATTCTTCCAAGATTGGTAAATTCTACCAGGCACTTAAGGAAGAAATAATACAAGTTTTAAACAAACTCTTCCAAAAATTGAAAAGGAAATCATACTTCCCAACTCATTTTATAAGACCAGCATTAATCTGATACCAAAACCAGACAAAAACGTTGCAAGTATGGAAAACCACAGACCACAGAATATTAAATAATACGTCAGTCACAACTGGGGTTTATCCCAGGAATGTAAGACTGGTTTAAGATTTTAAAAATCAACCAATGTAATTTGCAACATTTATAAAATAAAGGGAAAATATCATATGATACTCCAATAAATAAAATCAATTGACAGGCTTGGTGCGGTGGCTCATGTTTATAATCCCAGCACTTTGGAAGGCCAAGGTGGGAGAATCACCTGAGGCCATGAGTTCAAGACCATCCTGGCCAACATGGCAAACCCCCTTCTCTACTAAAAATATGAAAATTAGCCAGACGTGATGGCCCATGCCTGTAATCCCAGCTACTCTGGAGATTTAGGCATAAAAGTCAGTTAGACCTGGGAGGTGGAGGTTGCAGTGAGTCAAGATTGAGGCACTGCACTCCAGCCTGGGCGACAGATTGAGACTCTGTTTCAAAAAAAAAAAAATCAAATGACAATTCAATACCCATTTATTATAAAAAAATTTGCAGCATAATAGAAATAAAAAGAAACTTCCCCAATCTGATAAAGATCATTTGCAAAAAAAACTACAGCAAATGTTAGAATTAATGGTAGAAGATTGACTGCTTTATCCAAAACAAGACGAAGGCAATGATTTTTACTTCCATCACTTCTATTCAAAAGTATACTGTAAGTCCAATACAGCACAATAAGGCAAGAAACATGGGAGATGTAAAAATTTAAAATAAAGAAGTAAAACTATCTTTATTCACAGATGACATGATCACTTACTGAAATTCTAAAGAATCTACCCAAAGAAAAGCCACTAGAACTCATAAATGAATTTAGCAAGATTGCAGAATACAAGGTCAGTATGTGAAAATCGACTGTATTTCTATATTGTGGCAATTAAAAAATGGAAAATTAATAAAATAATACCGTTTATAACATCAACAAAAACAGCAAATACCTATGAAAAATTCAATGAAAAATGTGTAAACCTTCACATGAAAACTATGAAATATTGCTAAGAGAAATTAATGAAGACCAATAAATAAGAAAATAATACCATATTTGTGGTTTGGAGGACTTACTGGTGTTAAGATGCCAATTCTCCCCAAATTGATCTATAAATTCAACACAGTTTCATTCAAAATCTCAGGGGCTTTTTTTTTGGTAGAAATTGATAAGCTGATCCTAAATTTACTCGGAAATGCAAAGACCTAGAACAACTTTTTGAAAGAAAAGATAAAAGTTGAAGAACTCTCACTTCCTGATTTCAAGGCTTACTATAAAGCTCCATAAATCAAGAGAGTGGATATTGGCATGAAGACAGACAAATAGATCAATGGAACAGAAAAGAGTCCTGAAATATACCCACGTGTATACAGTCAATTAATTTTTCACAAAAATGCCAAAGCAATTACATGGGGAGAAGAAAGTGTTTTTTAAAAAATAGGGCTACAATCACTGGATGTCCATCAAAAATAAAATAAAATAAAACATACCTTGACTCCATTTTGAAACATGTGTAAAATATAATAATTTTAAATAGGTCATAGGCTTAAATGTAAAAGCTAAAATTGTAAAGCTGGCCAGTTGCAGTGGCTCCCACCTGTAATCCTAGCATTTTGGGAGGATTTCTTGAGGCCAGGAGTTCAAGATCAGCCTGGGCAACATAGCAAAGCCCCCATCTCTACAAAAAATTTAAAAAATTTGCCAGGTATAGTGGTGCACACCTGTAGTCTTAGCTACTCAGGAGGCTGAGGCGGGAGAATCGCTTGAGCTAAGGAGTTCAAGGCTGCTGTGAGCCGTGATGGCACCACTGCACTCCTGCCTGAGCAGCAGAGCAAGACCTTGTCTGTAAAAAAAAATAATAATAATAAATTAATTATTTAATCCATTACATTTAATTGTAAAGCTCCTAGAAAAAAACATAGGAGAATATCTTTGCAACCTTGAGGACTAACTATAAAGAAAAAAATGATAAATTAGACCTCATCAGAAATGAAGGAGATTTTTAAAAGAAAAAAATTAGACATTATCAAAATTAAAAACTTCTCATCAGAAGTTTTTAGATACTTCAAGGCATGTTAAGTAAATAAATAGGTAAACACACATTGGGAGAAAATATTTGCAATACATATGCCTGACAAAGGACTTGTATCTAAAATACATAAAAAATTTTTACAACTCAATCAAATAAAAAAAGACCAAATTTAAAAATGGGCAAAAGACCAGAACAGACACTTCACAAAGAAAGATACACGAATGGCCAATAAGTATATGAAAAATTACTCACAGTCATTAGGGAAATACAAATCAAAGCCATAATGAGATAGGACCATGTACTTGCTGAAATAACAAAAATGGAAAAGACTGAAAACACCAAGTGTTAGTGAGGATGTGGAACAGTCAGATTCTCATATACTGGACGTGTAAAATTGTCCAATCACTTTGGAAAACAGCTTGACAATTTCTTATATAAATATGAATCTACCCTAGGACCCAGCAATTCCACCCTGAAATGTTCATCCAAGGGAAATAAATAGCAACCTTAGTCAAAATAGTCCCAAACTGAAAACAACCCAAATGTCCATCAATGCTTGAGCAGATAAATAACTGTTTTCTTTTTTGAATCTTGAAAGCTTTATTGCTGAGCTAAAGAATCCAGATCAAAATGGTTTGTGAGTGTGTATGTGTGTGTGTTTGTATATATATGGATCTTTTTATGTAAAGTTCTAGAACAGGAATAACTACTATATAGTGACAAAAAGCCGGCCAGTGTTTGCCTAGCACTCACAGGGGTAGGATTGACTACAACGGAGTATGAGGGAAACTTTGTTGGTGATAGAAATGTTATATATCTTAATTATGATGATATATACATAGATGTCAAAATTCATCAAACCATACACTAAAAGTAGGTACATTTTATTATATATAACACCTTTGCAGATAAATAATTGTATATTCATACAATGGAATACTACCGGGATAGAAAAAGGAACACACTACTGATAGATGCAACAAGGTAGGTCAACCTCAAGAGTTAAGGAAGAGAAGCCAGGCCCAAAAGGGTATATAGTGTATGATTCTATTTACATGAAGTTCTAGAACAGGCAGAACCTATCTATGCTGGTGTGAAGCACAGCAATGCTGGTGGGGGCGGAACCGGCTGGAAAGGACTGACAGAAGACTTGTATCTAGAATAGATAAACATTATATATTCACATTAGGGAATATATAGGGCGCCAACATTAGGGAATTTTCTGAGTGACAGAAATGTTCTATATCTTCACAGGAGTGTGGGTTACAAGCAGGTATCAATTTGTCAAAGCCTAACACACGGTATACTTAGGATCCATGTAATTTACTGTATATAAATTACGCAACACTTCCTAAAAGGAAAAAAAGAAAAAAGAGTGAGGCATCAAAAGCTGACTGGAGGCTCCCTATTTAAGGAGGACCAACCATTTTGTTGAGAAACTCCCAAGATGTCAGTTTCTGTTGTATTTTTCTATTGGCCCAGCCAATTTTCAAGGGAAGAAATCTCTGTCATCTCTGAGCTGGGAGGCGAATGTCTCCATTTGCTGGGATTCCACTTGCTTTTCACTGAATCTCCCTGTTTCCACGATGCATCTCACCCCTCCTGGTGCCTACAAGGCCAAAGTCTCTGATTTGGTTTCTCTTGAAACTCTCCTTTCTCCTGCTGGATGGGGCTGGAGCAGTGGTGTGACCCCAGCAGGAGCAATAGGGGATCTGGAGGCTGAACTCCTCCTTGCACAGACTTGCAACCCAACCTCCTGTCTCCCTCCCCCGACGCCCCCTTCTATTTATTCCTCTTGGATGAACACTTCAGGGTGAACTGCTGGGTGCTCAGGTAGATTCATGTTTATATAAGAAACTGCCAAACTATTTTCCAAAATGCATGTACTATTTGTTTCTCCTTGGCCTTCCCCTCTGCAAGGCCAGTTTCTACACATCCACCCACGTTCCTTCTTCAAAAACTACTGATCTTCCACTCTTCTCTCTTTGTCCCTGGGGATTTATACCTTTTTACCCCATTATCATTTCACTGTGGTTGTGGGAGGAAGCAGGAAAGAAAAAAAAGCACATGCTTAATTCACTACGTTTTACCTGAAGCCACTTAACCCTTCTAAGCCTCTGTTTTTGTGCTTAAAACAGGAATAATGACACCTTCCTCCCAAGGTCATTATGAGAATCTTACAGGCCTGGGCACACTGCCTATCACCTAGTAGAAACACAATAAATATTGGTTTCTTGCCCCTCTCTCCCCCATAATTGCATCAGACACCAGTGAAGGGCTGGCTCACTGCCTTCCTTCTTCAGCCCCAAGCCTTGTCTCCAGCCACTTCTTGAGGGGTCTTCTCTGTTGCCCACCATCCATTACTCCCTCCTTGCTCTTAGCAGACCTGTCTGCATCTCTGAGCACCTGCTGTGTGCCCATCATGGGGAAGAGCATGCAAGGACTCAAGGCTTTGGCCTCGGTCCTCAAGGTGCCTTCAATTTGCAAAGTACCCTCTCTTTACCTTGTAGGGGACCTTCTCACTCCAGGGACCCCTCAGGGAGGTTATTTGCAAATGCATGGGATCCAGATGAGAAGAAACAATGCTATCTGCTCACATAGAGTGTTTACTCTGTGCCATTTTACAAATGAAGGAGCTGAGGTTCAGGGTAATTAATTAACTCAGTTAGGAAGTGGAAGAACCAGGGTTCAAGCTTGACTCCTGAGTCTGTGCTCATTGTGCCTCACTGCCTAGTGGCCCCAGGGCCCTTGGCCAGACCCCAGATTCAAAGAAATATGGAGGCACACAGACAGCCACAGACCGTTCTTTGGAGATTCTTAGATACATCATTGAGAAGGGCATGGTGGCCAGACAGTCGGAACTCTCATGCACAGAGGTGATCATGGGTCCCAAGGGTCCTAGGCAGGGGTTGTTAAGGATGGTTGGGCATCTTTGGGAGCCCTATCCCAGCAAGAGGATGTTCCAGGATGGTAGGAAATGCCTGCCCTTCCCTTACAAATTGAGACTGTACCAATTTCACTTTGACAAGCCCCTGAGGCATGTGTGTAAGCTCCTTAGAGGGCCTTTGATACAGCACGCAATGGGTCATTGGCCAAACTGAGCCCAGAGCCCGGTCTCCCGGTCTCCAGTCCAGCGCCCCTTCCACTGTGTCTCTGTGGCCTTGCTACTACTCTTGGCAGTGAGTGACCCTCGGTTCCTGACCCCAGACACCCTGGCTTTTCCTGACCTCAGGCTGAGAGGCAGGCTGTGCACCCAGGATGGTGTCACAAGCGGCCTTCAGTGACAAAGATACTCTTCAAATGCCACTCCGGGGCCCAAGTGGCAGCAGGTGGTCAGGCCTAGGGTTGCTTGCAGGTTCTCTTTCAGACACTTGCCTGGAAGGGGCAGGCTTACAACCCACATTATGATATCTATATAGGTGACCATCACGGACCTCATGTGCTCTGGGCCAGCGGCTGGGCTTGGAGTAAGGAGACTTGGGTTTGAGTCCTGGCTCTTTGGGCACCACTTCCCTCCACCCTTCCCCTGGCCTCAGTTTCTTCACCTGCAAAATGGGAATCATGGTCCTCCCCTCCTCTCTGCCATGGATGCTCTGAGACTGAAGGAGGTAATAACATGAAAGTGTCTTAGAAGCAGTAAAGCTCCAACTGACTGTCCCCTCCCCTTCCTACCCTAGAAGCCCTGACCCCCATGTCATTTCCCTAGGCTTTCACGCCTGGGCCACGACTCCCGGGTGACCACTAATCTCTGCATAAGCTGAAGGGCACAGCCGGCTGTTGCCAAGCCATGGGATAAGGTGCCAGCTGTCTTCTCAGCCCAGACCTGGGAATGAGAATGGGCAGAGCTGGGTGTCAGGCCCTGGGCCACGTCGGTGTACAGAGCCCACACAAGGCATGCCCACAGAGCCTGACTCACGCAGCTCTCACGGCTTTAATGGCAGGGTTCTGGGGACCTGGGAATGAGACAGTTTTCTCTGGGTGGGGTCTTCTTTTTTTAATATTTTAGGGGCACTAGCCCTCCTCCTGAGGGCTCTGGTCAGAACAGTGCAGAGGAAGAGGTTGAGAGCTGAACTTGAGTTTTCTCTCCAGTGGCCTCCAACGCACTGCAGTGCCCAGCGTGCCAGACACCCCACTCAGTGCTTCCACTGAGTGAGCTCACTGATTCCTCACAGTAGCCTGTTAAGGTGGTAGGCCTGATGATGGTTCCATTTCACAGATGAGCGGCCAGGGCTCTCCCTCCTCCAGCCCACACTCCAGGCTGGATCCCCAGCCTCTCCTCTTTCCCAGACTCCTCTCTGGCCATTACAGCTGTGGCTGGCCAGCCTGGGCCAGTGCCTTCCTACAAGGCCATGTGATGTTTTCCCTGCCCCCACTCCACCCTGTGGCCCTTGGTTCTGCCAGCCTTCAGGATCACGGGCCCACGACACCATGGGTACTTACCCCTGGGGACAGGCGCAGCCCGAGAGGCAGGGGCCACGGGCTGACACGCTCAGGTTCAGCAGTTGCTGCTCACACGTCCTCTCCCTGCTCAGCTCCAGGTCCGTGTGCAGGTCGCTGCAGTTCACGAAGACCTGGCCTGCTGGGCAGGCAGCAGCTGGAAGAGAAGAAGATGGGAGCGGAGGCCCTGGGGCCTCAGTATGGGCTCCTGGGCTACAGGGGCAGCAGCTGGAGGATGGAGGGAGAGACGGGCTCGGAAGTCTCCTCCCTCCCTGGTCGCTCCTGGGCATTGCTTGGTTTCCCAGATACGCCTCACAGAGGGAGGGGTAGATGTGTGCTGTCTGTCACACAATAAGACTGCGGCCACCAGGACCCATCTCTGCACGTCCTCCATACCAGACTACTCCAGGTGCTTCCCCTGCATCATCATATTGAATCCTGCAACAACTCTAGGAAGTATTATTGTCCCCCATTTTCCCAAATAATGGAGTGAAGCCACTTCTCCTCCTCCCCAAAGTCACCATAAAGTGAGAAGTGCCCCAGAGGGACCAGGAGCAGGGCTAGAAAGAGGATGACCAATCAGTGTGGCAGGGGGCCAGAGGACTCTGAATGACAAGGAGAGTCACGGTCCTGTTACCACTATTTCTGTGACATGAATGCACCCCCTCTCCCTCAGCCTTCCATAAGGTCTGCCCCGCACATTCACACTGCGTGAGTGATCTTTTTTAGGAAAATTAATAAAAAGGAGCTGAGTTCCATGCCCAGGCTGGGATGAACCAGAGAGAAAGGCATAGGCACAGGAGGTGAGATAAAAGTCCCAAAGAGCCAGAAATCCAAAGCCAGAAGTGACCAAAGGAAAAGCGCTTCCAGGATTATACACAAAACATGGGGAGGATGCAGGAAACTAGGTTATATGCCAAAGAGGAAATGAAGGCCCAGAGAGGTAAAGTGGGTTGCCCAGGGCTGCACAGCTAGTGAGTGCCAGGGAAGATTTGAACCCAGGCTGGATGATTCTGCAGGCCCTGCTCCTAACCACCTACTGTATGATTATTCTCCAATCCCTTCCTCCACCCCAGGAAGCCCTCCCTGAATGCTCCAGCCCCCAGGCCCTACTCCACCTCACAGCCTCTCAAAGGTTGACCCCCATCCCACGACCACTGTTCCACCCCATCCCTATCTCTGTTGCCTAGGAGGGTCTCAAAAGCCCAGGCTGTCCTGCCTACCTCTGTGACCCCACACCTAGCATTGTCCTGGGCAGAGTCCGCCTCAGTAGATACATGACAGCTCAGACAGAAAACATCAGGACCCAAAGGAAGTCAGGAAACTGCCCAGACACCCAACGTGGTTGCCCCAGATCATTGCCCTGAAGGAAGACAAAGTCTCAGCCTCTCCTCTGCAGGCAGCAGAGACAGCCACTAGGGTGGGGCTGAGGCTGGGACAGGGCTTCAGGTGCCACCCTCCAAGCTGGAGTCTTTGCCAAGAGGGCAAGGAATACGGAAGGCCCAATGTAGGGCAAAACCTGGAGTGGGCTTGCCACAGCCTGATCAGTGCTCCACTCCCCACTCTCCTTTACCATGTGGAGCCCCCAGAAGGGCTCCACCCCTCCACCCACCCTTACCTGGGGCTCTGCTATCACAGCTCATGACTCCATCTTTGCAGTGGCTGCAGAGAGAGACGGGCCCTGGGGTTAGCCGACCCAGTCACTGCAGGACCCAGACACCCCATGTTGCTGCACTCGGGTCACTGCAGAGTTCAGAAAGACACCCTCACTCACTTCCCCCTCCCTGCACAGAGCAGGGCTGGGTGTCCCTTCACAGAAAGTTCCATCAGCTGCACTGTCTTCAGTCAGCAGCCTCCCTTTAAAGAGAGGACAAGAAGGCTGCTACCTACGGAGCTCACCAGTGGCCCAGGGATGGGATGTCACTGTCTCCGGGGGGATAGTCCACTCCCTGGAAGTGGCAGGAGCACTGGTTCCTATAAAAAAATGGGAGCAAAGAAAGGTGAGCAGGCTCAGGAGCTAGGGCAGAGACTGCCAAGGACAGGGACCCCACCCTCAGCCAACCAGGTGCATAAGGACACAGGGAAAAGTAATGGTATCTACAGTGACATGTGACACATCTCCAGTGAGCAGAAAAGCCAGCCTGACACCAGGGATAGAGGTCACGGCTGGGTCCCAGATTCAGGGCCATGCACCAAGCTTAGACAAGGAGTCACTGGTCTCCACACACTCCTGCAGCCAGCCTCATTTGGACCGGGGAAGGGAGGGGCAGTAAGAACAGGAGCACAGCTCCTGAGCCCATGCCATGTCAGGAACAGGGCAGATATTCAGCTGGTGCTGCATCCTGACACAGGTGTCCTGGTCACTCACGCCCAGCATCTATTCCAATTGCTCAGTGCCTGTGCTGCACTGGTTGTTAAGTACATTGACCTCTGGCCAGGGACACCCAGCCAGGCCCTCTGCATACATAATCTCATTGATTCTTCGCAGGGGTTCTGTAAGGTAGGGATTCTTATGCTGTCTTTCTTCTTTTGTGCAGGTCATCTAAGGGCAAAGGCTATGTTTCCTCCTCACACAGCTCCCACAGAACCTGCCGATTATAGGCACGTGCAGGTCTTGGAGCAGCGCAGTGAGTTATGGACCGGACGCCGAAACTCTTCCAGCTCCAGTGCTGCTTAACAACCACCTCCCTCTCTATATATAAGCCACACAGACCCCTTTCGTTGGCAACACTCAACATCAAGGGGTGAGAGCCTCCAGGCACACATCTGGATCTCAAGGGAGGATTCTGTAGTTTGGGAAGGCCTATGAGTGATTCCTATTTACCCTAAAGGGGCCTCTCTCCAGCCCTGCCACCATTTGAAGACCACCAATCAAATGTGTATCATTTTACAGACGGAGAAACAGAGGCCTGGAAGGGACCAAGGACCTTGCCAGTCGCCCCAAGATCACGTGGGGTCGCTGCCTCCCACTATCCTCCTGCTGCTCTGCCCTCCAGCTACACTGAGAACAAGCTGGGCCTTGAGCCACCCCCTCTTCCTGGAGCCCCCTTCCTCACTCCCTCAGGTCTCTGCTCAGACCTCACCTCCGCAGAAAGGCTTTACTTCCAGGCCCACCTCAAGTAACACACCAGGAATGGGACTCCCTGCTCTCACTCTGCCTTACTTGGCTCAACAGCTCTTGTTGCCACCTGTCCATTAAGTGTCTGTTCATTTATGTGTCTGTCTTGCAACCCTAGAATGTGAGCTCCCTGAGGGCTAAACTCTGCTTTGTTCATTGCTGAATTCCCAAGCCCTAGAAATGTCTGGAACATACCAGAAAGTCAATAAATTATGTGGAAGGAGAGGGGAATGAGGAGAGAGAGGGCCCCTGGGCTCTGTGGGGTTGTTGTGTCTTGTGAGGAAGCTGCTATAATGGCCCAAAGGCCAAGGCTGAGGAGAGATCTGGGAGGGAGGCCCCAAGGAGGGAGCCCACCCACCTTACCCACCAAGGTCTGGCCTGCAACTGTGAGGGGAAGGAGGGACACAAGAGGCCCAGCCAGGTTCCCCAGTCTCAGATGCCCTGGAGACCCCTGGCCTCACCTTCCCACCCAACTCAGAGATCAAGCTGACCCACTCACCGGGGGACACAGAGGTCAGCCTGGGTGTCCAGATAGGTGTCCGGTGGGCAGGCACAGCCCTCCACACACTCGTCTCTGCTCAGGTCATCGCCACCATCAACCCCACAGGCCTCAGGGCTGGCCAGGTCCTGGCAGGTACGTCCACACGGGGCCACGCAGGGGCTATACTCCTTGGAGGCCTCACAGGACAGTGCTGCAGTGAGGGGGGAGTGGTGCATGCTTTGTCTCCCTCATCCCCACAGTTATGTGGAGTGGGGCTGTCATTCTGATGAGGAGAATGGAGATCCAGAGAAGTTCAGACATTTGTCTGAGGTCACACAGCAGGTCAAGGTCAGAGGCAGGATTTGAACCCAGGTCTGACTCCAGAGTCCCACTGCCTACCAATACACTGGAACGGCAAAGCAGCAGGTGGGTCCTTCTACCAAGTTCAGCCTGGAAAACCACTGGCAGGTCCTTTCCTCCAAAAGGCATTCCTCTGAGGCAGTGACATTGGGGAAGGGGTAGAGATCACCACCTGCTAAGGCCCTGCACCCACCCCGTAACTCACACATAGACACATGCATGAGCCCAAGTGTGTGGACACACACACACACACACTCCTACCCCCTCACTCCCCTGGCTGTGTCACACACAGGTTGTGGATATCAACTGTGCTCCCTCTAGCAGCCTGTTTTGCTCCCTTTGTCCCAAGACTCAAGACTGCCCTCTCCTTGTGTGGCCAGCATCCCACTCCCCCCAGAGTCTCCTACACTCTGTGGGATCCAGTAGATCCACTGAGACCATCCAGTTCAGCTGTTCTCAACCCAGGCTGCACATCAAAGCCACCTGGGGAGCTTCTGAAAATGCTGATGCCTGGGCCCCACTGCCAGATATGTTGCCTTCGTTGATACTCGATGTGGCCCAGATGTGTGAATCTTTTGAAAGCTCCTATGGTAACTCTAATATGCAGCCAGGGTTAAGAACCAGTGGGCCTGTCCAATCCCTTTTGGGGAAACTAGCTCAGAGAGAATCAGGGCCCTGCCTAGGGACACACAGCAAGTCACCTGCAGGGCTGGAATAGAACTCAGGCCTCCTGACTCCCAGTACAGTGCCTTTTTCATTTATTCAACAAACATTTGCTAAAAGCTTACTGAGAGTCAGGCCTTGTGCCAGAGCTGGGGACACAGAGGTGATGAAGACATGGGAAGGAGCATAGCCCAGGGTCAGGGTAGGGACGGGTAGGGGCTGGCTCATGATATTGAAGTTGTGTGTGTACTCAAACCCCAGGGCAACAGCCAGTGGTCTTTTGAAAGGTGCAACGCAAGGTGGCTCTGAGTAGGGTGGCGGAGGTGGTAAGAAGTGGGTGAATTTGGGATTAACAGGACTGACAGGACTTGAGATGGACTGGAAGTAAGCGTGACAGAAGCAGTCCTGAGTCACAGGTCCCAGGTGTTATGCCTGAGTGATGGAGGGGATGGGGGCCATTGGCAGAGATGGAGGGTGCAGGAGGAGAAGCAGGCTCTGGGTGCAGTCAGGCTGGAGGAGACTGGAGGGCATCCCAGTGGAGACTTTCAGGGGCAGGGGACACTCAGGTCTGGAGCTCTGGCTCCTCCAGCTCAGCCTCACATGGGTGGGGCACTCACCACAGGCTGGCAGGCGGGCGCGGAAATCAACGGGGAGCCCATGGCGCCGGCACAGGTGGGCGTAGTGGGCCAGTGTGGCGCACAGGCAGGGCTGCCCGCAGCGGCAGGCATCCCTGCGGCACTGCTCAAAGTAGGGCACGGGGCTCAGGAACGCAGAGCAGGGCGCAAACATCTCCCCCGTGAGCACGCTGCAGGCCTGCACTGAGTAGGAGGCTGGGGAAGGAAGAACAGGAGCCAGGCAGTCAGGGGAGTCGGTCTACCTGGTGTCCCAGGATCAGCCTCTCTCCCTCCCCATGGCTCAGGGGTGTGTGTGTGTGCACACGCTGTACGGATGTAGGCAGCTACTTCAGTGTACAGCTGGCTGGGAAGGTATGGGTGTGGTTTAGTACATCTGGGTGTGAATACGTGGCTTGACAAAAATCCCTGGAGCTTACATTCTGGTCAAAGGAGACAGTCACTAAAAAATTCATATAGAAACTTCAAAGGTGAAGAAGGTAAGAAGCGAGAGAAAGCTAAGAAGCAGCATGGGTGTATGAGGTGAGGCAGGAGGGGCAACTGCAATTTGAATTCAGGCAGTCAGGAAGGCCTCAGTGAGGGAATGAGGTTTGAGCACAAATCTGAAAGAAGTGAGGAACTGAGGCATGTGTGTGTCTGCAGAAACAGCATTCCAGGCAACTGCCAAGTGCAAAGGCCTGGAGAGGAGAGCAGTCCTGACTGTGTAGAAAGAACAAGGAGGCCAGGGCAGCTGGGGCAGAGCAGAGGGCGGTGAGAGTAGGAGGTGAGAAGGGGGGCATGGGCAGAGAGGGTGGGGCCTGGTGGGGCCATGGGGCCGACTTCCGCTTTTGCCCTGAGATGGAGAAGCCAGTATAAAGGTGTGTGTGTATATCTGATAGTGGAAGAATATGAGGCTTCCTGCCTGCCTGGCCCTCACTGTCTCTCCTTTCCCCTCCCTGCTGCTCCTCCTTCTCTTATCACTCCTACAAATTTGGCCAGCACTCTCCTGCCCGGAGTTCCCTTTTCATCTCTCTCAAAGCAGTCCTCCCCACCCCACTCAACCATGCCTCTCCTCTTCCCCCACCAACTCACCGGCTTGCAGGTGCACATCGCAGGGGTCCAGAGGGGAGCCAGAGACCAGCGGGGAGCAAGCAGAAAGTGTTTTCCAGGAATTGCCAAAAAGTTGTGGGGTGCTCTCAGGTACACCCACTGGAGACCTGCAGCCATGTCACAGCCATATTCACACACTTGCCCCTGTGGACTCAGGGGGCACAAATAGCATAGATCCAGGTAACACCTACTTGCTCATATACACACACATAGTCATAATCTACACATCCATATACACACACTCAGAGGAGCACGTGTACTCACCCAAATATGTAACATGTATACGCACACACTCTCAACACACACACAGAGCACAAATATATGCCAGACATGCATATAGCCAAAGTGGTCCACACAGCCACATTCAAACACATAGAATCATGGATGTACACATGCATGCGTGCGCGCACGCACACACACACACACACGCAGACACACAACATTTAACAGGTCCCAAAAGGGCTCAAAATGGGCTAGGATTGTCCACTTGGGGCGGGGAATGAATATGGCTTCATTCCCCACCCCCAGCTCTTCAGGTCAGAAAAAGAAACAGGGACATCATGAAGAGTATCAAACACCATGGGGGTAAGACTTTTCCTCCCCCTTTCTCCATGGGCAATTCCTGAAAACTCCTTGGCTCGCCCTTTGGCTCTCTCAGTAGGAAACCGTCATACAAGGGGCAGTGAAGGGAGGAAGGGGGATGAGCATGTTTCCTAGGCATCACAAGTCTCCAAGAGTCACCAAACCCAGGTGTAGGTGTTGAGCGGAGGGAGGTCATGGTCTCTCTGGGGGGCAGGTTCTGCCTGGCACCCACCATGCCCAACTATTGTTCTGGGGCAATGAGTACACTCATATTATGTAGGGCAATATTCCTACCCAAAGGTTACATTTAGGAAAGTGGCAAACAGCTTACACACTAAACCAAGGTCTCCCCCTACTATTTGGCCAGCTACCCTAACATCTGCCCTACTAGGCAAAGCATAGTAGAATGCCACAGTTTTAAATATATATGCATTGAAAAGCTCTGAGCTTTATTTTGTTCTTGTTCTTCACAGCAAATCTGAATTCTCCGTTTTGGCTAAAGAATGCCTTCCCTGTTTCCTTCTGCATCCCCTAATGTGTGGAACTCCAAGGACTGGCCAGGATCTCCAGCCTTTAAAATCAACCTTCCTAAGTTCCTAACCTACGTCTGTGCCCAAATATGTCAGCTCACAGAAAACAGCCTTTCCCTGAATATGGGGAGGCTCACGGCGTGCAAACTCAAGAGCCTTCAAGTACCAGGTAGGAAAGGCACAAGGGTTAGACTGGCCTGGTGGGTTAGAAAGTGGGAATGTTAGTGTTCTTGGCTCACTAGGGGCTTACACTCACCTAAAGGTGGTGTCCACCTCAATTAAAACAAACAAAACCATGAGCCAAATCAGTCAGTCTGAGGTCCCCGGTTTTAAGACCTCATTCTAAAACAGCATTTCTCAAGGTGTGGCCCATAGACCTCCCATACTGGAATCTTAGAGGTGCTTATCAAAAATAGGATTCCTGAGTCCACCCTAAATCCTGGGGAGCGGGACTCAGGAATCAGTGTTTTAACAAGCTCCTGAGGTGATTCCACACATAGAGGACTGTGAACCGCTGCTTTAAAGAAACATAATTAAATTTAAATGTAGAGAAATCAATAACTAATGGTGCATGCTGGGCACAGTGAAGGCTCACGGGAGAGACATTTAGGCAGTGCCTCTAGATACCCAGCCCTAAGGGGCCCATTTCCCCTCTTCTTCGGGTTCCGTGGCAGGGCTACGTACAGGAAGTCATCCTGCGTGTTGCCATTGAAGGTGCCGCAGAGGCCCACGGTATCCTCCACCCATCGCTGGTCCACTTGCAGGTACAGTCGGAGCCCTTCACGGTCGTAGAGCACCCGCACGCCCACGTTCGTCCTCACCCGCAGGAACACGGAGGACAGCCTACGGATCTCAAAGGCATCTGGGCACAGAATCCAAAAGGAGAGAGTGGGAGGGCAGCCAGTACACACCCCGCCCACCACCACCACCTGCCTGGCCCGCTCAGACTCCCACGCCCGGCCCAGTCTTCGCCCCCTGCCTGCCTGCCTGCCTGCGTGCCTGCCATGAAGCTGGTATGGGGAGGCTTGAGGAAACCCTGTTCAGTGATGAAATCAGGACCCAGAGATAACTTCCCACTGCAGCCTGGGCTAAGAAATTTTTTTTAGCATCAAGTGCCAATTAAAGCTTTGCTCCCACTAAGGAACTGGTACACGTTTCCTCCTCTAGCAGAAGGAGGATTCTGTAACTACCCATTCTCTTCACAGTGGCCACAACACAGTTTTATTATGGAAGCTCATGATACAATTTTAGATTCAAGTGTAACAAATTTAAATTTTAGATTTTATTGTAGAACATTTTATACCCTTTATGGTTTATATTTATTTCTGCAGCCTGTTGACACCCAGTGCATCCCCACTCCTCCCAACCTTGAGCCCCTGTTGTTGTTTTTCTTTCTTTCTGGTGCTAGGTTTTTATTTCTTAATCGTTTTGCCATTTTTGTTACATGTGTTTCTTATGAGCTACACATAAGTTCCTTGTGGAATCAGACAGTATAACAAGTAGTTAATAAACAAGTTATGAGAGTCAGGATGGGAAACACCCATGTATATGTTCATGTTAGGAGAAGCCATCATGCTACTAGGAAGTCCACTGTCCTGTTGAGGTGGGACAAAGACACATTTTTGGAGTCCACATTTTTGCAACCAAAGTGTCCCCTATCCTGATCTACCCAGTACTAGAATATGAGTTTTTGCCAGGGTAGCAGTGCTTTTAGCCAGAGGATCCTGGGAAGAGAGGTCCAAACCCTCAGTTCCCAACTAGGTCTGTTGTCCACCCCAAACCGTACCATCTGTGTATGGCGGGATGATCTTGTACTGGTCAAACAGAAGGACATCCCCTGCCTGGGTCAGGGTCACCTGCCTCCGAGGGTCCTGGTGCAGAATCACTGACACTGACTGGACACAGGCTCCATCTTGGTTCTGGAGAGATAGAAAGGTCAATGGGGCAGTGTTGGTCTGACCCTCCTGCTGGATACAACAGAGCCCTCTAGGGACAGAGACCCCAGCCCAGCTTGAGAGACAGTTTCCTCAGAATGACAGACAGAGCCCCAAAGATATCAGGGATCATCCAACCAAATACCCTCGTCTGGGAATGGGCAGGCAGAGGCTCAGGTTGGAGAAGGTTAGTAGCAGAATGCGATAACACTAATAAAAATGGTAGTCAACTCTCAGGTTATCTAAAGACACAGAGCAGAGATGGAACCCAGATGGCCCAGAGTCCAGCCTGAGAAACACTGGCCTCCCCCACCTCATCACAACCCAGAACTTTAATTTCATCCCTTTGTGGGTGTTTTTATAATTCATTTCATGTTCACATCCTGCACTCCACTGACAGGCAGGCAGGAAATGAGGTAATATTCTCTGGGCCTCAGGTTCTCTATCTCTCAAATGGTCACACACTGGGCCCCTTTTATACCTCCCTCCACAGGAAAACATCCACACAATCATTCATTTAAACACTTAACTGAGCACCAACTATGTGCAAGGCATACTGTATCAGACTTTATGGATTCAGTGATAAGACAAAGTTTCTGTCCTCAAGGAAATTACATACTTGTGTGGGACACAGACATTAAATAAGTAATTACAAAGTTGATTACTCAATTATAATTGTGATCAGTGCTGTAAGCAGGTGTAGAGTGTTAGAAAAGCATATGACTGAACCAGACTTAGTCTGCAGAGGTAGGAAAGGCCTTCCTAGGGAATGATAATAACATAAAATTATCATAATAATACCACAATATTATTATGATATTACAACCAACAACTAACTTTCATGTGGAATTAGTATGTTCAGGTGCTGTTCAAATCTCTCTATATATATTCACTTGCCTAACTCTCATAGCAATCTGATTAAGAAAGTGTTACTGGCCGGGTGCGGTGGCTCACGCCTGTAATCTCAGCACTCTGGGAGGCCAAGGTGGGCGGATCACGAGGTCAGGAGATCGAGACCATCCTGGCTGACACGGTGAAACCCCATCTCCACTGAAAATACAAAAAATTAGCCAGGCATGGTGGCGGGTGCCTGTAGTCCCAGTTACTCGGGAGGCTGAGGCAGGAGAATGGCGTGAACCCGGGAGGCGGAGCTTGCAGTGAGCCGAGATCTCGCCACTGCACTCCAGCCTGGGTGACAAAGCGGGACTCTGTCTCAAAAAAAAGAAAAGAAAAGAAAAGAAAAGAAAGTGTTACTAACATCCCCATTTTGCAGATTAGAAAACCAAGGCACACAAAAAGTTGACATATAAGTTGAAATCTGAAGGATGCATGGAAGCTAGTTGGGCAAAGAGAGAAGAAGAAGAAGGAGACATCCAGGCAAAAGGAACAACTTGTACAAAAGCTCTGTTACAGGAAGTCGTTTAATGCATTCAAGGGCATAAAGAAGACTAGAGGGACCAGAACCCATCAGGCAAAGTGGTTTAAGATAAGGTTCAAGGCTGGGCACAGTGGCTTACGCCTGTAACTCCAGTCCTTTGGCAGCTGAGGCAGGAGGATCGCTTAAGCCCAGGAGTTCAAGACCAGCCTGCTCAACATACAGAGACCCTGTCTCTACAAAAATAAAAAATAAAAATAATTTTTTAAAAAGTTCAAGAGGTAGGTAAAGGCCAGCTTAGGCAGAGCCTTGAAATATTTTTAGACTTTATCTTAAGTCCAACAGCCAACCTGAGAAAGTGAACCAGGAGAGTGACACAGTGAAATGACAGAATGATCAGGGCTTGAAACTTTAAAGAAATACATTGTGCAACCAGCCACAACCATCCTTCTGAGTTCCTGCCCAGGAGTACAGAAAATCCCTGAAACAGCTCAAAATCATTGTATCTAAAACATCATCTTCTTTGTTCAACCCACTCATCCTCTAGTCCCCTCTGGACATGTCACCTGTGTGGGAATAAAGCCCACACCCTTTAGTCAAAAGTCTCAGGTTCAAATCCTAATGTAACTGAAAGCTATGAGACCTTAAAGAAGTCACTTAAATTCTCCATATCTCAGTTCTCTCCTCTGCAAAACAGAGATAAAACAACATTTGGTTGTACCCAATCCTACCCAGTTGGGTACAGATTTTTAAATGTGCATAAAATATTTTAGAGGTTGCATTTACCTCCAAAAGCCCACAGAACTTCACTAAGAGTGAAACTTGATGTAGGCAAATTCTAAAAATCACGTAGGAGGGGATCCCAGGATGAAATGTAGATGATAACAAAAGAATCTAACTGCATTACAAATGTATGAAACAATCTCAGTGAAGAGAGTGGGAGGAAAGGTGTTGACATAAGTAGCTTTGTAAATAAGTAGAATTTATAAGACTAAAGGCAAAAGAAACTGAGAACAAAACCTGTACTTTAGTTGATAAAGTTATTTCCTATAGAGGTATGCGTTAATAATAGGAATATACATGTATGCTGGAATTGAACAATTAGGTAAATGGATGGTGTATGGTGAAGGCCAGGTTTCTTACTGTTAGAGTGAGTGTTTACAGATAAGCAAGAGGAGGAAGCTAGAATGATCCATGTGGAATGGATTAGAATTGGACCATCAGTATGAAGTCATGTTTAGCACATGTAGATACAGATGGTTTTATAGAGAAATATTTATACTTATGTGTATATACTAAGATAAACATGGATATGCATATACAGTCGGCTCTCCATATCCAGGGGTTCTGCATCCATGGATTCAACCAACCATGGATTGAAAATATTTGGAAAAAAATATGGATGCTTGCTTCTGTACTGAACATGTACAGACTTTTCTTACCATTATTCCCTAAACAATATAGCATAACAACTATTTATATAAGCATTTACATTGTATTAGGTATTATAAGTAATCTAGCAAGGATTTAAGGTACACAGGAGGATGAGCATAGGTTATATGCAAATACTATATACCATGTTACATAAGGAATTTGAGCATCTGCAGATTTTGGTATCTGTGGGGAGTGGGGTGCTGGAACACAGATAATACCCACATTATCTGTGGAAATACCCCACAGATAATAAGGGTATTTCCTTTCTCTGTCAGCTGAGAAGGCCTAAAGGAAGTCATACCCCAGTAGCAATGAGCACACCTCATCCCCTGATCTTGATTCTAATACCATCGTCCAATAAAAGGAATCAGGAGAACCTGGTAATATTTTTGGAGAAATGAATGATACTAGCACTGGGACAGGAACTATACAAGATAAGCCTGGTGCATCTAATAGGCCCAGAAAGTAAAGACATGAAAGCACACACACACACTCAAGCCCCACCACCACTAGCATATACACACGCAATAATGAAGGTATGTCAAAGGGACACAGGAGTCAACTGTATGATCTCCCAGTGCCCAAAGCTGGAACAATTCAAGTAAGAACATAAAGGTGTAGTGGATTATAACTCAAAGTATAAAATAAACAGCCATGAGTCTATGCTGATATAAATAAGTAAATGGGAGAAAAGAGACAAATCTCCCTGGCAGAAAAGTTCTAAATAATGCATGTAGATTCTCTGCCTTCAAGGAGGGGGAGAATAACTTCCCACTCTGTAAGTGTGGGTTGCCCATAGTGACTTCCTTCCAAAAAGAACAGTATGGAAAGGGGGAAAAAGGAGTAAGTTTACAGTGGAGAAACCTGAAAAACACTACCTCCACCAGATGATCAAGGTCATAATCAACAGTGATAAACAATGTTGATAGTATATACCACGGATAAGATGTGATGAACATGGCACTTTACCTCTGTGATCTTCCTCCCAAAAAAAACCATAACCCCAGTCAAACCATGAGAAAAAGAATCAGACAAATTCCAATAGAGAGGCATTATCCAAAACAGCTGACCAGCACTCTTCAAACTTTGAAGATTATCATAAACAAGGGAAATCTGAGGAACTGTAACATCCATGAAGGGCCTAAGGAGACATGATGACTATATGTAATCTGGTACCCTGGATCAGAAAATGACATTAGGTAAAAAACTATAGAATCTAAATAAGGTATGCACTTTGGCTAATGATAATCTATTAACATCGGTTCATTATTTTTAACAAAGATGTCAAGGGAAACTGGGCGTAAGATAGACAGGAACTCTAGGTACTATCTTTGCAATATTTCTGTAAAGCTAAAGATGTTCTAAAACATAAAGTCTACTTTAAAAAAACACTTTGAGGGCTGCAAACACTACACAGATTCTGGGGTGGATGTGTTCAGATGCTGTGATAACATCCAACCCTAGGTCGGGCTCAGCTCTGCCTCCTGCTGGCTGTGGATTCTCAAAAATGCCCCAAGCCTCTGTAGGCCTGTCTCATCATATTTAAAATGGGGAGAATGATAACTACCACATGGGGTATGTTAAGACTTAAAGTACATGTTTTTTGCAAAGTAGTTAGTCAAAGTTCAAGGCACTGTGCAAATATTTTATCATTGTCATTATCATCCTCTCTGTGAATGTCCCCACTCCACTCCATTGCTGGGCACCCAGGAGTGCAGTCGCAGCTTCATCTTTGACTTCTCTCCCACACACTCCCCGCTTCACCAGACACAGTCAGTCAGTTGCCAAGTCCTTCTGCATCTGCTTTAATGGATCCTGGAATATTCCAACCTCGTTGTTTTTCTCATATAATCTAATCAACCCTTGGAGTGCCCTCCCTCCCTCTCCTTACCCAGGCATACTGATTTCTATGAATATTTTTAGGCTCACTTTTTAGGTCACTCAGCCCAAATGCCACTTCTGTCATGAGGTTTTCCCTGATCCTTTTTTCTGACCTATAGGACTATTTCTTCCACAGAACTCCCCTGTGATGGCACTGATCATGTTGTAGCTGTATGGAAGCTGTCTGAGGACACGCTGACCTCCCTACAGGCCACAAGAGCCTGAAGATAGGATCAGGGTCTGATTACTCTGTGTAACCTCACCATGCCCAGCACAGAGCTGGCACAGGGCTGGCCCTCCATGGGTCCATCATGTGGGTGAAGTCACAAGGAGGAGAGCTGGCCCAAGGTAAAAAGAACCTGCTGTCAAGAGGCACTGTCCCACAAAGAAGAGGGTTGACTCAGGCCAAGGCTGACCCACAGCCTATCAGAGACATGGTAGAGAGAAGGGCTGATGGCCAGGTGTGGTGGCTCACACCTATAACCCCAACACTGGGAGGCTGAAGAGAGTAAATCACATGAGCCCAGGAGTTTGAGACTAGTCTGGGCCACATGATGAAGCCTCAACAATACCAAAAAAAAAAAAAAAAAAAAAAACCAAAAACTAGCCAGGTGTGGTGGCACGTGTCTGTGGTACCAACTACTTGGGAGGCTGAGGTGGGAAGAGCGACTGAGCCTGGGAGGTTGAGGCTGCAGTGAGCTGAGATTGCGCCACTGCACTCCAGCCTGGGTAACAGAGTGAGATCCTGTCTCCAAAAAAAAAGGGGGGGATTCTGAGTAAGGGACCCTGAGACCCAATAGCCCCCAGGATTCTGTAAGTGGGAAGGAGCAGCTGGGCTGTGTCTGTGTGTCTTGTCTGTCTTATGCCACCCTCAGGATGTGATGGGAATGACCCCACTTTTGAGGAAGAGCAGTCTCCTGACTCAGAGAGCAGCCAAGCCAGGGCTGGGCCATTCTCTAGCAGAAAGAAGGGAGGGGCACACTCAGGCCAAAAGGAGAAGAAAGACCAGTCCTCTGCCTCATCCACAGTTCAGCCTGTGTCCCCAGGGCCATGGAGTGACACCTTCAGCTGATGCCTGCTCACATTCAGGGCCCTCAGTGCTGGGGGCTGGAGCAAGGCCAGCAGGGAGGCAGGACTGTGGGGCAGCTGCCCTGGCTGTGGGTGTGAGCTCCTGCTCTGATGCACAAGGAAGAGCTTTGGCACAGCCCAGACTGGGGCTTCCAGGGTTGGCTGAGCATGATCAACCCAGGGACAACGGAGTCTCCGCTGAGAGACAAACAAACCCCCATCTACCCCAGACTTGCACATTGGCCATTTTCTCAGTTATGTTCACAGGTGATTGACACAGTTCAAGGGTCATGTCTTCCAGGAAGCCCTTCCTGATCCACTTCACACTTCTGTCACCCAGTGCCCAAGTAAAACAACAACAACAAGAAGTTCCCCCGTAGAGATCCACCCTGTGCCCTCCATGTTCTCACAGCTGCTGTAGCCCAGTTACAACAGTTCACTTGCCTGCCTTGCCCACCAAACTATAGGGCCCAGGGAGGTGGAGCCATGTCTAATTCATCCCAGTCTCCAAGACCCAGCTCAGCCTCTGGCACAAATAGGTATTCAATGTTTGCAGAAGGAAGGACAAAAGGATGGAAGGAAAGAAGGAAGGAAGGGAGGGACGAATGTTGAAGGTGCAATCCAATGAAGCAGAGACGATAAAGTTAAATTAAACCAATTTTAGAGATTTTTTTTTAAACACTGAGGCCCACTCCATGATCAGGAATTCCAGTTAATAATTTATAAGGAAGAGATTTTTGTGTGCCATTCACACTGGTCTTTCTAACATTGTTTTGAGCTTATTTCAGTAAATAGTTTGGAATTTTTTTTTTGTAAAATGGGTGTAATTTTCCTAATACAGGTGTGCAACAACAAAAGAAGTTGCCTGAATGCCAGTTCAAATTGTTCCGTATAAAGATGCTCTTAAAAGACAGAGTTATCCTAGAACATTCATTCTTTTTTATTTGAAATTTTAAGTCATGTCCTTTATAAAGACCATAGCAGTGAAAAACGGTGTACTTTTTCAAAAATTGTGGAATATAAAATGTTTGAAAATTTTAATTTTCTTTAAGTGTGAAGACACATAAAATATGGGAGGAAACCAACAATCAAAACTAACTTTTTGTAGATAGCCATTACATTTCTTTTTTTTTTTTTTTTTTTTTGAGACGGAGTCTCGCTCTGTTGCCCAGGCTGGAGTGCAGTGGCACGATCTCGGCTCACTGCAAGCTCCACCTACTGTTTCAATGCCAACATATTCTACAAGAGATTTGTTTCATAAATTAATGGATTTAAAAGTAGGTGCCAGTGTTACACTTTCATATACATACATATATATATATATATATATATATATTTTTTTTTTAGGTAGTAAAATCCTAAAACCAAAAACCCACTGAGGTCCAGAAAAGGGAAGTGACTCAGTCAGCAGAGAGCAGAGGTGCTTGGGCTGGAGTCCAGTCTTCTCCCCAGAGAGAAGAGGCAGCAGGTGGGGGCCATGGGAAGACCTGAGCCCTGTCCTAAGTCCCAGTCTCTCTTGGGGGCAGTAGGCAGGAGTAGCTGGGTGGATCGGGCCTGGGGATCCCCAGCTCTTACCAGGCCACATGGGGCATTCTGCAATGTCACGGTGAAGGTGCCCGAAGAGCGGCTCTTGGCCAGGATGTACTGACATGTGGCGGGGAACGTGTACCGGCGGCCATCAAAGGTTGTGAAGTGAATGTCACCAGTCACTGAGCACTCAGCTGAGAGGTAGAAAAAGGCCACTGACCCATGGGAGCCGCCCCAGGGGAACTCTGCCCTGCAAGCTCCAAGTATGAGGAGGACACAGCACCCTGCCCTCCAGAATAAGAGCAGTATAAGGAATGAGGCCTGGCCCCTGAGAGCCCTGGGCAGTGGGAGACACAGGCTTGTCCCCAGAGAACTCCTTGAAGAGAGGTACAGCCCTGCCCTGGGGATCTCCCTTGGAGGGGAGACCAGGGCCTAGCCTTGAGGACCAGCCTCAGGCCAAGTACCCCTAGCTCGGGAAGGTCTTTAGATATACAGAACCCATGGAAACCCCTTCTCCTCATGGAAAACCCTTCCTGGCAGGGGCTGGAGCCAGACCTTAATCAGGCAAAGTGATTCTGAGGAAACAGGGGTCGGGGCGTAGCCAATGGAACTGAGTGACATCCCCACCCGCAGCAAGCCTGGCCCCCAGAGATTCCTTGCCCCAAAACCTATCAGACTGGTAGAAGGGATCCTAGTGCAAGGTGGGGGGCAGACATACCTGGGCAGACAGCTGTGCTGCACTCCCACTTGCCTGAGGTGCATGTGCTAAAACACAGAGACCAAGGAGGCAAGAGGTCACCCCTCCAGGCCTGAGCTAGATGCTGGGAAACTGCAGGGCCCACAGCCCTCAGTCTTCCCATCTCTAAAATGGGTGGTAGAGATTTCCCCCATGGATTGGATCTAATGAGACTCCCCTGGGACTCAAAGGTACTGAGTGAGTGCCCCGACGCCAGCCATTAGTGCTCCCAGATGGGCAGCCCTCGTGGAAAGCCTCAGCGGCCATGCCCCACACCCTGCTTCCCGGCAGCAGACACAGACCAAGTATTGCAGTCTTCCTTCACCACAGAGCCAGGTGGGTACAGAGTCCCGTGAAACTCACAGGGACACTCAGCTGGTGCCACGCAGCCCCCATCCTCGAAGATGAGCCCTAGAGTGACAGCAAAGGGCCAATTAACTCACCTTTGCCCCTGTTCACAAACCATTCGTGGCTCCCCAGGGCCTCTGATAAAGATCCCCTTATCTAACTTCTTTCATCTCTGAACCGACTTCCAAACTTTCTCCTCTATAAATCCTTGGCTCAGGCCAGAAGTGAACACCTTCTGATGAAAGAATCCCACCCCTAGACCTTTGCTCAGAGAACTGCCCACAACCCCATCCCCAACCTGCACACGAGCTTCTCCTCACCACCTCTCAAAAGCCTGTCACCGCATCAAAAACAGCTTAGGTGCCAGGCACCACCTCCTCCAGGAATGACTTCCCTGACAACCTCTCCCCATTCTGAATTCCTGTATTTTTTCTTATCTGAACTCCCCTGAGCTGGCTTTCACCACATCATACCTTAGACTGGTCATATGAGCGTGATATCTCTGAAACCAGATTCTGATTCCCAAAGTCAATGGCTTTATTTTTATATTTTTTATCTCAACCATCCTCCTAGCCAAGCACACTATAGATGTGCTGCAAATTTATACACTGAAAACCAGTCCCCATACATGGACCAATGCTTAAACAAATGTATGTGTATACATAAACCAATGATCTGTTCTCATACACACCTTAAGAAGCGCAGTCCTGATTAATTTAAATATCCCTATGAAATCAAATGTCCTGATGAATCTCTCGAGAGGCTGCAGTT